>NC_000004.12:14947916-15572916 GCF_000001405.40 Homo sapiens | reverse complement strand
CTCCAAGTTCTTCAGTTTTTGGACTCTTGGACTTACACCAGTAGTTTGCTAGGGGATCTAGGGCCTTCAGCCCAGACTGAAGGCTGCACTGTCAGCTTCCCTACTTTTGAGGTTTTGGGACTCGGATTGGCTTCCTTGCTCCTCAGCTTGCAGATGGCCTGTTGTGGGACTTCACCTTGTGATCGTGTGGTCACTTCTCCTAATAAACTTCCTTTCATATATATATATCTATCCTATTAGTCCTGTCCGTTTAGAGAACCCTAATACAGGCACTATAGATATTTGGCCAGATAATTGCTTGCTATGGAGGTCTGTCCTGTGCATTGTAGGATGTTCAGCAGCATCCCTAGCATCTGCACACTAGATGTCAGTGGCAGTACCAACTCTTATTAGTTGTGAGAGCCAAAAATGTCTTTAGACATTACCAAATGTGGGTACACTTGAGAGCATGCACTTTGGAGTCAAACTTTTTAAATGACAGAAGTAATAAAGTCATTCTCCAAAATGTACTGAAACATAGAAACAAAAAAGTTCAATAGTTTTCTCTGCTTTTACCAACCTCATTTCCCAGGCATAAGCAATGATAGTATATTGAAAGCCAGTACAAGTTGAATCCCACCTCTATTGTAAACTTTGTGATTTGAGCAAGTTACTTAACCTCTCTAGGCTTCTGTTTCTCCATTTATAAAATGAGGATGACAATGCCAATTGTGTTGTGAGGTTTAATTGAGGTGATGTATAAACTACCCGGCAATAACATATAATATGCACCTAATAAATATTGTTATTAATATTATTATTGTTGAATCAGGTTTCTACTTGTTATGTGTGGCTCCAGAGAATTGAACCAGGACCTAAGAATAGGAATTACAGGGAAGTATATAGATTATGGCACAGTTCAAGGAAAACTTTTATGACAGAGCTATTGGGAAGAGAGCAAACTGCCTCAGAAGGTAGTGGGTTTTAGAGACACCCACACAGAGCACAGATATTACCAGAATATAGTGAAGGAAATTCACTTGTCAAGGAGTTTAGAGTAATTATTTCTGAATACCTTCCCAAATGTGAAATTTAGCAATGCCAAACAACTATCACAGGCAGTGTGATTTGCAAAATAATGTGCTCTTGAATTTTTTTTTCCATTTAAAATCTATTCAGAGAAGGAAATGTAAATTATTTTGACAAACATGTCACTGCATAACCTGTAGCTAATCCCTTTTGCCTAGGGAAGATTGCATTTCCAATTGATTCTTGGGATACCAACCAATTCAAGCCTCTCAGACTTGAGTTTTGGTCTTTTTTTTTTTTTTGGTTTAAACGGAGTCTCGCTCTGTTGCCCAGGCTGGAGTGCAGTGGTGCGATCTCAGCTCACTGCAAGCTCTGCCTCCCGGGTTCACACCATTGGTCTTGGTTTTAATGGAGAGTCTGTGGTCCAGACAGCATTTACCCTGTGTGGACATTACAGTGATTCAAAGCCTCCTGTTGCCATAGACTTAATACTGGGACTTCAAAGCGATTTCAGAACCTTTAACTGTCCTAGATTAGAGCTACTAAGTCATTCAAGAGTTGTCAACTTAATGGATCCCCTTAATCAAACCATTAACTCTGAAGAAGGGTGTCTTTGTTAAGCGTGTCTCTGCATTTTTCATGTTTTAAATAGTGAGGACTTGTAGAAATATTAATGGAAAGCACTTGATTGAATGGGCTTTCAACTGCCCTGATTGTTTTCTTCAAGTTACTTTCAGGCATCTATCCATTCCACCTTTGTTGTTTTGACAAGTTTCCACTTTATCCCACCTTATTCTTTACCTTTATTTAATATTTAAAAAATTATCAGATTTGAACAGTCATACATTAACTACTAATTGTAAGGAACATAGATACTTAATGCAAATGTGACAGAAGATCAATGGCTTTAGAGGTTTGTTTCTTTTGAGCCTTCTATGGGCTTTGCATATATATTCTTCCAGTGTTAAGGATGTATCGCACAAAGAAAGTTTTTTTGTTTGTTTTTGTTTTTGTTTTTTCTGACATGGAGTCTCGCCCTCTCACCCAGGCTGGAGTGCAATGGCGCGATCTTGGCTCACTGCAACCTCTGCCTCCCTGGTTCAAGCAGTTCTCCTGCCTCAGCCTCCCTGGTTCAAGCGATTCTCCTGCCTCAGCCTCCCGAGTAGCTGGGATTACAGGTGCGCACCACCACGCCCGGCTAATTTTTTGTATCTTTAGTAGAGATGGGGTTTCACCATGTTGGCCAGGCTCATCTCCAACTCCTGACCTCAGATGATGTGCCCTCCTTGGCCTCCCAAAGTGCTGGGATTACAGGCATGAGCCACCGCGCCTGGCCCACAAAGAACGTTTTAATAGGAAAAATGGATAGAGAAATTCCCTGCTCTCATGGACCTCTAACTTTAGATACTTACCCTTGCTTGGAAATATATTGTGCTAAATGGCATTTTCACACATCCCAGCCAGTGTCTCTCAATACGAGTATGGATTCCACTTCCTCTTTCACGGTCATCCTAAAGGAAGGGTGGGAAGTAATAATTGCTTAAGAACTCCAGAAACTCATTTAATTAATCTGGCAGCAGGAAAGCAGCAAGATTTTAGCTGAAAGCATATGAACTTATATTAGATAGACCTAATCAAATTCTGGTACAGATACATAATGGCTTTGTGGCCCTAGGAAAGTCATTTGACCTCTCTGAACCTCAGTTTTCTCATCAATAAACTAGAGATTTAACAATCTATAGGATTATTTAGAATTAAATCAGACAATGTGCGTAAAGCACCTAGTACAATTCCTGGCACAGTGCAGACAGTCAAGTGAAAATAAAAAAACTAGCTCCTTCTCCCTCTCCCCTGTCCCCATTGATACATGTCAAGTTTCAAATATTTCAAACACAAGAAAGATGGAAAATGTTACCAGAGGCGTTTGAACCAAAGCGACTCCATCTTGAGTGACGGCTAGGAAACATGAGGCTGGGACTTGCTGGGCTGCATTCCCAGAAAGTTAGGCATTCCTGGCCTCTAGATGTTTACAGTTAAGGGAACAGACTGATAATATTTACTAAACAGACCCAGACTTAGGAGTGTCCTGATATCCCGGTATCTTGAGAACAGAGGCATTCCTAATTTTGCTTTAAATATAATAAATAGATTCTTGCAAAATACAGTAATTTAGAAAACGAATCCTTTATCACAAACTCTTGTAGCAGAGCACATCTTCCCATGATCTTTTTTTATCCTATATCTAAACAAGCATTGTACCTAGGGTAAATGCATTCTTCCTCTTACTTTCGAGAACACCCTATTCTGTCTATGGAGTAGCTATTCTTTCACCACTTTACTTTCCTAATAAACTCGCTTTTGCTTTGCACTGTGGACTCGCTCTGAATTCTTTCTTGTGTGATATCCAAGAAAGGATCTAGATCGGGACCCCTTTCTGGTAACAATGTGATTGGAACTTATGTAGTGGGTAGAGGATATGAAAGTGAATACAAGTGTCTTTCTTAAAACTGAGAACTTACCTCTAAGACATCATGCAGTACTTCATCAAAAATGTTAATGAACACAACATCTTTCACTGACTGCAGACTGGCTGTGCTATAATCTCCATTAGGAGCCCTGCAAGACAGCACATGACCAGGGACTGTGAAAATAGGCAACATAGAAATTATGAGCATTCAAATGTCAGCATTTGAAAAATACCCAAATATGAGCATAGATGTTAGAATTAAAAGCATTGCTTTCATTTCTAGGATTTCTCTTGTACAGGGATACTATAATACCTATATTCAAATGGACAGAGCATTACATTAGAGACTCTATGCAGAGACAAACCCTCTGCTGGCTTGTCCTGGTGAGTCTCATATTCCCCCACACCCTTGTGGTAAGCTTTTCAAGGAGGCAGCTTGCCAGGACTGAGCTAGCTTAGTGGACAGGCTACAAGGTTTCCAGCTGACACTGGAGCTAGTATATGGACTTCCTAAGCAAATGGGCCCCAGAAGGGTGCTTCTCCAGCAAAACCACTCTCCAGTGATAAACCTCCTACTGGCTGGTTGGTCTAATGGTCCCTGCCTCACACTCACCTTTTCTGTATATAAGTAAAGCAATACAGGGGTAAGGTCTCCTGTAACATAACCCACTCTGAGTCTAGCTAAGCCTGGAGCAACCGTGCCTCTGCATGGCAGGGCTGGTGTCTGGGGTAATAGGTGTATTTTGTTGAACATTTGACTTTATGTTTTCTTGTTCTTTTTGCTGTTCTGTGCATAATAGTGGTAGCTGTTACCTTCTTCTGACTTAACTAGTTCTTATTTATGTATTTATTTTGAGACAGAGTCTCGCTCTCTCGCTAAGGTTGGAGTGCAGTGGCGTGATCTTGACTCACTGCAACTTCCACCTCCCGGGTTCAAGTAATTCTCCTGCCTCAGCCTCCAAGTAGCTGGGATTACAGGCATGTGCCCTGGCCTCAAGTGATCTGCCCGCCTTGGCCTCCCAAAGTGCTGGGATTACAGGCGTGAGCCACCATGCTCGGCCTGACTTAAGTAGTTCTAATCCTTGCTCTGTCTCTAATTTACTGTGTGGCTTTAAGTAAGTCACCTTCCCTTTTTGGGTTTTAGTTTCTTCTCCATAAAGGTAGAGGTTGGACTAGATAATCTCCAAGGTTGCTTCAAGTACTGAAATAATAAGAACCATTTAAATATCTAAAATCCTTTGACCAAACTTCTGAAATGCCTATTTATTTCTGGTGAGGAAGAAAGTATGATTTATGGGAACTAAGGAGTTTCAGATTTACTTGAGGGGACATGAGGAAGAAAGGAAAGCAGTGTAGGTCATTGGGGTCAAGGGAATGAAAAACTTTGGGCTTTAAGAAGCCAGAGCCTGGAGGAGCATAGGATGTCCCAACAATGAATCTGGGGTTTTAAAAGTTGGACATTTTTCCATTTTTATTCTTGAAGGGAGTCAGCTGTGGTACAAGAGGAAAAGCATGGGACTTGGCGTCAGGACACCTGGATCTTGTTGCCGCTCACTAGCTACAAAATCCTTCACCTTAGCCGTTTCTCATGAGCCTGCTTTCTTCACATTTCTTCAAAATGTCCTATAGTTCTTTAAAGAGGAAAATATGCTTACCTAAATGGAAGTTCTAGTTCTTCATTCCAGCTAGGGTTTGGTCCTTCAGCCGTAGTCGTATGGCAAACTGTTCGTTGAAAAGAGACTTCTACAAAGGGACGTACTAAAACCTTAAAATCAAGAGCAAATTCTGAGTTCCCAATGGTTAGTCAAATTATTTTATTCTTAGCAAAAATAGAGTATATTTACTAAGTAGTATGTTTCCAAAGAAAATGAAGCAGAGAGCAGACTATCCATGAAGTTTACAGTCATTTCTTAAAAACTTAAGGGGCAAGGTGGAAAGCTGAAGTCCAGCATCTCTCACCTGGCCGAGGGGGTAGTCAGCATTGTGGGTTGGGCTGTACGTGCTTGGGGAAGCAGCATGCTTTTCACTGAACATCCTTGAAGACCTCGACGGCTGCTGGAATTTGCTAGGAGAGAAAATGTATGAAGGAAATTAATGATAGAGGAAGTCTAATTATATATTGAGAAGACAATTATTTATTTATTGAGATAGGGTCTCACTCTGTCGCCCAAGCTGAAGTGCAGTGGCATGATCTCGGCTGGTGCAATCTCAGCTCACTGCAACCTCTGTCTCCCAAGCTCAGGTGATCCTCCCACCTCAGCCTCCCAAGTAGCTGGGACTACAGGTGTGAGTCACCACACCTAGCTAATTTTTGTATTTTTAGTAAAGATGTGGTTTTGCCATGTTGCTAAGGCTGGTCTCAAACTTCTGAGCTCAAGTAATCTGCCCACTTTGGCCTCCCAAAGTGCTGGAATCACAGGCATGAGTTACTGCACCCAGCCTTATTTTTATTTTTAAAAAAATTTTTGAGATAGAGTCTTGCTCTGTTGCCCAGGCTGGAGTGCAGTGGCATGATTATGGCTCACTCCAGCCTCAACCTCCCAGGCTCAAGCGATCCTCCCACTTCAGCCTCCAGAGTAGCTGGGACTACAAACACACTCCACCATGCCCAGCTAATTTTTAAAATTTTTTGTAGGGACCAGAGGTCTCAGGATGTTGCTCAGGGTGGTCTTGAACTCCTGCGTTCAAGTGATCCTCCTGTCTTGGGTTCCCAAAGTGCTGATATTGCAGGTGTGAGCCACCATGCCCAGCTTGAGAAGATGCTTTTTTCCAAAGATGTATGGCCCTGGTGGCTGTGGTGACAAACATTCTCCCTTATGCTTGTTGACATTGCAGAAGGCTTTTTAGTATGCTCTGGTCCCCACAGAGTCACCTAGAGATTGCTAGAGCCTTCCCCAACTTCCATGCCCAGGCCTGTGTGCTGAGAACAAAGGAAAATGTCTCCTTTCTCCTCCCTTCTAGGGGGCGCCTGAATGGGGGACCTGCCTTTCCCTCCATAGATGAGAGCCTCAATCCCTCACAGATAGGAGATCCTGAGCTTCCTGACCAGCCTGCCCCATCTCCATCCAGTCCAGGTTCTCCCCACTGTCTGTTCTTTGTACCTGCACTCTCCAATAACCCCAAGCTACACATGTCAGGCAAGGAATCTCCTGGGGCCTGCCAAGCCTCACCAGGAAAGGGAGGTGCAGGGATTCCTAGCTTGAGTTAGGATCAGCGAGTCTTATCCTCTTCTCCCTTCTCAACTGCTGTTCTTAAAGGAACAAATGAAGATCAAATCCAGAGAGTCTCTTCCAGATACCTCCACCATCACCCTAACAACATACTTGCATATTTGTATTGAACCTTATGGTTTGCCAAGTATTTCACATTCATCACTGGGCAAAATACAAATAGTCTCTTTCTATAGACTATCACCTTTCACAGCTAAGGTTTCAGACAAAGGTAATTGGAACATTTAATGCAACAGGTACCATAGAAAAGCTCTTTTCTTTTTGGAAAACCATCAGTTACTTTATTAAACAAACACTTGTGGCTGGATGCAATGGTTCATGCCTGTATTCCCAGCACTTTGGGAGGCCAAAGTGGGAGAATCGCTTGAGCCCAGGAGTTCAAGACCAGCCTGGTCAACAGAATGAGACCCCATCTCTAAAAAAATAATAAAACAAATTAGCTGGGCTTGGTGGTGTGTACCTGTAGTCTTAGCTACTTGGGAGGTTGAGGGAGGAGGATCTCTTGAGCCCAGGATTTCCAAGTCTGCAGTAAGCTGTGATTGCACCACTGCACTCCAGCCTGGGTGACACAGCAAGACCCTGGGTCTAAGAAGTAAAATTTAAAAACCCCCAAAAACCCATTTGTTTAGTACCTATATTTTAGGCCCCATGTTAGACTTTGGGCTTTTAAGATGAAGATAACACTTCACTGCAGACTAGACTGGAAGGCAGACACATAAACAAATCATCTCAATAAAGTGAGATAGGTATTAGACTAGAGGGATGGTCAGAGGCTGTATTAGAACAGTGAGGGAGGCAAAAAAAAAAAAAAACCGTATGTGGATGAGTGCAAAGGTAAATGGTAAAGACTTGGGCAGGCTTAATGGAACAGTTGATGTCTGAGCTGTCTCGATGTATCTGCATTGAATGTGTAGCATGTAGGATCAACTATGCTCCCTTAATTTAGTTGAATAAAATGATTTAACACTTAAAAATAGTCTATGGAGGTGAAAACTACAAGAAGCACCTATATGTTCTTTAAAAAATAGTTTTTCACCCCAGTTGAGCTTTGAGGCAATCAGGGTGAAAGGGTAGGCTGTGAGCTCAGGAAAGCAATGCCACAGCAGATTCAAGAGCTTATATGGACATTTACAAGTAACAAAGCATTAGGAATAGTTGATGATTGTAGATGCTCTCTAATAGGTTAACGAATTAGTTAAAAAATGTAAAGACACACATACACACAAATATGTAGGAGCCGGGTGCAGTGGCTCATGCCTATAATCCCAGCACTTTGGGAGGCAGAGGCAGGAGGATCGCTTGAGGCCAGGAGTCCGAGACCACCCTGGGCAAAATGGGGACAGCCTGTCTCTACAAAAAATAAAAAATTAGCCTCGCGTGGTGGGGCACACCTGTAGTCCCAACTAGTTGGGAAGCTGAGATGGGAGGATCACTTGAGCCCAGGAGGTCGAGGTTGCAGTGAGCTGTGATAGCACCACTGTACTCAGCCTGGGCAACAGAGTGAGACCCTGTTTCAAAATAAAAAATGTAAGGCAAAATAATGGGGTGAGAGGAAGGAGAGAGACAGAACTAAATTAAAGGGGAAGAACCTAGGGAGAAAAGACACCAAGGGCTGGAACAGTGCTCTTCCAAGGAAACAGTTAGGGCTGAATGACCTTAGCCAAGCCACTTATACTCTCTTTACTTCCATTTCCCCTTTTGTGAAGTGGAGATAGTAATAGCAGTAACAGTTAAATGAAATCTTATATGTGAACCTGCCTACCATGGTGCTTGAAACATGGTGAATGCACATTAAGTGCTACTTTCTCCCATTACACTGGTAAGGGCACTACCAAAAAGAAGTTTCACGCCAGGTGCATTGGCTCACACCAGTAATCCCAGCACTTTGAGAGGCTGAGGCAGGAGGATCACTTGAGGCCAGGAGTTCCAGACCAGCCTGGGCAACATAGCAGGACCCTGTCTCTACAAAAAAAAAGAAGTTTTAATTTTTGGTCCTTCCTTCTCTGTTTCCTCAGACTCATCTTCCCAATGGCTGAAGGCTCCCTGTTACCCCTGGTGTAGTGAATTCTAGTAGTCGTAACACATTTCTCCGAACAGATGAAAGGGAAGCCACGTTTTTATGTTCACAGCACATATGTTTCAGAACCTTGGACAGACACCTTTTGTGACTCTCCCCAGCTCATACCCACTTCTCTGAGATCTGTTCCTATCTCTGGGGCTGGTGCTTCTGACCCTGTCTCTCTGGCTATCGGCGATTAGACCATGGATCAACACCTGGCCAAGTTAGCACCTTCAGACTTCTCTGGAGAAAATGACGCTTAATTGGTGGTACTCTAGCTGCATGGGCCACTTCCATCACATGGAGAAAAATGAAGCAAACTCAGAGTGAGGCAAGTGAGAGACCACGGGGCCTCAGGAGAACTATCTTATCCCTGCAGTCTCCCTTGTAATTCAGCTATACCTCTTGTCCGAGTTATTTGAGATGTTCTTAATAAATCCCCTCTTTAGCCTGAATTGATGGAATTGGAATGTATTACTTGCAAACAGTAGGGCCTTGGCTTTGCAAGAACCCTCAGTCCCCTGCTGAACAATAACCACGTTAAGAATGAGAGTGAGTATGCTGTAAAGGAGCGATTGACTTGGCTGGGATGCTGCACACTGCATCTCGGGCTGTTGGGAGGGCTCTCACCTCACTGCCGGCTTCCTCACTGGAATGTCGTAAGCTCGCACAATGTTCACCAGCAGCTTTATGTCTCCATCAGACAGGTTTTGGGCTGTCACCTTCTTCCGACCTTTTCTCCTTGGCCGCAGTGGTCGCTTTTGTTCTGCCAGCTTGAAAAGGCTTAGGCCCAAAATGCTAATGATTACAGAACAGGATCAGGACTCTAAGAAAAAGAAAGGTCTGCAAAATTGTGAGACGACTTCCCGAACTCTGCCCCATGGTCCTGCACACGCCCCTGAAAAACTCCTTGTCCTTTGAAGGTGGGTGGAAATAGTCTAGAAATTCTCCCAAATGGGCGAGATCCTACTGCATGGATTGTTAAAACTTACTCTAGCTGCTGCTTATCCAAGGAAGAGAAGCCATGCTCTGGCCCTTACATTTCCTGCCTTATCTCTACCTTGCTCACCCACCAGTTCCTCAAACATGCCTATGGTCTCCCATCCTTCACATTTGCTTGGGCCAGTCCTGCAGAGGGAATGCCTCCCTGCATCTTCCTTGTCTGCCTAGTTGGTTGCAGTTTTACCCATCCCTTGGGGCCAGTGTCCACCTCCCCCAGAGACTCAGCTACTCCAGCTGGAAGGGTTACTCTCTCTTCCAAACCTCTTGAGCTCCTATTAGCCTGCTCCCTTCACATGACAGTGGGTGTGTACAGCTGCTTAGGCAGTTCCTGGGTTATCTCTTTCACTCTGGAGTTAGAACTGGGTGTGAATCCTGGCTCCACTCTTTGCCCTTGGGCAAATCATTTCACCTCTTTAAGTCTCTGTTTCATCATCTGTAAAATGTGGATAATGATACCTACTTCTTTGGATTGTTGAAGGGATTGAATAAGGAAGTGTGTGTAAAGCACCCTGACACTGCTCTAGCACTTAGTAGATGTCCTAAAATGGTAACTATTGGGTTGATGCCAGTGATTAAGGTGGAAGAAGAGGAGGAGGTATAGGGAGGAGGAAGGGGTTAGGGGAGAAGCAAGAGACTCCTTCTCTCATGTCTCTACCTTTCACGGAGATGATATGCAAGAAACACTTCCTGTAAGATGAAAGCAACAGAGTCAGTGAATCATAGGAGAAACGTTCATGGACCAAATAAATTCTGGCCCAGAAACTAAACAGAAACAAAGATGTGACTGTATCTGGAAGCTGATGTTAATGGCTGTGTGAAACAGCCAAAGAACAAAGCCAGCTTTGCAGAGCTGGCCACAGGCTATAATGCACATGGTTCTCTGCTTCCTTCCTGAGGATCAGAGCTGGCTAAGTGACCTCTTGACTGGAGCCCCTCTTTGCAAGAGGCACATGCCAGCTGAGGCTGAGGTCTCTGCAGCTCCTGTCTAGGCGCTGCTGACAGCTCCTATAAGGAAACCCAAGGAAGTTCCAGGATTCCAGGAGCTGTTGTTCCTGTTTATTCTCCAAGGTTTTACACAAAATAGCTACCATTTATAAGCACCTCCTATGTATTGAGAAGAGTGCTGGGTGCCTTACATATAACATTTCTAATCTTTACGCATATAATATTTACCCTGTATTTCAGATGAAGAAATTAGAGGCTACGAGAGGTGTTATGATTTGCTGAAGGTTCCTTAGTAGTAGGAGGGAGAGCAGGGGTTCAAACTCAGGTCACTGTGACTATATAGCTCATGTTTTTAATCACTCTGCCAGGACACCTACCTAACCCAAACTAGGGGGCCTCAGAGACAGAACTTTGTTAGAGGTCCTAACATGACAACACTCTTCCATTGTCAATGCTTCCTCCCTCCCCTGGAGGTAAGTCCTCCCTGAGACTTTGATGTCTCCATAGCAGTCAGCATGGGAGCACCATGTCAGCCAGGACCATCAAATACAGAAACATCTTAAAGCCAAGAAGGAACTGAAATTAAAAGAAGAAAGAACATACCCTGAGCCTTCAGAACTTAATGCAGAAAGTAAAGCAGAAAAAAAGGAAGGAAAAGAAAAAAAAAACAATATGAAAAATCATCATCTATTCTAAGTGTAATTTTCATGACTTTGAAAACATTCAATGACTGGACTGTGGGCCTGGAATAGAGAGAGAGGTTTTGCATGGATTTATGTGGGTGTAGCCTCCTTTCTATATGTGGAAAGGGGCTGCTATGGATTGCACATTTTTTTTGTCTCCTTCCCAACTTGATGGTGGAGAGAAAGTATATGCATAGAAAAAACCTTTTTAGGAGACCAAGAGACTTAATCACAGAAAAGGTCATGTGGCCTGCACAAGACCACCAGTATGGGAAATTATCTTTCATCTTTTCTATATCCACACCCCTAGTTGAAGCCATTTGACAATTATCCAAACTAATGAGTCAATCAAGCAAATACAGTCAATTCCCAATATCTGTGTGAATATCAAATCTTTCCTGCTGTTCTACACTCTCACCAAGCACATGCACCAGCTCTCTGCCCACCAGCTGTGGTGCTGCAACCAGGTTTCCTCGTCCACCCCAGAAGCTTGTGGGTGGGGTCTCAGCCACCTCTACTGCCATGCGACAGGAGAGTAAGGGAATGTCTGGCACTGGGAGACTAGGAAAACAGGAGAAGTACTTGCAGGAGGGAAATGCTGTCAGGTTTAGTTCAACGGGAATGAGAAAATGGCAAAGGCTAATGAAGTTGATTTGGAAGTAGGGGAGGTGAGATGGGGTTTGTTGGAATGCAATGGGAGAGGCCCTAGGAAGACTTGTTCTAGTAGAAATCCCTCAACTAATGTCATCATCAGGTATTAACCAGGTTTAACACATTATTCCTGGCCCAAATGCATACCATACGATGATTTTTAAAAATCTTATATGATACCTTTCATATAATAGAGTATAAATAATAATTTTTATAAGAATTGATAATAATGGCTTTGATTATTTTTACCTGATATTGGGAACTTCTTCTTCTACTATCATATCAGCAAGAAGAAAATATTGTTTTGCAATTAAGAAACGATTTATCACTGATTCTCTAACCTGGGGAAAGAAATCAGCTTATTTAAAATGTTATTATTTAAACTTCGTAGTTCACTCTCCACACTCTAAGTTTTTACCCTAATGTCATCTCAGTGTCCCCCCAGTCCTCCAGCCCAACTGTTACTTTCCTCTGCAATGCTGGTCTCCTCTTGCTGTAAACCCTCTAGCTTTCTGTACTAGACTGTAAGCTCCCTAAAGTCAGGGGTTTTCCTGTTTTGCTTACTGCAATATTGGAGTTCCTGGTAAAGTTCCCGGCATATAAGATGGCAAAATTTGCTGAAATAATGAATTAACCATTACAAAAAATAGGGCCAGTCTCAAAACACACATACTTAAGAACTGATTCTTAAGTTATTCCCTTATCCAGAATGATTCACTTCCTAATTCCAGAGGACCTCTGGCTGGGCGCGGTGGCTCATGCCTGTAATCCCAGCACTTTGAGAGGCCAAGGTGGGTGGATTGCTTGAGCTCAGGAGTTCGAGACTAGCCTGGGGCACGTGGCAAAACCCCATCTCTACAAAAAATATAAAAATTAGCCAGGCATGGTGGTGTGTACCTGTAGTCCTGGCTATTCGAGAGGCTGAGGTGGGAGGATGGCTTGAGCCCGGGAGGTGGACGTTAGAGTGAACTGAGATCACACTACACTACTGCACTTCAGCCTGGGCGACAAAGCCAACCAGCCCCCTGTCTCAAATATATAAAAATAAATAAATAAATAAATAAATAACCTCTTAAATAATTCATTTTAAAAAATAATACATGAGCCACAGGGTAGATAACACTGGATGGGGAAAATGCACTGTAGTCACTTAGCATTTGTGGCAAGTTAAGTTTATTGAAGGAAGGAAGGAAAGAAGGAAAAAGGACAAACGAAAGGATGTTTCAGCTTTAATTTTTAGTTTTCTAGTGCATAAGGGCAGTTAGTATATGGTTTAAAAACTTTTGTTTTTTTCTGATTACAAAGGTAATCATTGTAACGCAATGCAACATTCAAATATTAGAAAAAACATGACTTAGAAATTGAATCCCTTGTAATCATGACCCATTAAAAGGTAACTGCTGATAATAAACCAGAACATAGCCTGGTTGTTTCATATATTTGAAAGGTGATGATAGTTGTCAATCAATTATATATTTGTGTTTATGAGGAAATTTATGCAAGCTAAGTGGCTTGCATAAGCTCACATAGATATTTAAAAGAGTAGAGGACTTTCCACCTTAGGGTGCTGGCTCTTTTCTCCCTATGAAGACAGTTTTATATGATTTTTCTTACCTGCTGGAGGTACTTGGCTACTATGGCCCTATGGGTGTCTATGTGTTCCTTGGTTTCTATTACATTTCTGTCTCGTAACCGTTTCTCATAGTCCTAAAATTAAAAAGAGGCAATGATTTTAAAGCACTCTCTGGTGCTTTTCTTAAGATCAGGTAATTATTTATCACATATGATTTAAGTTATAACTTGTGGTTTTAAATATTTCTTCCACCTTCTTCCTAACTTTTGGTTCAGAATTGGTCTTTGATAGAGTAACCAGGATTCTGAGACAGGTGGCTGAAATGCCTTACTAGTAGAAGAGAATTCTGTATAGTAGTTACAAGTTAAAACGTTAAGTCAGGAAGAAATAGAGGCCACAGAGAAGCTCTTCCAAGCAATTTAGCCAAAGCTCCTGCTTAAGTTTTGCCTTTTCTGTTTTAAGTAAAGTTTCAGTTAACACATTACCATAATCATATAACATCTGGCTGTAGCTGAGCCAGGTCATCTGCTTGGAGGAGAGTGATGCATACATCTGGCTTTGTCTGCTCAGGCCTCTCCCCTTTTCTGTCAACAAAATTATGTGTGTGCCCTGGGAACTGCTATGTTCTCCTCTAATCCCACTCTTTGGTCACAGTTGAATGCCTGGTAGTGGTACCTAACTCAGGCTCGGGGGACACACCTCTGCTGGCTGAAGATACTAGATGTGAACTTGTATGATGTTGGTGACCATGTGGTCAAGTAGAGAAAACCTGTCTGCAAAGGAGGAGCATGATGCCAACACATCAAAGAAGCCTAGAGAGGATGGAGAAGGGTCCTGGTAGCAGGCCAGGCACAGATGCACTCATGCCATTCACACGTTTTTAGATATTTAATGCTATTTTGAGATTTCATCATCCAGTAAACTCCCCTTGGTGCCTAAGGTAGTTCAAAATTGGCTTTTATCTCCTGTGATCAAAGTCCAAACTAATACAGAGAAGAACCAAATAACCAACCATATTCTTCAAGAATAGTTTTGCCATGAAAAATCTTCCTGGTACTAATTCCTGATGGCTCTCCATTTACCTTGTTAAGTATTAATAAAAGTGCATGTGTCTACAGCTCATGAAAAGCAGGGAAAAAGAAAAAAAAAGTGCATGCATCTGGTTTCACTGGCCTGCCCCACCTACACAGGCCTGTTACCTGCAGTTCCTCAAAGGCTCCTCCACCCCACACCTGGAGGTGCGATCTGCCCTCCTCTGAGTCTTTGTTCCTCCTGCTGCCCTTGACCAGGATGGATGCCCAGCCCTGTTCCTTTACCTCCTTCATGCCCCACCCATCCCATGGCTATTCAGATCCTATCCCTCTAGTTTTCCCTGTAGTGCTTTACCAGTGTGCTGAGTACATGACACTTAGTACATACTGCATTAAAATGGAATTGAATTCCTGACTAAGGCATTCAATAATTAGCCATGTTAATAATTAACTAGCCATATTATTAGCCATATTAACCTCTAAGATATTTTTCAACCCTACAATTCTAATTGTATGCAGTTCAGTTGACTCAGAATCCTGGTTACTGATTAGTTTATATATCATTATATTGAGGCAGAGAGATTATTTAAATGGTGAATTCAAGAAAAAGCATGGAAAGGTTATGTATAAAAGTGAAATAAAAGAGAAACCGCTATTGCTAGTGACAACATAACAAAAACAAAATACATATACAGTAGTATACCTAACAGCACAGTAGGTACTTTATTATTTTATTAACCCCTCTATGGCAGTTTCTTACCTGGAATACCTTTTCCATAATTTCTCGGTCATAGACTGGAACTTGCTTATAATTTCGGAATTCTGGCACCTCTTGGCTTCTAAGATGAAGAAGCCTAAATCGTTTGGATCTATTTAATTCTTGATCTGAAACAAAGTTAAACTCCTGTTGCAGCTGCTCCAGTCTAAAGAAATCAGGGACATAGGATTCACCACTGGTAGCAACCTATAAAAAACGGAAAATGCAAAACTCCAGATGACAGTCAGATCTCATCCAAAGAAACTTGGCACTGAGTGTCAAGGAACATTTAACAGTTTTAGATTAAAAGACTTGAAAGACAAAATACTTTAAAATATAATAATAATGAGTCACATGCTATTATATTCATTTAGTAGCTATAAACAATACCACAAATCATTTTCCAAACAATAAAAATTATATGTTTCACTTTTGGTGTTCATGCTTCCCTAGTAGTGTTATTACACAAATATACAGACTGAAAAAGGAGAGATTTGTGCCAGACTACAGTGTATTACGAGGTGCCTACTAGAAATAAGATTACCCATATACATATCGTATATAAAATCGAATATATGACTTTTTAATGTCATGTGCATATGCAGATAAAGGCCTCAGAGGCAGCTGGTCAGCTTTACTTGGCTCCACAGCCATGCTTTCCTGTCCCTGAATAGCACCTCACAGCCTTGGTCACTGAGAAAAGTTAGCCAGAGATGGATCCAGCCCAGCCAGCCTCCAAGGCCCCTGTGCATTGTCTCAAGAAGGCCAAGTCTGGCACCTCTGAGAAGCTGAGCAGATGTGGACTGCACCTCACCCAGGTGCTGCCTGCCTCTCTGCTTGGTGCTTTGCTGGCTGTAACCTCCTCCTGAGCAGAGGAAAAGCTAGTGCCCCAAGATGTGCTGGGGCCTTGCATGGGAAAGGCAATCCTGGTTCATAGCAAGAGACCAGTCAAGAAGGCAATCCCCGTTTTGTTCTTTGATGGGAAAACATATAGTTAAAAAGAAAATAATGAAAGTGACGTGTCTATTGAAATGTGATTTGAAAACTTTACATGGAATAGACTACATTTTAGGTAATATGACCCAATCTTCCAAATATTTCTATTAGGCACACTAAGGTGTATCATGCTTTAGGAGAGTTTATAAAGATAAAAGTCAGAATAAACCAAGGTTTGTTATGGGACTTGGAAAAACTAGAACCAAAATGAAAATGTTCATGCCGGCTACAATTATCCTATTGATAAACACATACTGATAGCCATGATCATAAGGATGTGTTGCTAGGGCTACCCTCTGGATTACCTACTTGTTTATTATGGCTTTGTGTGAATAATGAAGTTGCCAATAAAACCAATTGTATTCGATACCAAGAAAAATAAACTAATGTTCCAATTTATTTGCAAATTCATTGAAGAAAGAATTTTGAATATTATGGTAGATCTGAGCAATTTATCTGGTAAATACTTAAGTGAAACCTAAATGATAACTAATTAATCAACAACAAGAAAACAAAACAAATTTTCCCTAAAATGCCCCATCAGTGCTTTAAGTTGTGATGAAAAAAGCAAGTGTCCTGAAATCAAATCGACTTATTAGCTGAGTGACCTTAAGCAAATAACGCTGAGTTTCTGAACTCAGCTTCCTCTCTGGAGAAGGGGATATAAAACCTTTAGGAGTTTTACAGAGGTTGGAGGTAGGAGTGACAACAACAACAATATTTACTGCTCACAAATTGTGTGCCCAGATAAAGGGGTTTTGTTTGTTTGTTTGTTTTTGAGATGGGAGTCTCACTCTATTCAGACTGGAGTGCAGTGGCAAGATCACAGCTCACTGAAGCCTCAACCTTGTGGACTCAATTGATCCTCCCACCTCAGCCTCCTTAGTAGCTGGGACTATAGGCATGCGCCACCGTGCCAAGCACATTTTTACATTTTTTGCAGAGATAGGGTTTCGCCATGTTGCCCAGACTGGTTTCGAACTCTTGGGCTCAAGCGATCCTCCTTCCTTGGCCTCCCAAAGTGCTGGAATTACAGGCATGAGCCACCATGCCCGGCCGAGCTAAGAGTTTATCTGCAGCTGTTCATTTCCTCATGACCCCGCTATGACAGCAGCACAGGGCTTAGAAGCACTGAATACTTGCCTGGGTCCCATAGCCAGGCAAGAAGCACAGCTGGAATTCAAACTTGGCATTCAACCCAGCACCCATGTTCTTAAACAGTATTGCATAGGAGAAGATAGTGTAAAGGAAAATTGTGTAAAAGGCCAAGTCAAGAAATGGCATGTGTGCCTCCTGCTACATACCGAGATAAGCTGCATCAAAGGGGCATTGTTGGGGTCATTTGGGTCGAGCTTGGACTCTGCTGCCCACTTGGCCAATTTTTTCATGTCTGTCAGTCCTGATGTGCCAATAGATGAGATGGCATCTGCTTTCTTCAAAGCACTGAAAAGAAGAGTTGATTCCATGAGACTGACTTGACCACAGAACAGTTTGCATCAGGACCTCAAATTCTAGAGACAGCATGACTTGAGGAAGCTATTATCCTCCATGAGAGAAAATGTTATCATAAGGAAGGATTTTGTCATTTTTCTTTACATGATGATGGCTATTAAACATAAGGACAATAAAGAAACAGGAATGGAAGGACTGCAGATATGACTAATTCCTACAACTCTGTCCAGTGCATAAAAGTGCCCCTTGGTCCCTGGATTCTGGCCAGTGAAGAGGGGCCTCTGTATCTGGTGCTGGAAGCCCACAAAGCCTCACATCCCAGGCCACTGGGGCCCACTATAGCTGAGGACAAACCAAAAGAAAAAGAAACAAAACCAACTCTTTTTTTTGAGACAGTCTTGCTCTGTCGGCCAGGCTAGAGCGCAGTGGTGCGATTTCAGCTCACTGCAACCTCTACTTGCTAGGTTCAAATGATTCTCATGCCTGAGCCACCCAAGTAGCTGGGATTGCAGGCATGCGCCACCATGCCCAGCTAATTTTATTATTTTTTTTAGTAGAGATGGGGTTTTGCCATGTTGGCTAGGCTGGTCTCAAACTCCTGACCTCATGTGATCTGCCTGCCTCGGCCTCCCAAAATAGTCGGATAATGGACGTGAGCCACCGTGCCCAGCCTAAAACCAACTACTAAACAACAAACTTAAGCACCAGCTTTGGACACCTGGAGATCAAAGGAAGCCACAGTAGTCAGCAAGGTTGAGCTGGGGCTTTATTAATAGTCCTGCATATCTTGTTACTCACATTGTGTTTTACCTTCTATTCTGAGGAGTTGAAAGCTTTACTCCCCAGGAGATTTTTCTAGCACTAAATGCAAGTGAAATGAATGCAGACTTCTTACATTCAAAGGCATAGTCAGGCCTCCACTGGAAGTGGCTTCTGACTTAGAAAGCAAATAGCAGCATCTCCTTGTGGTTTTTATCACATGGACATGTGTGGTCGTTATGGGGATTGAAGGCATCAAGGGAACTAAACGAGCCCAATTCTGTTTTTCCATAAGTTGAACATGACAGCCTGTGACTTGGAAAGTGTCTTCTTCATGATCACAATGAATCCTTTTATTTTAGAGATGAGGCAACTGAGGCCTGGAATGGTGAAATGATTGACTGTAGACACATCTACTGGGGAATGACAGAGAGAGGCTCTGACAGAGGAAGACCCAGGCCACGGGCTACCACAATCTAAGCTTCAGGGACAACCATCAAACACAGGGAGGGGCTGGCCTAGGGTGAGGCCCAGAGTGCCTTTCTTCTGTTCTGAGTAGAGACTCAAGGATATAGCGATCAAGGGAGGAGGCTGGAGAATGGGGACTTTCATGTAAACAGCAGATCCTACACCAATCATCATTAGCAACAAACCTTTACTAAGGGCAAAATATATACAACTGTGATGCTGTGCATCTCCCCCATCTGTAAAATAGGGGAGAGAATACCTCCTAGAGTTACTGTGAAGATTAAGTTCTTTTCACTGTATCGAATACCGATAAACACTTAATATTTCTTAGGCTATTAATATTTTAATTTTTTGGACTAGAGGTTATTATAAAACATTTTTTGTTTTTACCTTAAGAATAAAAAACTCTTGAAAATACTGGCACCTGACAATAAAAGGAAAGAATATGATACTGCAAGCTTTCTTTCCCCTTGGGTATCTTTAATGATAACACTGACATTGCTCATCAATTTACTCTTGCCATGTATTACCTCCGAAATCCGATGTTCTGCTGTGACAATGGAGGAATTAAAGGTATCCCGTTTTCTCCAATGGCCCATGCCACACTATGAGACACTTTCCCTGAGGTCATCAGAGTCAGCTGGTTACTGCCATCAGCTTCAAATGAGAAGGGCACTCCTGGGGAAACACCAGATTAAACAGGATGCTGTTTAGAAAGAGGGACTGAGCCTAGTCCTGGCAAGAAAGCAGATAGTAGACAAATGGAACTTGGAGTGGGTGGGGGTGATGAAGATGGAGCACATGATTCAAGCCAGTGTCACTGAATTTCTTCAGGTGATGATGCTGACAGCTGCTCAGCTCTGTCTCTGATGGCAGAGAGTAGACATTCTCATGACGCACTCTCGAGTGGGTCCACCTGCTTCACAGCTTTGTGACCTTGGACAAATTAGTTAACTTTCTGAGCCATAGTTTTTAATGTATAAATCAGGGATACTAAATAGCACCTTCTTTGCAGAGTTATTTCAAAGACATTTATTTACTTAGTCATTCAAAGTACTTATTTGAGCTTCTACTTCATGCCAGGCACTATTGCAGGCACTGAAGATAGCGCTAAAGAAGCAAAACTGTTAAGAATCCCTGTTCTAAAAACTGAGAAAGAAAAGAACTTCTGATCTCATGGGGTGTATATTTGAGTCAGGGAGAGAAGCAATACTAAGAGAAATAAGAGAAATACTTAGTATGTTAGAGACTGTATGTAAGTATGTTAGTATACTAAGAGAAATACTTAGTATGTTAGAGATTGTATGTAAGTGCTAAGGAGAAACAAATTAGGGAAGGTATATAGAAAATTTGTGCTTTGGAGAGTGGAGAGGGGATAAACTTTTAGAAGGGGTGGCCAGGAAAGCCTCAATGAAGGCGACTTTTGAGTAAATGGCTGAAGAAAATGAAGAAGTGGAGGTAGAGGTGTATTGTTTTGGAAAAGAGCATTACTGGCAGAAGGAACAAGTGCAAGCACCCTAAGACAGACGTGAGGAACAGGAGTTAAATAAGTTAATATTTGCAAAGCACTTACACAATGCCTGGCAAATAGTGATCACACAACACATGTTAATTATTACTAAGCTGTTGTGGCTACAGTAAACTCTCACTGATTTGGCCTCTACCGATGGGAATTTAATGGTAAAAACGCTCTGGGCAGTTATTTAATCAACTAAAGGAGAAGATTTTCAAGCACTAAATGAAGTAACTCTAGATCTTTCCTTCATATTGAACATCCTATCTTGATCTTCAAAATAACCTTATAAGACATTAAAGGAGCTATTAATAGATCCATTTTATAAATGAGGAAAATGATATGCAAAGAGGTTACAAGACTACCAGAGTCTCACAGCTTGCCAATATCAGAGCTGGAACTAAAACCTAAGTCTCTGGACCTGAGGATTGGATTCGGCCTTAAATAAATAATGCAAATAAAGTTCCAGATATAAGTCACAATAAAAAAACAGACACATGAGGAAGCAAGACACCATAAACAAGAGGCAACAGAATCAGACCAATAAGTAGATAGGTATTGGAATGATCAGATACCTAATATTTAAGAATATTTTAAATATATTTAAATGAATGAATGAATGTATAAAAGAAATGATTGAGAGTCTGAGGAAAGGAAAAAAAGCTGTCAGAACTGACCACACTGATTGGGAAAGAACTAAGCATAATTTCTAGAGTTGAAATATACAGTAATTGGAAGGAAAAACAGAAAGGATTAGTTCCAATAATAAGAGACAGCCAAAAAGTGAATTCATGGCTTGGAGGACAAATTTAAAGAAATTATATAGATTGTAGCAGTGAAAGAAAAAGACAGCA
The DNA here is from genome assembly GCF_000001405.40 of Homo sapiens. Lineage (NCBI taxonomy): Eukaryota > Metazoa > Chordata > Mammalia > Primates > Hominidae > Homo > Homo sapiens. The sequence goes on along the minus strand of NC_000004.12, from coordinate 15,551,468 downwards.
AAGGTAATGAAGAAAGGTTAAGAAACATGGAGGAAGGAGTGAGAAGATCCATCATATATCCAATCGGAATTATAGAAGGAGATGAGAGAATATTAATTAAAAATCTCCCTGTTATAATTATTTCAAACTTTTTGGGCTTATGAACAACACTGTGATGTACATTTTTATGCATACATGTTTGTCCTCCTTTCAAATTATTTTCTTAGGAAAGATTCCTAGAAATAAAAGTAAGGCACCAAAGGTCATTTTCAAGGTTCTCAACTTACACTGCCAAACTACTTCATAGTTGCACAGTTATATGCACTTACATTGTCACCAACAGTATATAAAAAGCAACTTGGCAAAAAGTTGCATAGCATCATTGTTTGAATTTGAATTTTTGATATCAATTTTATAATTCTATGGTTGTCTGGGAAGTGAAATAGATATATACACATTCAAATCTGACAATGAAACAGTGAACCATTGAAGATATTAGCTTTCCATACCACTTCCAACTCCCTCGTGGTCCAGTGTCACATGCTGATTACTGCTAAACTCCACTTCTTCAGTAGGAGCCCTTCCAGTGACAACAGTAGTCTCAGGAATAGGCAGAAACACTTCTGCTAGCAAGGTGGGACTACTGTGTCCGACAGTTTCATAGACCTGAAAACCAGAGAAGAGAAATAGCCAATAAAAACAGCAGTAGTGTGTGCTCACGCTCAGATAATCAGTCCATGTTGTTAGTATTTGTGCTGGTCACTGTTCCAGCCCTAAGGGCTCATCTCATTGTGGAAAGTTGAGTTGTGTTACTATATGGTTTCCATGGAGATGAGCTTACAACTGTTTGTGGTCAAGTTGTTGACACCCAGCTTTCTTGCCTGGACTAATCTTCTGGGTAGGGAGGCTAATCAAAGTAGCAGGCGAGGATAATTGTTTTTATTCCAAACCAATATATGGCTTGCTAGGAGAATGGGCCTCCTCCTTTTCCAGGCTCAGGTTGTATTCAGACAGTAATGCCATCAGGAGGAATGGGTGGGACAGTAAGGACATGCCCCCAGATGGCTTATTATCTGCACCAATCTCCAAGTCAGTCGGAGAAGCTCCATATGCAGAAGCACTCCAGAGTGTTACATTTTTAGTAAATCTATCAAGTTCTTCTCTTTCAGGCCTCATTTTATTTGTTAGCTGCTGAAACTCCAGATTTTTCTCAGATCTTCTCCTAGATGGAGCCAATTAGACCATCAGCAGCTCTGCTACTGATCACTGCAGTGTGTCTCATTATGATGCCATCACCATGAGGTGAAGGGCCCCATTGCAGGGCAACCATCGTTTAAGAATACACAATCCAGCCTCAGTTGGACCCTTGGCTCCATTCGATCCCCTGTATTCTTGGCACACTTCACTTTTGTGGCAATATGACATAATATTCCACAGTTCTCCTGGCTTCTTTCCTGTGTTTTATTCTTTCTGTACATGAGGTCTCTGTGACTGGTTTACATTTTTTGAAAAATGCTGATTTTACTACTTTTATTTCCACTGATTAATCTTTATATTTTTCTTCTTATGTAATAGTCCCCCACTAGTTAATATTTTCCACTTACCACTTGAATGCACAAAGATGACACCATGGATTCTTTCCGCCAACCCTCCCTTACAGGGCATATGATCTGAACTTTTCTTTTTTTAGATGGAGTCTCGCCCTGTCACCTAGGCTGGAGTGCAGTGCCGTGATCTTGGCTCACTGCAACCTCTGCCTCCTGGGTTCAAGCGATTCTCCTGCCCCAGCCCCGCAAGTAGCTGGGATTACAGGCGCCCACCACCACGCCTGGCTAATGTTTGTATTTTTAGTAGAGACAGCGTTTCACCACGTTGGCCAGGCTGGTCTCAAACTCCTGACCTCAAGTGATCTGCCCTCCTCAGCTTCCCCATGTGCTGGGATTACAGCCTGATCTGAATTCTTGTCCAGGAGTGAGGATGAAGTGGTGACTGGCTACTATCCTGGCCTTGCCTCCCCAGTATCCATCACTCACCTTTGCAAGATGGCTGGCTGATCATGGAGGGGCACTGGGTCAAAGACAAAGGCAGAAATTGCACAGGTACTGAATTCAGGACCCCAGACTTAATTTTGCTGTGAGCTATTCTAATAGGCAGGAGTTCAGCAGGAAGCCCGTAAGTGGCACACTTAAAACACACTCTCTAAATTCATCTTTATCAGTTAAAAAGGCAATATTTTGATCTATACTAAAAAGTCTTTTATGGAAAATTTCAAACACATATAATGCAGGAATAATAATATGCCACAGACCTGTCACCCCCAGCTTCAATGATCACTATGTTATGACCATCTTACTTCATCTATACTGTCAACCACTCCCCTCCCCTCCATTATTTTGAATCTAGACATCATTTTATCTGTAAATATTTCAATATGTATCTATAATAGATATTTTTAAAAAGCATAATTACAATACCATTTTTATAATAATTCCTTAATAACCTCAACTATTAGTAAGTTTCAAATTTCCTTGAGAGCCTCAAAAAATTCTGTAACATTTTGTTTGAATCAGGATCAAAATATATTCCATATGTTGTAATTGACTGATATGTTCCTCAAGCCTCTATTAATTTATAAGTGACCCTTCCTCTTTTAAAAAATGTTCTCTATATTTTTATTGGTTCACAACTCTGATGGGACAAGGAGTGCCATTTGTTGCTTGACCCAACACTCTTAAGAGCCTATAATTCTATAATCTTCTACAGCTTAAAGAACATGTAGTAGTTATCATTTATTGCACTGGAGACCTTGGTTTGACCTCTTAAATTACAAACTCATTGGCATGAAGTCTTTTCCCAAGAAAATGATGTGTTTTCTTTCATTTTGTTTGAAATGAAAGAAACCACATTTTTTTTTTTTTTGCCAGAATTAATTGAGACAAAAATTTATTGAGACATCCTTTTGTAGGAAGCACAGGGACTTAAGGGCCTTTCGGAGTGGTACCTTGTTTAATCTTCACCACAATCCTATGAAAGGCTATGAAAGGTGGTTTTTACTCCTCATGGGTGTTCCCTGTGCTGGTCACCATGCCTGGTGATGACCAATAAAACATAAGTGATCACATAAAGGGTGTTTCTGAGGACGTCAGTGGAAGGCGGCTTATTCCTAGTTTCTGGAGCCACATTCCTAGCTGGTGCCTAGAGAGGAACTGAATGGGGGCTCTTGGTGCCAAGTCTGTAGGCAGAGGCAATCATGGACTCTAGGGAAATGGAGGGTTTGCTAGTTGGTGTTACTGTCTCAGGAGATATTTATCAGATTTTTTTAATGAGAAAAAAACGGATTCTATCTGACAAAGCCAAAAAAAAAAAAATCCAGAATTTCCCCAATCTTTATTTCCTACTCTCTTAAGATAGCAGAAGTTCTTTTATTTATTTTTATTTTTTATTTTTTTGGATACGGAGTTTCGCTCTTGTTGCCTAGGCTGGAGTGCAATGGAGTGATCTCGGCTCACAGCAACTTCCACCTCCTGAGTTCATGCAATTCTCCTGCCTCAGCCTCCTGAGTAGCTGGGATTACAGGCATGCACCACCACGCCCCGCTAATTTTCTATTTTTAATAGAGACGGGGTTTCTGCATGTTGGCCAGACTGGTCTCGAACTGCCAACCTCAGGTGATCCACCCGCCATGACCTCCCAAAGTGCTGGGATTACAGGGTGAGCCACCGTACCTGGCCCAGAAGTTCTTTTAAATGCTAGGAAGAAATGCTATTTTTAAAAATTAGGAAATGGGTACTTTGGGCTTTAAGTAGGTATTTATAAGTAGATCTCTGTATAATTTAGTTTCATTTTTGTTTTCTCTCAACGATGCTGAGGGTTCTCAGGCCAAGTAATTCTTTGTTGTGGTGAGTTGTATGTTGTAGGATGCTTAGCAGCACCCCTGGCCTCTCACTCATATGTGGGAGCCTAAAAAGCTGATCTTATGTAAGAAAAGAGTAGAATGATGGTTATCAAAGGCTGAGAAGGGAGGAGGTAGAGGAGGAGGATGAAGAGAGGTTCGTTAATGGTATAGAAATATAGTTAGAAGGAGTATGTTCTAGTGTTTGATAGCACAGTAGGGTTACTATAGTTAACAATAACTTACTGTATATTTCAAAATAGCTAGAAGAGAAGATTTAAAATGTCTGCAACACAAATGATAAATGTTTGAGGTAATAGATATTCTAAATACCCTGATTTGATCATTATACATTCTATTCATGTATCAAAATACCACATGTACCCCATAAATACATACAATTATTATGTATCAATAAAAAAGTTTAAAAAATCACAGAATATTGTAAAGGTACAAAAGAAAAGAATCACAAGTTTTGTTTTTCCCATCTAAAATGATAGCATGTAACCAGCATGTTTTTTTCCTGCAGACATTTCTATACCTGTCATTTTGTCAGAGAAATAAAGCAAGGAAGATTTTTTTTTTAATGGGAATTCTCCCATTATAGTACCCATGGCTTTCTTCGGGATAACACGAGATAACATATGTAAATATTGTGTTCCTGCAGTAGACACTTAGTAAACATTTCCTAGAGATTTCCCAGTTTCACAGGCCTTGTCTCATTCAAACCCTCATTGTCTTACCTTTAGATGACCACACCTGTCTTCTTGCCTCATGCAACCCATCTTCCCTGCAGCCGCCACCCGACTTCCTACCAGCCCTCAACCACCTGACCTTTCCAACTGCACACAGCAGGGCTTTCTGGGATCAGCAGTCTGACTTGCTGTCATCCAGTTTAAAGCATGGCAAGTAAGATGTATGTGAAAACATCTGTTTTGGACTTGGGTCCATAAAGAACCAACAGCAACCACAAAAGTGAGGTAGGCGAGGGTAAACAAGGACACTTCTCCAAACATGACTGTTATTCCCACTCTGATAGAGGAGTTATTCCTCAGATGAGCCAGAGAATTAGGAAAGGCCCTGAGAAGAGAAAGCTGGGCCATCACCAAGTAGGTTAAAAGGAGAATTTCCCTATCTCAATCCACATGCCAGGAATACAAAAGCTTAACAGGATTGACTAATAAGGAAAAATGATAATGTTAAAAAATTTAAAAGGCACCCAGCAATATTATACCACTGTTGTTAGTTGTTTTGGTGTTGAGAAGATGAATGTAGGATAAAGTTACAGATGCAAATGACACAAAAATGAAGGCAAAGCTTTTTAAATTTCTAAGCCAAATTTCATTTTTAAAACCCTACATATTTATTTTGGAAAGGCCTCCAAAGCCAAGATTTTCAAGACCTTTCTGGAAGGACTGTGGCCTGGCTCCAACTCCCCTGTCCCATGAAGTCCAATCTCATCCTTCTCTTGGGGCCAATTTTTTTTTTGAGACAGGGTCTCACCCTGTCTCCCAGGCTGGAGTGCAGTGGCGTGATCATGGCTCATTGCAGCCTCAAACTCCCAGGCTTAAGCAATCCTCTTGCCTCAGCCTCCCAAGTAGCTGGGACTAGAGGTATGTACCACCATGCCCAGCTAATTTTTTAAAATTTTTGTGGAGATGGGGTCTCGCTAGGTTGCACAGGGTGGTCTCAAACTTCTGGGCCCAAGCTATCCTTCCGTCTCAGCCTCCCAAAGTGCTGGGATGATAGGTGTGAGCCACTGTGCCTGGCCCAACTCTGATTCTCCCCTTTTTACTTCCTCAAGTTAAACTGTCATCAAGCTCTGTGGATTCCACCAATTCTGGCTCCAATCTTACTTTAATTAATTCCTTCTTCCCATCTTCCCATTTCTACTGCCAGGCCCTGAGCCCATCCCCTCACTCCTGGCTTTCTGTGCCAGCCTTTGGACTTACCTTCTGCTTGTAGAACTGCCTTGGCATTCTTATCTCAAGCCTGGCTAGAAGCTCTGAGCCTTATGGTTACAAACATGCAAGAAATCAAACATCACAGTCTACACTGCTCCTTTCAAAGGTCGTTAACATCTATGCACCAGTGAGTATTGATTCTTTGTAGCTCTCCCTTATATCCTAGCTGGACTGAAACTCCTGAGGCAGGGTCCTATGTGCCCCTCTGTATACATGGCTTCCAATTCTCCACAACACCCTGGCTTAGATACGCAGTTGGCTTTTCACAATCAAGCAGAAAACATTGACCACTTGGTTGCTGAGTTATCAATTGATGCATTATAGTTTTGAGAATCTTAGAACTTTTTCTGAAATATACTATGCTTTAAAGTTAAGAATTTGATAGCATTGGCATTAACAGATGTATTTTAGGTGAGTTTTTCTACCCTCCTAAAGTTGCCAGTAATTCTTCCCTAGTTTAAATCTAGCAATCATGTGGAAAATTTCCAAATAGCAGAGTACTTACTATGACTAGAGACTTGAAATACAGTATCTCCTAGATTAATTTAATCTGTAGTCACTACTCAGTCTTAAAAAACTATGCCATTATGCCATTGTGGTATGAGAGTTGGGCAGTTATCAAATCCCTTTAAATAGCTTAAGAACTTAGTCAAAACTCCCTTAATTTATAACTTTTTAAAAAATTACATGATTTAGTTTTTAGGACCAAGCTTATTGCCTATGAATATATTCTGGATAATATTCTGGGTAACTTTGCTTTTTTATTTAAAAATTTATTTCATAGTATTGTCACATTGGTTTTTCAAAAATTATTTTGACTGTAACATCCACAGCAAGCTAATATTCAAGGCAATAAGCAGGAGATAGTATTGAAGGCTTTGTTTACATTTTAGAATATATGTGAAATAAAATACTGGTGTGCTGTGGGAGACAGAAGATAGTCTCTCCCTCTAAAGTAATTCAGAACATTCAGAAGTGCCCATAGTGGGAGTGTGTTTCACAGGCTGCCTGGGTAGTAGTCTGAGCTCTCACCCATCAGTGGAGGCATGGCTGGGCACCTGCAGGAGGGGAGGCCTTCTTGCCTTCTCTCCTGTCTTTCTGAGTCTGCCAGTGGGTGTCTCCTGGCCCACTTCCTTTCCTTCCTGCCTGCCTCATTACTGTCTTCTGCTCTTCCTTCTAGCTCTCTATCCGGTCTTCTCATGTTAATCTTGGTCTTCCTGATATCAGCTTTTCCTCTGTAGGGGAGGAACAGGGAGGATGAGTTGATGATGGATGTCAGACTAGGAGGCAGAACTCTGAATACTGACCTCTTCACTATTGATGCCTGCAGAAAGGGAGGGACTCATGTGGGCCCCTGCAGCTCCTCCTCTATTCAGGGCAGGTGACAGAGGAGCGGCAAGTGTGCTTCTGGAGTTTGCGTTTCTTTACTTTCTCAGTCAAGTTTTATTCTTAGTTTAGACAATGTTTTGTGTGCAGTAAGTCTTACTTTAAAATTTAAGTGAATGTGTTCAGGGGCACGGCAGACAGGTTGATGTGGGAAGCAGTGAAGATGGGAGGCTTCAGAATTCAACTCTCCCTAGCAAGGCATTCAGATTTTAAATGTTCCATCCAAATGGAAAGGAATCCCTGCAGGGAATCCCTGGCTAAGAAAGGCTGCTCTTAATCCGTTGTTAGTGGTATATAGTATAATAGACTTTATCATTTAAACATATCTGAAATTGAATGGTCTTCCAGTTGTGATGATGTACATAGTTTAAGTGGCTCAAATAATTGTACATCCCAGTGAGTGGTGATGAGATGGAGAGATTAGCTGAAATTCAGGAAGCAGGATAACAGACCCCACTGACACTGCTAAGAGGACAGAGGAAGAGGAGCCCTTCAAGTGTTCCAGGCCATCAGCCTCAGCAGAAGCCCCAGAGCAGATGGAATAGAGAGTCCACGTGGACCCCACAGCAGGGGCAGGGACCTCACAGGGGCTGTGTCCAGTGACCACGTATCTGAAGGCTGCCCCAGTTCTCCTCTCCAGTGCAGAGTTGGGCAACTCTCTACTTTTACCTGCAGACAAAATCACCTCATTTCATTCTCTGTGTTCATTCAGAGTTATAAATCAAGGAAGAAGTAAGCATTAATAGAAATTATTTTCCCCCAGTTGATATTCAGAAAGTGAATTTTCAGGCTTAAGAAAATCTCAGGTTTTCACCAAACCTCCAACTCCAATCCCCTTTCTAAAACCATTTTCTACTTGCTTTCTCCTCTCACTCATATTATGTTTAAGTTAGCAGCCAAAAAAGTTTGTTTTTTTTCAAGTTTCAGAATACACAGACATTTAAAAAAATTACGTGGCACTTTAAAGAGTTATATGAGTGACAAGACTAAGCCAAATTCTAAAGTTCTAAAATTTCAAGAAAAAAATTTCAGCTATGCAGATATCAATCCTGTTATCAATACAGCAAAGGAATTTTGCTTGAGTCTTGATGCTTGGTGCTTTGTAAATGAGGACCACCCCTGCCCTCACCCACCCCCCAGATCACAGATTAAAAGGTACAGGACAGAACTGCCACAGGCACTGAAGGAATTCTAAGCCAAGGCGGTTGACCTTGGGTGCCCAGTGCCGGCCCTTTCAGGTTCTGCCTCTTATTTCTTGGCACCGCTTCCTCTCTTTCCATTCAGTGCTTCCTTCCCACTGTCAAAAGAACACATCCCAGCTGTCACGAACGTCCTCTACAGGTTGTAGAAGGTTTTTAACTACTGAGATCTAGGCGGGGCTTGATATTCAAAATGCTGAACAATACACAGTATTGAACCCACCTCCTGGGTTCATTAGAAGAGCTGCCCACCACAGCTTGGGAACAGGACCCTGGAGGCGCTGGCCTTGGTCAGCCACCCCCTTTAATTGGTCAATTGTGGTAAGGTCCAGGGGGTCCTTGAAGTGGGGCTTATGTGGCCAGGATGGCATCTGGGAAGGTCAGGGCAGCAGCTATTTATCAGTCAGTACAGAGTATGTAAATATTTTATTAATTATACAGCCATGATGGTACCTGCAGACTTTGTCAGTCATACTCACTAGGAATAGGTAGTGGCTACCTGAAGTACTGTATTGAGAAGAGTTCTAAAATTATATTCAGGCTCAGTGGGAAAACACAACAAAAATAGCACCATCAATTATTGCTTTCTGGCAAGGGTGGTGGAGGGGAGTGAGAAATTTCTGCCTAAGTGATGGATGAGGATCTGTGATTTCTGCCTGGGTGGTGGTGGGGAAACAAGGGCATGCATGCCACAAAGCTGCAATCCTAGTTAACAAGCCTGTTAGGATCATAAGAGAGACCTGTTAGCATTGTGGGAGAAGAGTCACCGAAAGAACAAGCAAGACTGAAGACACTGTAATGGGTTAAATAGCATCCTCCACATATTGATGTCCGCCCAGAAACTCAGAATGCGACCTAATTTGGAAATGGGGTCTTTGCAGATATCATTAGTTAAGGATGAAGATAAGATCATATTAGATTAGGGTGGGCCCTAAATCCAATAAGAGTGTTCTTATAAGCGACAAAAGAGGACCCACAGAGAGAGACACAGAGAAGGCTATGTGAAGATGGAAGCAGAGATTAGAGTTACGCTAACACAAACCAAGGAACTCTAAGTGCCAGGAGGAGCTGGAAGAGGCAGGGAAAGATACTCCTCTAGAGCTTTTGGAGGGAGTATGGCCCTACTGACGCCTTGATTTCAGACTTTAGGCCTCCAGAACTGTGAGTAAACACATTTCTGTTGTTTTGAAGCCACCAAGTTAGTGGTTCCTTGTTATAGTTTAGTTTCCCCAGGAAACTAAAATAGACTCAAATAAATATATTGCTAATGGTGGGATTTAGGCTAGTGAGGAGATTTATTAATTTTTGGGGGATCCTAGCACCTGTATCTTTCCCACATCATAACCTCCCATGATTGCGGCATAATTGATTTCTCTGTTATATTACACTAGAGTCCTTGTAGAGGGTGATGTTGAAATATGTCTTCAATGAATGAGCTGGAGATCTCCCTGTGCCCCACCCCCTTCAGCACCCCTCTCCCATCTCAAGGCAGACACTCCAGAGCACTGTGGCCAGAGTTATTCTGCCAGCATTTTCAGTAGGTGAGTTGGGGAACAGATCTCTTTCTTCCAAGACTTTAAGAACAGATGTGCCAAGGAAGAGGCTTGAGACTCTATCGAGACATATTTATAACCAATGGATGATTTAAAATCATCTCAAAGCTGTAATGAACAAAAAATTATTGGGGCAGTAACTATAATAATAATAATAATTATTATTACTATTGTTTTGAGACAGAGTCACACTCTGTCGCCTAGGCTGGAGTACAGTGGCATGATCTCAGCTCAATGCAACCTCCACCTCCTGGGTTCAAGAGATTCTCCTGCCTCAGCCTCCCGAGTAGCTGGGATTACAGGCACCCGCCAGCACACTTGGCTAATTTTTTTTTTTTGTATTTACAGTAGAGATGTGGTTTTGCCATGTTGGCCAGGCTGGTCTCGAACTCCTGGCCTTAAGTGATCTGCCCACCTTGGCCTCCCAAAGTACAGGCATGAGCCACAGTGCCCGGCCAGTAACTATAATTAAAATGTGTACCTGAAGTGTTAAACTCTCCGGCCAGTTGACTATTTGCAAATTGAAAATCTGCCCAAAGTGAACTCGGAAGTCTGCTCCTAGTGGCCGACTGACTGTCCTGGACACCTCCTTGTTGTTGAACAGCACTTTTAAGTACACTGAGCGCTTCTTTACATCCTCCCTTCTCGAGACCTCCGCTCTGCAAAAGGAGACCATTCACAGGTGGAGTTAGTAATAATTTACTAAGATCACCAAAATATATGATAAATAAGAACTGAACAGAACAAGACACACTGCAGGCAACTCTCCCAATCATGTCAGCCCTCATTTAACCAGAGGAGCCACAGGTCTTGCAGAGTAGTATGGAATTTATGGAGAAGCCATTAACAGACACTGAAAAGGGCACAGAGGATTTAAGAACTAGAGTCCATTCATTGTTGTGCTACAGTCTCCTCAGGTTTTTCAGGCAAGCTTTACATTTGTGTCCCAAAGTTTTAAATTCACATATTCCTTGTTAAATGGAATAAATTCAAGACAAAGGGGATAATAATGATTTATATTTGAGTAAGAAGTTTTATTCTAAAAATACAGCAGCATATTGTAGCAGTTAGATCGAGTTCATTTTTCCAAGATACCAAGTTTTTCTCAACATTTTCAGACAGTAAGTGAATGTTCAATGGATGCAGAGTATTAATAAATATTCCTTATTTTTAAAGATAATTTGAATCAGAAAGTTAAAAAAAAAAACAACCTCCCATTGGTCTTTAATTTTATTGTACATATGTGTATAGACATCCACCAAAAAATGCCAGTTATTGGTTAAGTCAATAGCAATTCAAGCTAATTGAGGAAAGGAAAAGGTTAGGGCATCAAAATTTGAAACAAGCTTAGGTTTTTTTTGGGGGAGGGGTGGTAGTTTATTAAAAATTGTTCCATTGTGGAAAATATATATAACATAACGTAATGTTTATCACTTTAACCATTTTTAAGTGTATGATTCAGTGGCATTACATACAATTACTATGTTGTCTAACCATCACCACTATCCACCTTCAGAGCTTCTTCATCATTCCAAACAGAAATTCTCTAGTAATTAAAGGGGGTGGTAGTTTTAACTTTTTACATGTCTATAATTTAGACTTATTCTAGATGAAATAGCTCAAATTACTTCAGCATTTTTTTAATAAAGGACACTTCACAGCAAATTTGCAAGAAGTATCCAAGACACTGAAGACTTAGACTCCACTCATAAAAGATTACCAAATCAAGCCCAAATTTTCCTTTTAGAAAGCATGCTGTGTCATCACATATTTTGAACATTCATGTCAAAATTAAAATTATAGGGTATGGTACTTGTGCCTTGAAAATTGCTTACTTAGTGCAGGGGAATAGTTTATGTATAATATCTTAATATGTGAAGTTGAGGGAACACATGAAAATGCACAAAAAGCTATAATTTTAAAATAAATCAATCATTAGAATAAATCAATCATTAGAACATTAGCAGAAGTTTGAAACCAAGACTGTGAGAAGTCTTATAATGACATCCTAATTAACTCCCACGTTTTAATGAACTCGGAGGCTGACTGACTTTATTTGAATTCTCATTTTTCACGTTGGGATATTGAAGATTCCAGTGTACAACAGTCCCTGTATTCATGATAGATCTTCTATTTACTGGAGAACTAAGCCTGGGATTTTGTGGTATCGATGATTTTAATGGACTCCCTTTAATTAATGATGATATACCATAACATGCATCAGAATCACTTGGAGACCTTGTGAGAACAGTTTTCTAGGCCCCACCTCAGGGTTTCAGGTTCAGTAAGTCTCAGGTAGAACTTGTGAGCTTGCATTTCTTTCTTTTTTAAAATTATTTTTTAAATTTCTGTTTAGTTGGTTGACTTTAATTATCTGGCTAGTTTTTATTAATCTTTCTTAAACATATTTATTTCAATGTGAGGTATTAAAAATGTTTGGGGTATTTATTTATTTATTCAATAGAGGTGAGGTCTCATTTTGTTCCCCAGGCTGGTCTCCAACTCCTGGCCTCAAGCGATCCTCCTGCCTCAGCCTCCCAAAGTGCTGAGGTTACAGGCATGAGCCACCATGCCTGGCCTGAGTTTATGTTTCTAACAAGTCCTCAGTGATGCTGATGCTGCTGATTCTGGGGCTATACTTTGAGAACCATGGCTATTCAGTGAAGGAAAGAATAAATAGGAAACATAAAAATATTTTTATTATGTTATAATTTTTAAAAAGATGAACTTACAAATGTATGTTTATGAATTATTATATGTACAAATGTATATAAATCAAATGATGTTTCTCTTAGGCATCAAGTGAGAATGACTAGACATGTATTTTTATCATATCTGGAGGGTGTGCTTCAGATGGCCTGACTTAAATACCACCCACAACTTTCTGGGGGGTCTTCAAGGAGAAAAGCTGATCCCTGGAGCAGCTGAAATCAAGGAAGGGGCAAGGAAAGGCATCCGTGCCTGTGCCAGAAAGGTGGGACATGCTACCAGTGGACTGAAGGACTCATTGAGGTTACAGATAAGGGACTCAAATCAAAAGCCACACAGACAGCCACTGTGAAGAGCAGGCAGAGATTTGCAACTGGGATGCTTCTCCTACAGGGAGCTTTCCAGTGTGCTCCTGAGTGGCCAGTGCAGATGCATGAGGTAGGTGAATCATATGAAATCACCTAAAGTGGGCAAATGTCAGCAATTTCATGTGGTTCAACCTAATATTCATTTAGAGTTAATGATACTCCTGATGCTCGTGTAGGTCAGTAAGTGTACACTCCCCATGTCGTGCATGTGTGTGTGCATGTGCCCACGTGAACATGTGTATCAGATGTCAGCCTCATTTACGGTCGGAGCATCCACTCACCTGGGGCACTGGTCATTGGGTGTTACGCTTCCTGCCAGGCTTAGCTCCGGGACCAGCGTGGGCTCCCAAGGCCTCCTCCTGCTCTGGGCTGCTCTCTCCCTCACCTCCTGCTCTATCACTGCCCGATCAGTGGGCTCTGGAGGGCTGGGCTTCACAAGGTCCTCCTCGGGATACGGCTCTGCAATCTCATCACCGGGATGTTCTTCTGCTGCTTGTTTCCTTTTCTTCTTCTTGGCCCTCTGTTGAGTTAGAGGCAACATGATATCAAACAGGAATTTTGGAATTTCATTTAAGAGCACAGTCTTCATAGCCAGATGGACCTGGATACAAACCCCAGCCCCATTTCAACCAGAAGTGTGTAATCAGGCAGGTCACTAAGCCACCTGACCTCTCTGTGCCTCAGTTTTTTCATCTACAGAATGGAGCCCAGGAAATTTCTCCCAGGGCTGTTGAAATGAGACTGTTGAAATGCCTAAAAAGCATTTGTCATACAGCCTAGTCCCTGGAAAGAGCTTAAAAAATGGTAGGTATTCATGTGATCATTAATTTTGGTTTTCAAGGCGAAGTACACATCTTGAAATATTAAAATAAGGCATGTAAGCACAGTGAGCATTGCAGGCCCACCTGATCTATTATTTGTTGCCCTTGGACTCAGTTTTGTAGGGTCATGTGCATAAAGTTATATAATTTTCTGAAGGAAACTCAGAAGCATCAATCCCTACATTTAATGGAATAATGCATGTAAGATACTCAGCACAGTGCTGGACACATGCATTAGTGATTACTACATTATTACTTAAATAGGCACAGAGTGCTACCATAGCATTCTCTGTGGACACAGCTGGCTCTGGTATCAGTCAGCTGGGTGGCTTTTTAAGCAAATGCATTAGCCAGTCAATTCATTCATCCTTTTATCCCTTAGCCAGGGGACGGGGAAGAGACAGAGGGAGCCACAGGATACCCTAGTCTGCCAGTCTGGTTTCCCCACTCCTGTACTGGAGGCTGCCCTCCCAGACACTTCCTGGCCAGCCCTATTCCAGGCTGAGTGTTTGTTTACACACTTGCACTTTCCTCCAGGCCTTCCACTGTTGTAACGACGTTCTGTATTCTTCCATCTTCTGTGCGTACTCCTCCGTGTGCTCTTCTAACAGTTCACTTATTTCAGCTTGAATTTCTGCTTCATATGCTTCTTCATCTGCTTTCTGGTCAGCTTTTTCCCTTTAAAATAATTTGTAGTCCCTTGGTTATTTCTGGAAATTAAGTAAGAGAGCAATAATAACAGCAAATACTTATATTGGACTTGCTATGTGCCAGTTCCTCTTCTAAAAATGTCGCACATGTAAACTCACAATCCTGTGAGGCAGATGCTATTATTATCCACATCGTATACATGAGATGACAGAGGCACATAGAAGTTAAGTAAGTTCCCAAGAACACACAGCTGGTGAGTGGAAGGGCTGAATATGAGCCCAACCCACTGAACACTGAGCAGCCATGCCTCTCTGTGTTAAATGATCTGTGTGGTGTGCTGACATGGGGCCTGTAAGTTCTCAGCTGATAGTGGTGGAAATTTCATTAGTTATTTTATGACTTCTTCAAGTCTCTGAGGAACTGCTTCATTTTGTTGCTACTGAGTCCCTGAAACCACTTTTTAAAAAATTTTAATTTTAATTTTTTAAAATTATACTTTAAGTTCTAGGGTACATGTGCACAACATGCAGGTTTGATACATAGGTATACATGTGCCATGTTGGTTTACTGCATGCATCAACCCATCATCTACATTAGGTATTTCTCCTAATGCTATCCCTCCCCCAACCCTCCCACCCCCGACAGGCCCTGGTGTGTGATGTTCCCCGCCCTGTGTCCACGTGTTCTCATTGTTCAATTCCCACCTGTGAGTGAGAACATGCGGTGTTTGGTTTTCTGTCCTTGTGATAGTTTGCTGAGAATGATGGTGAAACCACTTTTTTGACTTTGGATGGAGGATTTGGGTTTTTCTTTGATGATTTTGCTTATACTCCACCAGGAGATCAGCCCAGTTCAAACCACCGTTTCCCACAGTGTGTTCTGTAGGACATTAGTTCTGTGAGATGTACCACCAGGAAAAGATATTGTGGCCATATTAACACTGGATTAAATAAGTGTGAAAGGTTCCTTGCTGGTCATCTTTTCAGAGCCCTTAACATGTTGATGAACAGCATGGCTCTCCTGGTAGATGGCGGCAAATGTGTGGTGACTTCATCCATCCCACCCAGCACTTTGGAGATGGTGCCGAATACTGACTGCACTATTTCCCCCAAGGCAGTTAAGCTTCGTAATCCATTTTACATAAACTTAGACAAGTGCATAAAGCTGACAAATATTTGCTTATGGACACATATCGCCTGGAGTTTAAGCAGTTTACAGTCCCCCAAGGCACAAGCTCTTGCAGCTCTCTAGGATGACTACCAAATAAGTCACTTTGGATGCACAGTGGTACCCGAAATTTATAAACACCAGGGGGAATTCGGCTTCAAAATTATGTTCCATCTCTGATATACAGAAAACCATTCACTTTTCTCATTGTTATTCAAAAGCATGAATAAACTTGAATAGTTTTTTTTTTGTGGGAAAAACTATGCTTTATTATAAGGTGGCTAGATGAATCAAGAATGTGAAAAAAGGGTACTCCAAAAGAATTTGGAAGATAGCCACTTATCAGGGGAAGGAGTGTTATGACCTTATGGGTAAAATGCCTATAAATTTAGTTTACCCTATAAACTCAAAAAGAAGGAGGGGAGGGATGGAGGGAGAGTTAGCAGCAGGGATGATGGGCGGGATGGAGGGAGAGTTAGCAGCAGGGATGATGGGAGGGAGGGAGAGAGAAAATAATCTGGCAAGGATTTCTGTACTGCTTCTGTGGGAGGCTCAGCCTAGGAGATGGAATTCGAAAGCACAAACACTGGAATTTCTGGGAGACAGCCATTATTTTTGTGGGGTAGCATATTTGAATTTGTTAACCAATATTAACTGAGCAGATACTAAGTGGCAGGTGCTCTTGTAGGGACCAAATATACAATGGCAATAGGGTCCCTGCTCTCAAAGATCACACAGTCTTACACTTGTCCTGAAAACTAACCTTTTTTTTTTCAATTTTATAATTACAGCTAAAGAAAAATTACAATTTGCAGCTATCTTTGGCTGAAATATGGCTGTTTTCAAAGCAATGTGTCAGATAACTGCCTAAATTTGTTACTATTGTTAACCAACATTAACTGAGCAGATACTAAGTGGCAGGTGCTCTGGTAGGGACCAGATATACAACGACAACAGGGTCCCTAGTCTCAAAGATCACACAGTCTTATACTTGTCCTGAAAACTAAGCTTTTTTTTTCTTTCAATTTTATAATTACAGCCAAAGAAAACTTACAATTTGTAGCTATCTTTGGCTGTAATATGGCTGTTTTCAAAGCAATAGGTCTGATAACTGCCCACATTTGTTACTATTTGTGTCAGTATATGGGTACAACACTTATCCAGGTGAAACAATCAGAAAGGGACCAACACCAGCAGCATAGATGCTCTTGTTGTGATAAGCTGTACTCTTAAGCATATATAAAAGTCTAGTGAATTAGGTAGCAGAAATATTATCAAAGCTTACTTTCTCCACACCACAAATGAAGGTCAATTCCAAATAAATTAAAGATGAAATGTGAAAGCTAAAATTATAAAGGTTATAGGAGACAATATCATAGAATATCTATATGACTCAGGGGAAGCATTTAAAAAGCACCAACAGTAAAAGAAAAAACTAATGTATTTTATCTTTTTAAAGTTAAGAATTTGTATCCATCAAAAAGCAACAAAAAGAGAGTAAAAAGACAACTAATGAGTAGGAGAGGATATCTGCAATACACACCACTAACAAATTCCCATGTTATATGCAGAATGCCTACAAATTACCAAAAAAGATAACAAGATAAATAATCCAGTCCAAAAAGTGACCAAAGCCTTGAAGAGACACCTCACAAAAGAGGAAATCCAAATAGTCAATGCATGTATGAAAAAATGCTCACCTTCATGAATAGTCAGGAAAATATAAATTAAAACATGTCAGCAGGTCAGCAAAATGTTAATTAACACCACCAAGTGATAGGCATGATATGGGTGATAAGCACCTACGAGAACCCCCATGAAGGCATGAATCAGCACAACTTCTGGAATACGTTTGGAATCAGCAATGTAAAGTTGAAATGAAATCTTGGGCACATGTACCCTAAAAGACAAGTACAAAAATGCCAAAAGTACAGAAGTGGTTTCTGTAACAGTTGAAAATGGAATAAACTCAAATGCCCATCAACAGAAATGGACAAGTTTGGCTATATTCATATAATGAAGTATTGTAAAGCAAAGAAATCTAACTACAGCTATGTGCTGTCAAGTAGATGAATCTCACAAACACAGTACTGAAGAAAAGAAGCATGTATGTATTCCCTAAAGAATACACACAACATACTTTCAGTTATGTATAAGTCAAATACAGGCAATATTAAACTATATATTCTTAGAGATTGCACATAGTTGGCAAAAGTATAAAAGCAAGAAAACAATGATCACAAAAGTCTAGGTAGTTGTTATTTTGGGGATTGAGGAGAATGTTATTTGGGAGGGGCTGCTCAGGTATGCAATGTTCTATTTCTTAACCTGGGAAGTGGTTACATGCATATTTGTTTGTAATTACTTTTAAAACTGTATCCATGTTTTATACATTTTTCTTAATGTATGATATAGCCCAATAAAATAATTTTTCAAAAAAGCCTACTTTCTCAAAACAAGTTTCAAGGGAGTATTTGTAAATCTCTGGAACTCTCGAAGGGATTTCATCTCTTTCCAAACTTTTATGATAGTCTTAAGCAATGTTCTATCTTTTTCTTGTTCAGCATCACGGAATTTTCTTGTTTGTCTGCAAGATATAATAACACATGAGTATATATTAAAAAGTCAGGTGTGTTTGCAAAAGAAATTAATAATGCTACAGTGATTGTATATTCAATTTGATAGCTACCGTATTTTGAAACAAGTACAGAAAACTAAATACAAATGTGAATGTAAAGACAATAGGATGTCAACCTGTCTTGAGAGATTTACTTGATTTTGTTCTCTTTAGGCAGATCTGACTTTAAGTACTTAAAAAATTTGTATTAAAACTATGCATCCTTCAACAAATAGTCACCTTTGAAGGTAAGAAAACAAAGGCAGTTCTCATGGACTAAATTATTATAAACACAGCAAAGTATGCTGCTGTCCTAGTTAGCAACAAATACATGTAAAGTCTTCCTGTGTTAACACAAATCACAAGTTCCACACTGAGGAGATGAAGTATTGTTATTGCATGCCTTGGAGATTTTCAATATTCACTAGATTACCAATATTTTTGGCTTGATCTGAAGAGGCATCATTTGCAAATGGTTTCATCTTTATTTAATACCTTACTTTAAGTTCTTTTTACAAATGATAGCCATGTTTAGATACCAAATGCATTTTGTTGCATAATGAGACAATTACTAAATTTTTGAACAAGTGCCATGAGTCATTCCACGGGATTTAGAAGTGTCTAAGAGACAGAAGATATCTCCATATGTCCATCCTCAGGGAGTTTATAGTTTAGCTCAGGGGACGGACACATACATAAATGATATCAGTGTGAGGTTTGTCTAAGAAAGTATCATGAGGAACCAAGGATGTAGCATTTCACAAATTAGCACCTCATGACCTCCAGAAGGCAGGCCTAAGTCTGGAGGTTGTACGTGTGATGACTTAGTGGTACAGAGAAATAAGGGGGTCTAGGTTTCTAGTAGATCAACTGGTAGCTGTAGAAAAGGAAGATGGCAGAAAATGATAGTGGTTAGGTAGTCAAGATCTAGGACTTTCTGAAGCCCTTAGAAAAGCAAAAAAGCAACAAACTAGAATAAGAAATATTCTCTTTGAGGACCAGTAAAGCATTGTGGTTAAGGGTGCAGTTGTTGCAACCAGACTACACAGGTTTGAATCTTGGCTCTACTATTTACTAGCTGGATTGGGTAAGCTACTTCCCTTTGCTGGCTCACATCTGTAAAATGGGTATGGTAGGAGTTGACTGCACTGGGTTGCTTGGAGGAGTTAATGAGCTAATCCGCATAATGTGCTTAGAACCTTGCCCGATACCAAGTAAGAGGCCTACAAATCTTATCTGTCACCATCAGGTGGTCAGTTCGTCTCCTATGCCTTTAGCTGTTATCACCCCTGCTTCAGTTTTAAAAACCACAATATAAAATTATTTTACTGAGTTACATGACATCTTCAGGCTTTCTGATATATTTTCTACTTTCTTTTTTAGTATCTAAAAAAAAGATAGTTTCCCAGAAATGCTAAAAAGAGCTCTTAGCAAGAAAAATTTGCATACGAGCTAAAGAAGCAGAAAATTACAAAATAATATTTAATTAAAATTTGTGACCAGAGCTGGGGAGGAAGAGGGAAAGGCAATTTTGATTAGGGAGTCAGGAACAGTCTTCTGAAATCTGATATCGATGGGGTCTGGACGGTGCAGTGGACTCCTGCTCAGAAATGAAACTTTGGGAGCCACTGGCATCTGGGTGATGTTTAAAGCCACAAAGTGGATTCATTTCAGGAGAAAATGCAATTTAAAAAAGGGGGTAAAAAGAAAACAACAGTAACACCTGAGACTCGGAACACGTATAAGCTGGACAGAGGAGAATGATGGTCAAAGAATGATGAGAAGGACAAATGGCTGGAAAGGGACGAGGACACCCAGGAGAGGGTGGTGTGTGGAGATGCAGGCTGTCCTGACAGGCAATGCGTGGGGATGGTGTCTGCGTTCAAGCACTGAGCAGGCTGAGAGGTTCCATTCCACTTTCCCAGGTGGAGGTCCCCAGGGGCTGTGGCAAGATTTGCTTCAGAGGAAAGTTGGGCACAGGAGTGAGATAGGATGGTTTGGAAATGGGAGAGAGCGGAGATAGTATGAATAGCAAATGTTTTCCTGGTGTTTGGCTGTTAAAGGAAATATAGAGATAAAGTAGTAGCTGGATGGGGACTTGGGGTCATAGAATTTTTATGTGTTCAAGACTGAGCACATCTGAGGGCAAAGACCCTACAGAGAGGTTAAGTAAAATATTCCTATGTTGCATGACCATTCATGTTTTCTTCCTTCTACATCCTGGTTTCCGTTCAGAGGATAAGGAATGTAGTCATGATGCCGCTATGGAAAATAAAATGGAAAATGCTTTATGGTGCTGGCCCGGGTTAACTGCACCAGTGGAGGGCTCAGCAGATGCTTGAGGTGGGGAGTTCTCGGGGGTGGCTGATCAGATCCCAGGGGGCTTGAGGAAATGGATCCATGTGATGAAACATCCAGCAATAGACCATCTGCTTAGAAATTGTTTTACCACCTAGTGAAAAGTCAGCAAGGGATGGAAATCTCTTTTACTGGGTCAGAAATGCTAAATCTCAAAGACTTTCATCTCCAAGGGCACAGAATTATTGTAATGGGTCTGCTGTCCATGACTCTGCTGGGCATTGTCTCTAGATCTCACACGTATTTCTGATGTTTTTCAAATAGTGACCAATAAAGACAGTTCCATATAAAATCACAATTGCTTTCAGAATAGCTTTTTGTCACTTTTTTCTTAATGTATGCCAAAACAAAAATTATTCTCACAAGGAGACTGCAATATGTTTTCCTTTTAATATAAAAAATAATTTTTATTTAAAAATATACTCCATATTTTTGCAATTATAGGTTACAAACTTCACTAATTTCTACTTTGCTGGAAGAATTTCCAACTCATAGCTAAATTGCAAAAAGAAAAGTATACATTGAAATGCCTCTGGCCGGGCGCGGTGGCTCACGCCTGTAATCCCAGCACTTTGGGAGGCCAAGGCGGGCAGATCACGAGGTCAGGAGATCTAGACCATCTTGGCTAACGCGGTGAAACGCCGTCTCTACTAAAAATACAAAAAATTAGCCTGGCGTAGTGGCGGGCGCCTGTAGTCCCAGCTACTCGGGAGGCTGAGGCGGGAGAATGGCGTGAACCCGGGAGGCGGAGCTTGCAGTGAGCCGAAATCGCACCACTGCACTCCAGCCTGGGCGACAGAGTGAGACTCCGTCTCAAAAAAAAAATAAAAATAAAAAAGAAATGCGTATGTAACAAACCTGCACGTTGTGCACATGTACCCTAAAACTTAATAATAATAAAATTAAAAAAAATAAAATTTAAAAAATAAATAAAAAAATAAAAAGACCTAAATAAATAAATGGAGAGATATACCTTAAAAAAAAAAAAGCCTCGATTTATTATTTCCTGTTCTAAGGATTTGTTCTGTGGAAGTACTCATACAGGTACACAAATATAATATTTAGGAATTTAAATTACAGTAGAATTACAGTAGAATTTAAATAATAAAAAATAGAATAAAAATGCAAATGCGTATCAGTTGAGAATTATACAAACTACAATAAATCTACATAATTCCAGCCTTTAAAGCATGATATAAATCTACATGCACTGTAACAGGAAAATGTCTAAGATGCATTGTATATAAAGAAGCAAGTTGCAGAATGGTATACATGATATGATTCCTTATCCATGTTGATACCTGCAGATATGAGTCAGTCATTTTAACTGTGGTACAGAAATTCACTGTAAGCGTATATCAAGATGGGTTTACTCTGCTACTGGGTTATTTCTAGTGGCTTCCTTTTTTCTTTTTTTTTTTTTGAGTCAAGGTCTCACTCTGTTACCCAGGCTGGAGTGCAATGGTGCAATCCTAGCTCACTGCAGCCTCAAACTCTTGGGCTCAAGCGATCCTCCTTCCTCAGCCTTCCGAGTAGTTGGGACTACATGCACATACTACTATACTCAGCTAATTTTTTAAACTTTTTGTACAGGCTAGTCTCAAACTCCTGGCTTCAAACTGTCCTCACCTTGGCATCCCAAAGTGCTGGGATTACAGGCATGAGCCACAGTGTCCAGTCTGTCTTACTCTTGAATGATGCTGTGCATATCTTTGCACATGTCCCCATGTACATATGCACACATAGCTCCTTAAAGAACATCTTGTATCTGAATCAGAATTGCTGGGTCCAAACTGATGAGCTTCTTCAACATTCTATGAGTTGGGGCCAAGCTGCTCTCAGAAGCGGTAGCTGTAGCACTTTTCCCTTACACCTGCAGAGTGACCATTTCCTTACATCCTCATTCACATTATTGGACTTCAAATACTGTGTTAATATGATAGATGTATTTGATTGTTTTATATGGCATAATTTCACATGTATTCATTGCATTCAGAAAAAGTATCTGGAAAAATAAACTCTAACAAGTGCACATCTAACGGGAAAAAAAGTAGTTACACTTAACAAACTTTACTCACCGAATTTCAGATTTATACTCATTGATGGTTTTTTGGATGGTATCGAGAGACTGATGAGGTTTTTCTGGATCAAGGCCAGTCTGAACAGCATTTCTTAAAGCTTGGAGCTTAAAACGACATGGATACAAGTTTTGGGTTACAAACTCTATTCCCTACTGCAGTGCAACTGGACCCACCCACTTCTCCTGGGCAAAATGGTGCCATCAGTCTGTGAATGGAACGGATGTTCAAGCATCTGGCTGTCTCCAGACTTTCACATAAATGAATTATGATGGAGAACTGTTTCATCTGTTCTTGAAGAAACTGGATTAGTAAAGCATAGTGTATGTCCATCCTTGTTCCATGGCCCAGAAAATCAAGCTGCTTATGAAAATATTACTTTTATGTGTATATCTTAGAACCAAGTTTTCTTCCAAAGCTAAAAGCATGTTTGTCTGGGTCCAGGACATATGATGGTATTCTTGTGATATAAAGAAACTATAAAATTACAGACTCGTAAAACGAGATATTGTGAAGTTATCTCTTCTTTGGGCAGTAAGGTTTTAAAGTCAGGGCGTGAGACCAAAATTGCCTATAGTCAAAATTACCCACAAAAATCCCATGGGATAGTGTCACATTGGGAATAAATCCAAATGCTTAGCCATTCCTTTGAGCATCAGTTGAAACACTGACTTGTGTTTAAGTGCTACACGATGGGGTAATAAATATCAAGATGAGAATGTTTCTAAGGACAGATATTCTCAAGCCACCAATTTTCTCAGGTTCTGAGATCACGGAAGCAAGTAATAGCCACATATCTTCCACCTAACACCCACTTCTGGTGGGTGCTGTACTGTTTACAGAAAGTCTTCTGTTTAGGGCGAGTGTGTGCCAATAAATTTGTACACATCACATGTATACCAACTCTATCTTTCCCTTTTGTCTCTAGCTGGATAATGTATCACACATCCTAAACCGAGGAAACATGTGAAAGAGGGGCATGAACATTTTGCTGTTAGAAATTTTCATTGTTTGGGCTCATTGGAAGAACCAACTCCATTGACAATCATTATGGAAGAAATCACATGTACCTTATCAGTAAGAAATTTCGCCTTGTTTCTCTGGTGTCTTGCAAGGTACTGGTCATATAACTGGGCCAGCTTGGCTGCCAAAACATGCTCTCGGCTAAAACAGGGATGATGAGTGAAGATTAACCCTGAAATATCAATGTCCAGTTGGAAATTTCCAGGAGGGTCTCCAGATCTGATCACATGCTGACTACTGTGAACGTATTTTACAGCCTGCCAAGGAAAGCAGAGTGTAGACAGAACACAGTTAAAGCACTTACTAGATAATGATTCTCTAATCCACAATGGGAAAACGGTCAGATGCAAAATACCTCCTATCCTGGACTAGTCAGGTGAAAAATGCTTGATTACTTATTTCCAGGTTTTAGAGGCCAGCTCTTTTTTGAATATTTGAACAGCAAAATGAAAGACTGGGAGTTAGAAAAGAAACCATTTCAATCTTGCTTTCCTAAGTCTTTTAGGTTTCATTACTTGCCTAAGTTGTAGTTCTAATCTTTTTCATGCAGACTACCTTGTTTCTTGGAATCTTGGGTTTTGTAGCTGGTGACCTTGAAATTCTTTTACTGGGAGGAGCATAGATTCTAGTTCAAACCGATCATTATTTGGATCCTGGACATACCCCATGTATTTACATTTTAAAACATGTGGAGAAGGCTTCATTTTGTAGATAGCAGCAAGGGACATCTACCTAACTGAGCATCATGCTGGCACTCAGTCTTCATGGGGAGGAGGGATGTTGGTTTGCAAAATAAGAGTGGGGGCTGTGCAGCTGAGCCAAGTGTGTAGAAAACAGAAACAGAAGTCTCCAATAGGAATGTCTTGGATCGTTTGGTATATAATGTATCAGATACATCTCTTTGCTTTTCTTCCTTAAAATCCTCAAGATATTTACTTTGATTACTACAGCTACTGTGGGTGGGAGCTCAAGGGTGGAGAGGAGACATCTTTGATTTTGTGCCTTTATTTTTTCTCATTATAAAGACTGACTATAGTAAGGATATGGTGGTTGAGACATCACTTGATCCTTCCTTTTTGCAGAGATGAGCTATTTATCTAGAAAATGATAATGTATGATAATGATAATGTGGCATAAGTGAATTATTTACAAATCATGAGCTTAAAGGAAAAGTGTAAAAATTCTAATCAGAAAAGAAGCTTTTATTCTCCCTAAATTATGGGTAACATGTTCAGCAAACTCTTCATTTAATTCTTTTGCATGGTGTTATGTAAACATGCTAGATCTGGGCTAGGAGACTTGGATTCTAGGCCTGGCTCTACCTTGAACTTGCTCTGAGACCTTGGGCAAGTCACTATACATCTCTGGGCCTCTAATTTTTCATGTGTAGAAATAGGAGGCTAAGGAAAAAGATTAAATTAGCATTTCGTAGATCACTAGGTATCATATCAGGCATTTCACACGCATCATCTCATTTACTCAACAAAGATTAATGGATGTCTACAGTGTGATACAGCCTGTCTTCAAGCAGCAATCAATTTAGAAGGGAAGACAGCCCTAGGATCTAAAAGCATGAAGTCTGGGATGTGCAGAGGGAGGTAGGAAGCCCAGCCCAGAAGAGGGGATTCCAGCATTAGAGTCCTATGATTATAAGTTTTGAACAGATTGTTTTATTTTAAAAATGCCCTTGAAAACTGGAATGTGCTTACAAATATTTTAGGCTCAAATCAGGATGAATTGACTATATTGCAGTACTTTCTGGAATATGCTGTATTTCCCAAATCTGCATTACCCCACATTCCAATAATTGCTGGTGGTCTCTGCTTTTTGCTTAGCCCAACCAAGTATAAAAAGCTTCCAGGACTCCTTGCAGCCACTGGGCTAGACTGCCCAAAAGACCACAACTCCCATACTATTAGAGAGAAAGACCTCTAGTTCCTTTTCTCTTTGTTGTATCTGTTCCCTTTCTTATATATCGAGAACTATTATGAACACAGTAACAACAATTTCTTCCAAGAATCTTCACTTGGATTTATAGAAGGAAAAACCACTGGGACATGGATCAGCTTCCACTGGTCTTTTGTATCTTATGAAAGCCCTGGGTGGCCTTTCAGAGATCAGATCTGGTCATTAATATCCCTACACTTCAGACTGCAACAATGGAGGGCCATTTTTTTTTTCTCTTTCATTCAGGTATAAGTATTCAATTATAAACTGCATTAGTATTATTAGTTTTTAATCTCCATGTGACCACTCTGTGTTTTATAACCCAGATTACCTGGATTAATTAAAAATTTCCACCTCACAAATACATGTACAACTAGACTTCAAACCACAGACATAATGGAAAATTCCTCTCTAATTGCTTTGCAGCTGCTCATTCTTGCTTTGCCTTGCCTCTTACCTATGGGGTTCCAGAGTTATGAGATCACTCAGGGTGTGGCTCTCAGGTTCCATCTTGTACGCTTCTTGGTATGAGTAAATAACGTGGGTAGAGTGGTTCTATTTACTTGTAATGCAACTTAGGTCACCTGTACTTTGCATCTCCTTCCACAAATCTGCATTAGCCTAAGTTCCAAAACCTGCTAGTGGTCTCTGCCTTAGACTCAGCTCAAGCAAGTGTAAAAGTGTTTCAGGACACTTAGTAGTCATTGGGCTAACTGGATCAAAAGACCTCAACTCTCTTCCTATTAGGGAGAAAGACACCTAGTTCCTTGTCTTTCTTTTTGTTGCGTCTGTTTTCCTTTCTTATTTATTGATGACTATCATAAACACAATAGCAACAATTACTCCCAAGGAGGGATAATATTTAGAGTATATTTTAACTTTAAAATTGATTTGATTTTTTAGTCTTCAACTGAAAACTGAAATGCTAAGAGGTGATGAATATGGATTATCTATTGATGTTCTCACCATGTGCAGAGATGCATACCAAAGGAGAAAAAAAAATTAAAGCCGGGTGCGGTGGCTCACGCCTGTAATCCCAGCACTTTGGGAGGCCAAGGCGGGCAGATCACGAGGTCAGGAGATCGAGACCATCCTGGCTAACACGGTGAAACCCCGTCTCTACTGAAAATACAAAAAAATTAGCCGAGCGTGGTGGCGGGCACCTGTAGTCCCAGCTACTTGGGAGGCTGAGGCAGGAGAATGGCGTGAACCCGGGAGGCGGAGCTTGCAGTGAGCCAAGATTGCGCTACTGCACTCCAGCCTGGGCAGCAGAGTGAGACTCCATCTCAAAAAAAAAAAAAAAAAAAAATTAAAAATTTTACAGAAGGCCGAGTGCAGTGGCTCATGCCTGTAATCCCAGCCCTTTGGGAGGCCAAGGCGGGTGGATCACGAGGTCAGGAATTCAAGACCAGCCTGGCCAAGATGGTGAAATCCCGTCTCTACTAAAAATACAAAAGTTAGCCGGGTTTGGTGGCGGGTGCCTATAATCCCAGCTACTCGGGAGGTTGAGGCAGAGAATTGCTTGAACCCAGGAGGCGGAGGTTGCAGTGAGCCGAGATTACACCACTGCACTCCAGCCTGGGCAACAGAGCGAGGCTGTGTCTCAAAACAAACAAACAAAAATGTACAGAAAATTAATAATCATTGGTAAGTTTAAAATACAAGTTTCTACATTTGCCCTGAAAAAATAATAGCAACAAAGTCTGGGTCCACCTCAGAGCCTGCAGTAGATTCTAGAATTATTATTCTGGTCTTCCCTGGGAAGATTTCTCCTTTCCCGTCTTCTGGAAACATGCCATGTTTTCTGGACATGAGGTTAGTGGATAATGATCCACTTGCCACTGACTAGAGTTTATTTTTTGGTATTGATAATGTGAACTGTGGGGAAAAATATGATTCTTTCCTTCTGGAGTTGTTAAGCTTAGGCTATCAAAGGACACATCCCCTTATGTGTAGAGAATTCTGTCATGCCTGCAATTGCAGAGAATGAGGCCCACCAGTATTCAAGAAGAATCAGAGAAAAGAGGGGTGGAAGAGAGGCCTGCCGGCATCAAATCCCTGGTCCTAGCCCCTGAGACCTTGTTTCCTAAAGGTTCTCCTTCATTTTATGATTTATTCCCAGATCCTTTCCAGTTTTTTGAGCCACTAAGTTCCCTCTTTGCTTAAGCTAGTTTGTGATGGGTTTCTGTCATATGCAACCAAGAGAGTCTTGTGTAGTGAAGTGCTTAGAACGCAGCAGATTAACAATGCTTTGGTGAAAAACTGGTGAGAACAATGATGGGAAAGTGACAGTTTTATCTAGTGGTACCTCTGCGGGAGCTTGGAATCATGACACAGTCCTCCAGTGGGTATGCAGTTCTGAAAAAGGGAGGCTCCTGCACATTGCAGGGCCTTTAACACCTGCTTCCATTTCTGTCTTTCCAGCCAAGGCACAAAGTCTCTCTATGGCCAAGCTAAGATTGCTCCCTCTGTATTCCCAGAATTTAGCACAGCTAAGAATATAGTAGACTTTTAGTTAAGTATTTTTTAGTTAAGGATGGAAGTAATAAAAAAGGAAGGAAGGAAGGAAGGAAGGACAAAGGAAAGAGAGAGAAGGAAGAGGGATGTTTGTACTGCTTTTCAACAACTTTTTTTTTTTTTTTGAGATGGAGTTTTGCTCTTGTCACCCAGGTTAGAGTGCAATGGCATGTTCTCTGCTCACTGCAACCTTCGCCTCCTAGGTTCAAGCAATCTCCTGCCTCAGGCTCCTGAGTAGCTGAGATTACACCCACTCACCACCCCCACCTAATTTTTGTATTTTTAGTAGAGACGGGTTTCACCATGTTGGCCAGGCTGGTCTTGAACTCCTGATCTCAGGTGATCTGCCCACCTCGGCCTCCCAAAGTGCTGGGATTATAGGTGTGAGCCACTGCGCCGGGCCTGCTTTTCAACAACTTTAACCCTACTTTGCTATCATGATTAGGCAAACTGCATTTTATATTGTTTATGTTTTACCTGCAATGTCCTATCTAGCATTTTAATTTTTTACTTTTGCACTAATTACTTCTTAAGATGTATTAAATTGTATTCTTTCTTATTGGAAGTTTAACAGTTTTTCTTTGCATGACAGCTAATTCCTTTTTGCATTTTTCTGTCTTTAATTGTCTCATCTCAATTTAAGAACATCCTAATATTGAGACAATATTAGGAACAGAATATTTCACTTTTAAAAACTACCCTTTTCCCCCTCTGTAATTAAAAAAAAAAAACATTCAAAAAGGCAGGGCTGAATACCAACTCCCTTCTAAATAAAACTCTTAAATTCTCTAATAGGAGGGCGCATGATCCATCATTTGAGTCAATAGCATAGTATTTCTAACCAAAGAACAACTGGGCTTGACTCAAACGGGTGATCAGTGTTGGTCGATCCTGCCGGGTGAAGTTAGCATCAGATCCAAGCGCTCTGAGGCATAAATTCATCAAGGCTCTGTTAAGGGCCCAAGGAAATGCCAACTTTTGTTTTCTTAACATTTTTCCTTGTATGTATGTATGTATGCATGTATGCATGTATTTTTTAGAGACAAGGTCTCGCTCTGTCAACCAAGCTGGCGTGCAGTGGTGTGATAATAGCTCACTACAACCTTGAGCTCCTGGGCTCAAGTGATCCTCCTGCTTCAGCCTCCTGAGTAGCTGGGACCACAGGCATGTGCCACCATGTCTGGTTACCTTTTTATTTTTTGTAGAGGTAGGGGGGTCTCACTATGTTGTCCAGGCTGTTCTCAAATTCATGGCCTCAAGCAAACCTCCCACATTAGCCTCACAAAGCTTTGGGATTACAGGTGTGAGCCCCTGCTCCTAGCTGTAATTGCCAACTTTTGATTTGGCACTCTGACTTGGTTTTCCATTATGTGGATGCCAGGACTAAACCAGAACCTAAGGAAAGCTAGTATTTTGCAGGATAGACAGCTGAGTCAGAGATAGGCATAGAAAAGAAGGAATTTCTTTTAATACACGCAGCAAAGTCATTTTAATGACATTCAATTTGCGCTTTTATTGAGGTATTTCTATGTGCCAGGCACACTGCTAAGTAGAAGACTGTAATCCAGTTCTGGTCCCTAAGTCACTTTCAGCATAGCCAGAGAGGAGAAAGAAAATGGATTAACAGTACATGAGCAAAACAATCTTCGCCTGCCGACCTATTGCCTTGCTCTTGCATCATGCCAGAAACTCCTAGGTGGAAAGTCTGTTTGGAAGTAAGACTGAAAATAGAGGCTGTAGGCATTTAATTTTTTTTTTCTTAAAGGCAAGCCTATTTCATGGAATAATGGAAAAGCTATTTTTGGCAAGAGACAGACTGAATAAATGAAGGAAAAGGTTAAAGTAAATAAATACAATGATAAAAATGTTAATTGTGAAAGAAAAGCACTGTGTTTTGAATAATTGGAAGGTTACAATAATTACATTTTTAAAAAAGACTGAGGTATACAATTCAACAATAAACTTAGTAGGTGACCTGTTATGGAATAACAGATAGATATAATATCTCCTCCATTTAACTTAATCCCCTTTGCTTCTTTCTTGTGCAGTCTAAGACATTCTTCATGTTTTGTTGTGTTCAAAACATAGCCCTCCAATAAATGCCCTTGGAAGATGTCAGCCCCTTTGGACTTCTTCCTTCTCTAACTTCCTTTGCTCTGTGATGCTTTATGACAAGCCCCTGTCAGTAGAACTCTTCTTTCTTGACTTTCCTATTTCTGCTTGTATGATAGGAAGATTTTGCTTCTCAAAAGTATTGAAAGGAAACCATCTGTCCTTCTCTACCCACCCTTCCAGTCCTACTGGCTGCTTCCCAAGAGAGAAGGAAGGACATGTCTGACTGGAGAGTCAGCTGGAGCCCAAGTTCCTTAGTCCAGGTTACCTGCAAAGCTAAGCAGTGGCCCCTAGCTGTCCTGTCTTAGCTGTCTCCAAGGAGAGGTTGTTCACTGGCCTGCATGGTCTGCTTGGCATTCCACCTGGTAAATACACCAGAGCCGCTTAGCTTATGTCTAGATGGGGAACCTAATTCGTGAGAAATGGAATAGGAAACCATCTGGTCTTGGGTTCAAGTGGCATTCTGCCGTCTGGTTTTACCCTTAGTGCAAGGGATATCTGGATCCCTTTCTGATTCCAGTGTATTTCTAAATTAGTTTAGAATTTCAAAAGGAGACAGATGAGATCCATTGGCTCCCTCATGCCCTACCCTCCATATTAATTACTCTTCTGTTTTCTAACTTTAACCCACAATTCAGTGTTCATCATATCTGTGTTTAATGGAATGGATGGATGGATGATGATACAGATTGATGGATTATTCAATAAATGCATAAGTTGATATTGTTTTGATCACTAATTGTATTATGTATTTTTGTCATATAACCAAATAGACGATAAATTCCTCATGGGCTGGAACTTATCTTTACCCTTGTTTTGTAAATCTGCCTCCAGGATCACATTTCTGTACAAAGTAGCCATCCACTGATACTTGTCAGTAATAATATTTTATAGAAATTTATAATTTTTAAAAAGGTCATACTCATATATCACCTCAGTACTCATCATGACCCTATGAGGAAGAGAAAATGATTATTATTCCTATTTTTCAATTAAGGAAAAATATCCAGAGAGGTAAAGGAACTTGCCCAAAGTTGCAAGCTAATTAGTTAGTAGGACAGCAGGACTGTACTCAGAATCCGCCTGGGCCTGTGTTTTCTCTATTCATCATTCCTCTTTATAGACAAAAATGATGATTGTTATACCCACCCCATTCTGTTTCATGTGATCAGTGCTGAATGTTACAAATTTAAAATTACACAGGTTTCTGAAGGAGGCAGTCCCAGTGATATGGTTTGGCTGTGTCCCCACCCAAAACTCATCTTGAATTGTAACTCCCACAATTCCCTCATGTCATGAGAGGAACTGGGTGGGAGGTGATTGAATTATGGGGGTGGGTCTTTCCTGCGCCGTTCTTATGATGGTGAATGAATTTTATGAGATCTGATTGTTTTAAAAATGGGAGTTTCCCTGCACAAGCTCTCTTTTTGCCTGCTGCCATCCATGTTAGATGTGACTTGCTCCTCCTTGTCTTCCACCATGATTGTGAGGCCTCCCCAGCCATGTGGAACTGTAAGTCCATTAAACCTCTTTCTTTTGTAAATTGCCCAGGCTTGGGTATGTCTTTATCAGCAGCATGAAAATGGACTAATACAATAAATTGGTACCAGAAGTGCAGTACTACTGAAAAGATACCCAAAAATGTGGAAGCAACTTTGGAACTGGTAACAGGCAGAGGCTGGAACAGTTTGGAGGGCTCAGAAGAAGACAGGAAAATGTGGGAAAGTTTGGAACTCCCTAGAGACTTGTTGAATGGCTTTGACCAAAATGCTGATAATAATATGGACAATGAAATCCAGGCTGAGGTGGTCTCAGATGGAGATGAGGAACTTGTTGGGAACTGGAGCAAATGTGACTTGTTATATTTTAGCAAAGAGACTGGTGTCATTTTGCCTCTGCCCTAGAGATTTGTGGAACTTTGAACTTGAGAGAGAGATGATTTAGGGTATCTGGCAGAAGAAATTTCTAAGCAGCAAAGCATTCAAGAGGTGACTTGGGTGCTGTTAAAGGCATTCAGTTTTATAAGGGGAGTATAAAAGTTTGGAAGATTTGCAGCCTTACAATGTAATAGAAAAGAAAATCCCATTTTCTGAGGAGAAATTCAAACCGGCTGTAGAAATTTGCATAAGTAACATGGAGCCGAATGTTTATCACCAAGACAATGGGGAAAATGTCTCCAGGGCATGTCAGAGGTCTTCAAAGCATCCCCTCCCATCACAGGCCTGAAGGCCTAGGAGGAAAAAAATGTTTTCTTAGGCCAGGCCTAGGGTCCCCATGCTGTGTGCAGTCTAGGGACTTGATGCCCTGTGTCCCAGCTACTCCAGCCATGACTAAAAGAAGCCAAGGTACAACTCGGGCCATGGCTTTAGAGGGTGCAAGCCCAAGTCCTGGCAGCTTCCACATGGTGTTGAGCCTGAGAGTACACAGAAGTCAAGAACTGAGGTTTGAGAACCTCTGCCTAGATGTATGGAAATGTCTGGATGCCCAGGCAGAAGTTTGCTGCAGGGGGAGGGCTCTCATGGAGAACCTCTGCTAGGGCAGTGCAGAAGGGAAATGTGCGGTTGGAGCTCCCACACTGAGTTCCTACTGGGGCACTGCCTAGTGGAGCTATAAGAAGAGGGCCACTGTCCTCCAGACCCCAGAATAGTAGATCCACTGACAGCTTGCACTGTGTACCTGGAAAAGCTGCAGACACTCAACACCAGCTCATGAAAGCAGCCAGGAGGGAGGCTGTACCCTGCAAAGCCACAGAGGCGAAGCTGCCCAAGACCATGGGAACCTAACTCTTGCATCAGCATGACCGGAATGCGAGACATGTTTACCCAATACCTATACCTCCATTGTATCTAGGAAGTAACTAACTTGCTTTTGATTTTACAGACTCATAGGCAGAAGGGACTTGCTTTGTCTCAGATGGGATGTTAGACTATGGACTTTTGAGTTGATGCTGAAATGAGTTAAAACTTTGGGGGAGTTGTTGGGAAGGCAATGATTGGTTTTGAAATGTGAGGACAGATTTGGGAGGGGCCAGGGGTGAAATGATATGGTTTGGCTGTGTTCCTACCCAAATCTCATCTTGAATTGTAACTCCCACAATTCCCAGGTTTCATGGGAGGAACCGGGTGGGAGGTGATTGAATTATGGGGGTGGGTCTTTCCTGCACTGTTCTCATGATAGTGAATGAGTTTCACAAGATCTGATGGTTTTATAAACGGGAGTTTCCCTGCACAAGCTCTCTTTTTGCCTGCTGCCATCCATGTAAGACGTGACTTGCTCCTCCTTGCCTTTTGCCATGATTGTGAGGTCTTCCCAGCCATGTAGAACTGTAAGTCCATTAAACCTCTTTTTTTTGTAAATTGCCCAGTCTTGGGTATGCCTTTATCAGCAGCGTGATAACAGATTAATACACCCAGGAAAGCAAGAGCAATGCAATTAAATATGAGGGCAGGGAACTGTAATGATAGCCAGCAGTTACTAGGTCTGTTTTAGACACTTATGTGGATTACCTCATTCAATTTACACAGCAAGCCTGGGAGGCAGACACTGCTATCGTGCCTGCCTTACAGATGAAGACATTGAGGCATGAGAGACTAATGGCCAAGTTCACCCAGTGAATGGTAGAGCAAGGGCTGGAATTAGGCAGCTTGTTACCAGACTTAGGAAAATACAATATAAAGGATTTGCAAGGATAGAAACTCTCCGGTTATATAATAAAGAGACAACAAATGGGAAGTGGTCCTGCAGCAAATGTGAGATAACAAGAGAAAAGAGAGGGCAAAAGAAGAAAAATAAGTGTAGCTAACCTGGATGTGTAAAAAAAGATGCAGACTCAGTCATTCCTAGCTAGGAAACTCACTCCTTGTTTAAGAAGGGATGCATTGGGCTGGGCGCGGTGGCTCACACCTGTAATCCCAGCACTTTGGGAGGCTGAGGTGGGCGGATCACGAGGTCAGGAGATCGAGACCATCCTGGCTAACACGGTGAAACCCCATCTCTACTAAAAATACAAAAAATTAGCCGGGCGAGGTGGCGGGCACCTGTAGTCCCAGCTACTCAAAAGGCTGAGGCAGGAGAATGGCGTGAACCCGGGAGGCGGAGCCTGCAGTGAGCCGAGATCGCGCCACTGCACTCCAACCTGGGCGACAGCGAGACTCCGTCTCAAAAAAAAAAAAAAAAAAAAAAAGAAGGGATGCATTGAGTATAATTAGACTTACTCTTACATAATATGCCTGATGTTTGTTCTTTATGTGTAAGATAGTGAATTATTTAAAAAATTAAAGTAGAATGTTATAAATATAGCACCCCAAGCTATTCAGAAAGCAAAGCACTTTCAATTTCATTTAATAAAAGTGGAGAGAGGGGAGTGTCTACCTTTTTATACAGTGTTTCAAGCTCTGCCTTAATGCTCTGCTCCTGTGTTAGTACTGGCGGCCTTGAAGGAAATGGCTTGATGGGGTTTGGCAGAGCTAGGATCCTGCCGTCATCTCCAAACCATCTTCTTTCCTGTAGATGAAGCAGAGGGAATGGCAACATTTTCTTCTAATCGAACAGAAAATGGTTCACAACACAAACAACATTTCTTGAAAATTCTGTGTCAACATATATATTTCATGTACTTCCTCCCCCAACAGAACTGTAAAAGTTCTGTTTCCATTAGAAATCAAGTCTTCACTAACACTTCTCACAATTGATTTAAAATATACACCCTGGCTTCCTAAAAAGTATTTTAAAGAGCTTAAATGAGTGCTTAAGAAAAATTTATCTTCTATTAATTAAACATTTAAGAAAAAAAAACACAGAATAAAAACTCAAAAGTGAAACTATTCTACCTATGGATAATTTAAAAATTCTGTCAAGTAGGAAAATGTTGCCAGGATCTGGTTTAGCAGGAAAAGCCCAGATCTAGCTAGCAAAGATGGGTTTTGAGCAGTTGAGAAGTTATGTTATTTGAGGATCAATAAATGTACTGAGAGAGAAAGTTAAAAAAAAAAAAATGAACCACTTTCTGTGGATAACCTCAAGAGGAAATGAGTACAGTGGATGCAATGACTGCCCTGTTAGGAAAATAAAAGCTATGTCTAGTGTGCCCAGGCTACACCTGAGAGCAGAGGGTGCACACTTACGGGGTCCTGCATCAGCAATCTGTTCTCCATGATGTTCTGATTGGTGCGTGCCACCTCTGGTCTTACCCCGGTGTAAAGGCCTTCATCTTCCAGGAACCTGGGCTGTACATTCTCAGGAAGCTTTTTATATGTAGGGACTAGATCGTTTATAAATAAATAAAATAAACATTAGGGCCAATCTAAATATCTCAAACTGCAGTTTGGTGAATTAATCACCAGAGATTTCATTTATGTTCTTAGAAAATGCAAATTTTCCAAATTAATTTTTAAAAGCAGAACCAAGGAAAAGATGAATGTGCTCACTTGTAGCAGTATGTTGTAGAATCAGGTATTTAAAGAAAACGCCTAAAAATTTAATATGTAACTCATCAGTGTGGCATACTGAGAAGAAGGTAGTATTCAAATCATAGGATGAGAGACAAGTTTTAGTTCTATTACTCTTCAGCTGGGTGAATTAGGGCCAGGCACTTCTTTGAACTCTCTCCTCCTGTACAAAAGAGATACTAATCTACTTAACTGGGCTTCTGGGAGAATTAAATGAGGTAAAGTATGAGGACGTGCTTTGTAAATGAACAAGTTTATTTGATTGAACGTGATCATTACCTCATTTATTCATTCACGGCTTTATTCATTCCTAGAACACATCTTTACTGAGAGCCTCCTTGTGCCAGGCACAGATGAGACTCTGGGAATCCAGGCCAGGCCCCTGCTGCCTTGGAGCTTGAATCATAGTGGGAGTGATAGGCAGCAACAGGAAGCAAAGGTCTCTACAAGATCACGCCATAGAGTAGTAAGAAAATACACAGGAGATGGTGACTTAGGGAAGGTTGGGGATAAACTTAAGAAGAAAGAAAGGCTGTTCTCATAAACTCTAAGCCCCTGTAATGGATCACTGATTTGATAAAGGGTTCCCACAGTACTCTGGTATATCTTCCATTAGTCTATCAATAAGTGTTTGTTGAATGGATATTTTTCCATGTTGTGTTTTTTTTGTTTGTTTGAAGATATTTCTTGATTGTTAGATTAGAAACTGGAATCAGTTCTGGAGATGAGGCATCCTTATACACTAGCCATATTTCATGACAAGGTAAGTGACGATGTCTAAGCTGAACAAGAAAATAAAAAGAGCAAGTACCTGTCTGCCTACTGGGTATGAAGAGCATTTCTCTTTCCATCTGCAGCCGATCATGGATGCTTTCATAATCTGCAGGTCTGACTGCTACAAAATCGTCAGCCACGTGATCTAAGCCCAATAGGAAGTCCTCGGCATCATCACCATTAAGCAGTTCTTCCTCATCCTGCATAATGTTAAAAAGTAACAAGAAAAAATCATGCTAAGATTCTTAGTTAGAAAAATAATTCACAATACCAAACTCATGAAACTTAACATTTCCTACAACTTTATCTTTTCCTTTTTTTAAAAAAGTGAAAGCATAGAACTATATAACCTTTCATATTTAACAAGTGGGTTTTTAAAAAAATTGTTTTGCAGTATTCTGCACACCTGGAAGATGTCAAAATCAGAGATGGCTGTTTCAGAAGAGAAGTGGTAAGCAAAACAATCAAAATCCCAACAAATCTGGCCTCCTATGAGACTGCTTGCTTCTTGCCATTTATGTAAAGAATTGGGCTCATAATTTATGTAGCAGTTTAACCTTCCACCTGGCACTAAACCAAGGGAAAAGGCACCAAGTGTATAGGTGCACAGTCCACACACCCTGTTCAGACTGCCTGGGTTTAAATCCCAGCTTCACCATATACTGCCTGAGGAACTTGAAACAGCTTATTTAACCTTCTGATCCTCAGTTTCCTCACTTATAAGATAGTTATAGTAATGGAGTTTACCTCTAAGCACTTTGTGGGGATAAAATTAAATGATACACTTAAAAATTCAAAGCAAAGAGGCTATAATCACAAATGTTAGCTGACATATATTGATTTTGTTTGGATATTTTCTAAACGTCTTCTCTTCCTTCCTCTTCTTTTTCTTTCTCCTTCTCCTTCTTTTAAAAATTTAAACCTGGTGTCCATTTATGAGCAACATCTTTTAAAATCCTGTGGAGACTTTCAGGTAGCTAAAGACAATGATGGCAGTCTAGCTACCTGCCTCTTAAGATTTCCTCCCCAAGTACACAAAAGAATAAGAAGGAAAAAGGGAATCTATGTAGAAACCATGCTTTTAACTTAACTTGAAGACAGAGAATGCCAAAACATCAAACAAGTGAAAAGAGAAAGATCACCAGATGGCAGTGTGTAATCTTCCTTCTCCTGCCCCACCTCTGCTTCGTGGTGAGCAAAATCACCCAGAGAAAAACTGCAGAGAAGACAGAAAAGGGGAGCTAGCGAAAGGGGCTACAGAGGATCTAAAACTTTGTTCAAAAAGGCTAAATGAACCTTGAAGACGAAAATACTTTAAAAGTGTCTGGGCAGAGCAGAGCATGGACTATAGGGAAGGGCTTCCAAATGTGTGTGATTTAAAAGAGCAGTTTTAGGAACAGAGCTTCTGGGGCAGTGAATAGGCAAAAGGAAGGGAGAAGTGGCCTTTGGAGGAAAGTGCCATAATTTCAGAAGATATTCGCAATTGGAGACTTCTATCTTCAACAGGTGAAGCCCAATTCTCCTCCATTTGAGAGTGCACTACGTCTCGTGACTTGCTTCTCCTGAGTAGAATATGGCAGAAGTGACAGTATGTGGCTCCTGAGACTAGGTCATAAAAGGAACTGTGGCTTCTTTTTTGGGTTCTCCCCTAGATCACTTGCTTTTGGGAAGTTAGCTGTCATGTCAGGAGGACACTCAAGCAATGTTGAATGGCCTGAATGCTGATTTGTAGAATGATTGTTATAGAATAAGCTAAAATATTCCCAAGCTTCTGTAGATCTAGGTAAAAAAAGTACATTTCCGGGAGGCATTTTTCAAGGGAGGAGATTGTAAGTGAAGCACAGAAGTATGCCAATTATGTGAATACTAGAATATCCTAGTGTGTTTTCCTTATTTTTAATGTGGTAAAATATATATAACATGAAGTCCACCATTTTAACCTTTTTTTTTTTTTTGAGACAGAGTCTTGCTTTGTCATCTAGGCTGGAGTGCAATAGCGCAATCTCGGCTCACTGCAACGTCTGCCTCTCGTGTTCAAGTAATACTCCTGCCTCAGCCTCCTGAGTAGCTGGATTACAGGTGCCTGCCACCACACCCAGCTAATTTTTGTAATTTTAGTAGAGACAGGGTTTCACCACGTTGGCCAAGCCTGGTCGTGAACTCCTGACCTTAGGTGATCCGCCCTCCTCGGCCTCCCAAAGCTGGGATTACAGGCCACCGCACCCGGCCCATTTTAACCATTTTTAGGTGAACAGTTCAGTGGCATTAAGTAAATTCATATTGTGATTCTACCCTTACCACCATCCATCCATCTTCCCAGACTGAAATTCTATACCCATTAAACATTCCCTCCTTCCTCTAACCTCTGACAACCACCATTCTACTTTCTGTCTCTATGATTTTGATGATACAATGTAGCTCATATAAGTGAAATCACACAATATTTATTCTTTTGTGACTGGCTTATTTTTCTTAGTGTAATGTCTTCAAGGTATATCTATGTTGTGGCATGTGTCAGAATTTCCATGCTTTCTGCGGTTGTATAATATTCCATTGTATATTTATGTTTATCCATTTATCTTCCGATGAACACTTGGGTTGCTTCTACCTTTTGGCTTTTGTGAATAATGCTGCTATGAACATCGGTGCACAAGTATATGTTCAAATTCTTGTCTTCAGTGTTTTTGGATATATACACAGAGTGGAATTGAATTGCTGGATCATATTGTAAATCTGTGGTTAACTTTTGAAGGACCACCATACTGTTTTTCACAGCAGCTGCACTGTTTTACATGGCTACAAGCAACGCACCAAAGTCCAATTTCTCCATATCCTCTATAACACTTATTTTTTGATAAGCGCCATTCTAATGGATGTGCAGGGGTATCTCATTGTGGGTTTGATTTGCATTTCCCTTATGATGATTGGTGTTAAGAATCTTTTTATGGGCTTATTGTCTATTTGTATGTCTTCTTTGAAGAAATGTCTATTCAATACCTTTGCCCATTTTTAAATGGCTTATTCTCCTTTTATCTCACACATACCACCCACAGTTGCAGAATTTGAGTTGTAGCCTGGGTGTGGTGTTTGGGCACAAAATGCTGCTTACTTTGTAAGGTTGTGGTAAGAGAGAGACCAAGATTTCATTTGCCTTGCAGAGGAACATATTTTGCACATGGAATAAATACTAATCATTACGTGGAGTCTAGCAAGAAAAACCCTCAAGCCACATTATTTAATTCTTTTTTCCACAAAAGAAAAATAAACAGGTTTAATCAAGGTTCTTCCTACCACATTGTAGGGTCTAACCCAGAGCTACAGGGAGCCATGTGAATTCAGTACTTGGGATTTCAACTCAGACGTGGAGTGTCATTCTCCTGGTGGTGGCAGGTTTCTCCTCAGCCACTTTCTTTCTTGCAGGGACATCAGCTTTTTCCTCCTAGCCCTCCACCCACACCTCATTACCATCCTGATATTAAATACCATTTCCTTTCCTCCTCCTTGTGCAGGTGGTTCTTCTTCTTCCCCTTCCTCCTCCTCTTGATTAGTTCCCGCTCTATGTCTTGCTTTTGGTTTTTCCTCTGATCCTTCTGGTTCGGGATCAAAGTTGAAAGTAAAGAAGTTATAGGCCTCTTCTGCAGAAGGGAAGCCAGGTGGAACCTAACGAAAAGCAAGGAGCAATCGCAATTTCCCATTTATAAGCTGTAATGCGCTCTGCACAATTAACTGACAGCTGGCTTAATGCTAATGAGATCAGGCATATTCCAGGCCTCCGAAGCATATTGTCTTAGTTAAAGGTGTGAGACTACTGGTAATAAACTTTAATATCTGCCACAGGCAGTTGGAGGCCTCCTTTAATAGTAACTCTAATTAGTGACTTTAAAAAACCCCAGCAATTATTTACATTCCAACAAGTAAATACATATTTATAGCAGTAAACACTTTAGATAAGATTATTAAAATGACAAACAGTGGATTTATTGTTTTATTGGCCAATGCTGAGATAGTTTTGTTGTATTATGAGAAATATAGAATTTTTAAACAAATGACCTTTTTTTGTTGTTTCTCTTTTGGAGTTAGTACTCTCCTTTTTTCCTATAATGAAAGCCGGGGCAACTTCAGAGCTGAACAAACTGTCTTATCACCAACATTTCCTGTCTTTCCATGCACTCCCTCATCCTCAAGTCAGGCAATATTCTGATCTCTCCAGTTAGTATGAAAGTTGGAATCACTTCTCATACTTTTTTCTTGCAAACTGCATGGCAACAGGAGTCAGGTTATATATGTAGTCATTTATTTATTTTTAATTAAGAGATGAGGTCTCACTCTGTCACCCAGGCTGGAATGCAGTGGCACAATCATGGCTCACTGCAGCTTCGACCTCATGGGCTCAAGTGATCCTCCCATCTCAGCCTCCCAGGTAGCTTGGACCACAGGTGTGTGCCACCATGTCTGGCTAATTTTTGTATTTTTTGTAGAGATGGGGTTTCGCCATGTTGTCCAGGCTGGTCTTGAACTCCTGTGCTCAATATATCTGCCTGTCTTGGCCTCCCAAAGCGCTGGGATTGCAGGCGTGAGCCACCACACCCGGCCTGTAGTCATGTGTCATTGGATATTTGTAAAAAACACAAACAAACAAATGATTTTAAAAAACAAGATTTCTCACCTGGGGTTTAGGCTTGATTTTTCGTGCAGAATCATGGAACTTGACTCTTGAGTAACTTTGGGAGTCAACTTCTTGTTGAGTCCTTTCTACCTCTTTCCCTGGCTATATGAGTGGAAAAAAATGATAGATAAACCATTTAACCCAAGAAACTTAGGCTGTTCTAAAATGAAGGTTAACCCCCCCATCCCAAAGGCTTATCTTCTGACTGCTGCTGCATCTTATCATTCCTAAGGCATGGAATGCTGGCAAATTTCAAATGCAGTCATGCGCTCCATAGCGACAGCCTGTAGAACTGCATGCATGACGGAGGTCTCATAGACTATAAATACGGTATTTTTACTGTACCCTTTTTATGTTTACATAAAAAAATACTTACCATTGTGTTACATTGCTATGGTATTTAGAAAAGTAACATGCTCTTCAGGTTTGCAGCCTTGGTGTGTAGTTGGCTATGCCATTTAGGTTTGTGTAGGTACCTTCACACAATGGGTTCACACAATGACGAAAATGCCTAAGAACACATTTCTCAGAACATATCCCCATCACTAAGTGATGCATGACTGTATATTTGAAGGTTGATGTTGATATTTTCTTACTCAACTCGTCTCTCTCAAGACTGAACAAATGTAAAATTGTATACTCAATAAGCTTTAAAATGAAAACTGTTGTCCAGATGCAGTGGCTCATGCTTGAACTCCCAGCACTTTGGGAGGCCGAGGTGGGCAGATCACCTGAGGTCAGGAGTTCAAGACCAGCCTGGCAAACATAGTGAAACCCCACCTTTACTAAAAATACAAAGTTTAGCCAGGCGTGGTGGCGGGCGCCTGTAATCCCAGCTACTGGGGAGGCTGAGGCAGGAAAATCCCTTGAACCTGGGAGGCAGAGGTTGCAGTGAGCTGAGATTGCAGCACTGCACTCCAGCCTGGGAGATAGAGCAAGACTCCATCTCAAAAAAAAAAAAAAGTGTTATCTCATCCTATAAATTAAGATTATCCACTTCACAGAGGATCATTTCCAAACAGTCTATAAAGAAAAACATTGATAATGTCTGATTGTAAGTAAGTCCAACACACATCCTCCAGGGTACATGGCCTGTCCTCACTGAACCTCTGGTCCTGCTATCCACCCTGGGAAGCTGAGCCCTCTGTCTCTACTTGCTCTATGTGATAGTTATCATATGGGTATTCCCTTTTGCCTCTGAAAGCTAATCTGCAAGGTGCTGTTTCCAACTTCTTACCCATCTCTCCTTCTAATCCACCCCTTTTAAAACCCAGATACTCCTCCTTTTTCATGAAGCACAATCTAAATGTCAAGCAATTTTGAGCAATTCTAAGCCATCCCAGTAGCACATATAGGTGTTCATGGCAAGAAGGAACATACTTATTCTACCTATGACAGAAACTTGATCATTATTATATGGACAGAGAATTATTTCACAGCATGGAATAACTGTCACCCAACAACAGTCATGTAGTGTGCCATCTTCACTGGGGACCTTCAATATATCCTTCCCAAGTCCTACCTGTTCCTCAAGACCACACAAAGCTACTTCCTTTCTCCATCCTAAAATGAACTCTCTTTTTGGAATCAAATTGTCTGATTCATATCAGGCACTGTCTTGTAGAGCTTGGCAGTTGAAACCATAGGCTCTAAAGTCTGACTGCCTGGCTTTGAATTTTAACTGTACCACTTACAACTTAGGCCACTTGAGTAGAGCATCAAATAAGGAAATGTACATAAAATATAACCAGTCAGGTGCATTAATGGTAGCCATTATTATCATATTACTAGCTTTTTCTTACATGTCTTTTTTTTGGTCTATAGTTTGTATTCATATGATACGACTAAACATTTTAGTTTAGCCCATGGGAAACCAGAGCCTGTGGCAAGGGTTTTTCTGTGCCTGTAGTTGACTCTGAGAAGTGACACCAAAGAACAGGAACTGGGGACTGGGAAGAATAAAGCAGGTGGAAAGTGAGTGCAGGAGAACTTGATTGACAAGGCTACCACTGTGGGCAAGAGAGTTTAACCCACAGGGATCCTCTGAGGAGTCACGTAGACTGCTTCTCAGAATTGTCCACCAGGGACACAGAAGAGGGGAATATTTGTCTAATGGCTTCTGTCCCCCAGGTGGTTGGAGGGGCTCAGAAACAGATGGCCCAAAATATGGTGCTTTGACATGCTGAACTGAAGAAGAAGCCTCAAGTTCTCTCTGACCTCCCCTACCCTGGATGCCAAATTCCCTATCTCTCCTAAAGCACAGGATGAGGTTGTTCTCTGAAGTTCCCTTAGCTGCCTGAGTCCAAACCTGCCAAAGAAGAAAACAGTGACCTTTGGTCCCTCTCCTGAGTGTTCATTAACTGTACCCATATCGCAGGAAGAAAGACTGAAGTCCATCAACACACTTGGACAGACTTTAGTCAAAAACCATTGTCTGCTCTGCGGGCCCAACAGACTTTGTCCGAGGCCACTGTTACGTTCTCCAAGCCCATTGAATTCCCCTAAAAATCATTTTCTACTTGCTAAAATCACCCACACTTCTCCATCTCTCTTTCCTCTAGGATGAAGGGTACGTAATTATCTTTACTCCTTGCACACTAATAAATGTGTATGCCTTTTCTCCTATTAATCTGCCTTTTGTCAGCTGATTTTCAGTGAACTTTCAGAGGGTGACAAGGAAGTGTCCCCTTGGCCTCTACATAGTTGGTGCTTCCAGTCTTGCATATGTGTCAGAATACATGAGTGGGCCTCCGCAAGCCTTCTGGAGAGGAAGGGATACCCTGGAATGAAACCTGGAGGTACAGCTAAAGTGAGGTGCTGTCAAATTTCACTTAGGTGCAGCTAGATGTCCAGTAATGGCCAGAATAAAAATGAGGGTGTCAGTTGGGTATAATCTATCATAATATCAAGCAACTGTATACAGTTTCCTTTTATGTTGAATTCTATACTTCTCCTTCATTTTCTCATTTTGTAGTGTTAAGGTTAAATAGTTATCTACCAACTCAATTGTACAGAAGTTGAAGCTGTGCTAATCAATACATTCCACAATGCAATGCTAAATGAAGTTATTATTTGTCTCAGTATTTTAAATGTTTTTGAGGATGAGGAAAGAAGCAGATGAGTATTACCCAGTGTAAGGATTTTTTTTTCTTTTTTTTTTTTTGAGATGGAGTCTCGTTCTGTCACCCAGACTGGAGTGCAGTGGCATGATCTCAGCTCACTACAACCTCTGCCTCCCGCGTTCACGAGATTCTCCTGCCTCAGCCTCCTGAGTAGCTGGGATTACAGGCACCCTCCACCAAACCCGGCTAATTTTTTTTTTTGTATTTTTAGTAGAGATGGGGTTTCACTATGTTGGCCAGACTGGTCTCGAACTCCTGACCTCGTGATCCGCCCGCCTCAGCCTCCCAAAGTGCTGGGATTACAGACGAGAGCCACCGCACCCGGCCTAGGATTTT
The DNA here is from genome assembly GCF_000001405.40 of Homo sapiens. NCBI lineage: Eukaryota > Metazoa > Chordata > Mammalia > Primates > Hominidae > Homo > Homo sapiens. The sequence continues at coordinate 15,506,782 of NC_000004.12, read as the reverse complement.
TAAAAACTGCAGTAGAATAAAGATCAGATTCCTGTGCTTGGTCAGTAAGGCTTTTTAAGATTCTGCCAAGTGAGGTCGCCTTGTAAAATAGGGCTAAGACTTTCTCATGCATTGTTGATGATGCCATTCTATTCCTGTCTGCTGCACTTCCTGTAGCAAAGGAGAGAGACTGATGTGTTTGAAAACACACAAAACAAACCGAGAAGTCAACTCATGAGAGAGAAACTTGGCTGTGTATAGGCAAGCCTTGGGCTTTAGAGATCTGTGAAGATGATGATAATGAAACACAAGACCAGGCAGAAAGCTTAACATTAGTAATCTAGAAAATAATTAGGTTAAATTCCATGTGGCAAAATATGTGGAAATTATTATTTTTGTTTCTTTCCATTGGGTTGGTATAGAAAATATGCTCAGATAATATAATTTCATTGATGTGATTTATTGCAGTATTGATGGTTTTATTACAGTATTTATGGACTTGATAAAAAAGTATATAATGTAATTTTTGTCAAAATCTTAGAAAGTTTTAAAGTCAATTATATTAATACATTTAAGGCCATTAATTATACTTAAAAGGATTGAGCATGCTAAATTAAATTTTAAAGAACTATAATACATTTGTATAATCTTAAAGTAATAATTACATTCAATTTCAATCCAGCAATAAAATATTGAGTGCCTATCATCATATGTGCACATATCCATCTAGAAATTCTTTCTCACCCTTAAATTTGTTGTATCCTCCAAGAAGGCTCTAGGCCCTCTTCTAACTTGAGCTAGACCAATTAAAGTCTCACTGCTTTTGTTATAACATAATTACAAAATATATTAGCTCTAGCCCTGATCTCTCTTTAAACCATAATCTAAACCAATTTCTTAAAAGACACCCTAATCTGATTGTCTTGTAGACCCCTCAAATTTTTATATATGCTTGATAGTGGTCCTGATACTAATCAAGATGCATGATTTGCAAATAACTTCTCCATTTCATGTGTTCTTCTTACCTTGTTCAATGGTTTCCTTTGAAGTACAAGTTTTTAATTTTGATGAAGTCCAATGTAGCTATTTATCCTTTTGTTACTTGTGCTTTGGGCGTCAGATCAAAGAAAGCCATGGACTAATTTTTATATAACCTGATTTTGAGGCTGGGACGAGGTGCCATTCTGGTGGGCTGCTAACAGCACCCACCACAGAGCTGAATCCCCCTATATCCCCACTGGCTGTCAACTCCACTGAGCTCCTCAAGGGTGAGCTGTCACTGTCATCACTGGGTGTTCTGAGCCTATCGGACACCTGGCAGGAAGGAGTTTCTCATAAGTGCTGGCTGGGCAACAGGTAAATTAGATTCAAGGATCAGATCTTGGGTAACCTGAAACAGGGAACCAGGGCCACATGTAGAGAAGTTTTGGTCATATCTAGTGGAGGCTAAGTTTTCAAGGTTCTGTGTTACTTCTACTTTGATGTTTATGTGTTCTTAGAGATTTGCATTTGTTCACCTATCACAAATCTGCTGAGCATAAAGTGAAAGGAAATACAAAAGAGATTAAGCAGTGGTTTGCGTTGGTAAATTTGGATTACTGACCAAAGTATTCCTAACTGGTTTCTCCTTTTCTCTCTGAGTATACAGCATCTAACAATCATTAATACTTAAATACAGAGGGCTGACCATGTGCCCGGTACTATGTGAAACACTGTAACATGTATTCACTCATTTAATCCTCAAAACAATACCAAGAACTAGGTTCTGGAATTACCCCTGTTTTATAGAGGCGGGAAGCGGGGTCTGGAGAGTAGCTAAACTCAAAGGTCACATCACTAGTGAGTGAGGTCGGCAGCCTTTAGCCCTGGTCAGCTGAAGTTCAGCATCTGTGCTCTTCATGTGCTATATTTTTTGATGAACAGTATATTGAACGATTTTTTAGATATTCCTTCTGGATTTGAGGTATATACATGAAGAAATGTGGCTGTGAGATGTCCTATTATGAATATGTGACTTGGTCTAAAGACAAAGCAGTTGATGTTTGCCTCAATACTGTAAGAATGGTACTTAGGGAATATGGAATATTATGAACATATAAGCCAAGTCCTGATTACAATGAGAAATAAACACCCTAGTAGCCCAGGGAGTATATTTTTACTTCTACAACTTCCAGCTTTATTTGAGATATCAGTATTTGTGGCCCATGGACAGTGAGAGCTACATGAATAATGATATCTATTTTTTAAAATGATGCTGTGAAATGATTTTCAGTCAGAAGGTATAGAAAAAGCCAGATATAAAAGACCTGAACCTCCTGTCACTTAGCCAACATGACCAGATGCTTAGCCTCATATGCCCGCCAAAATAACCAAAGTTCTTTTGGCAAGCTGATGGGATTATAGATATTTTTCTTTATTTTCCAATATTTTTAAATTATGGCTTTTGTAGTAAGAAAATAAATGGGAATTAAAGGGAAGAAATGCTTTTTCAGTGGAATGGATCATGAGGGCACATAACAAATAGTCATAAAGCCATTTCACTGGACTGACTAGTGTTCCTACTGACGACCACAAAACATAAACAAGGCTGCCACATTCCTTATAATTATGCAACTTGTGACTTCTTTGGGGTGAATATAGGTAACATTTTATAACACCTCATCACAGAAAAAGAAAAGGCATCATTTAAAAAATCAGAAATATCCCTAGAGCCTGGGCTTCTTTGTCTTAATGGTTAAAAACAACCCAAACCAATAAAAACAACAAAAAACCAATTGAATTGTAGTTGCAAACACCTCCTGAGCCATTTGCTGTTTTTCTTTCTGTTCCTTTTTCTGCCGTCTTAGCGCTTACCCCTCACTGAAATCTCTCTGTTTCTTTTCCTGGCTCCCTCTCCTCCTTAACAGCTTTAACTCTAAGGTTTTCTCCAAAGGCACTCTCAAAACTTCAAACACTCACCACAGTAGAAACACTTCCTAAATCTGTTTTTCCAGGTCTGGGCCCTTCCTCTGTGTCTCTGGAGGAACACATATTGAGATTCCTCACCAGCACCTCAAATACGAACGAAATTCACTCTAGTGCATTCAGACTGCTTCCCCTTACTGTTGTCAATAGCTTTCCATGGCTTGTAGAAAACTACCGAGGCTCCTGAATGTGACATTCAAGGACCTTAGCATCTGACTCCATTTTTCTGCTGCACTTTTATCTCTCTCCCTGCTTTCCAGGAAGATCCATGGATCCAGCAATGCTGACCCAATGAGACAGACTGGAAATGATATAGAGCTGGGATCAAATCCCAACTCTTCCACATGTATGCTCTGTGACCCAGGGTGGTTTCACATCTACTCTGACCCTCAGTTTCCTCATCTGTTAAATGTGAATGAAAATAATAGTACCTGCCCTGTAGGGATAATGAAATGTGATAACATGGGACAAAGGTGGTAAAATGCCTGGCACAGAGTAGTACCTTATAAATAGTAGCTATTGTAATTATTAATATTTTTGAAATAGGGTCTCACTGTTGCCCAGGCAGGACTGCAGTGGCCTAATCATAGCTCACTGCAGCTTTGAACTCCTGGGCCTAAGTGATCCTCCCACCTCAGCCTCCCGAGTAGCTGGGACTACAGGCACAAGCCAGCATGCCCAGTTAAATTTTTTATTTTTATTTTTAGTAGGGGTGGGGTCTTGCTCTGTTGCCCAGGCTGGTGTTGAACTCTTGGACTCAAGCGATCCTCCCACCTCAGTCTCCCAAAGTGTATTATAATTATTAATAAGCATTTAATACCTCCTCTGTGCATAGCTCTGCTCTAAAAACTTTTGCTGGAAACTTTATATTCTGCTTTACTGGTTTTGATCACAAAGTAGAGAGGGTATTTCTCACCTCTGTGCCAAATTCAGTCTCCAATTCTTTCTTACTGGGACTTCGTAAGCGTCTGGGCCGAGGAGTGGGGATTTCCTGCAGCAATGCACTTTCTGCTTTGGACTAAAAAGTCAAACAGAAATTTACTGCTACATGATGTCAGGAATGCCGAGAAATAATCAGTAAAAAATACATGCTATCCTTCTTTAAGGGGAAGAGCAAGGAAAATGGTTCAGAAAAGTGACATTAAATTCTGAAGCATAATTTTCATCTGTGCCAATGCAAAATAAGACATTAACATTTAAAACTTGAAAGACAAATTGAATGGTATTCAAATCCATGCAGTTTGGAGCATAAAAAGTAAGCTAGACAAGCCCTGGAAGATTGCAATCAGCACTGAACAGAATATTCATGTGGTTTCTCTCACCCTCGCTGCTTGCAATTTCTCCCTCATGCGTCCCCTCATGGAAAATTCTGCAAAGCCTGTTCTGGAAGTTGAAGGAATTGGAGGTAAGCCTAAAAAACAAAAACAAAAACAAAACAAAATAAAAAAAAAAGAAAAAGAAAAGAAAAAGGAAAATTACTTTAAAACAATTCCCTCCCCCCAAAAGGGAAGGTTAAATTAAAAAAGAAATAAGAGAACATAATTTTATTTTGCACATTTAGAACTTCACATAAGCAAACATGAGATCATGCTAACAACCATCCTTTTGATGTAGTAAGTACATGTCTTGGCTTTTCTGAAACTGAGAGACAAAACCTCAGTCCTGCCTAGCACTGTCATCTTGACTTAACTAAGAATGAAATGAATGACACTTGATTGTTCAAGGCACATGAATACTTACCAATTCAATTGCCACTGGGAAAAGGCTCTCAAGTTTGTTGATTTGAGAAACAGGCTTGTCGGGTGAATGGGTGGCTAATGAATTTGGGGTTTCCGGGTTTAACTTTCAATTGCACTGATATCTTTGATCAGAGAAACATTTTCTATAGGCCCAGGTTTATCCCTGGGCTATATCATAGAGACAATATACATTTTGTGTATATTATTGAATTTACCCATAAATATCATGAACTATCAGGCAGCTATTGTGTGCCAGGTTCTGTGATACCTGCATCAAATGTATTTCTCAACAATTTTTCTGCTATCTTTGTGAGGAGTGCCCCAGGTATTATGATCACCGGGTATCACAAAGATGAAGGCTCTGCAGTCCTGCGTGATAAATGGCTCTACCATCACACACCTAGGATGTGGAATCCTTGGGATTTGGTCCCAGCCCCACATTCCCCAATTCTCTAAACCATTACAAAAGAGGTGGAAGTAAAATGGAGTCTTTGGGGAACAGAATGTTAGCATGGGTGGAGCAGAGTGTCTCTACTGGGATGAAGAAGGACTCAAGATTGCAGAAGGATTTTGGGATCAAGTTATGGAGAGCCTCTGATGTCACATTAAGGAGTCTCGGCTATATTCCCCAAGCAGTGTGGATGTCGTGAAGAATGTGCAGGGAGGAGGACATGAATGCAAGCAGCGTTTTCAGAAGCTGTACCACAGGATGGTTGGGGTGGAGTGGGTGAGGTGCCAGGGACCCCAGTCAGGATGTCCTGGTGTGAGATAGGAAGGAAAGGGGGTCAGTGTGAGTAAGTAAGACAGGCCACACAAAGGAAAATACAATAGAGCCTAGTGGCAATTGGTAGGTATGGAAAAATGGTCAGCAGCAGCAGCAGCAGTCGTGTCTTCTGGAAACTTTTTAGATACACAGATTTTCAGGCATACTCCAAAACCTGGAGGTACAGCCCAGACACCCAGGGAGTTTAAACACACACTCAACCTGGAGGACCCCGCTATAGAGAAATAAGGAAAAAGTGAGGGAATCTGAGGTTTCAACACGAGGAGTTTGATGATGCTGAGAAAGAAAAACGAGACGGGAAGTCAGACTGGGAGATGTTGGAGTGAATTTGTCTGGGGCCAGATAAGTCGCAGGTGCTTGTCCAGGACACCAAGCTCTGGGAGAGGGGCCAGACTGAACAGTAAAGGCTTGGGAAGGCTTTCAACCATGGTGAGCGCTGAAGCCTTAAGGAGTTTCCTGAGGAGAGAAGGATCCTCACGCTTGTAGACAATGACACTGTCGTGGGAGGAAGGCAGCAGGTGAAAGTAAGAGTGGTAGAAGGAAAAGTGGCAGAGAGAAGGCAAAGATAACAGGTCTGCAGGTTCCTCCTGAGCCTGCTTTATGCAAGCAAAGACAACAGTCACCAGCCTCAAAGCCCATTTCTGCAGCACAGCCACTCCGTTTCTTGGGTTGTGCCTTCTTCCATATGTGTGATAGAAAGCTATAAAATACTACTTATATCATGCCCCCAACTATCACTTAATGCCTGTATGGAGGCATGAAATATTTATGGTAATGATTAGAGTCTGGCATGCATGTGTTGAGGTTCAAAGTTCTTTAAGAGAATCTCCATTAGCTTAATAAAATGGCCTTTGGCATTCTTTTAAAACTCACTTAAAATCAAGTCATTTTTCATTTTACAGATAATATAACTATGGTAGATTATGTTCCTGTGGCATATGCGCAGAGTCCTGAGACTTCCTTCATCTGTCACATTTTGAATTTATATACAGTTATGTACTGCACAAGGATGTTTTGGTCAATGGCAGACCCCATATACAAAGGTGGTCCAATAGGATTATAATGGAGCATATGTAGAGATCTGATCTATGGCACCTGATATTGGCTTTGCAGATCAAGTAGGAGAAATAACTGATATTCAGTAATGATGCTGGGACATTTGGTTTTCCATATTTAAAAAATACATATATATATATATATATATATATACACACACACACACACACACACACACACACACAATCTAGGTTTGTGTAAGTACACTTTATCATGGTCCCATAATAATGACACAATTACTCAGTTATGCGTTTCTCAGAATGTATCCCTGTCATTAAATAACACATGACTGCATTTGTTAGGCTATTTGATTAGTACCCGTTTCCTCCTCCCCAGGTTCTAAGGTCCCCAGCCACGCAGGGAAGGCACACTGTTAAGTATCACTAAGCATGTGTGGAATGCCTGGGTGGGTTAACAGGGGCTTCTAGACTGAAACCCTCCTTCTTGCCAATGCTTTCCTCTGTCTGACCACTTAGTGTGCCTCTGTCCCTGTCACCAACCCCCTCCACCACCAGTCAGAAGCCTTTTTCAAAACTAATAAGTTTTTACGAACATAAAAATAATCTTATTTACCCCCTCTTTAAAAATTCAGGGTTTTTTAGTTTTCATAAAACAGTTATTACTTGTACATGGTTTACTAGAACAATTTTATGAATTATTCTTTAAAAGAGAGACAAGATATTTTATTAAACACTATCTCTTCTGAATAAAGAAACTGAAGTAGGTTTATTATTAGTTTTAAAAACATTGACAATTTTTGAGACCATAAAAAGTAGCTCTTGCCAGATTCTTTTTTGAAATTATGACATTTATCACTTTTAATAGACTTTAATTTTTTAGAGTAGTTTTAGGACCCACAAAAAAGTTGAGGGGAAGTTGCAGAGACTTCCCATATATTCCAGCCCCAACATGCTTACTTTCCCTGATGATTGCACCCACCACCAGAGTGGCACATTCATTACAATTGATGAACCTTCATTGACGCATCAATCACCCAAAACCCATAGTTTGCTTGGGGGCTTACTTTTGGTGCTGTATATTCTACAGATTTGGATAAAGCTTATAATGACACATATCCAGCATGATCCAATGATACAGAGTAGTCTCACTGCCCTTCAAACCTTCTGTGCTCCACCCATTCAGCCCTCCCTCCCCTCTACTTTCTGGCAACCACTGATCTTTTTACTGATTTTGTTTTTAAAGTCTGTGCTACTAAAAGACATGTAGAGGATTTAAAGATTTCCAAATCAGGTCTGTACAACTAGCTGATGGCATGTCATCTCTCCAGCCAGACTGTGACCAGCTGAGAGCAAGAAACATATTGGAGGACTTTTGAACTTGGTTTTTGTAGTATTAGATCAGCGAAGGAAAAACATAGAAAGGAACCATGATGGTGTGAGGGATATTATACTTAAAAAGGTATTTCAAACAAGATAAATGTAATCTTCATTTGTTTGAAACCAGATAATGATGAAGACTTTTTTAAAAAGATAATATTACTAACATGGCATCCATGGAAGCCAAAGGTACCAGTTCCCTCCCTTTGACATCATAGCTAATGGGGTTAAGTACTTTCATTTTTTTCTTGGTAGAATATGGCAAACAGTGTTTCTTTAAACAGCTGGAAATACTAAGACAACCCTCATTAAACATTTTTCTTCTAATTTATTGTCAGTTGCTCCACTCCATTACTAATCAGCTGCATGATCTCGAACTGGCTCTCCCTTTCAAGCCCTGAGGGTGAGAACTGATCTGCCAGGCTCGAGGAAGGGCTTAATTTCACATTTACAAAAAGAGGCGTATTCAGAAAATGGCCCTTTGACACAGCTAAGAAAATCTGACATGAATAAATTTTCTGTAGCATCAAATGCAAAGTGTGATGAAAATAATTTTTTTAAGATTTGATTTGAGGGCATGCAAGAACTTATGGATAATGACAGAATTTTAGGACATTCCATTAAAAATATATACATAATGTCAATGTAGCATGAAATGTGGATTTCTTTGGCAAAGTGATGTTTTTCATCAGACACAGCAAGAGATTAGATGTTCAGCAATGTTGCTCTTGCTCCCTAGCAAACCCATTAACCCCAAGGCTACATGAGCCTTGTGTTTGAAATGGCTTTCAGATCTTCTCTGCACTCTCTCTCCTCTTTCCTATCACCCATACTCACTGTTACCCAGGCTTAATAAAATAGTGGACACTCTCCATTTTTCTCCTAAGGACTTCTGTTATACCTGACCCCTCAGAAAACACAACCATGTTTTCCTAACAAACAGGTATTTCATTTCAAATAATTTTCTGTTCCTCTCATGTTATGTCCACAAATTGATGTGGTCCAGAATCCTGATGCCTCACCTATGTTTTTCATTAATAACAGTTTTATTGACATATAAGCCATATACCACAAAGATCCTGCTTTTAAAATGTGCAGAACACATGAATAGGCATTCTCTGAGAAAGAAGTACAATTGGCTAACTAGCACATGAAAAGATGTTTAACATCATTAGTCATTAGGAAAATGGAAACCAAAACCACAATTAGGTACCACTTCACCCCTATAGGATGACTATAATAAACAAGAGAGATAATAACAAGTATTGACAAGGATGTGGATAAATTAAAACTTCTATGCTGGTAGGAATATAAATTGCTGTAGCTACTTTGGAAAACATTTGGGTAATTCCTCTAAATCTTTGGCAAATATTTAAAAGTATGATAAAAATTTATGTCAACTTAAAAATATGCAAGGAGAACCTAGTATTTCCATAATTATTGCAGGGGAGGTGGACAAAAGAGTTACAAGGACACAGGCCTGAACTACCTTTTACTTCTGCCTCTCCATTCCCAGTGCTTAAACCTCAGCACAAAATTATCTTTCCCTAATGCAAAATTCCAGGATAGACTATAAAATATAGAGATAAGGGGGTAGGAAGAGCATGGGGCAAAAGCCAGCTTGACTTCAGGAACAAAAATGGGAGAATAACAGGACTGAGAGGAAAAATGTATTTCTGGGCTCTCTAACCTGTTCCATTGGTCTGTATGCCTGTTTTTGTACCTGTACCATGCTGTTTTAGTTACCGTATCCTTGCAGTATAGTTTGAAGTCAGGTAGTCTGATGCCTCCAGCTTTCTTCTTTTTGCTTAGGATCATGTTGGCTATTTGGGCTCATTTTTGCTTCCAAATGAATTTTATAATAGTTTTTTCTAATTCTGTGCAAAATGTCATCAGTAGTTTGATAGGAATAGCACTGAATCTTAAATTGCCTTGAGCAGTATGTCCAACCTAACAATACTGGTTCTTCTTATCCATGAGCATGGGATGTTTTTTCATTTGTTTGTGTTATCTCTGATTTCTTTCAGCAGTGTTTTGTAATTCTTCTAGTAGAGATCTTTTACCTTCCTGGTTAGCTGTATTTCTAGGCATTTTATTCTTTGTGTGGCTGTTGTGAATGGGATTGCATTCTTGATGTGGCTGTCAGCTTGGACATTATTGGGGTGTAGAAATGCTACTAATTTTTTTACATTGATTTTGTATTCTGAAGCTTTGCTGAAGTTGTTTATCAGATCTAGGAGCCTTTGGGCAGATGCTACAGAAATTATATTCCTTTGTGTGTATACCCAGTAATGGGATTACTGGGCCAAATGGGTTTTCTAGGTATAGAATCATATCGCTTGCGAAGAGAGATAGTTTGACTTTCTCTCTTCCTAGAAATAAAGCCACACATCTACAACCATCTGATCTTTAACAAAGCTTACAATAACAGCAATGGGGGAAAGACTCCCTATTCAATAAAAGGTGCTAGGATAACTGGCTAGCCATGTGCAGAAGACTCTTTCCTTTCACCATATACAAAAATCAACTCAAGATGGATTAAAGACTTAAATGTAAAACCTAAAACTTTAGAAACCCTAAAAGTAAACCTAGGAAATACCATTCTGGACACTGGCCCTGGCAAAGACTTCATTATGAAGTCTCCAAAAGCAATTGCACCAAAACCAAAAATTGACCAGTGGGACCTAATTAAACTAGAGAGCTTCTGCACAGCAAAAGAAACTATCAACAGAGCAAACAGACAACCTACAGAATGGGAGAAAATATTTGCAAACTATGCAACTGACAAAGGTCTAATATTCAGAACCTATAAGGAACTTAATTCAATAAGCAAAACACAAACAACCCCACTGAAAAATGGGCAAAGAACTTGAACAGATAATTTTCAAAAGATGTACTTGTGGCCAACAAACATTTGAAAAATGCTTAACATCACAAATTATTAGAGAAATGCAAATAAAAATCACAATGAGATTCCATCTTACACCAGTCAAAATGGCCATTACTATATTAAAATGTCAAAAAATAACAGATGCTGGCAAAGTTGAGGAGAAAAGGGAACTGTTATACACTGTGAGTGGGAATGCAAATTAGTTCCGCCACTGTGGAAAGCAGTCTGGCAATTTCCCAAAGAACTTAAAATAGAACTATCATTTGGCCCAGTAATCCCATTACTGGGTATACACACAAAGGAATATAAATCATTCTACCATAAAGACACATGTACTCACATGCCCATCACAGCACTATTCACAATAGCAAATACATGGAATCAACCTAGGTGCCCATCAGTGGTGTACTGGATAAAGAAAATGTGGTATATATACACCATGGGATACTACATAGCCATAAAAAAGAATGAATTCATGTCCTTTGCAGCAACATAGATGGAGCTGGAGGCTATTATCCCCTAAGTGAATTAATGAAGGAACAGAAAACCAAATACCGCATGTTCTTACTTATAAGGGGGAGCTAAACATTGAGCTACATATGGACAAAAAGAGGGAAACAATAGAGGCTGGGCGTGGTGGCTCATGCCTGTAATCCTAGCACTTTGAGAGGCCGAGGTGAGAGGATTGTCTGAGCTCAGAAGTTCAAGACCAGCCTGGGCAACATGGTGAAACCCCGTCTCTAGTAAAATACCAAAAATGAGCTGAGTGTGGTGGCATGTGCCAGTAATCCCCTCTACATGGGAGGCTGAGGCAGGAGAATCACTTGAACCCAGGAGGTGGAGGCTGCAGTGAACCAAGATTGTGCTACTGCACTCCAGCCTGGGCAACAGAGCAAGACTCTGTCTTCCAAAAAAAAAGAAAAAGAAACAACAGACATTGGGTATTTGAGGGTGGAGGGTGGGAGGCAGGTGAGGGTTGAAAAACTACCTATTGGGTATTATGCTGATTACCTGGGTGACAAAATGATCTGTATACCAAACCCCCACCCTCAATATGCAGTTTACCCATGTAACAAACCTGCACATGTACCCCTTGAACCTAAAAGTTGGAAAGACAATTAAAAAATAAATAATTTGTGAAGTCACCATTCTGTTTTTAAATTTACATATGCTTCACCCTGTTACATATTGTAACTGTTTGTTGTCAATCAAAGCATGTAGTTGATTAATACTAATTAAAAACTTTCAAATTTTGAGGATTAAAAAAAATGTAATTAGTGGACAGTCTGATGCAAGACCCTAGGATAGCCTTTAAGCCACAATTAATGCTATGGGTACATAGGACACAATCTTATTGTCAGGCAGGTTTTTACCCAGGGCAAGAAAACGGCCCAAAAGCTTATTGGTGGCTGTAACTAGAGTTTAAGAAAATAGGTCATTGATTTCTTCTCCTGATTTTCTAATTTTTATGAAATAGACTAGTGTCACTTGTGAAAGTGTCACTACATGAAAAGAAAGTCAAAATGGGCTGAGAACAAACTGGCTGTCCCTGTATGAGCCCCAGCACTGCTGATAGTTCACATTTGCTGAGGTGCTCTGGAGGGACTTCTCTGGTCACTATCTTTTTTTCTAGTTCTCCCAGGCTCACTCTTTCCGAGTCCCACTAGCATTTTCATTTTATGTTAGCTGAAAACTCAGGAACCCCGGCTCTGGCACATGCGTCTCTTTCTCATGTGGGGTCTTGGGATCCTGGCCCTGCCCAGTGCCCCTTGCTCTTCTTTATACTTCAGCAGATGGCGCAGGCTTGGGGATCATCAGCCTGGACAAGACTCGGTGCTCTCATGCTGTTGTGGTGGTGCACAGGGCATGAGGCTCCAAACAGGACTTTCAGAGACTCTGAGAGTTGTCAGGAATATCACAGATATATTTTGACATGGAGTTTCTACTTAGGATTGAGTCTTCCCCATTGTCTTCTACAGAGTGGAAAAAAATATTAACAGGTATTCAGGAGGGCCAAGAACTGCATGAGAAATGCTAGGTTAAGTGTGTGTAGTCTCAGAACGAGCTTCATGAATTTCCAAGAGTAGAAATGATATGAAAAGTTTCTCAACTTGAATTCTTTTTTGGGGGCAGTTCATTTCTAAGAGGATACTAGTATTCTACAAACTCCAGTTTTGGCAATGCTGGATTACAGAATCTTGTCTTGACCCTTCAATCATTCAACCAACAAATATTCTTTGAGCATCTGTTATGTGTTCAAGGTACTAGGGATAGGGCAGTAAACAAAACAAATGAATGCCTCCACCCCCATAGAGAATGTATGCCAGTGGGGGAGATAGACCACAAATAAGTTCTGTAGTTAGTATGTCAGATGGTGATACAAGTGTAGAGACAAATAACACAGGATCAGGGGATAAGGAGGGCCAGGAGGGAGGGGTGAATTGCAGTTTTAAATAGACTAGGCCAGATGCAGTGACTCAAGCCTGTAATCTCAGCACTTTGGGAGGCTGAAGCAGGCAGATTGCTTGAGCTCAGGAGTTTAAGACCAGCCTGGGCAACATGGTAAAATGCTGCCTCTACAAAAATTAGCTAGGTATGATGGTGTACACCTGTAGTCCCAGCTACCTGTAGTCTCAAAATTAGCTAGGTGAGGTGGGAGGATGGCTGTGCCCAGGAGGCAGAGGTTGCAGTGAGCCGAGATTGCACCACTGCACTCCAGCCTGAGCAACAGAGCCAGACCTTGTCTCAGTAAGTAAGTAAGTAAATAAATAAATAAATAAATAAATAATAAATAAAGTGGCCAGGTAAGGGCCTCCAGGTGACTTAAGAACAGGTGAAGAAAGTGGGGGATCAAACCATGTAGACACCTAGGGGATGATAATTTCAGGTACAGGTAGGGTACTATCTGATGCAAAGACACTGAGATAGGGCTAAGCCTGATGAGAGGCCAGAGCAGAAATGGGGAACCCAAAAATTGAGGGAATGGAATACTAGGATATTAGGTCATAGAAGTAAGGGGAAATGCAACCACATAGGTCATCCTAAATAATTAAGCATTAACAAATATGATGACATCAAAAAGGTGGTGAAGCAGGCATCAGAGGGCCCCCTCAAGGGCATTCTGGGCTACACTGAGCACCCAGGCTGTCTTCTCCGACTTTAACAGTGACACCCACTCTTCCACCTTCGATGCTGGGGCTGGCATTGCCCTCAGTGACCACTTTATCAAGCTCATTTCCTGGTATGACAATGAATTTGGCTATAGCAATAGAGTGGTGGACCTCATGGCCCACATGGCCTCCAAGGAGTAAGACCCCTGGACCACCAGACCCAGTGAGAGCACGAAAGGAAGAGAGAGACCCTCAGCTGCTGAGGAGTCCCTGCCGCCCTTAGTCCCCCACCTCACTGAGAATCTCCCCTCCTCACAATTTCCATGCAGACCCCCTGAAGAGGGAGGAGCCTAGGGAGCCCCACTTTGTCATGTACAATCAATAAAGTCCCCTGTGCTCAAAAAAAAAAACCAAACAAACAAACAAAAAAAAGAATTTGGCATTAACTCTGAGTTGAGTGAGAGCCATTGGAAGGTTTAAACAGAGAAGTGATGTAACTATATTTTCATAGGACCACTCTGGCTGTTGGGTTGAAAATGAGGGGTGAGAATGGAAGCAAGAAGATCAGTTAGGAGGCTACTGCAATATTCTAGATGAGAGGTGAAAGTGGCTTAGATCAGGGTGGTAAGAGTAGAGAGAGTGAGAAGTAATCATTAGATCTATTCTGAAGGTAGAGCACACAGGATTTGATGGTAGATAGGATGTGGGCAGACAGAAAGACAGGTGTTATGGATGACTCCAAGTTTTTGACCCAAGCAATAGAAAAAAATGTAAAGTCCATTTAATGGGGTGGGGATGACTCTAGGAGAAACAGGTTTGGTTTGATAGAAACAGATCAGAAGGTCAGTTTCAGTTAAGTAAAATTTGAGTTGTCTGAAAATACATAATAGATCTAGAGAAACGTAAGAGCTAAAACTATAAAATTTCTAGAAGAAAACATGGGAGAAAATTTCCATAACCTTGAGTTGGGCAATTAATTTTTAGATACAACCCTAAAAGCACAATCCATAATAAAAATATAATAAATTTGAGTTTATCAAAATTTAAAACTTTTGTACTTCAAAGACACCATTAAGAAAATGAAAAGACAAGCCACTGACTTGGAGAAAATATTTTCAAATTATGTATCTGATAAAGTACTTGTATCTAAAATACATAAAGAATTTTTACAACTCTATAGTAAGACAACTCAATTAATAAATGAGTAGAAAATGTAAATAGCTGGGTGCGGTGGCTCATGCCTGCAATCCCAGCACTTTGGGAGGCCAAGGTGGTTGGGTCACTTGAGGTCAGGAGTTCAAGATCAGCCTGGCTGACATGGTGAAACCCTGTCTCTACTAAAAATACAAACATTAGCTGGATGTGGTGGTGAGCACCTGTAATCCCAGTTACTCAGGAGGCTGAGGCAAGTGAATCACATGAGCCCAGGAGGTGGAGGTTGCAGTGAGCCAAGATTGCACCACTGCACTCCAGCCTGGGTGACAGAGTGAGACTCATGTCTCAAACAAGCAAACGAAAAGTAAATAGTCATTTTACTAAGAAGATATACAAATGGCTAGTAAGAATATGAAAAAATAAATCATTAATCATGAGGGAAGTGCAAGTTAAAAGCATAAGACACCACTATACATCGACTGTAAAGGGTATAATTAAAGACAGATAATACCAAGTATTGGAAAAGATGTGGAGAAACTGGAACTTTCATACGTTGTTGTCAGAAAAGTAAAATGATGCAGCCACTTTGAAAAGTATATCGGCAGTTTCTTAAAAAGTTACGAGTAAGTTTATCATATGACTCAGAGATTCTATTGTAGCAGGACAAGCCGCAGACAAAACCCCTTAGACACCAAGCTAAAGAAGGAAGGGCTTTATTCGGCCGGGAGCTTCGGCAAGACTCACATCTCCAACAACTGAGCTCCCCGAGTGAGCAATTCCTATCCCTTTTAAGGGCTCACAACTCTAAGGCGGTCCGTGTGAGGGGGTCGTGATCGATTGAGCAAGCAGGGGTACGTGACTGGGGGCTGCATGCACCAGTAATTAGAACAGAACAGAACAGGACATGGATTTTCACAGTGCTTTTCTTATGAAAATAACCAATTAGGTCAGGGGTCGATCTTTAACTACCAGGCCCAGGGTGTGGCGCCAGGCTGTCTGCTTGTGGTTTTCATTTCTGCCTTTTAGTTTTTACTTTTTCTTTCCTTAGAGGCGGAAATTGGGCATAAGACAATATGAGGGGTAGTCTTCTCCCTTACTACCACTAGGAATCCTTCAAAAAGAAATGAAAACATAAGTTTACACAAAGACATTTTGCAAGTGTTCACAGCAACACTGTGGATAATAGCACCAAACTGAATATAATCCACATGTCCGTCAACAGGTGAATAAATAAACAAAGTATAGTGTGTCCATATGATGAAATATAATTCATCAACAAAAGAAATGAAATTGAAATGTGGATACATGCTACAATACTTACGAATCTCAAAAATCATTATGCTAAGTGAAAGAGGTCAGGTGCAAATCACTACATATTGTATGATTCCATTTACATGCAATGTTCAGAAAAGACACACTTACAGGGATAGAAAACAGATCAGTGTTTGTCTGGAGCTAGGGCTAGGAGTGGAGGCAAATAGGCACAAAGGAACTTTTTGTGGTGATAAAAATGTTCTAAAACTGGATTGTAGTTTGATATTGCATGTTTATATATCTACCAAAAATTCCTTAAATTGTACACTAACAATGGGTGAATTTTATGATATGTAAGTTATATTTCAATATGCCTACTAAAAATATGAGTTGTCTTATTAGATGTGCAAAAGTGGATGTTGAGTACGCGGTTGCATATTTAGTCTGGAAGAAGTCCACGCTGGAGATAAAAATTTGGAACTGGTCAGTATATAGATTGAATTTAAAGTCTTGAGATGACAACAGTAATTGAGTATTGATAAAGACAAGAGAGCCAAGCACTAAGCCTAGGGTGCTCCAACATGGAGTAGTCGGGATGTGAATAAGAACAAGCAAAGGAGAAAGAGGTACAGCCAGTGAGGCAGAAGGAAAACCAGGCAAGTGGAGTCCTGGAAGCCAAGTACAAAAGTAGGAGAGAATGATGAGTGCCATCAAATGCTGTGAAAGTCAAGTAAGATAAAGACTAAGAACTGACTATTGAATTTAGCAAATGTGTGAGTCATTGGTCACCTTGGCAAGGACATTTTCAATAAATGGGTGGGAGTGTGAGTTACATTGGAGTGATTTCAAGAGAGGACTGGAGACAAAAATGAGAGAAAATGAGTTTGAAAGAATTTTGCTGTAAAGAAGTTTTATTTTTTTGTTTGTTCGCTTTAAAGGAGGGTAGGGAATTGGGGCTTTGAGTACAGATTAATTGCGGCCTTGGCTTTCCTCATAACTAATAATAGGTAATATTTATTCATACGTATTAGTACTTTAATTTAGTCTTCCCAGTACTGTGTGAGGTAGTGAACTGCAGCGTTGGTGAATGTCTTGACATTTCCTACATTCTCCACTGTGCATCCTTGGACTAGAATGTTCATCCCATTCTCCAGCTGGTGGGCACTAAGGTAACCCCCAAGGCCCGGCTCCTTCAGGCAGCTCCCCTCTATGTCTCATGCTGTGCTTTATAACATTCCCCTCCCACCCCAGGCCAGTCTCTCCAGGTCCTCATGACTTTTAAAAAGTATGCCTAAAATAAACACTTTATTTCCTTTCATTTGCATCATATTTCACTCGATTCTGAACTTTCTTTTCCACCAATACTGACAAATTGGCTCTGAAATGTTGGTTTAATCAGAGAAACTAACATGAATGAATGGAAAACAGATGTTAGTAATGAAGAAATTTGTGTTCATAAGAAACTACTTAATGTGTGATAGTTACTCCCTCAAGAGATGGTGCAAGATGGAATCATGGGGGAGTGTGTGTACTTTTAAACTAGATGTTTATTTTATTTGGAACTATTCCATGTTCAGGGAGATGCTTTCTTTATTTGGGATGTCATGACTATATATATGTTTGAAGAGCAGATTAGAAGGCAAGCTTTCACTGCATGGGTTTCTGGTGCGGTTCATTAGGGAGGTGGCACCTCCGGGCATGTGCCCGAAGCAGTGTGTGAGGCCATAGGTTAGGGGTGCTGATCTCTGCATCTCTAAATGCAGCCTGACCTTGACAATACTTGGAGCCTTGTAGGACAGAGGGTCACAGGTTCAAGGTGAGGAGCTGGGCTGGTATCACTGAGGGGCAGCCTAGACTCATGAGAAGTTTGGGAAGTAAAAGGTCAAAGGAGTAATCAAACGTGGATCCAGATATTTGAGCAGGTACAAGAATGTCAAAGAACACCAAAACATTCAAATCCCCTAAGACTACTGCAAGGTCTATAAAAATCACTCTCAAAAGTCAAGGACAAAGAGAGGATCCTAAAAGCAGCAAAAGAAAAGAAACAAATAACATATAAAGTAGCTCTGATTCATCTGGCAGCAGACTTCTCAGTGGAAACCTTATAGGTCATGAAGGAATGGGATGATATATTCAAAGTGCTGAAGAAAACAAAGAAACAAACAAAACTTCCAACTTAGAGTATTATATCCAGCAAAGTTATCCTTTAAACATGAAGGAGAAATAAAGACTTTTCAAGGCAAGCAAAAGCCAAGGGATTTCATCATCACCAGATCTATCTTACAAGAAATGCTAAAGGGAGTTCTTCAATCTAAAAGAGAAGAATGCTAATGAGCAATAAGAAATCTGAAGGTATAAAAATCACCAGTGAACATAAGTACACAGACAAATACAGAATACCCTAACACTGTAATTGCGGTGTTTAAATCACTCATATCTTTAGCCCTGAAGACTAAAAGAAAAACCTATCAAAAATAATAACTACAACAATTTGTCAAGAGATAGACAGTACAAAAAGATATAAGTAGAGACAACAAAAAATAAAAAAGCAGGGGGGAGACGGGGTTAAAATATAGAATTTTTCAGTTTTTGCTTTTTATTTTCTTTTCATTGTGATCAGATTTAAGTTGTCATCAGCTTAAAATAACTGGTTATAAGATGTTATTTGCAAGCTTCATGGTAATCACAGAGCAAAAACCTATGACAGGTACAAAAAAAAAAATTTTTTTAACATACTACTGGAGAAAATCACTTATACACTAAGAAAGACAGGAAGAAGGCAGAAAGGAAGAGAGGACTAACAAAACAACCAGAAAACAAATAAGAAAATGGCAGTAGTAAGTCCCTCCCTGTGAATAATGACGTTGAATATAAATGGACTAAATTCTCCCATCAAAAGACATAGATTGGCTGAACGGATGAAAAAGATTGAAAAAAAGAGCCAATTATATGCTACCTATAAGAAACTCATTTCACCTGTAAAGATGCACATAGACTGAAAATAAAGGGGTAGAAAAAGTTATTCTATGCAATGGAAATGTAAAAAGAGCAGGAGTAGCTGTATATGTATCAGATAAAATAGATTTCAAGACAAAAATTGTAAAAAGAGACAAAGAAGGTCATTATACAATGATAAAGGGGTCAATTCATCAAGAGGATATAATACTTGTAAATACATAGGCACCCAATACTGGGACACCCAGATATATAAAGCAAATATTATTAGAGCTAAATCCCAATACAAGTCTCCCATTAATAATAGTTGAGGATCTTAATACTCCCGTTCAGCATTGGATAGATCATTTAGAGAGAAAATCAACAAACTAATATTGGACTTAATCTGCAAATAAAACAAATGAAACTAACAGATTTAAAGAACATTTCATCCAACAGCTGCAGAATACACATTTTTCTCTTCAGCACATGGAACATGCTCAAGGATAGACTATATCTCAGGCCACAAAACAAGTCTCAAAAAATTCAAAAAAGTTGAAATCATATCAGGTATCTTCTCTAACCACAATAAAATAAAACTAGAAATCAATAACAAGAGAAACTCTGAAAACTCTACAAATTCATAAAAATTAAACAATACACTCCAGAACAACAATTGGGTCAATGATGAATTAAAAAAATAAAAAATTGACTGGAACAAATGAAAATGGAAACACAACATATGAAAACCTATAGGGTATAGCAAAAGCATTACCGGAAGGGAATTTTATAGCAATAAATACCTACGTCAAAAATGTAGAAAGATTTTAAATAACCTCACAATGCATCTTAAAGAAACAGAAAATCAAAAGCACATCAAAACTCGAAATTAGTAGAAGAAAAATAATAAAGATCAGAGCAGAAATAAATGAAAGTGATACTTAATAAAAAGTAGAAAAGATCAATGAAATGAAAAGTTGTTTTTTGAAAAGATAAACAAAATTGACAAAACTTTAGCCAGATTAAGAAAAAGAGAAGACCCACAGAAATAAAATCAGAGACAAAAATGGAGACATAACAACTGATACCACAGAAAATCAAAGGATTATTAGAGACTATTATGAGCAACTATATGCCAATACATTTCTTCTAGAAAGCTAGAAGAAATGGATAAATTTCTAGACATATACAACCTACCAAGATTGAAACATGAAGAAATATAAAATCTGAATAGACAAAAAACAAGTAATGAGATAGAAGCAGTAATAAAAAGTGTTTCTCTTCAAAGAAAAGCCCAGGACCTGATGGCTACCCTGCTGAATTCAACAAAACATTTAAAGAACTATTATTAATCCTACTCAAACTATTCCAAAAATCAGAGGAGGGAATACTTCCAAACCTATGGTACAAGGGCAGTATTATCCTGATACCAAAACCAGACAAAGACATAACAACAAAAAACTTTACAAGCCAGTATCTCTGATGCACACTGATGCAAAAATCATCAACAAAATACTAGCCAACTGTATTCAATAATAAATTAACAACATCATTCTTCATGATCAAGTGGGATTCATCTCAGGGATGCAAGGATAGTTCAATATATAAAATCAATAAAGTAATACATCATATCAACAGAATGAAGGAAAAAGGACATGATCAGTTCAGTAGATGTGAAAAAATATTTGCAAATTACTCCTCTGAAAGGGG
This sequence comes from Homo sapiens, assembly GCF_000001405.40. Lineage (NCBI taxonomy): Eukaryota > Metazoa > Chordata > Mammalia > Primates > Hominidae > Homo > Homo sapiens. Next base: position 15,485,870 of record NC_000004.12, on the reverse strand, counting down.
ACTGATATCCAGAATATACTAGGAACTCAAATATCTCAACAGATAAAACATAAATAATCTCATTAAAAATAGGCAAAAAACATTGATAGACATTTCTCAAAAGAAGACATACAAATGGCCAACAGGTATACGCAAAAATGCTCAAATTCACTAATCATGAGGGATATGCAAATTAAACCACAATGAGATATCTTACTCCAGTTAAAATGGCTTTCATCAAAAAGACAAAACAGATGCTGGCAAGAATGCAGAGAAAAGGGAATGCTTGTATACTGTTAGTGAGAATGTAAATTTGTACAGCTGTTATGGAAAACAATATGAAGTTTCTCAAAAAACTAAAAATAGAACTACCCTATGATCCAGAAATGCCACTGCTGGGTATATATCCAAAAGAAAGGAAAGCAGTATATCAAAGAGATATCTGAACTCCTATTTTTACTGCAGCACTATTCACAACAGCTAAGATACGGAATTAACCTAAGTATCCATCAATGGATAAATGGATAAAGAAAGCATGCTGCATATACACAATGGAATATTATTCAGCCATAAAAAAGAATGAAATTTTGCAGTTTGCAACAACATGGATGGAACTGGAGGACATTATGTTAGTGAAGAAAGCCAGGCACAGAAAGACAACTAGTACATGTTTTCACTCATATGTGGGAGCTAAAACAATTGATCTGATAGAGATAGTGAGTAGAATGATGGTTACCAGAGGCAGGACCCTGTCTTGAGCATTTGTTGTTATGCCCATGGCAGTTTTTCAATATATGTTTATCAAGCTCCAAATATTGCATTGGGGAATAAGCAATGAATACAGCAGACAAAGTCTTGATCTCAGGGAGCTTTCCTTCTAATGATCAAGATAGTCAGCTGATTGGAAAATGCCGGGAGGTGATGAGTGCTCTGAAGGAAAGTAGAACCAGCTGAGAGGAAAGAGGGCAGAGGTGGGAAAGGGACATTCTAGATAAAAGATCAAGGAATCCCTGTCCACTCTCCACCTCTCCCCAACCACCAGATCCCTGTATCCATACATCCATGTCCACTTGGATATTCAGCAGGCATCTCAACTTTGCATGTCCATTCAATTTCTACCTTCAAACCTGCCCTTTCTGCCATCTTTTCCTTCTCTGAAACTCTATTGGGGAAAGTGGAGTTACCCATTTTTGACTCAAGTCAAAAACCATGGAGGCAACCTTCCTGCTTTCATAATTCTTGTTCAATCGAGAAATATACCTGTTCGTCTCTACCTTCCAAATACCCAGATTTCCCACACTCTTTCCACCCCTTCCACTACCCGCCAGTCCCATTCCCCAATAACTCCCACCTGGATTTTTGCTGTTGGCCTCTACCTGGTCTCTGTGCTTCTGCCCTCACTCCTTCCAAAGTCTACTCAGCACAGCAGCCGTCAGCCTTAAATCTGATTATATCAGTCCTGGGCTTGAACCCTCCAATGACGCTCATCTCATTCGGATTAAAAGTCAAAGGGCCCACTAGGCTGGGTACAATTCCCCTCCTCCCTTCTGATTTTATTTTTTTCCTTTTCCTTGTTGTTCACTCTCCACTGCCCTTGCCCCCTGGCTGTTGCTTAATGTCGCAAGCACATTCCTGCCTTAAGACCACTGCCTGGAACATTCTCCCCTTGGGGATCACTCATTTCCTTTCATAAATGCACCTCATCCTCTCACTCCCACTGCAGTCCTGCCAGCTTATTCTTTATCTTTCTCTTCAGGACTTCTCACACCTGCTGTACTCTATGTTTATCTAGTTTACTTCATTTGTTTTTCTCTTTTTTCCTCTCATCCCTCCCACAACTGGAGTATAAACTCTGTGGCAGTGTTCACGCAATCTATTATTGTCCCTGTTTTACAAATAAGGAAACTAAAGTTTAGGTAGGTCGGAGAACTTGCCCAAGGGAGTAAGATAGGTAGAGACTGGTACCCACTCTTGTCTAAGCCAACGCCCATGGTCTTAACTGCAACAGCTCAATTGTGTTTCAATCACAAGCTTAATAAAGACACAATCAGAGAACTCTCTTAAAGTGGGAACCAAAGCCCAGAAATGCTGAGATGGTCACGAGGCATTCAGAGGCCAGTAAGGAGTCAACCAAAGTGGAGCACACTGGAAAACACTGGAAAATACAACCGGAAGGAGCCCAATTGCATAGATCCTTAGAGCCCGGAATAAATAAGAGAGTGTGGATTTTATGTAATGTAATATAATAGATTTCTGAGTAGAAAAGTGAGATAAAGAGGAGTTTTAAAGAAAAATTAATGTGGTAGTAAAAATGTCCATACATTCTTTGACACTCCTTCTTTCAAAAGAAGGAGGCTGATTTTCCTTCCCTTAAATGTGGGCTGGATTTAGGGACATGCTTCTAACAAATATGTCGAAAGGACTGATAGGTGATTTCTATGACTGGGTCATAAAGCACATGGCTGCTTCTATCTTGCTCTTGACCCTCTCCGTGTTTTCTACACATACATCTGTGTGTTTCCAAGACCTGAATTGGGAATCCTCCTCACCCTACAGTTCCCCATGCAGACTCCTCCATATGTGGAGGCTCCATTCTTCTGTCACCTCCCTTGCTATCCTTGCCTGCCTAGGGCAGTCCAGCACTCTGTTGTTTCTGCCAGCACTCATCATTCCTTTTTACTTGTCTGTCTCCTGCTCTAATGCCACTGGTATAATAATACTTCCTCTGCTCTCTTGACTTTGTCTGCTGGCTTTGACTTCTCATTTCTGACAGATGCCTGGCTCCACAGACTCCTTATCCACCATATGCTCCACCCCTCACTGCTGGGGATGTTTTCTCTTCGTCTTGGTTTATCAGTGCTGCCAATTCATCAGCAGCTTCCAGCTCCACCCAGGGCTTCCCAGACACTGGATGGTCATGGTGTGGCTCCAGTAGGCAGGTCTCAGCCTTCTGTTCATTCCATACCTCTCCATTCCCCAATTCAGAAATAGCGCTTTTTGTGGGGGAAGGGACTAATGCATAGATCATCTCCATGGTGACAGTGGACAGTATCTTCTTCATTTTCGAGTTAGAAAATAATCCACTTTTTATGTCACAGAGCCTTGACTGGTGGCCACCTCTCCTGGCAGTCTTTCCCTTGATTTTAAAATAAATAATTAAATATCCAGTAGTTGTGCTAAGGACTGAATTGTGTCCCCCCTCTGAAAATCTGTATGTTGAAGCCTTCTCCCCCAATCTGACTGCATTTAGAGATAGAACCTGTAGGAGGTAATTAAGGTCAAATGCGATCATAAGGGAGGGGCCCTGATAGGATTAGGATTAGTGTCCTTATAAGAGGAGACAGTAGAGCCTCTCCCTCCCCCAGTGCAGGCACAGAGAAGAGGTCATGTGAGCACACAGCAAGATGGTGGCCACCAACTAGCCAGGAAGAAGGGCCTCACTGGAAACCGGCCATGCTGGCACCATGATCTCAGATGTCCAGCCTTCAGAGCCATGAGAAAATAAATGTTGGGTGTTTAAGCCCCCCAGTCTATAGTATTTTGTTATGGCAGCCTGAAATGACAAGTTGTAATCTTTGGTAGTAATAAATAATTTTGAGCATTTAGAAAAAGAAACAGCCATATGAGATAAATTTTGGTTCTGTTTTTATTAATTCATAACAGCTCTCATTGTATCATTGCTTTTAGATTAGAACCACATTTTTCCAATCTAAGAGTCTACTTGCTTCCAAAGGCCTCTAGTTTCCAACAGTTACTTATTTCCCAACTTTGCCATAGGGAAAACAGTCTAACAATTATGTAACAATTAAAAAGTGTAACCACTTCTCCTCTTGTCTAATCCACTTTTCATGAAAAGCAATGCCTGAAGGGTGGTCATTTTCCCTACAATGAGCAGGTAATTCCTAATGTTCATTGTACTGGGGAAGAAGAAAAGGCGTGTGTAGGGGGAGAAGTATATGTGTCCTCAATGGCAAGGTCACCAGGAGCCTCAGAAACCTCCCTCATTTCTTCCAAACATCTGATTCAAGCCTCACTAGGTTAACACATATGTCTTCCCTAACAATTTCATCTTCCTTTGAGTTTCTGCATATTTAATTTCCATTCTAATTAACACTCCCTAACTTATGTATTGTTAGTCCATTTTGCATTGCTATAAAGGAATATCTGAGACTGGGTAATTTATAAAGAAAAGAGGTTTATTTTGGCTCACTGTTCTGCAGACTGTGCAATAAGCATGGTGCCAGCATCTGCCTCTGGTGAGGCCTTAGGAAGCTTTCACTTATGTCAGAAGGGGAAGGGGAAACAGGTGTGTCGCATGGTGAGAGAGGGAGCAAGAGAGAGGGGAGGAGGTTCCAGGCTCTTTTTTGTTTGTTTGTTTTCTGAGATGGAGTCTTGCTCTGTTGCCTAGGCTGGAGTGCAGTGCTCCGATCTCGGCTCACTGCAACCTCCACCTCCCAGGTTCAAGCAATTCTCATGCCTCAGCCTCCCAAGTAGCTGGGATTACAGGCATGCGCCACCACGCCTGGCTAATTTTTTTGTATTTTTAGTAGAGATGGGGTTTCTCCATGTTGGTCAGGCTGGTCTTGAACTCCCAACCTCAGGTGATTTACCCGCCTCGGCCTTCCAAAGTGCTGGGATTACAGACGTGAGTCACCGTGCCTGGCCTGCCCAGGCTCTTTTTAACAACCAGCTCTCCTGTGAGTGAACAGAGCAAGAACTCACTCATTACTAGAGGACAACACCAACCAATTCATGAGTTGTGCCCTCATGACCCAGACACCTCCCACTAGGCTCCACCTCTAACATTGAAGGTCACATTTCAGATTTGGAGGGGACAAACATCCAAATAATATTATGTGGTTATAGAAACACATCCTGAAGCTATGTGTTCTGTCTCCTTGGCAGGGATTAACCTAGAGTCACTCACCAAGTTGGGGTAAAGTGGGTGGAGCAGCAGTGGCAATGCATGAAAAATAACACCCATAAAAAATCCCTATACTGCTCTGTGCTGAGCTCACAGTAGGCAGTTAACAAGCAGTAGCTGAATGGAAGAGGGGCACTTACTCCGTGGGCCTCTCCGGACTGTCATACTCAGGAGGCGGGTCTTGGGCTCCTCCTGCACAGGCTCCTGGGGGTTGCCAAGGTGGGATTTTTCGGACACCATTTCCTTGGGGACAGCAGTTGGTGGCTGGAGGAAGAAGGTCAGAGGTTCAGAGACTCCCAGGACTTTATTTGAGTCTGTTCCTCTCTTGGGAAGATGGGTCACCAGTGAGGGGACAGGCCTTAGTACTATTCACATCTGGATAACCACAGTCTCTGTCACCTGACTCACTGTGAGTACCCACCAGGGAAGAGGTGCCAACCCAGAATTTCTCTAGAAATGCTTTTGTGAAATTATCAAGGCGTCCCCAAATAACGTTATTATTTTCACTTTTTCTAGGTAAAATATGTAGAGCTCTGCAGGAATTTGGAGGAAAGAGAAACAGGAAAATCAGTTTGTTCCCAACTTCAAATAGTTTGCAAACAGCAGCTAAAGTGTTACTGGGTAATTCAGGGGCAAATATTTAGTCCACCCTTTGGACACCCCCCAAGAATAGCCTCTGGTTCCTTCCCCACACTCTCAGTGAAGGAAAACAAGGAAGCAGAATTTGCAATAACACCTTTGAGGACAGATAGACTAAAGCTTGCCTCCAAACTCAGACTGACTGTGGGACTTTGGGCAAGTTAGTTAACTTCCTTGTACACTGCTTTCTTATCTGTAAAAGAAAAATAATAAAAAGAGCCCATTTTTTGAGATGCTACAATGTTTGAGTCACTGTAGAAAGCACAGAGATTCTGACGTAAATAGATGGCCCGGGATGGAACTTATTTAAACAAAAAGTCCCCATGTGATTCTGATTCTGGAGTGCAACTACGTTTCTTGCAATGCTCCCAACCTATAAAGTTCCAAGCCTGGCCCATAAATTGCTCAGCATTTGAGAGCTGTTATATTCCCTTCTCCATCCTTGCCCCTTTCTCCTCTTCAGTCTAAGCTCCGTGGCAGCCTTGGCACTAGTCACCCACTTGCTCACTGTGCCTGTGACTGTGGAGCTAAAGGCTTGAACCCTTTTCATCTACTGCCTCCACAGCCCCTGGCCTTGGGCTGCACGGCTGCAGACTGACCCCACAGGAAGGGGTTAAAGCTTCGGAGCTGTGTCTGGCTGTGGGTCTCCTCAGTCCCCAGGAGTGGCCAGAGAGCTAGCCCACGTGGCCAGGCAGTACCTCCCCAACCACCTGGACCCTCCCTTGAAAGGCTGAAAGTGACTCCTCTGCCCAGATTGCCCCGAGGAGTGTGCTGAGCAAGGGGGGAGCTAGGAGGGAGGTCTCTTCTGTCTCCCTATGACCTCTTCATCTCTCCTGGCCACCCCTCTCTGCAGCCCCTTCACGTGACTGCTGGCTCAAAATGGCGCTTCTCTCCCCTCCCTCCCCTGCTGGCATCTTGATTGTTCCAAGCAGAGCTCCCATCCACAATAGCTGCTTCCCTGCCTCCCTTCTCAGAGGACAACTTCTTACCAAGGACTTACCTTGAAAAGATTTACCCTGCACGGGATGCTCCCAGCCTAGGAGGGGAACTCCTGCGGAGAGGTGGGGGAGGATCTGCCAGCAGGCTCGGGAGAAAGGAGTTGGCTTCTGCCTCAAAGACAGAATTTGGGCTTGGAGTTGGAAAAAGAGGGAGTTTCCCAAGATTTGTAATCGTGTACTGCCATCTACTGCCCATCATAGTCCATGGCCTTCAATGAAGCACTAAAACAGGCTCCTTCCATCTTTTCTAGAGTCCTCTCTCAGGAGATGGGAGAAAACTTAGAGTAAAAATGCTCTAAGTATGGACCCCCGCCTTATTGTGAGGCTCATCTATAAGTCTCTGAATCAGGCTCCTGCACCCTGGACCACCCATCTGCATCCCCGCCTCACAGCCCCCCAGAGCAGGCCAAAAGTTGGTACCAAAAGAAGGAAGGCTGCCCTTGTGGATTCTGTATGGCCCTGGGGATGCAGGCGGGTTGTTGATCAATGACAATACGCAGACACAGTTTCTTGTCACTTCTTACCTGTTTCTTTCTTGGCTGTCTTCGAACCTTTGAGTTCTTATTCTGTCTTCCCATGTCTGCATCCTCATCATTTTCAATGAACTCCTTTGTGAAAATGCAAAAGGGAGAGAATCTTAAGACAGGAAGAGAGGTATGACTTTTAGGTATTAAAATTAAAACTCCCATCTTGACCCTGGGCTTCTATCCAGTAATGCTGAGTGTGAGTTGGGGGACAGTTAACAATCTGTGCGGCTCTCATCATCCACTCTTCTCAACATAGACATGTTTTCGAAAAGTCGTATCCATATTGGACCATCATACACGAGATGATGTTGGATCTTCCATTGTTCCAGGTCCTCATTCATGCATACAGCATTTATTGAGCATTTACTATGTTCCATGCTCTTGGGACACAGAATTGAAAGCCACATGCTGTCTGCTCTTAAAAGTTACAATCTAAGAAAGGCGACTAACAAGTGAATCTGCTAGGACAGACATCACAATCATATTAGGGATTTCACCGGTTAAGTTTTTCTGCTTTCCAGCCTTACCAGCAGGAAAAGGATAATAATGATACATGTTACATCATCACAAATGCTTCAAGTTAAAGGAAATTTTGGCAGATTTTTTTTTGAAAAGGAAAACAATCCTTTAACAGCGCAAACTTCGTTTCCTCTTTCCACCTTACGCTTTCTAATATTTTAGTCATAAAATGTTAGAGCTGAAAGCTCTAAAGTCTACGAGCTCTAAAATGTTTTAGTCCTAGAGTTTTATAGACTGGGGCACAAGTGCCCCTGGGTGAACAAAAAGTTGCAAGATAAACAGAACCTCTCTGGGGTACACAAAACTTACTAGATTTTTTTTTCCTAAAATTAGGATTTTTTTGTTTTTATACTGAAACAAATTCGGAACACAAAGTATGAATTTTAAGGATATATAATTTCAAAGAAATATCATGCAGGTTTCTGGGCCAGACCTCAATTACTCCTGACTGCCCTTGGCCACTGGGGTTAGGGAAGACATGAACCGCAATAACAGAGGACGGAAGTGAGGTCGAACGAGAGAATAGCCTTGGTTTGGGCCTTTCCTTTGTGTATGTGACCTGATCTCTGACTTGTCCTCTGAGCTGCATCCTCACTCTGGACTCCTTCTTTGGGCCTGACTAATAGGGAGTGTTCTTAGTTCAGGGGATTCGCCAACTTAGATTACAAGAAGATAATTATATTGAGGTGTGCAAGCATGGCTTTTAATTCAATTCTAAGTTTTTACTGACTTAGAATGGACTTGTGAGAAACCTACGTAATGTTTTGCTTTTCCGTGATGTTTTCATCCTCTATTCTAACTATCCAGTAGGACTTCAAATAAGATAGAACGTAAGTTCCATGAGGGAACAAGGTTTGTTTACTGCTGTATTCCCAGGGACTACAGGCACAAAATATATTTGGTTATATGAATGAATAAGCAAATATAAATTTATGTGGGTTTGTTGGTACTTGATCTTGCTTAAAGTTTTTTTTTTTTTTTTTGAGATGGAGTCTTATTCTGTCGCCCAGGCTGGAGTGCAGTGGCATGATCTCGGCTCACCGCAACCTCCGCCACCCAGGTCAAAGTGATTCTCCTGCCTCAGCCTCCCAAGTAGCTGGGATTACAGGCATGCCTCACCACGCCTGACTAATTTTGTATTTTTAGTAGAGATGGGGTTTCTCCATGTTGGTCAGGCTGGTCTCGAACTCCCAACCTCAGGTGATCCACCTGCCTCGGCCTCCCAAAGTGCTGGGATTACAGGCGTGAGCCACCGTGCCCAGCCATCTTGCTTAAAGTTAATCTGCATGGTTTTATAATGAGTTTCCTCAGGCTTTTTGGAGGACTGCATTGGACAGCACATATCATCTCCATTTCTGTCTTTGTTGTCTCAAGCCAGTGAGCCCTTGAAGCGAGAGAGAAGTAAGGATTGAGAGGAATACTCTCTCTTTTGTTGGATGGTCTGCAGTCTCCAAATTAGACAGCCTCCCTTCTCTGGTGTGGGCAGTGCTTTAATGAGTTTTTACATACAATGAGTCAGAAATTGCAGGACTCCACAGACAGAGGCTTGTATTAGCAGGTGTCTACAATTGTTACCTTCATTCTGAATGTCTTTAGAAATCAGCGTGCTTCAGGCAGAGCTATGCTCAATAATAGGTAGTAACTTTGAGCTGCTGTGTGTCAGAGTTCATAGAACCGTGACAAAACAGCTTCGGAGCATTCAGGTAGAGGTAAGACCTTGGAATGTCAGCAGGACTGCATTTCCTTCAACATCCACCTCCCCTTCTCCACCACGTCTCTGATATAGCACCCTCAGGGTGCATTTAGTCGGTGTGTGTTAAATTAAACTAAATGTGGCTTGAGGATACCTCTGTACTTTGAGTTCTTACATAACAAACTGCAATCTTAGTAAACTAAATGAAAGCCTAATTTAGAAGTATGCTTCTGTAGCAGGTAGCTGAGTCTCAGCCAATCACAGCAGCTGAGTGTCAATCAATCACAGGTGGCCTACTGATCAGACTGTGTTTAAATAAGGCAACACTGAGCTGTAACTAATCAAGCTGTTTCTGTACTCCACTTCCATCTTCAGTCCATAGATGCTGTCTGCCCACAGAGCAGAGCAGAGCTCTCTGAATCTCTTCAGGTTCTGAGGGCTGCCCAATTCACAAATCGTTCTTTGTACAATTAGACTCTGTTGAATCTAATTCATGTAAAGCTTTTCTTTTAACATGTGCAATAGATGCTGGTTGGCCTAACTTCCTCATTCACAAACACGTGTAACATAAGCATGCACACACAAACACATCCCTAGAGGACATCAAAGTGGCCACTTACCTCTGTAATTATTTTTACTTTTTCTTCCCTGGGATTCATTTTGGCTGGGATGGGTCCCTGACAAAGAACAATGAAGAAGTCAGGCATTTTGAAATCAATGAAATATTGCTTCTCTTACTATGGATATGTAAGAGGCTGGCCATGATGGTAAGTGAAGTGTTTGAGCTGGGTAGACTTTCCACTCACCAGGAACCCTGGCAGACCCCAGGATTGGTGGAGATAAGTGCCAGAGGAAAGGAAGGATGCCAGGTCTCCCTGTCCCTGGGAGCCTGCCTTTACTGTGCCCATAGAGTTGGATGGCACTGGTTGGAATCCAGCTCCAGAAGGACCATTTTACAGCTCATCTCCGCTACTGCCCCTCTGCACTCTCTGCCCTTGACCTTGGCCCTTATTTCACCAAGTAAAAAGACAAGACCAGAGAGGGCTTCTACATCCCCTTCCCCTCCCACCACATGGAGCCACCGCCACCTCCTCTGCTTCCACTTGCTACTATGAACCCCCATGTCCCATGGGGCCCCTCCTTGAACAGTGCACTAGGCCCCATCATTCCTCCTCCTCCAGGCCCTTGATCCTGACAATTCTTCACTTTCATCTGGATTTTCTTCCTGCTCTATTGGCTCATTCCTACCAGTGGAAAAAATGCTGTAATTTTTTCCTTCCTTTAAAAAAAGGCCCCTGCCCCCTACACTTTTTCTTTTGAGACGAAGTCTCACTCTGTTGCTTAGGCTGGAGTACAGTGGCACGATCTCGGCTCACTGCAACCTCCGCCTTCCAGGTTCAAGGGATTCTTCTGCATCAGCCTCCTAAGTAGCTGGGATTACAGGCGCATGCCACCACGCCCGGCTAATTTTTGTGTTTTTAGTAGAGACAGGGTTTCACCATGTTGGTCAAGTGGGTCTCGAACTCCTGACCTTGTGATCCGCCTGCCTGGGCCTCACAAAGTGCTGGGATTACAGGCGTGAGCCACCGTGCCCGGCCAAAAAAAGCCCTCTCTTAACTTTACTTCTCTTTCTAGCTGTTGCTCAATTTTTCAACAATTATAGAAAAATCCCTCAAAACATTCCCTCTCTTTCCAGTTTGTTTTTTTATTTTTGGGGTCTAGCATACTCTGCAACTGCTTTTGCCAATGATTCATCTCCAGTGACCCCTGCGTTGCCATGTCCAGTGATCAGTTCTCGGCCCTCATCTTACTTGACTTGGTCAGAGGCATTTAAAACATTTTCTAAGTTTTTAATTTTTGTGGGTACATAGTAGGTGTATATATTTATGGGGTACATGAGATATTTTGGTACAGGCATGCAAAGCTTAATAATCACATCACAGAAAATTGGGTGTCTATCCCCTCAATCATTTATCCTTTGTGTTAGAAACAATCCATTTATACTCTTTTAGTTATTTTTAAATGTACAATTAAATTATTATTAACTATAGTCCTTTCATTGTGTTATCAAATACTAGGTCTCATTCATTCTTTCTATTTTTTTTTTGTATCCATTAAACAACCTCCCCCGACCCCTGACTACATTTCCCAGCCTCTGGTAACCATCCTTCTCTTCTCTATCTCCATGAGTTCAATTATTTTGATTTTTAGATCCCACACATAAGTGAGAACATGCCATGTTTGTCATTTGCATGTTCTCACTTACTTGTGGGTGAAATAAGCCAGGCATGGAAGGGTCAGAAACATTTAGTGATGAAAGTGACCCATCCCTTCTTTTGAGATACTTTCTTCAGTTGGCTCCTGGAACAAGTTCTTTCTTGGTTTTCCTTTTACCCACTGACTGTTCCTTCTCAAACTCCTTTGCTGGTTTCTCCCTATCTCTCAGACCACCAAAGATAGGAATGCTGTGGGGCTTAGCTCTGCCTGTTTTCATTCCTCTGGCCATCTCATTATGTCTCTTGGTTTTAAATACCATCTGCATGCTGATACTTCCCAAATTTACATCCTGGGTCCAGACATCTCCCCAGAACTCCAGACTCAAGTATCTGCTTGATGGACACCTTCACTTGGCTTTACATACCTCAAATAAAGTTCTTTGCTTTTACTCCTGAGCCTGCCTTGTACTGCAGTTTTCCTGTTGTAGTAAACAGAAATCCATTTTGCTCAGGCCAGAAACCTTGCAGTTGTTCTTAACTCCTTTCTCAGTCTCACATGAATCCATCAGAAATCCTGCCAGTTTTGGCTTCAGATTATTTTCAGGATCTAATCACTTCTAAACATTTCCACTGTTATCACCATGGTCAAACACCATCTTCTCTCTTGAAATCTACTGCAAGAAACTCCTAATTTCTCAGCTTGCCACATTGCTGGGCTACCATATTCTCTGCATTGAAGCCAGTGCAAATTGATGAAAATTTGAGTGACATAATCACATTGCTTCACTCAAAATCCTCCAATGATTTCCCTTTGTCAACAGAGTAAAACCCAAAGTTTTTTCCAAGGCCTACAAGCCCTGTGTGATTTGCACTTGAATCCTGTTGCCTCAGGACCTTTGTAGCTGCGGTTCCTGCTACCTAGTTCTCCTTTTTCCCAAGATATCTGCATGGCTCTTGCTGTTTCACTTTCTTCAGGTCTCAGCTGAAATTTTATTATCAGAGAGCTCTTCTCTGACCATTCGTAATACAATGATCTCCTCCCAACACCCTCCTGGAATTCCCTAACTACCTTACAATGATTTTTTCACAGTACTTATTACCACTCAACATACATACTTACTTGTTAATGTCAGCCCATATCCATTAGAATATAGCTGCAAGAGGGCAGAAACATTATTTTGTTTATTGTTTACCCCCAGAGACTAGGATTATGGGACATCATGGACATTCAATATATACTTGTCGAATGAATGATTAAGTCACTGACTTATTGGCTGTGGTTCCATAGCCACATTCTGGGACTATTTAAAGCTCCACTGTTTCTTCTAGGCTGCTGTGAGGATTAAATGAGAAAACACATGGAGAAACAACAGGCATATGGCTGACAAATCATAAGCCCTTTCTAATATCCTTGGAACCCAAATCTTAACTGGGACTTGGTCAGGTCATTTAAGCAGCTCATCTGAGATCAAGGTTTCACTGACCCTACAGGGGAATTAGCATGTTAAAGGGAAATAAAGCATCTGAAATTCTATTGTCTTCTCTACAAACCTCATCACAGGGTACAAAAAATAGAGGAAGGAAAATGTAAAAGCAGCTAAGAAAATAGAGAGGCAAGGAGATAACCTAGAGTGAATGAGGGGGCAGATAATAAAGATGAAATGCAAAAGTACATGAGAGCTCTCTAATGAACAACTCTGGTCATTGCAAACTGAAAAAAAAAAAAAACCTGTGAAACATTTTAGTAACTAAAAAAAGTTCTCTATAAGTTAATAAATGCTTTATATGGAAGAAAAAAATAGAAGTAGAAAATGAAAAATGTAATGGGATTTTCTTTTTTCCTCATTCTTTCCTGATCATTTCCTTTAAATGAGTTTCTAAGGAAATCAAATGACACCGAAATTTATTTTTTATATGAACACTGTTGCTAAGAAAAGATAAATCAATACTGCCTGGTTTTAATATGCAGTTTGCCATCATCTTATGCACTGGTACTTGTTAATATATTCCTACTGGCAACATCAAAATAGCTATGATTTACTGCACACTTATTTTGTGCTAACTATAGACATGTTCTCTTTAGTCCTCACAATAACATGTCTGGCTTAGTAGTATGTGCCCCAATTTGCGTATGAGTAAACTGAGGCTCTGACAATTTACATGATTTTTCCAAAGTTATAATTATTAAATGTCACATTCAGAACTTGATCCCAAGACTCTGTGATTCCTGAGTCCTCCCTCACTCCACTCTACCCCTCCATCTCACCATTTATTCTTGCTTTTGCAATGGCATCAATAATTATTCTGTGCTTTCCAGAATAGTGGGCTATTCTGGAAATATTTACAGTTGAAAGCTGTGAAGCATTGCACTGGTGAGAAAAGGCTTAGGCTACATTAAGCCAATGATTTATTTTACTCAGTGCAGAAAACCAGATATATTTTTTCAAGGAAAGTACTGACACCTTCATCTGAATAAATGGACTATTCCTAAGAGTCATCAGTGGGTCAGAGCCATACCTGGAGGTTGAGATACAACGCATCTCAACTCCATATTGGTTGCTTAAAAAATCATACAATATATATGCCCTACTCCAGGATGGCAAAAACATGGGTTTATAGGAAGAGTGGTCCACATATTTCTTTGCCAAGGAATATGTGGACCTGAGTTCCAACTTCAGCTTTATTTATTAGCTGTGTGATCTTGGAACAATGCCCTCCCTTCTCTGAGACACGTTTTTTTTTTTTTTGTCTGCAACATTGCAATCATACTTCCTACCTTGAAGGATGATTAATTTATAAGGGCTAAATGATGAAATGTGTGTAGTAAAATGCCTAGCACAGGCTGGGCTCTCAATATTGGTAGGTTTTGTTACTAAGAAAAAGTGATTGTGGGGAGGGAAAGTGGAAAAAAGGAATGAGGAGGGAAAAGAGCTTGGGGGATAGAAGAGGAGTCATGAGAAAGACCTTAGGTGATGTTCAAGCCCACCCACCTTCAGCTCCAATCTTCAACCCCCAGCTACCATAACTCATGTTTCATGTCTCCCTCCCTTCAGCCAGGCCCAGGGCAGTTGCCTTGCTGTTTCCATTTATGGTGCTTCTGAAACCTCCTGCACTTCTACCCATGAGTATTTTCTTCCTCACACCCTGAGAACATTTTTCTGTTCCCTCCTGGAGCTTGGACACCTGGGGAGGTGCCACATACATTGTTTTGGAATACATTATCTTATTCTACAAGTTATTCCAGCTGCAGTTTCCCTTAGCATAAGGTTAGTGACCAATAGCTTTATAGAATCATTTAATCAGCTCGATATAATGTACACTGGCCTTGAAGAGTACACATGAGTACCATATTTGAGCTGTGTTACGTGATATATGACCAGTGCATTTACATGATGTGCTAAGTACTGGAAGCCCCTCCCTGGATGTCATCCCACTGTCCTCTCAGTGTTTTTATAAATCTCTTATGGCACTTAGCTCATTGTACTCTTATCATGTGTTTATAGGTCTGTTTTCCCAGCAAATTCTGAGCTTCTGACCTAGTCTAATTTATGTTTGCACACTCTAAACTTAAATTCATTGCCTGGTGCATTGTTGATGCTCCATAAATGTTTGAATGAATGACTCTATAAGTGAGCTCTAGGATATATATATATATATATATATATATATATATATATATATATATAGAGAGAGAGAGAGAGAGAGAGAGAGAGAGAGAGAGAGAGATTTCATGCTGGTGCTGAATTTATTTGCAGAAAAGGTTATATGAAAATGCAGTAGCAAACATATTTCTTATTTGACTTTATTAGCTTTTCATACCACCTCTTTGCAATGAAGGGAAACAAACAATCAGCTTAAGTTGTAGCCAGTACATTTTCTTGAAGTCTTTGGAAAGCACAGCAACTCTTAGCACTGTGGTTAGTAGCCCTTTCTCTGTCTCATACCAAGAAAAGTGTATTTTGCAGTAATTAGTGCTTCTCCCCTTAAGCCAGTTTGAACTAAAAGGCCCATAAATGCAACACGCAGCTAATGTTTCACAGAGCTTTGGTCAGAGAGCATTTTCACTCAGGACTTGTGATGAACTGGACTTACATTTCCTGCAAACCAGATACCAGATAGCAGCTCAAATCAAAGCTGCCAAGTAATGGTCTATGTTCCCATTTCAGAAAGTAAAAACATAAATAACGATGAGAGCCCCTAAATTTACAATTCATTAAATCCAGTCTCACGGTATCCTGGAGAGGCTGAACTTCAAGCCGGGTAACTGAAAACAGGAAATCACTGTTGCAGCCTAAAGTCCGGTTAGGGACTGATTTACCTTAAGAAACTTTACAAAAGGCACTTTGCAGATTCTGCATTCTAGGATGGAAGTGGAGAGAGACGGTGCTGTTGAATCTTTTAAAAGGGTCCGGAGGGAAAGGCTGAGTGTTGGAGATGCCCCTGGGCTCCTCCCTGGGAAGCTGCAGCCATGTCTTGGAGCAAAAACACCAGCTTAGCAACCCGTTCCTAAGGAAGGTCACTCGGTAGCTTTTTTTTTTTTCCTTTAAAGTGACAGGCTACTTCCAGTAGTGGAGTACAAGCATGCTGGGTAAGCAGAGACGCACAGCCTGCAGTAGAAGGACGGAGAGAAATCAACATGAGCAGCACTGGAAATTAGGTCAAGCCTTAAGAGCTGCCCCTCCCTCATGTCATCCGGTCGTCTTGCATTTCCAATGAAGAACAGGCTCAGAGGTGGGGGGATTTAGAATCTTAAAAGGTCGTCATTACATGGTGAAGCTGTCTAACGTGGCAGCAGCAAAAGCTCTGTGGAGGTGCTGCAGAGTACCAACAAATGTTGCACTTGAGTGTTTTCCAGTTAAAAGTGGAAGGTTGAACGCACAAGTTTAATCTTTGCCTATTCTCTGAATCCCACTGCAATTCCTGAAAACGGATATAAATGTTATGGCTCAAAAAAGTTGGAAAAAAAAAAAGAGGGAGAGGTAGGAGGCAAAGTAGCTGGAAGAGTAATAGAATGAATGGAGCCAAGGAAACACACTCCAATAGACTAGTGTGTATGTGCACATGTGTTTGTGTGTATTTGTGTCTGTGTGTATGGTGTGTGTATGTTTGTGTGTATGTGTATTGACTGTATCTTCTTATTTTCTGTATTCTTGATGCTCTGGCATTTGGAGCCTTGATCCTGGAGAAACTGATTCTCCTATGTTAGCTAATTTCTAGAGATAGCAAATGATTCCCCTGAAATATGCAAAGTCTCCTTTGATATACAAGCCAACCAATCCAGAGCCCACACAACCATCTCCATTATCAAACTCTCACACACTAAGCCAATATTCCTCCTGTCCTAAGTCACCCCAGGTCCAGATACCAGACCACTATAGCCCAGAGAACACCACGATTATTCAAGCTATCCACTCCTAAATTTATGCAGCACCCTACCCTGCTTCACCTATTCCTTCCTGGGAAAACCCTAGTAAAGGCTCTGTGCTGTACTCTGCTGTCTCCGTTCTGCCTTCTGACCAACATTGGTTCTTCCCTATGTGGTCCTGTGTGGCATGCCATGTTCTATGATTTGAATGTGTCTTCCCAAAAGCATGTATTGGAAACTTAATCCCTAACACAATGGTGTCGGGAGGTGGCACCTAATGAGAGGCAATTAGGCTGTAGGGCTCTGCCCTCATAAATGCATTAATGCCATTATTGCAGGAGTGGATTCCTTATAAAAGAATGAATTTGGCCTCGTTTTCTCTCTTTCTCTTTCTTGCTCTCATGTTTTCTTGCCTTGCACCATAGGATGGTGCAGCAAGAAGACCCTTGCAGGATGCCAGCCCCTTGATCTTGGACTTCCCAGCCACCAGAACTGTGAAAAATAAATTTCTGTTCATTATAAATTGCCCAGTCTGTGTATTCTGTTACAACAACAGAAAACGAACCAAGACACCATGCTTCTTGTTTCTAGGGATCTGTTAAGTATAAACTTCTTCTTTTGTGCCAATCATGTTTGTGTCTGTGTGTCTTACCATACCTAATTAAAACAAATCCAGAGTACATTTTTTGACACAGCCTGCATGCATGTGTATGTGTCAATGTATTTGTGTTTGTGTCTCTGTACGTGTATGTATGTGTGTGTGTGTCTGTGTATGATGGGGTGTGCACGTAGGCATGAATATGAGGAAATGAGCTGATTTACTGTGCCAGGATTTGGGGCAGCAGTGTTATAGCTGAATTGTGTTCTCTCTCATCCCCAAAGATGCTGAAGTCCTAACCTCAGTATCTCAGAATGGGACCTTATTTGGAGATAGGGTATTTACAGAGGTAATCACATTAAAATGAAGTCATTAGAGTGAGATCTAATCCAAGATGATTGCGTCCTTACAAAAGGGGAAATTTGGATTCAGAGACAGACAAAATAGAAGAAAGGCAACGTGAAGACATGGGGAGAGCACCATCTCCAAGCCAGGGAACACTCAAGGCTATCAGCAGCCAGGAGAGAGGCCTGGAACAGACTGTCTCTTGAAGCTTCACAAAGAATCAACCCTGCCACACCTTGATTTCAAATTTCTAGTCTCCTGAATTGTTAGAAAATTTCTGCTGTTTAAGCCACTCAGTGTGTGGTACTTTGTTACAACAGCATCAGGAAACTAATACAACCATAGACTAAGGAAGGTGGGGAGAGATACGGGGCTAAAAATGCAGGAAGATTTGAAAGTCTGTATATTAAGGGATTGATCCTCAGGATCCTTTTTCTTGGCAGCCTGAAAAATGCCCATTCCTCAGGCATAATTTCCGTCCTCCACATCTGCCTCATCTGCTGCTGCCCAAAGGAGACTGGCGGTTTCTTTTCTAGGGAAGTTAAACCAGAGACTCTCTGGTCTCAAGTTCCCAGGTACTGCAGCAAGTGAGTGTGTCTCAGGATTGAAAACTGTATATGAAATGAAGATGTTGCAGGGCCCTTTCTGAACCTTTCTCAAGAACTTAGACAATCAAGAACATGCCATTGGCTCCCCCATCCTACCTCTACCTGCACAAAACTGGAGAAAGTAGAAAATTATTTTCTGGAAAAACTGAATGATTATAAAGCACAGACCCTACATACTGACATTTCTGGATCCTCCAATGACAAAGCTAGCATATTGCCCTTACAGAAAAGCATTACAAAAAACATTAAAGGATCTCAGGCTAGGAAATTTAATGCTTGTAGTTATAAAAAGAGAGAACCATGAAAATGGAAAAGTATAATTTACCAAAGGAGTAATACAAGAACAACTGTATGAAATAATGTATTTTCCAATTGAAGGGGACAATCTACTATCTCGTGCTGGTAAAAGAAGACAATAAGAAAACTTGTCTGTCTTGGCTTGTATTCTGCATGTGGTGAGAAAAATATGAAGAATTTACAACCATTGGTTTGCACCATGCAGTTTGTCTTATTTATGCTCCTTATATATTTTAGGAGGCCCCTAAGTGATAACTTTTAAAAAGTGGCCTCTGTCTACTGTATCCCCGTGGGGTGCCAGGCAGAAGTTATTACAAAACTTTTCTGGAGGAACACACCTTCAATTGGACAATTCAGGATGTCCACAAATAAACACAGAGGAAGATGAGCTCACAACCCAAAATTAGACAACAGAAGAGAAACACTCAAGAGTCCACAGACAAACCAGAGGACACTATTAGATACTCAAGAGTTTCTTGCAATACAATAATCAGATGGAGAGTGGAAAAATAACAATGACCAAATATTCAAGAAGATACAAGGAGGATTTGAAAATATGAAAGAAGAGTGAGACACTATCAAAAAGATCAGACAAATTCAAAAAGTAACCAGATAGAACTTTTAGAAATAAATAATACAGTCACAAATTTAGATAAAAGTCAAAGAATGTGCTAAACTGTAGATGAGAGAGCTGAAGAGATGCAAAAGATAGGTTTAAAAAATTGAAATGTGGCACAGAGATATTGAAAATAGGAAAGAGTAGGTAAAAGATACAGGGAGAAATTGATGAGGTCCACCATATCCAGTACAGTACCAGAAGGAGAGGAGAGAGAAAGAAGTTGAATGCTCTGTCTTACAACTGAGGGATCTCGGTCAACTTTCTTAACCTTTCTAGGTTTCAGTTTCCTTCTCTGTAGGAAACTGAGGTTTAATAATAGTAACTATTCCAGAGAGAGTTGTTAGGAAATTTGTTAAGTTAATAATTGTGAAGCACTTAGGACAGTCCTGGCACATAGTAAATGTTGCAAGGTTTATTAAGTGAAGAAAAATATGAATGTTTACCGTAAGAGATTATCTACTTGAAATGGTCAGCTGCCATGAGAGGAAGGACTTGTTCACCACTCTTTTGCTAATTAACCGTCTGATTATTACCTCCCTGATATTTTAAAAGTCTCATGGTCTGCCAACAGAGCTAGCTGGGCACGTCCTCTTTGATCTTTAATACTGAACTAATTCATAAGAATCATACAACTTCTTAAGTTCCAAAAATATTAAAAAGTATCATTGCAAAACACCATTACTTGCAAAAGTTCTTATGTAAGCAAAATAAATGAATCTAGCAAATTTATTTTAAATCATAACACAAAAATCTCATTCTTTTGGTTAAGTGTTCCTAGTTGGCTAAAGAGTTTTTCATCAAGAATAAATGTTGAATCACATTATCACAAGCTTTTTTCTACATCTTTTGAGATAATTAAATATTATTTTTATTCTTTCATCTATTAGTGTAGAGAATTGCATTATCAGGCATTTTAATGTCAAATTGTGCTTGCATTCCTGGGATACACTCAATTTTGTCAAGATACTTCAAAAATTAATATTGGATTTAATTACCACTTTCTAGAAATTTTTGCATTTATGTTCTTAGCTGAGATCAGCCTTGTATTGTTCTTGTCTCATTTTAGGATAAAGGATAGTCTAACCTCAAAAAAAAAAAAAAAAGCAGACTAATATTTCTCTCTCACTCATCTTTGTAACAGTTCAAGTAAAAATAGCTTTATCATTTCTGTGAAGTCTATACAATTGTCTGGGTCTAATAAGTTTTTTAAAAATTATGGTAAAATGTGTATACATGAAATTTGCCATTTTACCCATTTTAAAGTGTATAATTTAATAGTTTTTAACACAGTTGCAATGTTGTGCAACTGTCACCACTATGCTTCCAAAACTTTTTCATCACTCCAAACAGAAACTCTACACCCATTAAATAACAACTCCCCATTCTCCCTTCCCTCATTACCCCTTGGTAAACTTTAATTTACTTTCTGTCTCTATACATTTGCCTATTCTAGATATTTCATGTAAGTGGATTATTACAATATTGTCCTTTTGTGTCTTGTTTAGTTTGCTTAGTATAATGTTTTCAAGGATCATCTGTGTTGTAGCATATGTCAGTATGTCATTCCTTTTTAAGGCTGAACAGCATTCCATTGTATATGTAGATCACATTTTGTTTATCCATTCATCTGCTGATGGACATTTGGGTTGTTTCCACCTTTTAGCTATTTTGAATAATACTGCAGTGAACATTTGCCTAAAAGTATTTGTTCAAGTATCTGTTTTCAATTCTTTTGGGTACATACCTAGAAGTGGAATTGCTGGATCGTATGGCAATTCTGTTTAAGTTTTGAGGAACTGCCAAATTATTTTCCACAGTGGCTGCACCTTTTACACTCCCAGTAGCCCTGTACAAGGGTTCCAATTTCTGCACATCCTTGCCAACACTTGTTATTTTTAGTTTTTTTTATTATTATTATTTTATTTGAGACTGAGCCTCGCTCTGTTGTCTGGGCTGGAGTGCAGCGGCACGATCTCGGCTCACTGCAACCTCTGCCTACCGGATTCAAGCTATTCCCCCGCCTCGGCCTCCTGAGTAGCTGGGATTACAGGCACCTGCCACCATGCCTGGTTAATTTTTTTTGTATTCTTCGTAGAGACAGAGTTTTGCCATCTTGGACAGGCTGGTCTTGAACTCCTGACCTCAGGTGATCCGCCTGCCTTTGGCCTCCCAAAGTACTGGCATTACACATGTGAGCCACTGCACCTGGCCATTTTTAGTTTTTTAAATTATGGCCATCATAGAAGGTATGAAGTGGTATCTCACTGTAGTTTTAATTTGCATTTCCCTGATGAGTAGTGATGTAGAGCATCATGCTCCATTGTACGTATTGGCCATTTGTATATCTTTTTTTGAGAACTGGTATATGGGTGTGGGTGGTTGTAACTAGAATTCTGACCACAGACTCAATTTCTTTACTCCCTACCAAAATATTTAGGTTTTACATTTCTTCTTATTTCAGTTTTAGTATATTATATGTTTTTAGGAAATTGTCCTTTTTCTTTTTAAAGTGATTGACATAAGGTATTTCAAAATATTCTTTATTATTTTAAAACTCTGATAGACTTTCGGTCATATTCCTTTGATTATTCCTAATAATAAACATCCTGTGCTCTATCTTGGTATGCCTTTATGGTGGCTTTATAAACAAAACCCCCAAGTTATTTGGCACCCCTTTTATCAAGAAGTGGGGTCTATCTTTTGTCTATTTGTAACTGAGTGGACTAGTAACTCTATTGACCAAGAGAGTATAGCAGAAGTGATGCTGGCTTCCTGGCTGAATCAGGAGGCTAAACCATAAAAGATGATGTGGTTTCTATGTTATTTGCCCAAACTTTTATACTTAGAGCCCTGACCCACCATGTGAGAAGTTTGACTACTTTGAGGCCACCATGCTATGAGGGAGCCAGGCCACATGGGAAGGCTACACATACACACTCTGTTGGAAGTCCTAGTCTGAGTTGTCCTAGCCAGGGCTCTAGACATGAGAGTGAACAAGCATTCAGATGATTCTAGCCCCAAGTTGTTTAGTTGCCTCCTCAGGTTCAAGTTCTCTCAGTGAAGACTCCAGACATTGTGGAGCACAGATAAATGAACTAGCTGTGCTCTGTTCAAATTCCTGTCTCCCAGAATCCATGTGCATTCTAAAATAATTATTTTAAACCACTACATTTTGGGGTCATTTGTTATGCAACAATAACAACTATAGGAGTTATACCTTTAAATAAATGAAAAAATATGAATGAATGAATGAATGAATGAAATACAGTCATGATTTTTTTACATGGAATTCTGAGGGACATACTTTTTACATGTTGCTGTAGTTTAAATGTTTTTTTCCACAATTCATGTTGAAGTTTAATTGCTATCGTAACAGTGTTGAGAGGTGGGACCTTTAAAAGGTGATTAGGTCATGGGGGCACCACCCTTATGAATGGATTAATGCTATCATTGAGGGAGTGTGTTAATGATCACAGGAGTAGTTTTCTGGTAATAAGGATGAGTTCTGCCCCCATCCTCTCTCTGCATCACAGTTTGCTCACCATGTGATCCTTTCAGTATGTTATGATGCAGCAAGAAGACCCTCACCAGATGCCACTTCTCAATCTTGGACTTCCCAGCCTCCAGAACTGTGAGCCAAATAAATATCTTTTCTTTATAAATTATACAGTCTGTGGTATTATTTTATAGCAGCAGAAAATGGATTAAAGGACATGTTGTCTTAGTTGGCTTGGGCTGCCATAACAAAATATCATCGACTGAGTGGCTTAAACAACAGACATTTATTTCCTGCAGTCCTAGATGCTGAAGTTTGAGAACAAAGAGTGACATTGTCAGGTTCTGGTGAAGGTTCCCTTCCTGGCTTGTAGATGGCCACCTTCTATCTGTGTCCTCACAGGCTAGAGATCAAGTGAGCCCTGCTCTCTTTCTCTTATAAGGACACTAATCCTATCATGGACGCCCCACCCTCATGATCTCGTCTGAACCTAATCACCTTCCCAAGACCCCACCTCCAAATGCCATCACATTACGGGGTAGGTCTTCAACATATGCATTTTGCAGGTAACACAAACATTCAGTATGTGACACATGTATACCTAAAAAAAAATAAGCAAATGCATTCAATGCCTTTGAGGATAATGCCACTAAAGTATGATGCATTTGAAGCCTCTTTGGGAGACTAGGATACTGTACAACACTAAAAATTATAGAGCCCGATATGAGACTACTATGCTATATTCTCTTTGGGGTAAAGCTGCAGTGGTGCATTATTTAGGTCAATAAATGGCTAAAATATGCCTTTCACACTTGTACATGTGAAACACAATCGTAGCTTTAGGTGAATGTGTCATTTTTACTGGTTCTTTGAATTTTATACTACTTTTGATTGTAGCTGATTCATTCTCTCTGAAAGAAAAATTTATCACAAGGGAAAACCTGACTAAAATAAGGTTCAAGTTGGACACTGAAGAATGACTTTTGAATCATAAATTTTATAAAACCATGCCTTTCAATTTGGATTTATCTTTTCCAGTTTACTGAATTACATACCTCTCTCCCTCAAACATAACTTGAACTCCAGCAAATTAGAACCTCTTGGGTTTATAGTAAATAGAGAGAAACACTTATTGACTCAGATACATTGACTGTGTAGCCCATTTTTATTTTATAGATACTAAAGCATTTAATTTTCTTCCTCTAGTGCTATGATTTTCAATCTGTTTTGAATTGCACACTTTCTTCTTATTTGCTGCATTTCACAACATTCTCACTTTCTAAGAGAGCTGTTGGAGCTATAGAGAATAAAATGCTGTAAGACTCATTTTATTTAGAGAGTCATGTCATAATTTGAATTAACTAGAGATGCTCTTACATATCAGAGAAAACTGCTGCTCCAGTATAAGTAGTGAATTTTTGTTATTTTTGTTGAAAAGGATATTTTTCTATAATTTTTATATTCTTTTCTCTCCAGCTACTTCCCTTAAATGCATCTCACTGGCAGGACCTGCTTCACCAGCTTAGTGTACAAATATCATCAGAACTCTTTCATTTTCTGTGTAGTTGCTTGAAAATATTCTTGCCCTTTTTAGCAGGGCATGTAATGTCTCCGTCTTGAAGCTTCATTGCTCTCTAGAATTGCTCATAAATCTTGAGGGGCTCACTTGATTCAAAGGGTAACCCTTTGTGCAAATGCCAATGGAGAGAGAAGTAGCTAGTCAATTACTGCTGGAAATGGTTCC
This sequence comes from Homo sapiens, assembly GCF_000001405.40. Classification (NCBI taxonomy): domain Eukaryota; kingdom Metazoa; phylum Chordata; class Mammalia; order Primates; family Hominidae; genus Homo; species Homo sapiens. Next base: position 15,461,303 of record NC_000004.12, on the reverse strand, counting down.
CAAGAAGTCTAAGCAATTTTGCTCTCAGCTACATTGATGTTTCTGTTAGTCATACCAGCTGCCTCACATTAGAGATTCCAGGTTTACCCTCTTTCAGGTTATACTAGTGCTTTTCAACCAATTTTGACCCTCTTGGACATTTGGCAAAGTTTGGGGATATTTTTGGTTGTCACAACTTGGTGGGGGGAAGGGAGTGCTACTGGCATCTCATGGGTAGAAGCCAGGAATACTGCTAAACATCCTACATTGCATAGAACTGTCCCCGCACTGCCATTCCAACATAAAAAAATTATCTGTCCACGTATGTCAAGGATGCTGAGGTTGAGAAACCCTGTTTTTTCCAATATGATTTACACCCATATGATCTGCTACTGCTTCCAGAATTTAGCAGGTTTTAAGACCTCAATCCCAGGTTACATTTAAACCAGGAATGGACCCTCCTGGAGCCCAACATCCTCTGAGTTCTAGTTTGAACCATAGTCACCAATCCACAGCCCACAAACTCCCTTTCCTCATGTTGCATTCCCCTCCATAGAGGCAAGTATCCTTTTTGGCTGATCAATCTCAGTTTTAACCAACCAAGTTTATCACTGAGTTTTTAATGCTATTGAAATTCAGCAGAAAAGAAATTAGTATCAAAATTTCTTTTTCCTCTAGGAGGTTTCTTGGCTCCCTTTGCAGATTTATTCAATGTATGTCAAAGAGCACAAGGGGCATTTTGAAAATTGGGGAGCATCAGTCATGCCACAGAAAATGATGTTATATTCCCATTTTCCAGGGCAGTGGGTGTCCACTTGCCTTACATTTGCATAATCAAGATGAGTTGCTCACAGGACTCTCCATTTGAAACAAGATCTTACCCAAGGAGACTTACTGAGCTTACTAGAGAGAGGATTAGCTGATAATACCCTCCTGATTAAAAAGTAGGTTTTGCTTTCCTACACAGCCTGATCCATCTTTCATTTTTTCATGCCCTGTGATGCCACAAATTGTACTGTATTTCCTTCCAATGCAGCAATTGCTAAAGATACTTGGGAAAAAGGCAGTTTGCTAGACTCAATATAAGAATGACCTCTCTGCTATTCCAGCTCAAGAATTTTCAACTCTTTGCTGTTTGTAGCCACAGCTCCTGGTACAGACAACTTTGCTTTACCCTCTGATGCAGAAGCTTGGGGACCTGTAGGGGTTTGGGTGCTTATATTGGTACAGAGCATAGATTGGTAAAAAAAAAAAAAAAAAAAAAAAAAGTACCCAGGAGCATCTATACTTGTTTCCTGAATTCTGCTAAATTGAGAAGCTATGTTTCCAACATCCTTAGATGGACTAGGGTATAAATAGAATTTTCATGGACTTGCCTCTGATCTCAGTCACTGTTGATGTTTTTGGAAATGCATGGCAGATTCCAAAGAACTGACTAGCAAACAGATTTCTAGAGTAAAATCCATCCATAAATTGGTAGCTGCTTGTGTTCTCACTATTTGAGAGATGGAATTTGGAGCAGAGGACAAAGGGTTGCCTGCTACTATGCATCATTCTGCTCTCTGGGGCTTGGACTCTGAGGGGCTTTGCCATACTAGAGGATTTTCCTGTCAGGGAAATATGGACACTGCCATGTACTGTCCAACTAGGGCCAAACAGAAAAACAGTAGCACTGCAAGGACCCAGCCAACTTCATGACGGTGGACTAGATTTTGTGGATCACAAGTGCCATCATATCTAGTTGCCAGCTTTTAGTAATTCTCTGTGTTATAATTTTCGCCTCTTATCTCTGACACATCTGTAAAATCTTATAATTGTTCCCTTAGAGACTCATCTATGCTGTGGGGGAATTACAGAAAGAATTTATATCCATGCTCGAGATGAGAGGGTAAAGTAAAGAAGAGTAATTTCAGTAGCAAGAATGATGGTATCAGTGGAGATTGCTAAAATTCTCAAAAGGCAAGTAAATTTTAGGAACAATGATTGGGGATCAGTGTTGAGCGTAAGTTTGCCCCTTCCTATATGGAGATTTTCTCTCCTCACTGCCAGCCTGGGTTATTTTTCCAAGGGATCCTGAGAATCACTCACGCTTTCTCCATGATACTAATGTATGCTTGAGACCTTCAAGACTCCCTCCTAATTCAAGTCTCTGCTAACACCAGAAAAGGATCCATCATCATTAACAAGCCTGCCTTCTTTCTTTATCCTTCTAGTGCTTACCACTAGCATAGCTGTTGACACATCATTTTGTCTTTCCTGCTGGGTTTCCATTGCTCAGGGAAGCTCCTGGTGCATAGCAGACACTCAGTAAATATGTTGAGTGATTGAAGGAACAAACCAACACACAAAGCAAAGCCTTCACTGAGTCCTTATATAAGGAGAAGAACTTATGACTGAGAATCTAAAAAACATATGACTGAGATCTAAAAAACACAAACTGATGACTGAGAGTCTAAAAAACACAACCTACTTTCGAATCAGCTGTGTGGATTCAAAGAGCCAGAAATGCTGCATCTGTTAAATTTGGAAAGTCGTCACTAGTAGGAGGGGGTTCCATGGGCCAGTGAAGAGGTCTTTTAGGAGTAGTAGCATTTAGTGTGAAACTGAACTGCTGGCCTCAAATCTTAAATCTGCCATTTGCTAGTTGGGTAGCAAGACAGGTAGCTTTTGGTTTTAGTTGGTGTTTAATTTCAAATTAAAATTTATCTTTCCATCAATTTATTCATCCATCTGACATTTATTTAGTGCCTGCCACATGGCAGATGTGGTGCAAAGTACTAGAGATTCAAAGATGATTAAGAAAAAATCCTCACCCTCTAGCTGTTTACCATCCAGTGAGGTTGAAACCTCTTGATATGGTTTGGTTGTGTCCCCACCCAAATTTAATCTTGAATTGTAGCTCCTATAATTCTCATGTGTTGTGGGAGGGACCCAGTGGGAGATAATTGAATTATGGGAGTGGTTTCCCCCATACTGTTCTTGTGGTAGTGAATAAGTCTCACGAGATCTGATGGTTTTATAAGGGGAGACCCCCTTCACTTGGATCTCATTCTCTCTTTTGTCTACTGCCATGTAAGATGTGCCTTTTGCCTTCTGCCATGATTGTTAGGCCTCCCCAGTCAGGTAGAACTGTGAGTCCATTAAACCTTTTTTTCTTTATAAATTACCTAGTCTTGGGTATGTCTTTATCAGCAGCGTGAAAACGGACCTCTAGTCACACTTATCCCATCAAGCTTTGCAGGAAACCACAGAGGGATTATCTGATAACGAAATGTCATTTTTACTCTAATTGTTTATGAATTACAGTGTATATGACTAAGTAGCTTTAATAAATGTATACTAGGCAATGGGAGGAGATCCACATGGAAGACAGAAGACCTTGACTCTAGTCCCATCTTAGCGACCACTGACAAGGCCCTCATCGTTTATGGATCTCTGTTTCCTCTTCTGGAATATGAGGTGGGCAGAGAAAGTTGATTTCTAAAGTTTCTCCTAGCCCGCACTTGGATTTTACATAATCTCTGGAAATGGTCTCTAATAGAGTAGTTATTGTTGCTGGCCACTAGAGGTCAGTACCTTAAAAAGTAAACTGGATTCTCCTGCCATCAAAGTATGCCTTGAAGCAAAAGCAAAATTACTGTTTTCTTATCTTGGTTAGGAAGAAACATTCCCAAAGAAACAGTTTTCTCCTTGACATATTAGAGCTTGTAAGATGACATTTCCAAACTCTGGCTGAGCATTCACTGCAGAGTTCACTAACAATCTTAGTGTGAGAGATGAAGGAGCAGAAGGTCTGGCCCTAGCTAGTGAAGAACGTATGGTTTCTGCACAGACCTGAATGCATTGATAGCTGTGTAACAGGAGGAAAGAGGAACTGAAAATGACTCTTCTGTAGAGCAAGCCCCTCACTGTATCCAGTGGTGCACTTGCCCCTATCTGGTCACTGAGAATTAAAAGGTAAATATGTTTTTAGATCAGCTCTTTTCTCATAGATGTGGTAGGGAAGGCACAATTTTTGTTCCTTTCCCTGAGTTCCTGCTGCTCTGAAAGATAGGAACTTCCACTCTCTTAATAATTAGTGGCTTACCTCTCCATGGCTCCTTCTGGTGGAGGGAGGAGGAGGGATTTCTCTGATTGGTGAGATGGCAAGAGTCTGGTACCCCCTGGGCTCTGTGTTGGGAGTGGGCTGTGTGTAAAAAGTCACTTGCACATGTGGCCTCTCTTGGGTTCTATGAGCTTGATTTGAGGGGAGGGAGACCTCTGTTCTCTTTGAGGCTGAATGGAAAAGTTTCTGTTGTGGGATGCTAATCAGGTCTAGACCTGGAGGCAACTACTGGGAAGTTTGTTTCAACCTCATATCCAAGTTGCTCTCTCTGATTTGGTGCTACCAGTAGGAAGACAAGTATTTTGGTACATATGTGGCTTCTGTGTGCATTTCTCAATTGGCTTGGCACCCTCAGGGGTGAGGAGTGGGATTAAATGGAAGCCCTTCTCAAATCCTATCAGTGGAGGTGGATTAATATAGTCCCCTCACAATTCTAATGACTGCAGGCTTGCTTGTGATGTTGTTGGTGTAGGGTTTAGGTAAGAGTGGGGCTCAGGGTTGTCCTTGGGGATACAGGACCAGGGAAAGGAGACAGATACAGCCCTCAACAACTTATGCAGCTGAAACCAAACTGAAATGAATATAAGGGGCAAATAGTAGAAAAAAATCATTAAAATTCAACTTGAGGAGTGTGTAGGAGAGAGATGTTTTGTTCTGCTTTGCCTAAGTCATGGTAGTTGTGCAAAAAGTGTTGGTCTTAAAACTCAGGCTTCTTTTGGTACAAGGTGGTTCTGTGTCCCCCAGCTGCTCCCCTTTACCCTCTCCCATCCCGTTACCTCTTTATTCACAAGAGAAGAAAAACAAATAGAAAAGATCTCCAACAATTGTCCAAATAATTCATTCATTTATATAGACATTTCTTCATTCATTCATTCATTCATTCATTCATTCATCCTACCAATATTTACTGAGCTTTGATTATGCACCAGGCAGTTTCAGGTACAGGGAACTAAGCAGACAATACCCCCTTCTCTTGTGGGGCCAACATTTATTTGAGGGTTGACCAAGTACGGTGGCAGATGAAGTCATTGCCTCTTCCATATCCCTTGCATTAACCAATTCAGGGTGCTTTGATAGATTTTTAACTGTCTTATCTCCATCTCTGTGCCTGAAGCCTTTTTTCAGAACCCTGCAAAGTCACTTTACCTGAGCACCAAAGGCACTCTCAAAGTGCTGGAAAAATATTGATCCTGAGAGCGGTCCTCAGCCAATGACTCTTGGGAGTTGGTCTTTAAACACTCCGGCTTCCTCCCTTTTTGGGTGAGCTGATTCGGTGTGTGTTATCCTGTTCTCCTGGGCAGCTCCTTGGGATGAGCTTCAATCAACCACAATGGCAGTTAGCTTACAGACACAGTTATTGTTGCTCTGTTGCTTCCTCACTACCCTATTGGTGTTTCCTGCAACTCCCAAATAACCACTTATACTCAAGTCCTTGTCTCAGAGTCTGCTTTTGGGGGAAATCTGCTAAAATTGTCATTTTTTACATATATTACCACATTTTGTTCTTGCAAAGACCCTGTGAAATTATGAACTGAACATCGCAGTGCCTACCTGATGACACACTTTTGGAAAAAAAACAAAACAAAACTGCCTACATCTCGTGCTGATGGGCTTTGAGCAGGCAACTGTGCTTTATACCAGTATTCACAGTCCTAGCTGATGGGACCGAAGGAGGGTGTGGATCAGCTGCAGCCAATCCCCAGGCTGGCTCTTTGATAAACAGGGGCCTGCCAAACATGAGATCCTCACTCTGGGGATTTGAACTGAGACATGAAGAAAGAGTCAGCAGGGATTGAGCAATTGGAGCTAAAGCAAAGAACATGTCATGAACTAGAGCTGGGCTGGGAGATGCCAGCAGAGATTGAAATGATGAGAAATCAGAATCCATGCTGTAGAAAAGGCAGATAACAGGGTGAGGAAACCTGTGAGTGGTATGAGAAGCCCATGGATGCAAAAGAAGCAGAGACGTGAAGCAGAGTGGAGTCAAGTTCTTCACTGAGGGCCAGTGTCAGGATCTACCCTGGCCTCCACCAAGGCCCTGGAGGGCTGTTGGAGCCACTCAGCTGGAAGTAATGGCCTATAAGGCCTGGTCCAAGCAGAACTCCAGCACCCATTACTCCTGCTCTGATTTTGTAAAATAGCGATTTCAGAAGGCAGTTGCCAAGTTTTGCTTTTAATTGGGAGTGCAAAACTAGGTATAGCCTTGCCTATTGAATTAGAATACAAGAGTTTCCAAACTTTCGTTAGAACTGGAAGGGTAACCAAAGGCTCCTTTAATTCAGGGAAGGCAAGTTGATTTCATCTCAAGGGTACATGCTTGTTGATGGATGGACCTGGAGACTTTGTTGAGAATTCTGAGGCTGCCCTGGGGCACAGTGGGAAGAAATGCTTCTATCTATTACCAATGTCTGCCATGAGTTTGGAGAAAGACAGCACTTACTTTCCACCACCAATCCAGTGTGGAATCAGAGGCTTAAAGGATTTAGGTGATTTGTCTAAAAGTCACACAAAGCTGATTATTGGAATTCCTGGGGCTAGATCTTGTCTTCTGACTTTCCACCCAAAAGATTCTCTAATGGCTTTCTCATCCAGCTAACTTTGGCCCTTTAAAACTGTTTTAGGAAGCTAAGAATCCCTTCTCAAAAGAACAATTACTTCTTGTTATATGAGAAATTATATGCACGGCCTTCCAAAAAGTTAGTTGGACTCATATTTATGTTTTTGTAGGTGAATTTTTGTTCATAATTTAGAGTTGCCAAATTTAGCAAAAAGGAATACAGGACACCCAGTTAAATATTTGAGACAGTTTTCTACTAAATGATTGTTATGTGAAATTTATATTTGAATCTTCTGAATTTTATCTGGCAACCCTAAAAGGGAATCAGGTGGGCAACTCCTTGTGTGGACACACCTTGATATATTGATGGATATATGGCTTCTGGGCCCTGACCATCTCACATACTAACCTTCTAGTTATTATTTGTCAATATTCTGACCAACTGGGACATCTCAGGAGGCTGTGCTTTAATTTTAGTTCTACATGTAGTAAGACCTGGATGTTTTCTGTAGAAAATCCTTGCAACTCTCTTTGTTGTTCTGGAGTAATAATAATAGTAAGACCTGAGTGTTTTCTGTTTCAGTAACAATGGGGATGCTCAGTGGTGCCAAATTTATCTGAAACTGTGGTTGGAATAGATCACTGAGACTTTGTTTTTTCTTGTTTATTTCCACCAAGGCAGCATCTCACAATCTTGTAAAAGATAGTACTTTTGTAATGAAAGAGCATCTATGCAACCCCTTAGAGTTTATGATTTTTCTCCTTTTAGTGCTAGCAGATCATTTTTTGGAACCCTAACTATATTGGGCAAGTCTTTACTTCGGTAAGTTCTGCCACCTCCATGATGGCACTGGAGTGAAGCCATGAATTCAGTCTTCTTCATATAGCTGCTCATAAATGCCTTTGCCATCTGACAAATGCATTGGTTCTGAATGACTTCATACTGTTGTAATCCATTGGGTTCATAGTTCTGGACTAAGAAAAACTCAATAAAATGATGTAAACTCAAGACTAATTTCCCTCCCTGTTCTAGTTAGGAAGAAACAATTTAAAAACATATAAACTAGTATTACTTGGTGGTAATCTTGCTTTAAAAAATCCTCTGGAATAGACATCCAGGTACGCCACCAGGAAACTTTAAGAATGATATCGTGTTTTACACTTCAACTCCTAAGAGTTTTATTTCTCTCTCCTTAGACATTTTCTCTGCAATTTTTGGAAACAAAATAATATGCAACTAGCCTAAGAGCATACATAAAATATTTTATGTAAAATGAGTACAATGTTTATTGTAAAAATTAAAAATAAAGGTCAAAAGAGTAGAGATTTAAAATTCCCCATTAATATTTTAATTTAGACTTTTTCTATGCATATGGGCAAACAGACTTTAAAAATGAAATGAGTACTGAAAATATTCCTCAGTCATCTACTTTGTTTAGTTAATATTTTGTGAATATCTTATGGTGCCAATACATTTCCATCCTCTTTTTTTTAAAGACAGGGTTTCCCTATGTTGCCCAGACTGGCCTCAACTCCTGAGCTCAAGCAGTCCTCCCCAGCAGCTGGAACTACAGGTGCAAGCTCTTGTGCCTGGTGGGGCATCCTCATCATTTTTTATGACTCTGTTTCATTGGATGAGTGTATCACAGCTCATTTCACCCATGTTGAGGCTATTTCTCAATTTTCCATATTGCAAGCTTTGCTGCAGGGCTCTTTCTGCAATTAAACCTTTGCACACATTATTAATTATTTTCTTGGAGTAAATTCTTAGAAATAGGAGACTTGGTGATTTTTGTATCTTAGAAAACATTTTAAAAAATCCTGGCTATAGTAAAAGAGAATTTGGATGAGGGCACAGTTTCTTGCTCTTCCTGTACACCTTCCAGGATGGAGTCTCTTTAACTTGGGATTCTCACAAGGGAAGAGATATCATACCTGAAATGAGGAGCAGCTATGGGGTCATTTCTGTAAATAAAGGTCAGTTGGAAAAAGTAGATTTGGGGGGCTGTGTAGACTCTCTCACCATGACAAGACTGTACAGATATGGTTCACAAGTGGTTCTCAATTTTGACCCCCCAGGAGACATTTGGCAATGATGGGAGATATTGTTGCTTGTGATGACTCACGTGGTTGGGTGGAGATGCTACTAGCATCTAGTGGGCAGAGGCCAGGGATGCTGCTAATGTCCTATGATGCACAGGACAGCCCTTAAAAAAAGAAGGATCTGGCTCAAAGTGCAAGATTCCTACCAAATTTAGGAAACAGTGATGCAGAGCAGAAATAAAAAGGGATCAATGAGTCTCTTGAAAACCATGGTACAGCACTGCAAATTTTATGTTTTCTTTTCTTTCAAAAGAGTCTTCAGTTACCCAATATATTTGGCATGTCTCAGGCTGATCTACAAACCACATTAGGGAACACACAAGGCCTGTGGAATGTGTGGTCCTACTTGCTCCTGGCTTCTGTTAGGATTAATCTTGACAAGAATGTGTAGTGTGTATAGAGGAATTTAGACTGCCTGGATTTTTCTAAGCATGATAGTACAACGATGATGCTAAAAGATTGCCTAGGTTCCTTTTGTGGAACTAAACCAAATGCAGAGGGTCAGCATCAATCCTTTGGGGCCAGTCTCTGTTCCTTGGGCAGAGCAAAGTAGGTTGTTATATTTGGGACTCCTTAGAGTTTGCCGAGCTGCATGTTCTGGCCGCACTGAATATTTTGATCATGAGTAAGCCAGTCATGATTGTGACAGGCTTAGCTCCCAGCTAAGGTCAGAGGAAAATGATGTTTGCTAGGATCAAAGGAAGATAATTGTGGATATTGCATTTCCTCCATAATGCAATGATCTTGCTGTGAAAACATGTCTTAAAGAAGAGGCCTTGAGAGGCAGGGGAGTGCATGTGTGTGTGCTCATGACAGGGCATGGGCATTGGAGGTGGATGGGCAGAGCTAGAATATCCCACATTTATTAAGGCTTGTCATGGGCAAATTGCTCAATTGCTCTGAGCCTCAGTACTGTTACCTCTAAAGGGGTAAGAAGAGTATTTAACTCATGATGAGCTGGAAAGCTACTAGGTTAGAATCTTGAACTCCTAAATCTCCACCAGCTGTTTGTTGCTGTTGCAAGTTTAGGAGAGGGACTTAGGAGGGACACTGTGGCAAAAACCCTCTGTTCATCAGTCCAAGGACTTCACTCCAAGATCCCATGCAATTTTTTTGTAAGTGGAGCTGGGCCACATCTGAGACTCAAGGGTTCCTTGTGCATAAATTACACAGCTCTGGAAAAATGTTCCTTCTGCTGTATGCATTCAAGGAACCAGTAAAAACAGGAAGCCAGTTTTATTGCATAAGCTGTGTGGAGTTTTAGAGAGACTAGAGAAGGAAGAGATCTGGGAGGGGAGCCCTGTGCTGGTTGATTTCCGTTGCTCCTACCCTCTCTCCTGGCTCCCATCCATCTTCTATCCCTGTCTGTTCTGAGTTTTGCCCAAGAAGTTCATCTCTGTGCACTGCATCACCAAGACTATCTGGGCACCTGGAGTCATGGGCTTTGACCAGTGAGGGGTATAAATAGGAGACTGAAAGGTAGAAGAGGGTGGTCAGGGGATTCACAGTCCTGGCTTCTTCCCTACTTCTGGCAGTGGCTGAGCTCTTCTGCAGGTGTAGTTCCTGTAGGCTGGTCCCTCTGCCAAGTCTCCAGTTCTTCACTGCACTTTGCAACCACCACTGCCTCTCCTCCTTTTCAGGATTTGGGATGGTGAAGCATTCCTGCTGTTGCTAGTCCTTGGATACTTCAGCATCCCTGCATGGTTCTTTTCACCCCACCTGCACCTTTAATACAGTTCTTTCATTTGACCTTCCATAGTGAAATCCTTTTGAAAGTGTTATGCTGCCTTCTGCCTGAACACTGATAGGCACATCCTGGAGAGAGAAGAACCCCTAGAGAACTTGGTATGTGGCCTTGAGAGTCTTTGAACTTCTCCATTCTGATGCTGAAGCGGCATCCCAGAACTTGGGAAGCTTCCATCCCAACGTCCATACAAATGCTACTTTTCTTTCTTTTCTTTTCTTTTCTTTTCTTTTCTTTTCTTTTCTTTTCTTTTCTTTTCTTTTCTTTTCTGTGTGTGGGTGTTTTTTTTTTTTTTTTTTTTTTAAGAGAGGAAGAAGGTGAGAGTGGTACTGAATTCTCTCTAGAGGTTAGAAGAATGCGCCACTGACAGGGGCTTTTCCTGAGGATAAAATAAAGTACCATGCTGAAAGGATCCAGTATGGTGCCATTTACTAGGCACACAGTAAATGGTAACTGCTGGTATCATGAGACACTGACTGGTGATCTCTCAAGGAAACAAGAAGGAAAACATGAGGTCAGCAATGTAGTTAACAACTGAGAGTAGCTTTTTAATCTCTCCTTTCAGGGCTGTCATTATGTGTTGGCTGAGGAATGAATTGGATTTACGGGCTCCTTTTTTTTTTTTTTTTAAATGCTTTTATTTTAGGTTGGGGGATACATGTAAAGGTTTGTTACATAGGTAACCTCGTGTCACGGGGGTCTGTTGTACAGATTATTTCATCACCTATGTATTAAGCCCAGTACCCAATAATTATCTTTTCTGATCCTCTCCCTCCTCTCACCTTCCACCCTCAAGTAGACCCCAGTGTCTGTTCTTCCCTTTTTTGTGTTCATGAGTTCTCATCATTTAGCTCCCACTTATAAGTGAGAATGTGTGGTATTTGGTTTTCTGTTCCATGTTAGTTTGCTGAGGATAATAGCTTCTGGCTCCATCCATGTTCCTGCAAAATACATGATCTTATTCTTTTTTATAACTGCATAGTATTCCACAGTGTATATGTACCATGGATTCTGTCATTGATGGGCATTTAGATTGATTCCATTTCTTTGCTGTTGTGAATAGTGCTGCAATGAACATTTGCATGCATGTGTCTTTATGGTAGAATAATTTATATTCCCCTGGGTATATACCCAGTAATGGGATTGCTGGGTTGAATGGTAGTTTTATTTTTAGCTCTTTGGGGAATTGCTGTACTGCTTTCCATAGTGGTTGAACTAATTTACACTCCCATCAACAGTGTGTAAGTGTTCTCTTTTCTATGCAACCTCAAACTGGCTCTTTTTGATACCATAGAGACTTATCTCCAAGGATGCTCTTCCTCTTCTTTTTATCATTATCTAAAATAGTTGCATATGTTATTGCCTATTCTAGGGTATTGATGTCAAAAATCAGAGAGTTTGAGGGGAAGAAGAAGTATTTCAGTTGGAAATAATTTATTCTTTCATTAAAAGTGGCCATTGGAGATCAGCATTATGACAGCCTGTAGGATGAGATCATCACAGATGCCAGGCTTTTACAGTATGAAATATTTAGCCAATTCTGACCAAATATTATCAAAAATTAGATTATTTCAGGGAAAAATCATTCTAGCAACACGTTTATTTTGCATCATGCAGACAAAATAAATGTGGTTTTGATTTTATATGAAAACAGCTTAGGAAATCTCTAGTTAATTTTGTCTGCCAATTAATTAATCTCTCTTTTTCTTGACCTGAAATCTTCATTTTCCTTTGGGAAATAATTTCTTCCTCCTCCTACCACCTCTGTCCATGTGATTTAGATGAGATGGATTTTTCTTTGAGCTCTAGTGCTGGGTTGTGATGTAAGCCTGGTCAATGGCAACATCACATTTCCTTGGCCAATTGTTGGTTGAGGGATAGGCTCATGATTCAAGTAGAACCATTCAGAATCAAAAGGCTGTCATTTCCAGGTATTTCATGGGAATTATTGAGAAAGATAATTTTCTTCCCCCTGCTCGGACTGCAAAATGCAAACCTGAGTTGCTGGTGGCCATCTTTGCAATAAATAAAGGCAATACCCTTCCTGAAAGTGAAGCCAGCAATGTGGGGAGCTGCTCTGTAGGAGGGAGAGAGATAAGACCCTGGTGACATTGTTTGGGTACCCAGGTCTGGCTCTGGGATTTTTGTTATTTCAGTGAGTTTCCTTTTACTTGAACCATGTTGAATTGGAGTCTGGCAGTTATAATCTAAATAATATTGATTAATGTACAAGATGATAATAGGATTTTCCTGTTGTGACACCTCCCCCATTTGACTCTGACCACATGTGTAGATTGTGACTGAAAAGAACTTGTCACTAATTAATTCATCATAATTTTATTGAGCACATACTATAGCAGTCATCATGTAGAGTCCTGGGATATAAAAATCAATAGGGCAAACAAACTCTCCATCAGATAGACAAATGTAAAAAATATATGAGCAATGTGCCAGCACGGTGGTTAAGAGAGTGGGCTTTGGCGCTTCACTGCCTAGGGCTACTGTGCCACTTACTATTTGCTTCACATATTTCATAACCTCTCTGCCTCTCAGTTTATCCATCTGTAAAATGAGGTGAATAATTGTTGTGAGGACTGTCTTAATCCATTTGAGCTACTATAATAAAATACCAAAAACTGCATAGATTATGAACAACAGAAATTTATTTTACAGTTTTGGAGGCTGGAAAGTAAGATCAAGGTGCCAGCAGATTTGATGCCTGGCGAGGGCCTGCTTCCCCATTCATAGATGGCCATCTTCTCACTGTGTCTTCATGTGTTGAAAGGAGGTCTTTGGGGCCTTTTATAAAAAATAAGGGCATAAGTCCCATTTATGAGGGTAGGTCTTTCATGACTTAATTACTTCCCAAAGGCCCCACTTTCTAACACCATCCCACTGGTGATTAGGTTTCAACATATGACTTTTGAGGCTACACAAACATGCAGACCGTAGCAAGGACCAAGTGAGCTGATACATGTAAACCACTCAAAAAGTGCCCAGTAAGTGTTTGCTATTGCTACCATGACTATGCACTGGTTCCCAGATGGCAAGGAACACACACGTGGTCATCTGTAATTCTCCTTAGGCACAGGGGAAGGGAAAGATTAGAGAAAAGAAAGTAACTTTTGAGCTGAACCTGAAAAGGTGAGGCACCCTAGGGCAAAGTACCCTAGAATTGCAGTTATCTGCATATTCTTGGATAATAGTTACACGTGGGTGACTTTTGAAGATGTGACTGTAAAAGTTTGCAGAAGCTACATCCTCAAGGGCTCAATGCACCATGCTAAACGATGCTTTTATGAGTATTAGGTAGGATAACATCTTTTCCAAGTGATCAAATAATCAAAGGGCTTAAGTAAAAACAGCATTTAACAGTTTCCATAATTGAAAAGTCCAAGGGAACAGCTGGCTATAGATATGTCTAGATTGGGGTTCAAATGATGACTCCAAGACCCATTTTCTCTCTTTGTCTCTCTGCTTCATCTGTGCATGGGTCTATTCTTGCATGGTATTATGCTCTGTGGTGGTAATGTGGCTGGTGGAGGTTCACAGGCTTAAGTCCAACAGAAAAGAAGGAGATTCTCTTCTATAGATGTCCCAGCAAAGTTTCATTGACTCTCATAGAGTCACCTGAATCAATTATTTTGGTGAGTGGGATGCTATACTCTGATGAGTTAGGCTAGAGATTTACATACTGGAAGTGTCAGTTCCACTGAGAAGCTCATAGACTTAGCACGTAAAGGAAGATAGTCCTTCAGAAGGAATTTAGGTATGGATACCAGAAAACAATATGAAATACACACCTGATGGCAAAACTTATAGAAGTTCAAAACACCTTTTATAGCGGAGGGATTGGGAGGGTCATTGCTGTTTTTTAAGCCGGGAAATGGCATGCACATTTTCATTTTAAAAGGATATACTCAATCTAGTGTGGAGGATGGATTGGAGGGTTGTGGTTGGAGGCAAAGGGCCAGTTACAACGTTTTTCACTGATTAAGGGAAGTGATGATGAATGTATGAATGACACCTTTTGCACCGGGAATGGAAAGGTGCAATGAATCAGATATGTGCATTTAGTGGCTGGAACCATAAGAATTTTATGCTGGGCAAAATTCAGTAGGGAAGGGAGGAAAGACATTTAGTTTGCACCTTACGGTTTTGACTTTGGTACAGGGTGGGTAGAGATGCTATTTACTGAAAGTGGAGCTACAGAGAGAGAGAGAGACAAAGAGAGAAACCTAATGATGTGGTTTGGATGTTTTTGTCCCTTCCAAATTTCATGTTGATCTATGACTCCCAATGTTGGAGGTGGGCCTAGTGGGAGGAATTTTGGTCATGGGGGTGGATCCCTCATGAATGGCTTGGTGCTGTCCTCATGCTAATGAGTTCATGTGAGATCAGGTTGCTTAAAAGAGTGTGACACCTCCCCCCCACTCTCTTGATCCCTCTCTCACCATGTGATAGGATGGTGGTGCCCTCTTCATCTTCCACCATGATTGGAAGCTTCCTGAGGCTGCACCAGAAGCAGATGCTGGCACCATGCTGCTTGTATGGCCTGCAGAACTGTGAGCCAAAATAAACCTCTTTTCTTTATAAATTACCCACCCTCAGGTATTCCTTTATAGCAATGCAAATGGACTAACCCAGCTCATATCTAAAATTTATTTACGTTCATGATCTTTTACACAGAGTGGTAGAAAAAAAGTATATTTAGAGTTTATAGAATCTATTTTTTATCATAAGCAACACTGTTCACAATGATAAATGACCTGGAAATACCCTTGTGCATGCAGGGGCACAAAGAAACATTTGTGGCCTGAAAATGTGTAACACAGGCACATTCATGTTCATGTACACACAGCATTATATTAGCCTCATTATTTTCTTTTTTTTTTGTTTTTCCCATTTCTTCTCATCTGCTTTTGACTGCTGTTTTCTTTTTATATCTTATTTATCTTCTTAAGTGGCTTTAAACTCTTCTAGAACAAGATGGTGTATAGTCAATAAATATTGCTTAATACATATTCATTACAAGTCAGCCTTTACAAAGAATGATTGCAATGAGACTTGGAACTTTTTAAACCAAAACTGTTTTGCTACTTTCTTTATACAAATATTTACAAATGTGGATAAACTGTATCTGCTATTTTTTAAGAATAAAAGACACCTATATTTGCTTAAGATTTTATTCGTTTAATACCAAAACAGCTCCTCTTTTCTCATGTCAGTTCTCTAATCCCCATTACCATCCCACCAGATATTTGAAAACGAAATTCATCTCTAGGCTTCAAACCAATTAAAGGAAATTCAGTTTTAAAAGCTACTCAAAATAGGCTTTGTAATAAAAGAAACATTTAAAAGATAAGTAAGCAATGTCCAAAAAATGAATGCATTCGTGGATTACGATCAGAAGAAAATTTTAATCACAGTGATTTGTGGTTCATGACTGTCTGCAATAACTTCTCCATTTCCAGTTTATCTAGCAAATCTTGTAGTCTTTAAAGGGCCCATATGTTCACTTTTCCCGGATTAGTTACTTCTGTTGGCTCTTTTTTATGCTTTATAACTTGGAATTCTATCTTTGGCTGTTATCTGTAAGCAGGTGACTACCTCAAACCACCTTTGCTGTCTCCTTTTTTTCTAATACTCATTGTTCTTGGTCTCCTGTACACATGTCCTGACTCAGAAGGAGAGCAATAAGTGCACAAAGTATGGCAGGAAGATGAAGACAATGAAAGCAAGATAGGGTTGAAAGACAGGAAAAGCAAGATAGGGTTGAAAGACAGGAAAAGCAAGCCTTGCCTTTGCACACAACTGCTAGATCATTGCAACTTTCATCTGTGGTAATGGCAGTATCCAGCTCTGAAATACACAGGGTCTCTACACTTTCTTATGAATAAATCCTCCAATTCTCAGGCTGGCTTTCAAAGCTCTTACAAATATGGTCCATTGATTCTCCTTCTGGGTCTCTGTTCTCACTTCGTCCCCATCATTACCTCTGTCTCAAGTGCGCTTTCCCCCAACTTGTGCCACTCCAAGTGTCACCCATCATGTAAGGCCCAATGAGCAGAGAGGATTTCCCTATCCCTTCTCTGTCACATCCTAATTTGGAAGTAAACATTTCCTCTTCTTTCACAGCATTTTGCCCTTATTTCCAGCCTAGAACTTAGCATATTTTATCATTTTCTCATCCAAAATTTAGGTATTTTTTGTGTGTGTGCATGCCATTTCCTTTCTGGTATCCTTAGAAATTTACTAGTCAGAGCTGGCTCCTGCACCCTCTGGGAAGTGAGGAGCACCTCTGCCCGGCCGCCCCTCTGTCTGGGAAGTGAAGAGTGCCTCTGGCCAGCCGCCGCACCATCTGGGAAGTGGGGAGCACCTTTGCCCAGCCGCCATGCAACCCTCCAAGTGTGAAGTGGAAACCTTGTGTGTGATGTTTCCGCCCTCCCCAAGTTTGCATTTTCGACAGTAAAATTTACTTTTAAATTAAAAAATTTAAATTGGGGAAGATTAAAAAAAAGAAATTTACCAGTCAGAGCTATACTATTAATATATTAATCTTGATACTCTTCTGTCTTCACAGAATCTAGCATGGTGATTCAAACATAAGAGGTATGAAAACTATTTATAAGTCAATGAGCAGAGAAAGGAATACATAGAAGGAGGATTGGAAGTTACCAAAAGGGAGGGATAAAGGGAATACTATTACCATAAACCATAGAAATGGTAGATCAGACAAAATCATGGAAGAGAATAATTGAAGAATTGCAGTTCAGTGAAGAACAAGGTGCTGACACAAGCAAGAGTGGGACTAAGGGAGGTGTGAGACTTGGAAGGGATATCTGTTTACTCAGACATTTGGCTCTCTCCCTCCTTCTCCTGTTCATTGCTCTCATCAGCTTACTCGTAAATCAGTGAACATATGCCTTGCTTTATTTGAAATAAATACCTAGCAGATCCATGAGAAGCAATGTCTTACCACAATGTAAAGTGGTGCCCATATTTATGAGAAAGCTATTAGGACAAATGTTTGTCTTGGGAAACCATCACACTAAAGGATTCAGAAGAATCACCTGCTGGCTATTTCTCTTCATTTCAATCTCCATTTTTATCACCCCTGCCAGGCCTCCTCTGTCTCTAGATTTTTCACCCCTTTGCTGTTGAGAATACCAATCATGCATTGAGGGTGCAAAGAGAATGCAGTGCTGAATTCCTCATTCCCTTTGCATCCATCACACCCCCTTAAACACATACACCTTGGCATGATTAGTGTTTTTCCATGCGTAAAAGCTTCTCTGGCCCCCAGCCTCAGGAATAGCAGACCCTGTGTGCTTTTAGCTTCAAATCCATCTGTTTGCTATGCTGCTCATCACACTGAATTGTGATAGTTTGATCACCACACACTAGCCCATAGGTAGGGGCTTTGTCTTAACTCATTATTAAATCTGATTCAGCGCCACAGTGTCTGGTCCTTACAGGCTCATTAAAGGGTTGTTGAGTGAATATATACAAACATGAAGGAATAAATAATAAAACAAAAAACATTTATCATTTCTCTGTAGCTTGCTTGAAAAATAGTTAGCATCTCTTACCTTTGGTTTTTGACTTACTATATAGCCTTTCGAGAATTGTCAAAGATTTTGGGATGTTATGTTTTTCTTAAATAACAGACTAAAATATATTTTTTGAAGATTTAATAAGGCAATATTATTGCCAACTGGTTTTATCACTCAGGGCATTTAATAGAAAATTTGTTAACATTGTCTTTAATTTGCTTAAATATTTATGAACATTGCTTTCAAGAGAATTTATATCTGGGGCTATTCTTTAATAGAATTCATTTTGTTGTGGTTTCAACTTTTCTGTGTTTCATCTTGTTTTGATAAATTCTGCTAGAATTGTCTTTAAATGCTTTAGAATCTGAGTGGGAGTCTCTTTGGATCCCATTCCTGCTTGTTCCACCTTCTGGAACCCCAGATTCAATCAGAGTGTTTACCACAGGGATCTTGGTCCTGATCACAATTCATCATCTTCTGATATGGAATCTAGGTAATCTGTGTCAACGTATAAGAGAAACCCGGAGAATAAGCTGTCTGCCCAACCTGGGTCTGAGAAGAGGCCATTCTGGTCTGTGAAGAAAATCTCCAGCCAGACTTCATCTTCTGGCTGCAGATAGATGACTGTGGACCCCGAAGCCACATCATGGTTTCCTGTGTTGGCGTCGAAGGTCTTTATCCGGTATTGCCCATTGTGTACCAGTCCGATTGCCAGATGCTTATTAGCCAATGTGATATCATAAGAAAAGTAATAGATCCCTGGGAAAGCACAGATGAACTTCCCTGTGGCAGGGTTGTAGTGCTCTCCCTCGTTGAAGAGGACCTTGTTAAATATAATAGGTAGTCTTTCTTCTGGGTAGCTGGTTGTGATGCCAACAGAAAAGGCGGATTTGAGCACGATGCTTCCACATCTGCAAACTCCAGGCAGCCCCGGGTCCCCTTGTTCTCCTCTGTCTCCCTTTGGTCCAGGAGGACCAATTGGACCTACTTCTCCTTTCTCTCCCTCTGGTCCTATGGGTCCTTTCTTCCCAGTCTCTCCTTGGTCCCCTTTCTCACCGGCAAGACCTAGCGGTCCAGTCTTACCTCTCAAACCTTCAGAAAGAGTATATAGTTTGATTAATAGTTCCTCAAAAGATATAATCACAAACAATATACCTACATGGTCCCAGCACATCCCAACTTTGTCTTTTCAGGCAACATTTAACAGTGTACTACTAAATAATAAACTTTTTTTTTTTTGAGATGGAGTCTCACTCTATCACCAGGGCTGGAGTGCAGTGGCATGATCTTGGCTCACTGCAACCTCCGCCTTCCGGGTTCAAGCAATTCTCCTGCCTCAGCCTCCCAAGCAGCTGGGATTATAGGCGCCTGCCACTACGCCCAGCTAATTTTTTGTATTTTTAGTATAGACTGGGTTTCACCATGTTGGCCAGGCTGGTCTTGAACTCCTGACCTTGTGATTCACCCACCTCAGCCTCCCAAAGTGCTGGGATTATAGGCATGAGCCACCGCGCCCAGCCAATAATAAACTTTTAAAACATCACTGGTGCACTAACAACAAAAATAGAAAATTTTCGTCAGAATTTAAGTCAATTTTCCTGAATATGTAAGAAATAATTTAAATCCTGACAAATTTAACATAATTAACTATCATTTTGATGATGGATCACTTGCCACTATATTATTCACATATAGGTACTGGGCACTACAGGAACCCTTCAATGAGCATGATGATATTATTTCTCAGAGTGGGCCCAGAGGGGCAGACAGAACCAGGCAAATCCCTAGAGGCTTCATTCTATTTCTATTTGTGATAATAATAAGAGAATTAATCAAAATTAGATTTGCTTATATTTATGAAGGATTTACTATGTTCCAGGGACAATGTTAAATGCTTTATTTGCATGCATTATCTTATTTAAGTTTCACAGTGACTTTATGAACTCAGAATTATTATTACTTTCATTGCAAATGAGGAAGCTGAGCCATAGAGGAGTTACTTTACTGAAGAGAAGAGAACTAGTGAATGATGGAGCTGTGGTCTGACCTCATGCCTGCCTGCCTGACTCTGGAGCCAGAGCATTTGGCAGGAACATAAATTCTTTTTTTTTCTTTTTTGAGACAGAGTCTCACTCTGCTGCCCAGGCTGGAGTGTCATGGCGCGATCTTGGCTCATTGCAACTTCCACCTCCCAGGTTCAAGCTATTCTCCTGCCTCAGCCTCCTGAGTAGCTGGGATTACAGGTGTGCACCACCACATTCAGCTAATTTTTGTATTTTTAGTAGAGATGGGGCTTTTGCCATGTTGGCCAGGCTGGTCTCGAACTCCTGACCTCAGGTGATCCGCCTGCCTCGGCCTCCCAAAGTGCTGAGATTTGGGAGTCCTGAGCCGCCATGCCCGGCCAGCAGGAGCATAAATTCGAAAGCGCATCTGGCACATAGCGAGGGCTCAACATGCTACAATAACCATAAAACAATGACTGCCACCACCATGCAGTAGCTTATTTTGTGAGGAGAAAACTGAGTCCCAGACAGGTAAAAAAAACTTGCTTCTGGGCTGGGTGCAGTGACTCACGCCTGTAATCCCAGCACTTTGGGAGGCCGAGGCGGGCAGATAACGAGGTCCGCAGATCAAGACCATCCTGGTTAACACGGTGAAGCCCCGTCTCTACTAAAAATACAAAAATTAGCCGGACGTGGTGGTGCGCGCCTGTAGTCCCAGCTACTCGGAAGGCTGAGGCAGGGGAATTGCTTGAACCCGGGAGGCGGAGGTTGCAGCGAGCCGAGATTGCGCCACTGCACATCAGCCCGGGCGGCAGTGCAAGACTCAGTATCAAAAAAAAAAAAAAAAAAAGTTGCTTCTGTACCAATGCTAGGACTAGAATCCAAGCCTTCTTAGTCGAATGATGTTTCCGGTTCATTAAAATGCCTTTTACCTTTGGGGTTGGAGTCAAGAATCTTAAATAGTGTTTGGCTCTGTCACTAAACGGTTGTATCATTTTAGGTAAGTCCCTTAATTTTTCTGAGTCTCTTTATATACAGAGAAGACATAATTGCTGTGAAAGAATTTTCACAAATTCCAAATCACCATACAGGAACATTTTCTGTGTGTCTAAATCTTTATATCTGCAGACCAACTATAGGCTAAATACAGAAAAATGGTGATCCTGGTTGAAGGAAATAAGCAAAATCAGTTTAATTTATATAAATGGTTTAAAATTTAAATAGTTTATGTATATAACACATTATATATACAATATTTTATACATATAAAATCTATATAAGACATTGATTTTGTATATGACATTCACGTTTTATATATAAAATAGATTATATATAAGACATTGATTTATATATGACATTTTACATATAAGGCATTGTTATATATATAAAAAAGCAATGATTTTATATATATAACAGCAATGATTTAATACCATCGAAAGATATCATTCAATTTTATGGCCAAATCTATTTCACAAATAGTGCTTGTATGATGATATTTCCTCAAAAAGTATCCAAATTATTAGTAACCTGTAGTGCACTTTTGTAGTCAGAGCAAATATATTGCTGATGAATTGTGTGTTTTACTTTACCTATGTATTTGTTCTTGAGAAATTTTATTAAGCTAAACTGAAATTTAAATTTTGGGCGAGTCATTTCTTTTCTGGGTTTTAAATGCTCCATTTGTAATAAGGGGAGATTGGATCTAAGTCCAATCCAAACTTACTGGGCAAAGCAGCAAACAGACCTGGGATAAAACCCCAGTTCAGCCATGGATTAGTTAGGTGAATTTTAAGAAAGGGCTTGATCTCTCTGGCTTTAGTTTCCCAATCCTTGAAACGAAAGTGTTGGACTAGATTGTTTGAGGTCTCACCCTCTTGAAAATTCCTTGAGACCAAATCATACATTCTGGGATGCAATTTTACAATGCTGTCCACAAAAAGGCCTTCACGGCCTGAAAGTTTGGATTTTCTATAGTAATGTTTGTTTGAGATGCTGAATTGGGTGATAGATAATCATGGACTAGCTGTAATAATGTATAGTTACTCTTCCTGTTTGTATGAAGAATTTGCTCACATGCTTAGGTTCCACACATTAAGAGTGGAAAGAAGGGATGAGTCATTGTCCTTCTCCCTATTTAGTCAGACATATGCTTGGGTAGAGTGGAGGATTATGGGGGTAAGAGTTAGTCTATGTTTAGGTATTGAAACTAGATCAGAAAGGATTTCTTTATAGTTCTCCATGAAATGGTTCTACCTAGATTTCTTCTTCCATGCCATTTCTTCCTTCCATCCAACCATTCATTCATTCTATCCTTCCATCCATCTATCCGTGGATCTATGCATACATACATGCGTCCATGTAAACCATCTAACATTAATTGACCATCTGCTACATACCAGTCATGGACTAGGGGCTAAGTGAAACCTGGGCATTACTCATGTAATGCCCGAACCTCAAATTAGCTGTCATTACTTATGACCTTGGATCTGCAAATATGGGCCAAAGTTAAGTTCATGAATACCTACATCCATATGATAAACTGGAATGAATGATCTTTTTCAAGAGGTTATTCTAGTGTTATCTGAAGATTTTTATATGGATATGTACCCAGATTAAATTAAATGTTAATATTATGCTACAGTAATAATTGCAACAGACCAGTGAGGGAGACAGATACTTTAATAGAAAATTTATAACTTTGTGTAATAAACTCTGCATTTCTCATTTAGGATAGGGAAGTTGGACCAAAATTATGCTTGATTGGACTTGGTTGGGGTGGATGTGGTGAGGGTATTCACCAAGAGTACGTGAATGAGAAGGCACTTGTAGTGTCATTAAAGGGGAAACAGGGAGCAGGCACTCCCAGCCAGGTTGTGCCCAGTTACAGCCATATTAAAAACACATCCCCAAATCTCCCAGGCTGTTCCTCTAGTTTATAAGTGAGGTACACCTCTCTTCATCGATCATATAGTCATTCCTACCTTTTCTTTCTGAGCTGTTATGTATCCTATGTGTGTATATTGTATTTAAATAATCTCAGGTTAGGAAAGTCATTTTGTTTTTGATGGTTTTTGAATCTCAATTTGTTTTCATTTGTAACATTAATTTTATTGCTGATTATAATTATTGCTAATAGGGTTATAGTAGATGTTAAATATGAAATGTAAAGGTCCTGACAAATAGTAAGTTCTTAGTAAGTGGTTATTATGATGATGTATTTTAATTATGTCTGTATATATTGGCCTCCCCCACATGAATGTCTGCTTATCAAGGCAAGAACAATGTCTTATGCTTGCGTTCCCAGTGTCTAGAACAGCGTTCTCAACCAGGTGCAATTTTGCACTGTCCACCTTTCTACCCAGTGGATAGCTGGCTACGTATAGAAAAATTTTGATTGTCAATTTAGAGAGGAGTGCCACTAGCATCTAGTGGAATGCTATTGAATATCCTGCAATGCACAGAATAGTCACTCCACGGTAAATAATTATTCTACCCAAATTCTCATTAGTGCAGAGGTTGAGAAACACTGGAAGAATAATATTAGATAGTAATAGGTGCACAGAAATATTATTGAATGAATAATGCCTGGATGCATGGATGAATGAGTGGATCTATGAATGTGGTGGTATAGTTAGCCTCATATATGGTTAAAACTGTAGCAGTTCTGAACATTTAATTTAATCTGAATGCATATCCACATATATGTCTTTAATATTAGAACTACCTCATGAAACGAATTACCAATGTCTAGTTTATTATATGGCTTTTGCTAGTCACAAATTTAGCTGTGACTCATATTTGCAGATCAGAATTTAATAAGTTATAACATTTACTGAGTTTTTATCACATGGCAGTTATCCTGTGGAAGGTTTTGCATGTACTCTTTCCCTTAAACTTAACAATCACCCTTATTACCACCAACTTACAAATAAGGAAACTGAGCCTCTAAGAGCATATGTGGCCAAGGATACTAGATTAGTAACTGAAAGAGCTAAGATTTGAGCCAAAGTCTTTCTGACTCCAATGTTTGTTTGTATAGCCACTACATTATTGCTTCCAGACCCAGTAAACTAAAAGCAATATATAACTATAATCCTGATGTTATTATAGGATTTCAAGAATATTCATAATTATGACTCAGTTGTAACTTATATTCACAGGTGTTACCCTATGGATGTCTTTAAAAACTTACATTTTAGCTCCAAATTAAAGCTTCTTATCTGATGTTGAAGCTTTCCCTAAAGGTTCTTTATCTATTATTGTGCAATGTTCATAGATTTGGTAATTGATTTGCCAGATATTATCCGCATGGCAAATTCAGAAATGAATTATTATCCAATAATCTGAATATGTTTTATGATTTTGTTTTACAGAACTCCAGTAAATCAGGTGTGATGATTGGAGTTATATAGAATTTTTTCCTTCCTATCTTTTGTCCCAACTTTTATGCTCAGCAACTTGTCTTGAAAGATTGATTCCAAATCCCTTCCTCTTTTAGAGTTAACACAGCCTGTCTAGAATTTCAATTTGGTTTACCCTGAAGGACTGCAGAATCTGGCAAGCTTCCCGGACCAACTTATTTTGCGAGGAAACAAAGTGAAAATTACTGAAGGACTAGTGGGCAATTGTGTTGCTGTAAAGAGCTGTAAAAATCTGCTTTTTAGCTGCTATGTGTCAGGTGGGAAAGTGATGAGCTAGGAAAGGTAGGCTTTACAGTGCTATTGTCACTTCATCTGTGAAAAATAAAATTTAGAAGCCCTTTATGTATCTTTGTTCAGGATATTCATGCTGAGCAGGATGGCATCTATGCATCTGGCTCCTGGTTTTTGCCTCTGCTTAATCTGTCCATTTCCCCTTCTGTCCATCTCTCTGTCTGTCCATCCATGCGCTTGCACATCCAGCCATTGCCTGCTGGCTGCAATAGCCCAGTACTTCTGGACATCAGATGTTTGAGTCTGGCTCTGGCAGCTACTAGCAGTGCACATCCACCCCGGTCCATTCTCAGTAATTCATTTAATCACACTGTGGCTCAATTTTCTCATCTATAAGATGGGATAACATTCAGCTGAAAGAGTTGTCATTGCAGTGAAATAAGGATGCAGCTACAGAGTTTAGGGAAGCATCTGAAGCCTAGTAAGGGCTCAGTAAGTTACGATTAATGAAAGTACAGAAGGGGTTTAAGGAGCAATTCCCATTAGAAAAAGTAACAAAGAAAGGGGAACAGTTTTAAGGTGGGGGTGAAGGAGGGTGTTTTATGCAACTTCTCATTCATTACCTGCAGTTCCCTTTTCACCTTTCTCTCCTTTCCTGCCGTCTCTACCATCTCTTCCTGGAAGGCCGATGCGACCATGGGGCCCAGGGGAACCATTTGCTCCAGGGGGCCCTGGAGGTCCAGGCAAGCCAGGAATGCTGCAGATATACCTGGGGGAGTAGTTCTCTCCTTTCAACTGATTACCCCGGGGTTGTCCACTGGCACAAATGGCAAAACTTGTAACATAGAGCAAGACAAACATCTTTGGCTCTGGAAGAGAAACACACAGACGTAAATGAACTTTCTGTGTTGGGAGGGGTGTGGTTTGGCATGATTGAATCAGTTTGAACAAGAGAATGTGCATTTGCAACAAATCACTCCAGTGTTCGTCTTTCCAGACATGTAAAACACTGTTTACCTTCATAATTCCATTGAAAATTATCAACACATTATTGATATAGAATCCTCAGTGCCCTACACGGGAGTTGGTGCAGATGAAGAATTGGTTAAAAACATTTCAAAATAAATCACTGCATTTATTCTTCAGAAATCAATGATGGATTTAAAAATGGCATTTTCTTTTTACAAACATAGTGCATTTTTTAAAGAAAAAAATTTAGACCTGGAAATGAAAAAGATAAACATCAACATTATTTTTACCACCTTGAGATTTACATTTTAGTATATATATCCTTCCAGTCTCTTTTGTCTATACTATGGAGAAAGTGATACCATGCCATTTCTACACTTCCTTAACTTCTTTCACTTGACAATGTATCATGAACACCTTCTCATGTCAAAATTATGTGTGACATTAAAAAATAATTGCTTTTGTCTCTACTATCTTTTATGTACAGAACCCCCATTATAGATATTTAGGTTGCTTCCAAAGTTCTCCCAATATGAACATCATGCTAGACATCATTCTAGCTAATCTTTGCATGCACCCATGATTGTTTTCTTAGAATTTATGGACTATTTAAAGCTGGAGAAAAGAGGAGGCATTTTCAGGAAAACCATGGTTTTCACTTGGTAATCATGTATAATGCCAATTAGTGTTAATTGGGGTACTGTGCATGTCCTGAGGGGAGGTCTCAAACTTTAATTTAAAATCTGCAGGATATAATGTCGTGGTGTCCCATTAAGCTGTTAGCACTGGGGCTCAATTAAAGAGCTGTGTGAAATTAAGCCACGCATGGTGCCTGTGCCCCAAGTGAAGCAGGCAGCAGGTCTCTTCAATTCTGATCTAATAGGACTCCCCCATAAAGCCTAGAAGCTCAGAATGATGAGTCATTTATTAGTATGGCACTTTGGCATATAGGCTGAAGGTGAGATGGAGAGTGGTATAGATTGGAGATACCTGATTTTTTAGGCTAAATGGTCCTTAGTATTAGCAGTTTTTTAAAGGGAAGAACATATACAGGTGGTTCTGGGGTCATGCAAATGAGTTGTGTTTGGATGGTTGGACCCATGCTTTAACAAGAAATCTATATAGTGCTTGACCTGGTGTATACTCTCCCAAAGGAAATCATCACAAAATGTGGGGAAAGCAATCAGATGAAATTTCTTTTGTTTTTTGACAGCCATGTGAGAAAATTGACCAGGCACACATCACCACTTTTGTGGTACCCATGGGGAAATTGCAACATCTTGGAATTAGACCCAGAAAATTGCCAGAGCGTAGGAATGACAAACTAAGAAAAACACAGTGTGCACATGTGATTTTGAAGTAAGCTGATTCCTAGAAATCTTATTAGTGAAAAACCAAAGCAACTTATCCGAACTCAGGCTCTGTAACTTTGACTAAATCTTGGTGTTACTAGTTGAAAAAAAAAAAGCAAGGAGAACATTTTTGCCATGCCCTGTCTGGTAGACATTTTTGTATGCCCTTGTCATACAGCACAAATCCAAAATTATTGATTCTATTGCTCAACTGGAATTAAGGCACTTTCTGACAAGCCCAGTGCATTCAATACAGGCCTTCCAAAGGAGCTTCAGATGAAAAAAAAATATATGGAAAGAACATTCTGTTCACACCCCCTGCCACAGTAAGAACAAGATGCATTGATTAAATTAGCAGTTCTCTCTCCGTTGTGAAAGGCTGATTAGAGGAGGCTTTGAGAAGGAATGAGAAAGTGGCCCTGTCTGGGACTTCATCTTTAAAATGTGGGGGAAGCAAGTCTGATCTCAGGAGCTTTAAAGCCCTTCCTCAGGGGGCCACCTTTCTGGGACTTGCCAAGCTCTTTGGGGCCTGGAATCACGATGGGCTACCTGCCGAGGAGGCCGCCTGGAGATTCAGGCTGTCCTGTGATTTCTGGTGATATGTGTTCTCACTTATTTGTCTGCTACTTGTGTGTTGAAATTTAGAATCATTTCCCACAGAATTGTTGCTATTTGACAGGAAGAGAAGATGGGCTAGAGTAAACCCAATCTTAAGTTCTTGTCTTGTTACCATTTAAAATGGACATTTAATTTTTCAAATTGCTGTTGGTGCCTAATCACTTAAGTTATTAATCTATTCTGTTTTCTTTAAAGAATTTTAATACATATCCTGGGAGGGAACGTGTTCAAGTAGGTCATGTTTTTGCTGTGGTGATACATGATGCAGGCCTGGAGCGTGCAGGGCCCATTTTGCTGTGGTGATGGAGCAGGACAGCAATAAAGTCACCCCCCTCCCCAGAAAAAAAAGGCTGGGTGTGGTGGCTCACGTCTGTAATCCCAGTGTATTGGGAGGCTGAGGTGGAAGGATTACTTGAGCCCAGGAATTTGAGAGGAGCCTGGGCAACATAGCAAGACCCCATCTCTACCAAAAAAATAAAGGTTCATAGAAGATAGTCATAATGAGGCTTTTAACTAGACATGGGGTGCAAGGCTATTGGCTGAGGCCAGAGTTGCTTTCAGGAGGGACCTGAAAGCAACTGCAGAGAAGTTGATTTGGACAGTGGCTTCTCAGACATGGTGATGCAGGTGTGAAAGCCTAACTATGCCAATAGTCACAGGAACAGTCTGTGAAGAAGAATGTGGTAAGGGTCTAGTTGATGGTGGGCAAAGGAAGCAGAAATTTTAAAGATGTGATTGGAAGAAACGATATTCAGTATTGCCAATAGCCAGGCAAAAAGGAACTCAAGGAATAAATTAAAACAATGTAAACAGATTTATTCATTGAATAAATAGATTGCTTTTATGACAAGTGCGGAAGAATACTACTGCCTGTATAGGAGTCTAAATGCTTCAAGCATTCCCAATTAAAACTTTAAAAAAGGCACTCAAAGTGATTATTCCGTAAAAATCCTTATCAGAATTGAGGAACAGGCTGGGCACGATGGCTCACGCCTGTATTCCCAGCACTTTGGGTGGCCAAGGTTGGAGGATCACTTGAAGTCAAGAGTTCAAGATTAGCCTGGCCAATATGGTGAAACCCATCTCTACTAAAAATACAAAAAGTAGCCCTGCATGGTGGCGTGCACCTGTAATTCCAGCTACTCGAGAGGCTGAGGCAGGAGAATCACTTGAACCCTGGAGGTGGAAGTTGCAGTGAGCAGAGATTGTGTTGCTGCACTCCAGCCTGAGCAACAGAGCCAGACCCTGTCTCAAAAAACAAAAAGAATTGAGGAACAATGTGTTGTGGTGCCTGATGCATGCTAGTGGCACGATGGTGACTGGTCAGTCAAGTACTGGGATTCAGTTGATGCAAGAAGACCACGGGGTGTGCATTATAATGGAAAAATCACAGTGGGATCACGCTGTTTGGTTCTTCATTGCACCTAAGGGCCCAAAGCTTCATGTTACATGGTGCGATGGTCTACAAGGCCCTCCTTATTTCCCTGACTTCATCTTCTATTCTCCTCACATTGTCAGCTCCAGTCACACTGGATTCCTTGGTGCTCCTCAAAGACACTAGGTGTGCCCTGCCTTAGGGTCTCACGTGTCTCTTCGCATTGTCTAAATCCCTCTTCACCAAGATGTCTATATAGCTACTTCTTCATCTCCCTCTTCACATCGTTGCTCAAATGGCATCTTGTCACTAAGTTCAACCCTTATCACCGTGCTTAACACTGCAATCTGCCTTCTTCTGCCCATGACCTTCCTTTTATCTGCTCTACATTTTTTCTATTCTTTATTGTACTTTTCACTTCTAACTCAGTAGCTAATTCCTATCTTTATTTTATATCTATATTTTTCCTGATAGAATGTAAGCTACATGAGGGCAGGGATCTTTGTTGAAGTCATTGATGTGTCCAACCACTTACAGCAGGGCTTAACCCAAAAAACATGGCTGGAGAAAGAGGAGAATTTTGTGGGGAGGTTTGAGCTTTGTGGGGGAAAAAAACTGGTGAGAAATTATGAAATATGAGAATATTACACAAGAAAGAGGGAGGTGGGGTTTGAAGAAATCTCCCTGGAGCCTATGTGTCCTTTTTGCAGTGTTTGAGAAATACAAATACAAAACTTGAGTTGTTTTAATTTGACATAGTCTAGGGTGTTTAAAAATATTTTAAAATTAATTTTTTATATAGGGAATACATGTACATTTCATAAAATTCAAAAGAAAAAAGAGTATGCAACGATAAGTCAATTTCTTCACCTCCCTTTGAGTCTTCTGGATACCCAGGTTCCCTCCCTAGAGCTGATCACCTGTGCGAGTTTCTTGAGTGTCCTCCTTCCCCATGTTGGCATCCCATATACAATGTTCTGTACGTTGCCTTTTCACTTAGTTTCCATATGAGTATTTATAGCTTCTGTATTGACACCTATATGTGTAGAGCTGTCTTGTCCTTTTTTATTTAGTGGCTAAAAAAATCCATCATATAGATGTGTTTGTAATATTTAACCAGTTTCCTATGATGGGTATTTGGACTATTTTCTTTCTTTTGCTGTTATAAGCAATGGTGCAATGAATCTATCTATCTATCTATCTATCTATCTATCTAT
Source organism: Homo sapiens (assembly GCF_000001405.40). NCBI lineage: Eukaryota > Metazoa > Chordata > Mammalia > Primates > Hominidae > Homo > Homo sapiens. Next base: position 15,431,073 of record NC_000004.12, on the reverse strand, counting down.
CTATCTATCTATCTATCTATCATCTATCTATCTTAATCTACAAATGGCTTATGACATGAGCAGCAAATAATTTCCCCCAGTTTGTCCTTTGTCTTTCCTCATGTATTTTAAAATATTTTTACCATGAAAATATTTTTTGAGGTTCAATTTATTGGGTTTAGAAGGCCTTCACCACTTTAAGGTCCTGAAAAGAATCCTTGTGCTTTTCTTTCAATTTTTTTGTTTCATTTTTTCACATTTAAAAATTTGTTCCATCAGAATGTTTCTGATAAAAAGTGTGAGGTAGGGATATAACTTTATATTTTCAACTCCTTTTATTGAATAATCCACTCTTTACCCACTCCCCCACTGCCTTGCAGTGAACTTGATTATTTTGACTGGGAATAAATCACGTAGGTCACAATTTCATAAACATTACAATAATTTTTAACAGCTTTATAAGGATATAATTTGCACACCATAAAATTTACCAAAGTGTACAACTTAATGTACATCACAATCCAATTAAAGACTATTTTAAAACTCCAAAAAGAAACCTGTACCCCTTAGCTGTCACTCCACATACAATATGCTTTAAAACATTGAATTGAATTCATGAGTAGCTGGGACTACAAGTGTGTGCCACCACACCTGGCTAACTTTTGTATTTTTTAGAGAGATGAGGTTTCACCAAGTTACCCAGGTTGGTCTTGAACTCCTAAACTCAAGCGATCTGCCCACCTCGCCCTCCCAAAGTGCTGGGGTTTCAAGAGTGAGCTGCCACGCCCAACCTGGAAATACTGTTAATCTTGAACACGTCTGTCCTGGATGCTAATTATAAATAATCCTCCATCCTATTTTTCTGTAGGGATTACAAAGTAACAGGTTTTTGTTTTTAAAACACATTTAAAAAATTTAATTTGTGTTAGTTTAGATTCAAGAGGCTCCATGTTCATGTGCTTATATTTGAGGCAGAAATGTTGTATATAGTATTTTGTGAATTTATTTAGTCATGGAGCCCTTTGTTCTCGCTAAACTAGCCATGGAAAATACTTGGAGAAATACTGATTAACTCAGTACAAAGATTGAAATCCTGGAAAACATGTTCATAGATTGAGATCCCTTTGTAAATAGCATATTATTTTTTCCCCAGTGTAAGTAGACTCCAAGTATATTTTTTTCTTGGAAAAATAAAATATGTTGGTGGTGGGAATGTAAAATGGTGCAGCGCCTGTGGAAAACAGGATAGTGATTCCTCAAAAAAATTAAAGAGAATTACCATATGATATGGCAATTCCACTTTGGGGCATATATCCAAAAGAAGTAAAATCAGGGACTCAAACAAATATTTGCACATGCATGTTCGTAGCAGCAAGGACTCAAACAGATATTTGCATAGCCATATCTGCAGCGTTATTCACAATAGGCAAAAGGTGGAAGCAACCCAAGTGTCCATGGAAAGGTGAATGGATAAACAAAACCTGGTCTACACGTACAATGGAATCTTCTTCAGCCTTAAAAGGAAAGGAGATACTGACACATGCTACAACATGAGGAACCCTGAAGACAGTATATTATGTGAAATAAGCCAGTCACAAAAGGACAAATATTGTGTGATTCCTCTTACACAAAGTTCCTAGAGTAGTCACATTCATCAAGACTGAAAGTAGAATACTCACTGTTGGAGGAGGAAGGGAAGAGGGGAATGGGAATTTATGGTTTCATGGGTATAGAGAGTTTCAGTTTGGGAAGACGAAGAAGTCCTGGAGAGATGGTGATGATACTGCATAACAAAATGAATGTATTTAATGCTGCAGAACCGTACACATAAGAATGGTTGAAATGGTAAATTTTATGATATGTATATTTTACCATAATTAAAAAAACTGAATAAAAATGAATTGGAATGCAGGGAGAGCCCAGTATTCTTATTTCTGTGCCAGGTGTTTTAAGGACATCTTTTACTTTATCCTCACACCACTTGTTATGAAGTAAGTGCTATTACCTTCACTTTATAAGTAAGAACATTGATACTCTGTGGGCTCAAGTCCACACAGGCATGAAATGGTGCAGCCAGAATTTGTACTGAGTTCTTTTGTCTTCAAACACTTGAGTTTGTCCCTACATCATGTGAGGGAAACTATAACATATTACTTCATGACAAAGGGCTGGACTTGATAATTAATTCAAGTTGAAAATGTGCTTTGCCTGGAAATCATTAAGAAGAGAATAGGTAACCAGGAAAAGCCAAAACGGGACATTTTCTTGGCCTGCAGAGGTGGAGATTTCACAACAGCAAGCTCTGTGTTTCTCTTGTTGCACTGGGAGTGGCACTGTGATTGGGACAGGATGGAGACCTGAGCTGCTCATGCCTCAGTTCCTTTTATGTTGTTGTTCACCAGTTCTTTGCTTTTGGGGGCTCCAATTTTCCTCTGCAGAACTGCTTTTCCTGTTTGCCATGAATTAACCTCCTTCTCCTCCTGGCACTACTCAAGTCCCTGCAAGGCCACACAATTGCACTGTGTTATGGCTATCTATTGACTTGCTTGTTTCCCCACTAAAATGCAAACTCTAGGACAGAGACTAGTCTACAGTAGAGGCTCAATGAAGAAAAAAAAATTCATCAATATTTATTATTGTCAACAGTTCATTATTGATAAAGTTTTGACTACTTTATGGCACAGTGATTAAAAAAAACCCTGACATTTGCAAAACATTTTATATCCTAGAGAGCAATGCTAAGCCCATATCGTCCTCCCCAAAACCATCTTGTGGTAGGTTAGATGGGGAACCAAGGTCCTGAGAAGTCCCGCAACTTGTCTATGGTTAGAAAGCTAGTGTCAGTCCAGAGACTTGAAGCTAGGTCTTCAGTTTTATGGATTCTTCCTACAGAGCCATCTGTTTAATAAGCTAAAAAGCTCCCGTCACGAGAACAGGCCATTGCATCTACATTTGCCAAAATTCTAAAAAAAAGAGTAAACACCATACCTTGCTCTTAGATGGTGGGCTGCTGCAGGATTCTAAATCCACAAGAGACTGAGGATCTTTCATGAGAGCTCAGTGAAAAACTTGCTTTGGTACCAGACAGAATAACAGATCCAAATTCTCAAAGATTTCCAAATAGTTGTGCTAAAAATAATTTTCTCGTTTAGTCCCAAAGAGCCAAAGGCCCTGGAAGTCATTCATCGAGTGAGGCTCAACTCGGGGACCAGTTAAAATTACAGTTTTGTTTGGGATAAACTTTAAGTGCCTGCTTTCCTTCAGTGGTAAGTTTAGAGCTTCTCCATCTCTGTGTGTTGTGGCCTCTTTTTCAGATTTGTTTACTTAATTTTTTCCCTCTTCATTTGTTTTCCACTGAGTGAATGTTTCAGGAAAAAAATTACTCACTGACTGGAAATTAGTTGTTAACTTAGAGAAAAAAGCCATTTTATATTTGAGAGTTTTGGAGGTAGAGCCTTTAGATTCTGGACCTAGGATGGTGTCTTGTGGAATAATGAACACTGTCCCTATTCTTGGTAAATATGGCAGGAAAATAGCCCCTCATTCTATGTGCTGTGCAAAGAAAGAGGGTTATGAGAATTGCACTGATTTTGTTTTCTTTGTTCTTTGCTGAATGGATAAATGATTGGGTATTTTTAGAAAACTAATATGTCTTTGTGCCTGTAAAGAACTGATCATAACATCTCAAAAGGCAGAATGATTCTCCAAAGCATATGACTAGTCGTCTATGGTGCAATCAATTTCTTTGTTTCCTTCTGCTATGTATTTCTTATATTTCCTTGGCAACAGCAATATATAATTTATGATGTCATTTATGGAAATTAGACGACTGAAAAAAATCTTGTTTTTATCTTTCTTTTCCTCTCATTCTTCTCAAGCAATGAGAACTCTAATTGAAAGGAATGTTTCCAGAGTTAGTGAAGTGGATGTTGACCACACACTTGACCAACGAGATTGCTGGGCTCCCCGTTCTGACCAGCTTAATTTTGCCTTTGGGATCCACTCTCCACACTGGAGGAAATGGTCCTTTGAATTTGTTGGCTTTCCAAAATCTTAATGCCATCATAGGATGGTCAAAACAATGTCTTGAGCATAGAAGCTAGTCATAACTTATTGCTAAATTAGAGTCAGATTTTAATCAGATAAAGTCTCTGTGTCTGTTTTCTCACTTTCAAAATAAGATGGTTGTCCTTGATTATTTCCAGGGTTTCTCATAGTTCTTAATATTCTCGAACCAAATGATGGTGTCTGATGTCACCCATTTACAAGCTTAATTTCAGGTGATACAGCCTTTTAATATGTTCATTTATTTGTTTATAAGTGATAACTTCTTAAGTGGGCTTTTTCCATTATGTCTGCTTTGGAGTAGCCCAGTCTCTGCCAGGGAGCTCAGAAGTGGATGAATTTGTAGACCAATAAAAGAATAGATGCATTCTTATTTTTCTGCCTTAAAGTGTTGATACAATTTGTGGATATTCATATTTTCTTTTCTGTGTCATTCACAACTTCTCTAATTTCTCTTTAATGTTACTTACCACATAAAATAAGGTTTTTTGTATCATTAAAGTATTACAGTATTTTTTCTGTTCTTCAATAAAAATTGAATTTCTTCTTTTTCTTCTTTATTATTTTCATCCCAGATAATTTATTGTAATCTGTGTCTTTCTGAACTCATTCTTTTTCCCAGAGAGAATGAACCTTTGAAAATGTCTCTGAGAGTGTTCAGAACCTCAGATGTTGATAAAGCTTGTCAGTGTCTATTTCACTCAGTTATTTTCACACTTAGAAGCAGTGGTGAAGTGATGGGTAGAAAAATATGCTTAAGGAAGTATTGGCTCAGAGTAAAAGTCAGATTCCATTTTTACCTGCCACTCACCCCAAGGACGGGGTCTTATTTTGTCTTTCCTAGGCAGATAATCTTCCTTTCTCAACTTGTGCTCTTTTTTACCCCATATCCTTTATTTACTTTTCAACTGAATTCATTCCATTCCATTCCAATCCCATCAGTGTTCCCAGAGCACCTAACAGTTTGCCGCTAACCTAGCTCTCAAAAAGAAGGTTCAGATTTGTAGCTTTTGTTAGTTTTCTTGGAGTGAATACCCCCGCCATGGTCAATTTCAAGCTAACAATCTGACCTTCACTGAATGCAGAGTTGGAAAGTTATAGAATGTAGAATTGTAGAATTCGCACTTGCTGGCAGGTATAAGCCAGCTCTGCTCACCACTACACACATACATACACACACACTCACACACCATTTTTCTAGGTGGTAGAAGTATTTTAAAAAGAAGGTTCTAGCTGATATGTAATGAGCATGTACAACGTGCTAAGACATGACAAGCATCACTTTCTTTAATCCTCATCATAACCTCTTGAGGTGAGTAATTGTATTATCCTCCTTCTACAGATGAGTAATTTAGACAGTCTGATCCACAATTGACACACCTAACTACTTACCATATTTCCTCCCTAGGTTGTTGCTAACTTTAAAAGACCATGTTTTTGCATCCAAACAACTTGCAGTTGCATACCCTCTGTTTCTTCCTCCTCCTCTCCATGGGTGCCCTGGGTTCTGTTAGGAATTGAATCTTCTCTTTGTAACCTCAGTGCCTTGCTTATATCATCTCCAGTAGCTGCAAGCCATTACCAACCATGTCTCCCCTATGCCTCTTTCTCCATCTGTTCACATTTATCTTCTGTATGCATCACTTTCTACAGAAAGTCTCCCTGATATTCTCAAGCAGGCACAACCCTGTCTTCTCCTGAACCCTTCTAGCACGTAATTTGGATCTGCCATGCACTTTAGCTCACTGGCTCTTAACTAGATCTACTGAATGAGCATATCAGTAGATTAAGTTAGGCATTAATATTTTTTAAAAGCTCTATGGGTGATTCCAATGGGCAGCCAGGCTCTAGGAATCTTTGCCTTATCTACTCTTGCTCAAATGATGCCTTATCTGCTTGTCCTTACAAACCGGGGAGTTGTAGTGATACAAATCTGGTCTTCTTTGTGTCTCATCCTGTTCTTTTATTTATTACTTCATCACTTATTTATTTAGCTGCTACTATATGTCAGATGCTGAATGCTTGGTCTGGGTATTCAGTAGAGAGCAAACAAAGAGACCTTGTAGAGACAAAATCTAGTGAGGAAGAGAGATATTTATGAAATAATCACAGAACTGTGCTTAACAGGATATGAATTGGGAATTCCCATCCACTTGGAATTTCAGCTGAGAACACAAAGCAGAGAATGATAGGCAACCAATGCTCATACATCGACTTAGAACTTGTTAAAATCCAGCTGGATCTGACAGTGACCATCAGCCATTTTCAGTCCACATAAAAGAAAGCTAGAAATTCAGAAAAGATTAGTGGTTGAAGAGAGGCATCAAGGTAGAGTTGTGGAGAAGGGAGAGGAGTGCAGGGGCAGCTGTTAGAGAGGCAAGAATATATGCACTCCCCAAGAGGGAGATGGTACTGAGGAAGGCAGCTGAGTGGGGCCATCGTGATGGGACTTCCTGAGCCAAGGAGTCCTCCTAGTGGGGGGAGGCCACTAAGAAGTCACTGGGTGTATCACTGAGTACAGAATCTGAGGCTGGTGGGGGGAGCACTGCAAGCTATCAACCAAGGAACACCTTCACCCCGAAAGAGCCAGCATTTGGCTACCTGGAGTGCATAGCAGACATTGGAGCCAGGAGAGGATCATACAAGTAGCACTTACTAAGTAAGAATAATTCAGTCACTTTTTTCCTGATTATTCTACTCTCTGACCTGACTCAAGAGGAGCTGAAAGTGAAAGGAAGTGGCAGGAGATGGGGGAAGAGTGAAAGGGTACAGCATATCCTGAACTACAGCCATGGAGATGGACAAGTATTGTATTGGATATAAAATAGAAAATTTGATTGAGATTTGTCTTTTTAATATCTGAAAATGAGTCACAATTGACTAATAAAATTGTTCATGTAACTGGAAGTTACCAGAAAGCCAAGAAATTTGCCTGAGATGTCATAAAAGGGCAGGGAAGAAAGATCCAACAGAATTTGGCTAGAACAAATGATGGAAGAAAAATGAGGTTATTTTTTATTCATTTCATATTAAGGACAGTTAATACCATTTGATAAACTCAATAAGTTTTGGAGAATGCTTGAAGGAAAAAAATAAAGGATATTGTGGAGTGTTTAGCCGGACAACCCAGTTGAATCTTGCCTAAAGAACTTGCCTAAATAAGAGAGAACTTGCCTAAAGGAATGACATCTGACCTAAAAGGGGGGGAAACGGTAGGCATGAACCTGGCAGAAGGGCAGGAAAACACATCCAGGCTGAGAGAATGTCATATGCAAAGGCCCTGAGGTGGAAGAGGATGATGCTGAGTGGAGGCCAGTGGGAAAGAGCAAAGGCAGGCATAAGCCTGCAGGGAGGATGTGCCTGGGCCAGGCGGGGCTCTGTTGGCCACGGGAGGTTTTGGTCCTTATCCTGGGGTCAGTAGGTTCCTCAGAAGGGCTGTGAGTGGGATTTCATGAACCAGGCTGTTGACCAGGTAGAGGTGGTGCCTGCTGCCGCTTTCCTGGCTTTTCAAGCGGACTTCAACCAGCTGAAATGACTCAGTTTGGTTTCTAAACTGAATCTGCTTTCATTGCAGGGAAAGAGGTGGGTTCTTATGAGAAAAGGAGTTTGCATATTTAAAAAAGGCAATTCAGTGACTCATGGAATGAACAAATGTCATTGACCCCTGTGTGTGCCAGGCACTGTGCTGGGCCCTGAACATACAGCTTGAAAGCGAAGACAGGATCTCAACTCACAGTTCTTACACTGCACTGGGAATTTCACACTGTTAGAGAAGAAGGGATCTCAGAGGTTATCTGCTTGAGTTTCCTGTTTCACAGATAAAAAGCCAGATTCAGTAAGAAGTGACTTGCCCAAATAACCTATTTATGCTAAACCAGAACTGGAACTCAGGTCCCTGCAGGGTGGCCAAAAGAGTCTTTGCTCTACAGCCTTCACTGATACCTGGTTTCTACTTCACATGTAGAAGACAATCCAGTGTTTTAATCTACATAAATATCCATCCTTGTGGATAAATGTGAATTAACAATATAGCATTATCCCAGATCATAATACTTTACCTTGTCCAAAATATCACTTCTCATATTTTAAAACGTAAAAAACTTAAAAACTTATAGAAAGTTGGCCAGACGTGGTGGCTCATAACTGTAATTCCAGCATTTTGGGGGGCTATGGTGGGAAGATCGCTTGAGACCAGCCTGGGCAATATGGCAAAACCCCATCTCTACAAAAATAAATAAATACATAAAAAAGAAATAAAAAACCAGCCATTGCTGGAGTGCATGTATAGGCACATCTACTCAGAAGGCTGAGGTGGGAGGATGGCTTGAGCCCGAGATGTTGAAGCTGCAGTGAACCATGTTTGCACCACTGCACTCCAGCCTAGGTGACAAAGCAAGACCCTTTCTAAAAAAAAAAAATTATCGAAAGTTTTAAACATATTAAAAAACAGAGATCAAGTAGATAATGAATTTCCATGTACCCACTGAGCTATTTGGAAATTTAGCATTGAATGGACAGGAAATAATATTAGATGAAATAATGTTAGGTTAGGGTAGATATTAGATGAGAATGCATTTTCCCTGATCCTTTGGTCTTCAGGAGGAAGGATTTTCCAAGTAAGCTCTTTTCCTTCCTCACCTCTTGATTTATTCTGCCCTGGGGAAAATAGGATGAATTATCAGATAGGCAAATATGAAAAGAATAACTAGGCATGTTCAGGTCAATGAACTGGAGATAAAAAATCTGCCAAATCCCAAGGAATCTGGATTAAGAAGCTCCTTTGCTGTCATATCTGTGCAATATCCTTTTTTTTTTTTTTAAAAAAAAACAGGTTTATTAGATTATAATTATTAAAATGTAAAATTTACCCTTTTGGTATTAATAGTTTCGTGATTTTTGGCCAATGTATGCAATTGTATAACCACCACTAAAAAAGAGATACAGAGCATTTCCATTCCCTCCAAAATGTTCCCTTATGTCCCTTTGTAGTCAGTCTCCTCCACCCCAGCTGCCTGCAACCTCTGATCATATATCTGTCCTGTAATTTTGCCTTTTCCAGAGTGTCATATAAATAGAATCTTACAATATGTGGGTTTTTGAGGCTCTGTTCTTTCACTTAACATAATGTTTTTGAGAGTCATTCATGTTGCATGTTTCTTTCATTGCTGAATAGTATTCCATTGTACGGTTGTACCACAAATTTTAAATATCTATATCTATATATTTATTAACCATCTACTATGTGCTACCTACAGTGAGTCCTGACCACTTAGCGAAGTAGGTATTATTATCTCCTTATTACAGGTGTGGAAACTGAAGTTTCTAAATGAGAGAACTGGCCCAAGGTCACACAGCTACTGAGTGATAGATTTGGCATTCAAACCCAGATTTGTCTGACCTTCAAACCAAGCTCTCGGTTTAGGATGAGGAGAGTGATAGTACTTGGCTCCTTGGATTGTTGTAAAAATTAATTGAAATAATCCCCAGAAAATGAGTCCCTGTTGCCTGGCACTTCGTGGGTGCTCCGTAAATATGAAGTGGGTGAACAGTGCTGACATAGCTGCCGCTGCTCTTACCATTGACCTTTGGCTACTGTTCTTTGGTAAGTGCCATTGACTATCCTGGGTTCTCTATGCTCCTCTTGTTTGCACCTGAAAACCATCCGAAGGCCAGAGACCTGGAAGCAATGCCTCCACTCAATGATGCAAACCACTCCAGCCACAGAATGTTGAGAGTGTCTTTGTGACATTATGTAGGCATAAAAATAGTGGTGATTGTAACAATATTGTGCTAATACCTTACATTTATTATTTAGTAGAAAAAGCTCTTCAACTCTCTTTTTTTTTCAGTCATCTCGGTCTATTTGAACATTTTGGTGTTTCTAAACGTTTATCCGGATAATGGGGGGCCCATGTTCTCTACTTTGTTTATTGCTAAAAACATGTGAGGCATTTTGTGGGGAGGGTGCCTGAGGACATGAGCCAAGTTCAGGGTCAAGAGCTATATTAGACCCAACAAAGGCAAAGATTTAGCGGCAGGTGGTGCCTCTTGCATACATATTCACTTCCAGCCAAAACAATGTCCTCAGCAGACTCCATCACATTGGAGCGAGAGCTGGGAAATCCAACAATGACTCAGTGTGCTGGGGAGGAAAGCTGAGCACTGAGGTTTGGTAAAAAAAAAAAAAAAAAAAAAAAAAAAAAGACAAAGCAGTGGAATGTTACCCTAGAGTCTAAACTAGCAGAAATCTTCATGTCTTCTCCCTTCCCACTGACATTTCTTTGTGGAGTAAGACTGCTGACTTTGAAGGACAAAGTCATCATTGTCCAGCCATGTGACCTTGGGCAAATTGCCTTGGGCAAAAGACTCTGAGGATTACCCCTCTGAAACCTTAGTGTTCTCTTCTATAAATTGAAATTTTAAAAATATCCAAATGAAGTAAGGTTGTTATAAAGTTTGATGAAGTAATGCATCTTGTTGACTGACACATTTGTGCTACTCAAACTCAAAAAATGTTGATTTCTGTTGGTGCAGGGAGGAGCAGATTTAAGTTAGAGGCATTCCTTTTTCTTTCAATAGTGTTTAGAGTTTACGTTCTTGTTGGGACTAGGAAATGCATGTCTTTGGATGCACTTTAGATCTGTGTTTTCAGGATAATCTCATCTACGTGATCAGAAACACTCTCCTTAGGGACTGAACTCCTAAGCAATTTCTTGAAAACTGAAGGTTGACTGTAAGGTGTCTGAGAAAATAAGTGCCAGGATGGAATAAGTAGTTTTTTCATGGAGAGCTAATGGTTTCAGTGAAAGCCTGGCATTGAGAGAGAACAAGGCACCTTGGAGAGTGAGAAAGCTGGGGAGGCTGGAGAAGAGTGAGGAGGAAGAAGGATGGGGGGTGGAGCCCGTTGCGGAGGCTGTGGATATTGAGGCTAAAGCTTTCTTGGGGAACTTAGACTTTATCTTCAGGGCATTAAGAAGCCAGTGAAGAGTTTGCCAGTGATGAGAATCGTATGTGACTCCTATTAATAGATAGATTTCTTGGACTGCTATCTGGAGAAAGGATGGGAGGCAGCAAAAATGAAGCACACTTGGGCAAAGATAGGTAAGAAAACCACCCCACCACTGGCAAGGATTCTAATATAGTGGGATTCTAGAAGATTAGGCACAGATTTGGTTTGTTTGGTTTTTGTTTGGCCGTGTGTGTGTATGTTTGTGTGTGTGTGTGCATATATGTATGTGATTTCCTTCTAATATTTTTCCTATTCATAGTATATACACTTTTTGATCAAAATACATATGCTATTTTTTTAACCTCATATATTATCTATTCTTGTCCTATGGAACTATTTGTATTTTATTTTAAATATACGCTCACGAAATATCAGGAGGAAAAGGTAGGAAAACAAGAGTAAATCATTATTTATTTAGTTCTATTTCTCAGAACTATACCACTGTTACCACTTTAGTTTCTTTCTTTCTGTTATTTTTGTTCTCTCTGTGTATGCATAGGTCTTCTGTTCAAAGATTTGTAATAGTACCTATACACTGTTGCTGTGTGCTTTTTCTTTAACCTAATATTATATCATAAGTGTTTTTCCCCTGTTATGTTTTGGAGCCATTAATGGCCAAACGATATCCATCAAGTAGTTGTACAATAATTTATTTAACCCCCTTCTCTCCTATTAGGGGACAATTAAGCTGTTTCTATTTTTTCCTAGTATAAATGAGATTACATTGAAAGTTTTGTGCATAAGCCTTTATCCCTATTTAGGATTATTTCCTTAGGATAGATTCCCAGAAATGGAATTATTGGATCAAAAGGTCTGTATGTTTTATGTCTTTTTTGGTACATGCTGCCAAACTGCTTTCCAAAAGGTTGTGTGAATTTACACTGCCTTGTCCCTGTATAAAAACAAAATCCTGGGGAATGTAAGTTCCCCCACAGCCAGGCACCTTTTGTCCCTGGAACACAGACGGAGCCACAGAATCTCAGATTTGGAAGTAACTTTAAAGGTTAGTGAAGCTAACCTCTGCTGTGAAGAGAACGTCAAAGCTTGTTCCACAATGGTATTGGCATTTGTGCCATTTTTGTGTTGGGTGGCATCTCAGTGGTCATTTTGCATAAATGCCCCCAATTCCCTACACAGTCTCAGCCAGGGGCTCTGGGCAGACTCTGTGCTGAGGGCTCTGCATACACCAACTCAGTCTTTCTACAACCACAGGAGAAGGTTACTGTTATTATTCTTTGCATTCTTCAGATGGAAAAACAGGCAGAAGAGGTAAATAACTTGCCTGAGGCCATGTGGTCTTAGGACACTTAACTACTGTATTTTACTACCTCTTTTTAGTAAATACCTATATAACTAAAGAGAGATAAGCACTACAAAGGAGAAGAGGGGTTGGTGAAAGAGATTGAAAAGAGTGCCTACTGTGGTTTGGGAGATCAGCGAAAGTCACTCTAAGGATGAGATACCTGGGGATACCTGAGGATGACTTAGCCAGGTGAAGATGGGATAAAAGCCTCACAGGGAGGGAGAACAGTATGTGAGAGGGCCCTGGGGCAGGAGAGGACTTCGGGAATTATAGTAACTGAAAGGACAATGGGTTGGAACTTATAAGACAAAATGGCCTGTAAGAAAGGAGGTCAGAAAAATAGTAGGGGTCAAGTCATTTCAGGGCCTGAAGAGGTTGGCTTTTATCTTAACAGCAATGGGGTTCCATGAGAGGGTTAGAGGAGAACATGATCTTTGTTGTGCATAAAACGATGATGGAGAAGGTATTAGAGAGGGCTGGGGAGGGGAGGTGGGAGCAAGTTGGGAGGCTGATGCAGCTGAGTGGGCAAAGATGATCATGGCTGATCACTGTGGCTACAAAGGATAACGAGAGAAGTGGAGAGATTTTCAACAAACTTTTGTTTAAGAGCTGATGGGTAAGATGTAGCCTCTTACAGGAAGCCTTTTGGGCACTTGTCCATGCGGGCTCATCCTGACGAACCTTCTCTCTGGTCCCATGGTAATCCCCAGTGTTGGAGATGGGGCCTGGTAGGAGGTGTTTGGGTCATGGGGATGGATCCTTCATGAATGGCTTAATGTTGTCCTTGCAATAGTGACTGAGTTCTTGAGAGATCTGGTTGTTTAAAAGTATGTGGCACCTCTTCCCTTCTCTCTCCCACTTGATCCATGTGGCCCATTTCCTCCTTTGCTTCCCGAGGCTCTCACCAGAAGCAGATGCCAGCACCATGCTTTTTATACAGCTTGCAGAACTGTGAGCCAATTAAACCTCTTTTCTTTCTTTCTTTTTTTGAGATGGGGCCTTTCTTGATCATGGCTTACTGCAGCCTTCAACTCTTGGGCTAAAGCCATCCTCCTACCTCAGCCTCTCAAGTATCTGCAATCACAGGTGTGTGCCACCATATTTGTAGAGACAGGTTCTCACTATGCTGCTCAGACTGTTCTTGAACTCTTGGACTCAAGTGATCCTCTTGCCTTGGCCTTCCAAAGGCATGGAATTACAGGCATGAACCACTGTGCCTGGTCTCAACCTCTTTTCTGTATAAATTATGCAGCCTCAGGATCTCTTTATAGCAATGCAAGAATAGACTAACATAGTCACATGTTTCATGAGTCATTTTATATTAAATGTTCAGAATAGATAAATCCATAGACACAGAAAGCAGATTGATAGTTTTCAAGGGCTCAGGGGAGTGAGAAATGGGGAATAGCTGCTTAGTAGTATGGGGTTCTCTGCTGAAGTGATGAAAATGTTTTGGAACTTGATATAGTTGGTGGCTGCACAAGATTGTTAATGTTCTAAATGCTGCTGAATTGTACATTTTAAGGTGGTTCATTCTACATTATGAGAGTTTCATTTCAATAAAAAAATTTTAAAAGTATACATGGGAATGAAATGCACTAGTTTCAGGTCCTCATTTGTTAACTGAAGGACAGAGAAAGAATAAAAGGTGGGTATTTAGCTAAATTTATAATTTTTTAAATTTCTTTATAACATAAAAGATCTGGAGGAAAAGAAAAACTATCACTACTTGGGCTATCCCTGAAAAATCTTTTGTATAGGGAAATAAAGCTAAGACTAGAGAGAATGCAATAGACAAGCAAGAAGGTAGTGTTGGCTGTTGGCTGCACTTCAGCTGATTTTTCTTTCAACTGAAGCCTCTGACTTTTAACATAAGAGGAAGGACTTCAAGGTCATGAGACTCAATTTGCTGTGCTGCGGCCACAGTTCCTATGTTAGAATCAATGCAATAATGCAATGCTAACCTGAGATCTAACAAACTGCAGAAATTGGCTTCTTACAATTAGTCTGTCTTTCCTCAGATGGAAAAGGGGTTGTCTGAGACATCAGAGCACTTCAGGGTCAAGGACTGAGTCCCTACAATCAAGGCAGGGTCGAGTATCGTGGAGACAGCTGGTGCCTCTAGTGAGTGGTTGCCCAGGTTACAGGTAAGGGGAGCTAAGGAACCTACCCTACTGAGAGGCCCCTGTATCCTGCCTGGTCCAGGCACTGTGCACGTGTCAGCATGGTCAGCGTTCAGGATCACCTCTAAGTGGGGGTTGGTTTGCCTGCACTTTGTAGTGGAGGAAATGGAATCTCAAATGAGGAACATGCCTAAGGTAACAGAGGGAGTTGAACCGAGCTGGTATTCCAACCCTGTCTGCCCAGTGCCAGAGCCTATGTTCATGGTAGTGCCTCTAGTTCTAAAACAGAGCCTGGCATGTAGAAAGTGCTGGATATATATTTGTTCAATAAATTAATGAATAATAGCAAATGAAATAATTTCTAATGGCTTATTAGTTTGGTAAAGATGCAAAAAATTAAAACCAATTAAAGAGCAGGCACATTTATAGATTGTTCTTGCAAATATAAAGTGATATAAACTTTTAGGAGTGCAAAATTTATATGGCAAATATATACATAGAGTCTGAAAATCGTGCAAACCCTTTTTCCCCAACACTTTCACCCTTAGGATGTAATTTGAAGACAACAATTTTTAAAAAGTACTCAAAGCTCTATGTACAACACTGTTAATCACAGTGTAACATTTTTTGATGTTATAAATGATTTGTTCTATAATTAAAGATTAGTTAAATCAATGCACATCAACAAAAGGACTGTTTTGCAGTTCTTAAAAATCTGTGTACTAAAATAACATTTAATGACAAAGGCAAATATTTTTTATCATATTGCTTAAGGGAAAAAGGAGGCTACCAAATAGTGTCTCTGGTTTGTAACATTTATTCCAGTTTAAAAATAATACATACAGGCCAGTTGCTCAAGCCTGTGTTCCCAGCAATTTGGGAGGCCAGAGTGGGAGGATCGCTTGAGCTCAGGAGTTTGAGACCAGCCTGGGCAACATAGTGAGAACCCATCTCTAATATATATATATATATATGCATCAAATAAAAAAAAGAGAAGGCCCAATACCAAAATATTAATGTAGCCATATTGCTATACAGAGAGGTTATGGGTGATTTGTATTTTCTAATTTTATTTCTATTGTATTTTCCAACTATTTTTCAATGGGAAATAAGCATATTCCTTTGGTCTTAGAAACAAGTCAATAAATGCTACATAAAAACAAAACAAACTTGCTCTACTCATCTAACGAACAATATCTTGTGTGGATGAAAATAAATGTCCTTTTTCTTAAAGAAATAAATAATTGATAATGTAAAAGAGTGTCTTTGAATATTTCTCTTCATGTATTTTCTCTTCCTCCTCCTCCTCTTTTGTTTCTTATCTTTTTGGTTCCTCAATGTACAACTCTAGCTCCTTCTCTTCCTGGTGCCAACCTTAAACACCTGGTTAATGATCTGAATTCTCTCCTTCTGTGCTTTCTCATTGAGGAGTTTGAAAGCAAAGAGTCTTGGATTTTAGACATTTGGGAATGGCCAAGATTTTGGACTTGTTTTGTGAAAAGATGTATTTGTTCAGTTGAGCAAGTGTGAAGCAAATGCTTTCAGCATGTCTATTAATCTTAGCGGTCTGAGTGATGTAAGGGTATGCGCACTCATGTTTTATGATGTTTGGTTTCATAAAAATATGTTTGGTTTCAAGGCATTGGCCTCTATTCTCTGTTGACTAAGAACAAATTTGGAGTAAGGAAGGCATCTTGAATTTTATCCCAAACCTAGTTTGTTTTTTAATCATCAACTGGAACTCTATGATGGCTATGACTAACACATTTTGTGAGTTCATGAAAACATTTACTTTAATAGAAAAAAAAATAGAACAACTCTAGAATCAGAGTGACTGATGCTATGTTTTGCCAAAGGATTCTTGCTGGAAGGTTCTACTGAGAGTTTTGAGGGCTGTTTCTGCTTATCACACTGAGGAGAAATGGAGAGATTCTAAATTTAGGTCACAGATTCTAAATAGAAAAGGAAGCAAAACAAACGGATATTCTAGTCAGGTTGGGGAACTGAAGCCTGATTTATAACCACCGAGATGCAGGCAGAACTCTCTTTTTGTCACACCAGAGTTAATAATGTGTTGAATGGAAGAAAATGTGTTTGTACCCCCAAAGCCCTATTAGTGTGTTCTTTAGCTTTAATCAAGCTGCAGAACTATGAGATGTCATTGGGCAATGCTTAGGTTATAGTGTGTGTAAAAGTCCTGACAGAAAATGTGTGCATATGATTTTGTAAGGAGAAAAATAAAAAGAAAGAAACCCTCTACATTAAAAAAGACCAGAAAGAAATATCATGAAATGTTACTTGTTTTATGTTATGATCACAGATTTGTTTGTTGTTCTCTCCCTTTCTGTATTTTCTGAAATTCTTAATGATCATGAATTTTTAAAATAATAAATGGTTTATTTATTCATTCAGCACATAGCTTCCAATCATTAAGTTTGAGCTTCAAGGATGATTAAACTATTTATCTGCCCTGAAGAAGCATACAGAACTCTAGGAGAGACATAAATCGACACAAAGTGAATAGCTGCCATGAGTGAGGAACGCTTGAGGTCTAAGTGTGAATCAAAAAGATAGTGCCCATTATACCTGTGTGCAGAGTCAAAATTTAAAAACAATTAAATACACATTGTGATGACAATGTTCCATATACATGAAAGAAAAAATACTGTTTCTTTGACTCTAGGTTGCTCTCTCCAGTTACATTTGTGTTTGAGAGGATTGGAACTAAAAACTGAGATGACCCTCTTTGTAGGGGCTGAGTAAGGATCACGCGGTATTGTGGTTGTCAACTTGAGAAATGCAATCAGTCAGTCTCTCTGAATCCTTGTCTCCATCCACAGAGGCTGTAACTTTGCTGATGCATTTTTGAATGCTATTGTATTTGCTGTTACCTTGCTTCTGTGGCTCATGTGTTTTAGAAAGTTAATCTTCCTTTTTAATTTTAACTACAACTGAAGCATATTCCTTTTAGCAAAAAGTACAGCAGTAAAGAGCTCAACAAATTGGTTAGAAATCAGTTTTTAAAGAGGGAATACGAGCTCTAGATTGGGTCTCACAGGGTTTTCCAAAGAGATTGTGCATTAACTTGGACTCATTGCTGTTTATTTTGGCTGTTAAGAAATCTTTTTGGAGAGTTTGCCAATTTTTAGCATCTCATCCATGTTGCAAGTGGTTGGGTTTATTCCCCTCGATTATCTCCGGGTCAAAGGAGTGTTATCCATTTCTTACACAACCATTTATTTAGTGCCTACTAGGTGCCTGGCCTCTACTCAGAGCTAGTGCAATAGCAGTCAGCAACAGACAAGGTCCTTACCTTCTGAAGAGATGACAATAAAAACATAGATAGGTAACCACGGAAATAGGTGGTAGAAGCACATGATGTGAACACAGAGGATGGCTATGGAGGTTGTGTGCAGGAGACTGCCTCTGTAACTATCAATCCTCGATGCTTGATGTCTTTAAAATATGCTGTTCATTTTGATCAAATTTGGTGTTGGTTATCTTGCTACAGTGGACACTAACTGGGCTTTGAAGTCAGAGCCACCTGGGTGGTGCAACTCCCAAGAGAATTCTATAACGGATCTGAACCTCAGTTTTCTCATCTCTGTTTTGCAGACAAGACTGCACACTGCCAGTGCTGGTGTGACAGTGAAATGGGTTAGGTGAACAGTCTGTGGAACGTATTAGGGGCTCAAAAACTGAGAGGGATTGATTCATGTTCTTTTTATGTGATCTCTGTCTCCTATTGCTCACTCGTTGAGATTGCTGGAATTCTAACAGTTTTGCCTTCTGTAAAAATCTCCAGAAAAGTAGTTACGCAGATGCACTTGTGTCTTTTCAAGTTGTCTTTTAGTGTAATTTACTTTCCAGGTGTGGTGAGCTGCGCAATAGCCTCCCAGAGATGTCTAGTTCTCATCCCAAGCACCTGTGAGTGTGTTTACCATACGTGGTGAGACGGGCTTTGCAGATGTGATTAAATGAAGAGTCTTGAGGTGGGCTGGTTATCCTGGATCATCTAAGTGGGCCCTGTGCTGTAATCACAACAGTCCTTTTAAGAGGGAGGCAGAAGTTTAGAATTATAGAGAGAAGGTGATGTGTGGATGGAAGGAGAGGGAAACAATGAGAGAAGATGCTACACTGATGGTTTTGAAGATGGAGGAAGAAGCCCTGTGCCAGAAAATGTGGGAAGCCTAGAACAGTTCTCCCCGAACGTTTTGGCACCAGGGACTGGTTTCATGGAAGACAATTTTCCCACAGACTGGTGGGGGTGGGGGTGGGAGATGGTTTAGGATGATTCAAAAGTGCATTACATTTATTGTGCACTTTGTTTCTATTATTATTATACTGTAATGTATAGTGAAATAATTATACAACTCATGATAAGGTAGAATCAGTGGGAGCCCTGAACTTATTTTCCTGCTACTAGACCATCCCCTCTGGGGTGATCAGAGCCAGGACAGATCATCGGGCATTAGATGCTCATAAGGAGTGTGCAACCTAGATCCCTCTCATACACAGTTCACAATGGGGTTTGCGCTCCTGTGAGAATATAATGTTGTTGCTGATCTGACAGGTGGTGAAGCTCAGGTGGTAATGTGAGTGATGGGGAGCAGCTGTAAATACAGATGAAGCTTCACTGACTCGCCTGCCACTCACCTCCTGCTGTGCTACCCCATTCCTAATGGGCCTTGCACCAGTACCGGTGCGTGGTTCAGGGACTGGGGACTCCTGCTCTAGAAGATAGAAAAGGCAAGGAAACAGCTTTTCCCCCAGAGCATCCAAGAGGAATGTAGCCCTGGAAGCCCACCTGAGACTTCTGACTTTCAGAACCATAAGATGGTAACTGCTCCACCAGGTTTGTGATAATTTGTTATAGCCGTTATAGAAAATTACTATACCAGGGGAAGCCAGGAGACCCTGCCAGGGCTGTAGGCAACAAAAAGAATAGGGGTGTCCGGGTTGGTTTAGACAGTGATTTCTGAAGCCAGCATACCTGGGTTTGAAGCCCAGCTCCACCTCCTACTAACCACTTTCACATTGGGTGGGCAGAGCACATTGAGACCATGGGCTGTCAGACTCCATAGCTCACTGTCTCCTCTAGGAATGCAGGCTGACTAGGCTGCCAGAGACCCTCCTGGTGATTCTGCACAATGGTGTGTTTTAAAGAGATCCAACAGCATCTCTCTAGGTTCATAGTTTCTGATCATGGCTGTGCATGTGCACAGTGGTTTTTTTTTAATATTTCATAATGAAAAGCATGAATAGTGAAAATAAGTCTTCCTTGCACATTCATCTTTCATCTCGTTTGTCTTTCCTGTGAAAATCATTGTCATCTTCAGAAAATGATGTTCTCTTTATGCCTCAGTGTGCCTTCCAGAAAATGGGAAAAAGTTAGTATATGTTTAGGATATTTAAGAACACTGGCACATTGTAAGTGCTCAATAAATGTAAATGGTTATTAATATAATAAGTTCTTATTGGAATGAATTTGCTGACTCCTTGCAATAATGGAAGTTAGTATGCACGTACATTTCCACAGTGAGAGTCTCTTTCAGTAGGGGGCCAGTGGCAGTTTCTTTTCCTTCCTGTTCGCGTGTGAAACAGGAAATGCAATTTGGATGACAGGCACTGCTGCTTTTCAAAACTCTGTTTTGTTTCTGGGTTGTAACTCGAAATTGATGTTGATATTGTAGCAGCCAAATAAAGTGGTGCCCTTTGACCTTGTTGCAATTCTGTATGTCTCTGGTAGATTACAGGCTGCCTTCGTGCTGCTTTGCAAAAGATTTGTTCCCCTAATAGTTCTGAAAACCAGAGAGAAAGCATATTCACGTGAAATCCTGGTGATTTTTCTAAGTTCACCTAGTTAGTTTAATACCATAATCTAATGTAATTTCATATCTCTAAAACTGAAGGCTAGCCAATTGTGTGAATCTAGCCTAAGAAATAATTATGAATTCAATAAAAATGTTCACATACAAAGATGTTTATTGCAGCACTGTGAAAACCAGAAAAAATTGGAATAAACCAAAATGTCATGTAATAGTAGAGTTGTTAAATATATTGTGGGTTAGTCACTTAGTGGAATATTATGCAGTTAGTTGAAAAGGTAGTTATAATGCCTTTTCCATCATAAGGAAAATATTCACAATATACTGTTAAGAGAAACATTGAGAGTCAAAATTGTGTTCAATATGATTATAATGCTTGTAATGATAAAGCTCACACGTTAACAGCCTGGCAGAAAATATACCAAAATGCTGGTATCCATTGTGAAAGTGGTGGAATTATGAACTGTTTTTTTCCTACTTTCTATTTCCCATATATTTAGTAACATAATTATTTACATCTCTAAGAAAAAAAATTAAATGCAAACATAAAGCAATAAGCCAAAGCTCCAAAATAGTGTGGAAGATGTCTAAGAAAATTATGACTGCACACATTTATAATTCTAAATTAAAATGCCTCAGGAGTTCTAGTTTCCTGGATTAGTGCTAACGGCAGGAAGGCTGGGGTGAGAAATTTTGGCCATTAGCACTTCATGGGGTATGTAGAAACTGTTTTAGCACATACACTTTCTGGCTTTAAGTCAACTGACTTGGTTTTATGAGACAAAGAAGAGTTTTGCTTTCCCAGATAATTCAATTGTGATCATTTCAATAACCTTCATTCCAGCACAAGGACAATGGAGAAAAAAAGAGTCATCATATTTATGATTTACTGAAGGTTCCCTATGTGCCAAACTGTGTGTGGAATGCTTTATATGTATTGTCCTATTTCAGCCTAACAACTCTGGTAAGTGGGTCCTATTATACAGATTTCATAGATGAGATGCTCACTAAAGTGAGCACACCAAGCCCAGGGTGTCTCATTGGGTGGGCAGAGCACGTTCAGACCCTGGGCCGTCGGACTCCACAATTCACTGTCTCCTCCAGGAGCTCAGCCTGACTAGACTGCCCGAGACCCTCCTGGTGATTCTGCACAATGCTCTGTTTTTAAGAGATCCAACAGCATCTCACTAGATTCATAGGTTCTGACCATGGCTATGCATGTACACAATGGTTTTTAAAAATTTCATAATGAAAAGCATGAATAGTGAAAATAAGTCTTTCTTCCACATTCATCTTTCATCCCCAGTTTGTCTTTCCTGAGAAAACCATTGTAAATAAGGAGCACTAAATAAATACAGATAGATACAGAGGCCCATTCGCAAGCTGCAATCACTTAGAGTCTTGGAGGCCTTGAAAATCTCGATTTTTAACAAGCTTCCCAGATAATTTGGATGAAGGGCCTGAGGCTGAGGACCATCACTACCATGATACAGTGATGTCCAGTTGAATAAAAATAATAGCAATTTCACCCTTTTTATGTCAATAATATTTCAGCTGCATGCAGCCTTTTAAAAAGATAGATGTTTGATAAAGCAAGTTAATTTTTCTTGGTTTTACAAAAATCTAAAAATTTTAGAGAGTGGTTATTTTAGTTGGAGATGTTTTTGAGCAGAAGTGGAATTGAAAATTGATCTGAAAATCCCATCTGTCCTTGGGTGTCAACTGGGATACTGGAAGGAACGTTGGACTTGCTGAGACTGGGGGTCTTAGTCAGCTCAGGATGCCCTACCAAGATACTGCTATAAACTGGTGGCTTAAATAACAGACATTTATTTCCCACAGTTCTGGAGGCTGGGAATTCTAAGATCAAGGTACTGGCTGGGGTTAGGGCTTCAACACATGAATTTTGGTGGTGGGAGGTGGACACACACATTCAGTTCATAAAACAGGGAGTCCGTAACACAGGGCTTCTAATCCTCTCCACCAATGAGCAGCTGAGTGCTATTGGGAAAGTTACTCCTGTTTTCAGACTATGAGATAGTCTGATTGGACCAGTTCAGGTATATCCAAAGTGCTCTCCAGAGGAGCTTAGAGCCTTCTTTGGGGCTGAGATGGAGGGAGTGTTAACACCACAGCTGACAGCTTTCTAAGTCAATAGTTTAGCCCCTTCCCACCGTCATCATTCCACCAAAGCAGCTTCTTCTTATCTGTACATACATACTTATCCATATATACATACATACATACATTCTTATCTGTATATATATACATATATACTTATCTGTATCTGTATATACATACATACATTCTTTTTCTTAAGAGACAAATATTTAATGTTGTAAAAGACTTAAACAACATGATTTGCAAACTTGACCTTATTGAGTTATTTGAACACTGTATACATACATACATATATACTTATCTGTATCTGTATATATATACATACTTATCTGTATATACATACAAACTTTTTTTTTTTTTTTTTTTTTTTGAGACAGAGTCTTACTCACTCTGTTGCCCAGGCTGGAGTGCAGTGACGCAATTACGGCTCACTGCAACCTCCACCCCTGGGTTCAAGTGATTCTTCTGCCTCAGCCTCCCGAGTAGCTGGGACTACAGGCGTGCGCCACCATGCTTGGCTAATTTTGTTTTTTGTAATTTTAGTAGAGATGGGATTTCACCATATTGGCCAGGCTGCTCTCGAACTCCTGACCTCATGATCCGCCTGCCTCGGCCTCCCAAAGTGCTGGGATTACAGGCGTGAGCCACCAAGCCCGGCCTACTTTCTTATCTGTATATACGCACATATATACATTCTTTGTTTTGTTTTGTTTTGTTTTTGAGACAGAGTTTCGCTCTTGTCACCCAGGCTGGAGCGACCTCTGCCTTCTGGGCTCACTGCAACCTCCGCCTTCTGGGTTCAAGCGATTCTCTTGCCTTAGCCTCCTGAATAGCTGGATTACAGGTACCCACCACCACACCCGGCTAACATGTATATATATAACATGAAGGAGCTGCTCTTCTGGAATGACTGTATAAAATATTAATTAAGTCCAGGCTGTGCGGATTCCACCAGTTTTTGTTTGTTTGCTTTTTGTTTTTTTTACTAATGCTCTTTGTCTTTCCCAGGATCCAATTCAGTAGACCACATTGCATTTTGTGACTTATTTGATTTCACCACTGATTAAGATTTTAGCCAAAGCAATGGTTCTAGAATGACAGTGAAAGGAAATGTGTGATATCCACTGGATGAGCCTCTGGCCAGGTGTCCTCCACTTGATTAGGCTTGCGGCTAACATCAGTGCAGGTAAACAAGCCAGGTCTTTGGAGTTAGGCAGAGCTGGTCTAAATTTTACTCTCTGGAGGATATTAGACAAGTCTCTGAGCCTCCCTGAATTTCAGGATTCTCATTTCTAAAATGAGAGAATAATAACTACTTTGCAAGTTCTGTGGATGAAGTGAATTTGGCACAGAATACAACTTTAAATGGCATTTTTGGTATGGTGGCTATTTCCTAGGTCCATAGGGTGCTATTGACCTCAAGTTAAGGGCTGTCTGGGCTGTACCACCAATGGGGCTGTACCATTGGTGTTACCCGCCTGACACACTTTTTCCATGCCCAGGAGAGACTCTTAAACATTTACATGTGCTTGAAAATAATTAAGAGCCGCTTGGTCTCCTGCTCCAAGGAATGACACTCTGATATCTAGTGTTTTAATCATACTGTTGAGATGGGATTTAAAACATGAACTTGAATCAGTTGTTCCAAAATGGGAAAATATTACACAATTAATACATGTTAATCATAGAAAAATTAGAGTAGATGAATAAACAAAAGGAAGAAAATAGAAATCAGCTGTAATCAGACCACCCAGCAATAACCCTGTTATCATTTTGGGATCTGCATCTGGAAAGATACATATTCTTTCCCTGTCTCTTTCCCCCTTTAAAGATTTAATAAAATTGAACTATCAATTTTGTGTATCCTATTATCTCTTACTATATATGATCAATTTTTAAATAGTAAAATATAATTCTACAGAGTAATTTTTAAATTACAGTATATGGATGTGTTAAAATTGTCTTCACTAATTCCCTATTGTTGGATGGTATGGTTGTTTTTAATTTTTGTTTTTGCCAGTAACATTGTAATAGGCATCCCTCTAGTGAACTCTTTGTGCATCATTTTCCAATTAGGAAGTTTGACGCTGGCAGCATACTCAGCCCCCACCCTGTTTTCCTCTTACTTCCCTTTACAGAGTCCCTTGTGTTGTTTGTGTATGCGTGTCTTCCTAGGTGGACCATAAACTCCTTTGAGAGCAGCGAGCACACATAGTTCATCTTCATTTTTCCTCTCTAATACGTAGCACTATGGGGTGTCCTCAGTGTGCTTCTACCCTTAGCCTGTTATCCCAAATTTGCATCCCCATTACTGGTTCTGCTTGGATATTTGATGTCTGGCTTCTTAGCTCTGGTCTATACTCTCACTCATTCAACAGAGAGCTATTGAATATGTATTAGGTGCAAAGTGTGGATCCTGGCGGGGAAACTGTGGCAAATAAGACAGAAAAATGTCCTGCCTTTAGGGATTGGTGTTGTAGAGTAGAAGGCAGACATCAAGCCAGCAAGCAAATGCAGTGATTATTCCAACAGCGTAAGTGCTGCAAAGACCAGAAAGCAGTTAAGAGAATGGTAAATCTTGGAGAAGGGGTGGGTAGCTAGTTTAGGTTTAAGGAGTGGGTCAGAGGTGTCTTTGAGGAGGCAGCCTTTGAGTAGAGATCTAAATGATGCAAAGTTGTGACCAGTGAGTCTGGGGGGGACAAGCTCTTCCTACAGAGACTAACAGCTGAAAGGCACTGCAGCAGGGCAATCACCACAGGAAGGAGAGTGAGATGGCAGAGGACAGAGCAAGTGGGGGTATCAGAGGTGAAGCCAGAGGGGTTGGACACAGGCTGGGTTATGCAGGGTCTTGAAAGCTCTGTGGAGGAGTTTTTTTATTTGAAGGTCAATAGGAAGGTCTTGAAGGAAGCCGGAGAGGGACATGACCTCATTTCCATTTTTAAGAGATCACTTTGCTCAAATTTGATCTTCAACTATATTATCCAGGTTATAAACACTCAGCAGGGAGAGTGATAATTCTTTAGCTGGTATTGGCTAGGAGGAAGCAACAAGGTTTTGTGAACTTAAGTTCTCTGAGCCTTTCAGGTCTCATTCTGTGGCAGATACTGTTAATAAATTGATGCCCATTTCCACCTCTGCCTCTGCTACCAGAGTGCCGATTCTACTGGGTGGCAATATATGCCCACCTATATCCTCACTTCCCAGTTGCCTTTGTGGGAGGGCTTGGGAGGCATCTGACAGGAGTCTTGCTGATAAGGCATGAGCAGGCACCTTATGGGAAATTCTGAAAAGGCTTTTGCTTTCCTGATGAAAGGACACAGATCCAATCAGCACATCCCTGTGTCCTACTCTGCTTGCCTCTGACACAGATGCAATGTCAAGTGTAGAGCCCGCCTGCTGTCATTCGACACAAGTGCGAGGATGAAAGACAACATGTTCAGGATGAAACAGTGGAACGAGGGAAACAGCTTCATTCCCTAATGTCTTTAATGAGCAGCTGAACCAGTGCCAGGGACCCCCTGACTTCCTGTTATAGGAAGAAATAAAATTTTTTACTAGTTTAAGCCATGGTTGTGTGTATTTTCTGTTGCATGCAACTAAAGCATTCCTAACTGATACACTTAGGATTGAGAAAAAGTGGGAACTGACTCTGTTATTAATTCCATGGAATATTATGCAAATCATTGAAGTTCTGAATATCTCAATGTACATTAAAATTGAAGCAATTACTGAACCCAACTTATGAATTGTTTGTTTTGGAATAAGGGCTCGTGATCACAGATGCTTTG
This sequence comes from Homo sapiens, assembly GCF_000001405.40. Lineage (NCBI taxonomy): Eukaryota > Metazoa > Chordata > Mammalia > Primates > Hominidae > Homo > Homo sapiens. The sequence goes on along the minus strand of NC_000004.12, from coordinate 15,404,857 downwards.
GGGATGTGTTGTTAAATTGCCACTTAATATAAGAATGAGTTCTGTTGTGCTGTGCAGACATTCCTTACTCGGGAAGTGATTGGTCTTGCTTTCTCTCTCAGACTGTTTGGTTCCCATGCCCTTGGTCCCCATTAAGAATAAAATGACAACCCTACCGCAGTCAACCTGCTCTGACTATGCCGCTGTAAAGTCACAAATGCTTAGCCAAGATCAGAGAATATACTAAGTGATCCTAGTCATTGACTCATGCAAATACTTTTGAGTTTGACCCTTTTCCTGTTCCACAGTGAAATTACTGAGGTGGATCTTTCTGGAAGTCTCTCTGAAGTATAAGTTATAATACTAGCATAAAAAACACTTGCTGTATTCTAAATACTTTATAAGTGTTAACTCTAATCATCATTTAACCTTCACCATGATTTAAAGACTAGAGATTATTTTCCTGGTGAAAATCAGGACTGAGAAGGATTAAGTGATTTTCCTAAAGTCATAGAGCTAAGCAAGAAGAACTAGTACTCAGATATATCTGGTTCCAAAACTGCTTGTGTCTTCAGGGATCCTTAGGCCCCATGTATTGTGAGAAACTCTCTTCTAGCAAGCACTCGCTGCTTCCATGAATGGCATAGAAGGAGCAGCTCATGGTTTTGGTCTTTTTAAAAATATATATAAAAACATCTATATCTATATGGATATTTATTTTAGCCAGCTTGTTATATAACAAAAAATGGGAAACAATTTAAATGTCAAGTTAAAGAAACTACTTAAATAAACTAAGGTGAATCCATTTGACTAAATGCCTAAAATAGATTCATTGTAAAGAGCTGCAAAACAATAAGTACATTATTAGTACATGATATATTTGTATATGCATAGAAAAGTACTCTAGGAGGATACTGAACTAAAATATATCGATAGTAGTATTTTTATGAATGTTAAAAATAGAGGACATTTTTGTTTTTAAAATTTAGGTATTTTATATCATTTCATAATACAGAAAAAAACCTGTTTGAACAAAACATAAAGAATACAACTATTTTATTGGAGTTGGGCAATTCTTGGAGCACAGCTATATTGCAAGCAGTTTTAGTTGTTACACCATTCAGAAATCACACCATTTGTAGTGGGCTGAATAGTAGCCCCCTCAAAGACGTGTCTACCCCAAACCTGTGAATGCAAACTTAATTTGAAATAGGGTTTATGTAGATGTAATTAAGGATCTTGAGATGAGATCATCCTGGATTAGGGTGCACCCTAAATCCAATGTATCCTGAGAAAAGAAGGGGAAAAGAGACAGAAAAGAAGGTGAGGTGATGACAGAGGCAGACATGGGAATGTTGTGCCTACGATCCCAGAAACCCCAAGGATTGCCTGTAGCCACCAGAAGCCAGGAGAGAGGCAGAGGATGAATGACCTTGCAGAGCCTCCAGAAGGAACAAACCCTGTCAAAGCCTTGATTTTGGATTTTTGATCTCCAGACCTGCAAGAGAATAAATTTCTGATGTAAACCACCCAGGTTGTGGTAATTTGCTAAAGCAGTCCTGGGAAACTAATACAGCATTACTAGAGTAAGAGGATGAGACAGAATGAGACCAACATTGGACATCCAAAATGAATAACACAGAGCAAAATTGATTGCTGACTCCAAGAGGGAAGGGCTGCGCTGCCTGGGCACATTCTTCTGAGCAGAGCCGACTGCTGGGCTTGCATAGTATTTTGGGGAAGCATGGGACTCAGAGACAGGCAGATTTTCAGGCACCTAAGTAGCTGACATGATCTGTAGAGAGTGATTATTTGGGGGAGATTGTGGTGATTTTGTGAAAATGTATCTGCTTATCATAAAAATTTCAAGGAATTTTATTAAAAAAAAAAAAAACAGAAAAAAGCAAAGCAAAACAAACTTTCACCTCTCAGAAATCATTTTGCCAACATTTGATGAACATCATTCCAGATTCTCTGAGGCACAGGTTTAGCCAGAAGCCTTGCTGGATATAATTTTACAAAAATAAGTTCATACTACGCATGCTATTTTTATAAAAAATGATTGAATGTGAGGTTACTTGAATGTATCAGAATAAAAATAAACTAGAATCCAACTGAAGGAATTGCTGAACTTCAGATATTTCTAAGGTTAGATGACAACTATGAAAAACAATTCCAGAATTTAGTGTCATTTTGCTTTTTAAAACTTTGTATGTTTTAACTTTATACAATATTTATTTATCTTCTGCCATGAAAGAGGAGGGTTTTATTTATTTCATTTTTCCCTTCCACCCCTAGCCTCCCAATTTTTTTCAGTTACATTATTATTTTTGGATTGCCTGGAATTATAACATTTATATTCTTTTCTGTCAAATAATTCCCACTGTTGCTTAGTCTTGATTCGGTTTTGTAAAAGATCTAATACTTGCTCATGTCCTTATTTGGTGGATTCTCCATTGCTGGGTGTTTAATTTTGATTCATGTCTTGCTATGCTAGATTTCATCATCAAATACTTTTCAAGAAGGGCTTTGTTAATACAGTCCTTGAATTCTTACATGTTTAGGAATGCCTGCCTGTTTCTTTTATAGTTATAGCATAGCTTGGCTGAGTGAAAGAAAAAAACCTCTTGGGTCACCTTGTCCCCTTAGAACTTGGTAGAGGTTGCTCTGCTATTTTCTGGTGTTGAGGATTGTGGTGGAGACTAAAGTAACCTGCCAGGCTCCGCTTGTGATATCTGTTCTCTAAACAACACATACAAGACATTTTTCCTTGAATTTTCACAGTCCATATCTTGATGTTACCAATCTTGCTTATTTTTCCTGGGATATGGTGTTCCCTTTACATTTAGAGAAAGCTTTTTTAAACTCAAAAAGCTTTCTTGAATTGACTTTAAGTTTTTTCCTGTTCCTTTTTTTCTGTTCAAAATACCAATTTGGGTATGTCAGCCTCCCTTTTGCTTCAGTTTGTGTTGTCTTGTCTGTAATCATTTTTATCACACTGTTTCTTTCTTTCTCATTTCGTGTGGTATCTGAAGCTTTCCTGTGCTTTCAATAGCATTTATCTGTTTTCTGTTGACTTTGAAGTTGACTTTCATGTCTATAATTGTTTTATTTCATTGATTTCCTGAGCTCTGCTACTTTTTAACTGGTCTTCATCTTATTTCTTTTCTGATCATTTCTATTTCGTTTTTAAACTTTCTTTTCTGAGAAACTACGATGTTGATTCATTTAAGACTGAAGAGAACTGATCTCTGTGTTCTCTGGTGGTGGATCATTTATGATGTATGTAATTTTGTATCTGCCTTCTGTTTTTGATTTTTCTACTTGTTTCCCCCCTCTTGCAATACCCATGCTGGGACCTTTGCCTGGCTTTGGTACTGGTGTCATTCAAATGTGATGAGATGCCTCCAGCTATTTGGCCAACAACAGTGCAGAGGGGGCTTGCAGCATTCAGTTAACCAGGCCCCAGTAGGTTTGTGGTTTCTGTTCTTCCTACTCAGCTGGCCTTGATGAAACATCCCCCTCAGGTTTTGGTGTCCGGGAGGCCAGTGTGGCTCAGGTTGAAGCACTTAAAGATGCAGATTTTGTTGTGGCTGCAAGGTCGCTCCTCCCCACACGCTCCTCATTCCTTTCCACCCCAGACATGGTCTCCTCATCAGAGACTATCCCTACACAACAAAAATGATATGTTTTCCCAGTTCCTCCTCATTTATTTGCCACTCCCTTCCCCCTCGCTATTGTGCAACATGGAAATAGCTCTCTAAAGGAACTATTCTGACTTCTTCTATGTGTGGTATGCAGCACTGGGGTGCGCCCGCTAGTATTTCCGGTTCTGCCCTCCTCTAAGACACTTGGCAGGATCACCCTTCCTCGTCTCTAAAATTAGGCCTGGCTAGAAGAATTGTGTGGGCAGAAAACATGAATTACCTACATGTCCCCTTTCCCCTCCATGGTGAAATCTGAAGCCTTATGCTGTGATGGGGGTATCGGGAAATGGTGATGGTGGCTGGGTCCTGAGGGCCCACAATGAACAAAGACCCTGATTGCTCCATAGTGAGCATGTAACATAAAGGCTTTTGTATTTATGCATCAGTACATAAACCTTTTTGCTGTTTGAAGCCACTGAGATTTGGGATTTGTTGGTTAGTGCTGCCTAACTTAGCCTCTTTGATTAATACAGGGCAAGAAAAGCCAATAATTTCTATAACAAACATTAGGAAGCCTGGGAATTGAGAAGGTCATGAGGTCTGGCTGGAAGGTATGGATCAGAGCAGACCGTTCATCATCCAGCCAGGACACTGACCAGCTTCAATGGTCTCCTTGAATGTTGGAGGGAAAATATTGTACAATTTCCAAAGTTAGGGTTTCTTGTTGCAGACGGTTTCAGATTTCTTGTGTTCACCAGAAAACAAAACAATGGAACTTAATCCTTTTCTGTTTCTCTCCACTCCCTTTCATACAAATGTGTCTTCTTGTGCATCAAATTTAATGCTGTTGACAGCATTATTTACTGCCACTGAACATACTTGGCTGATTTATGACAGATTACACTGATCATCTATATCCCTCAAAGAGCCGTGGGAGCTGCTGCCTTTAGATCTTTTTGCAATATACAGACTGTAAATGTTTTCTTTTTTCTTTTTTCAGTCAAGTTGTTTATTCTCTCAACAATTAAAATATGTGTGTACAATCCAAGACATTTTTGAAGAATAAAACCTTGCATCTCTGAATTCCTGTGGGGCCTAGCAACAATGGACGATATCTTAGTTGCAGTGTCATTTCCCTAAAATCTAGCTTGTGTGTTACAATCACATTGATGTATCTTCCCCAGAACCAGAGAAGCCAGGCTTAAATCTCTGTCCTGGCATTCACTAATGTCATGGCCTCAGAAAAATTGGATAGACTTTCTGAACTTGTTTTCTGACCCATAAAAATGTGATAATGGCAGTAGTCTTTTTAATCCCACAGGAATATTGGGAAGAACAGATGATTTCATATATGGGAAAGGCCCTGGAGCAATGCCTGGCTTCAAGTGGGCACTCAGTATATACTACTTGAAAGCACCTTCCAAATTTTGCAAGTGGCATCTCAGTTCATTCATTCACTTACTTAATACCTATATACCCAGCATGCTGTGGGAAAGTTGGACTTATAGTTATATAAGACATAGGTAAGGAGGTGATAGTCAAATTAAGCTAACAGTTAAAATGAAGTGTTTTATGAAATTAGCTACATATCACAGGAGCTAATGTTTGAGGGCTTACTATGTGTTCAAACATTGGGCTAAGTCTTTAAATGGGTCATCACATTTATTCCATGCAAAAACACTACGTACATGATTATTATTATCCCCATTCTAACTGGAGGAAATCAAGGCTTAGAGATACGAAGAACCTGGCCAAGTCACAGATCATCGATTGAAATGGGTCCTGTAGTCAGTATGACTTGGGGTGCATGTTCTTAACTACTATCTGCGGAGCCTACAGAGATATTCAGAGCTGCTGGAAGTGTTACAGTAGGTGGCTCATCAGGCATTGGCAGAACAGGAGAGGGCTTCCTCCCCAACACACCCACCCACTAGGAATGTCAGGTGACCATCAGCTGATGGTCAGAAAGTTAACTGTCTCTCTAAAATAATAATTGGTTGCAGTCGGCACCAGGGAAGGGCAGTTTCCCAATAGATAGAAAACACCTGAAACTGGTGATCAGCAGGTTCCTGATAAGATCTCAGGAGTTGGGAGAGTGGTCTCAAGCATGTGCATTAAGAGGCAAAATGGCAGCATTTAACTGGTACATGACCTTCCTCTAGGAATGCTAGACTGGTGGGGGAAGAACACCTCAGGTGAGCATGCATACAACTCCAGTAAACACACTGCGCATGCTCACCTCCCAACCACTAACAGGCCACTGTGCATACGGACAGCCCATCCCAAGGGAAGAATCAGGGGAGAGGCAATGCGAGATCCCAGAAGCACACCAGCTTATAAAGCCCCAAGTCAAAAGGTGGAGTCATGCACTTGATTTCTCACGTTGCCTGCTTGGCCTTCTTCCAAGTATACTTTACTTCCTTTCATTCCTGCTCTAATGCTTTTTAATAAACTTTCACTCCTGCTGTAAAACTTGCCTCAGTCTCTCCTTCTGCTTTATGCCCCTCAGTTGAATTCTTTCTTCTGAGCAGGCAAGAATTGAGGTTGCTGCAGACCCTACAGATTTGCCACAGGTAACAGAAGCAGACTGCTGCCTCAGGGGAATGTTCACAAAAGGCACTTCTGTGAAAGGGATGCCTGAGCTCAGCTTTGAGATTTGAGTAGGGCTTGTCTACTCAGACAGAGGAGTCCTGAGCCTAGACCCAGGTAGTCCCAGAAGAGATATGCTGAAGTGTTCACTGTGGAACAGAAAGTCTGTGAAGGTAGATATTGGAGGACAAGGCTTGTACAGTAGCTGGGAATCCAGTCAAGATGCTTAGCTGTAAATAAAGGGACTTGGACATCAATGGGGCAGGGAGGGGGGGTGGTCAATAATGGATATTAAGCATGAGTCTGATATAATTAGCTTTGCCTTTAGTGTTTGGAAAATGGTTTCTAGCTATGATTCATTAGATCTCTTGGTAACCCCAGGTGCTTTTAAAATTTCCAGTTGGGTGTGGAAGAATAAAATTGCTGTCATCGCTATGGCCTATAAGCTCCTTTTGACCTAGGGCCATATTTCAGTCATGATTACATTGCTGGAGCCAAACACAGCAACTGACGCATGACTGGCACTGAAGAAATTGTTGGCTGAGTGAATGAAAAAAATGAATGAAAAACTAGATTAATGGTAGTAAAGTTGGGAAAAGAAGCAAGAAAGACTGAAATTGTGGCTGCGTTCCTTTGTGGGTCTGGTTTAGGAAGGACTCTACAGGAGGAGGGGAGGTGAGAGTGGTGGGCCTTAATTCCACTGGGTGCTCTTGCAGGTTCAAAATCAGTTGGGATGATTTGGGGATTCTTGGAAGTAGAACTGTGTAGTCGCCAGCATCTGCTGAGAGATTTTAATTTGATTTGTTAATGAATCTCCCTGGGTGGGGCTTTGGTAGGTGGTCTGTTGGGGATCCTATGACTAATTTAGGATCTACAGTGGAGCTGAGTGCATAGAATGTTGCTCTTTTTTATTTCTCAGAAAGCACATTCATAAGTGAAGCCTTAAGAACTCTTGGGAATGCTCACAGCCTAGAGAGAGTTGTGGTCTTCTTGTCTTTGAGACTTTAAGTCCCTTGAAGATAAGGGCCATGACTTACTATCTTCAAGCCCAGTGTGACACGGAGCTGTAAGCTCAGGCCTGTAACCACTATCCAGGTGCCTCTAGAGATAGCCAGAGGTGCAGAGGCACACTCCTGCCTCAGATTTTATGCTCACAAAGCATATTTTAGAGGAAGAGTTGTCTGAGCTCACTCCTGAATTTGAGTAGGGGATGACCACTCAGACAGAGGAGCCCTGAGCTTAGGCCCAGGAGGTTGCAGAGCAGGCGAGTAGCTATAGAGTCCACTGTGGGAGAACAGTCTCCGAGAGGTCTTAGGGGATCAGAAACTGCTGTTGCCCTGCTCCAGGGCTCTCAATCCACCTCTGAGCTCACTTGAAGCTGCAGTGGGAAGTTTCCATCTGATATGGTTTGGCTGTGTCCCCACCCAAATCTCATCTTGGATTGTACTCCCATAATTCCCATGTGTTGTGGGAGGGACCCGGTGGAATCACGGGGGCGGTTTCCCTCATATCGTTCTCATGGTAGTGAACAAGTCTTACAAGATCTGGTGGTTTATCAGGGTTTTCTGCTTTTGCATCTTCCTCATTCTCCTTTGCCTGCTGCCATCCATGTAAGACGGGACTTGCTCCTCCTTGCCTTCTGCCATGATTGTGAAGCTTCCCCAGGCACGTAGAACTGTATTAAACCTTTCTCTTTTGTAAATTGCCCAGTCTCAGGTATGTGTTTATTAGCAGCGTGAAAACAGACTAATATGCCATCACACTGACAGCCACCCCCTGAGTTGCCTGTGTCCCTTTCTCTGGAACTACAGGAAAGTTTATTCAGTGTGTGGGCTGCCAAGAAGGGCTGGTGATGGAAAGCCACCCAGGAAACCCTCAGTCAGTGAAGACACAGCCTCTCCTCTGCTGATGGGACAATTCTGAGGGGTGTTCTGAGGAACTCTCAGGGTCCTCAGAGGGACTGAGCATCAGTTGCCCACAGTGCCAACCACTCAATAACACACCTTTTTTTTAGCTTTATTATCCTTTTTCTGTCCCTACTCCCTGCTTTATGCATATAAATAATGTGCCCCCTAAGTCTTTGTCTTAGGGTTTTTGGAAACTAAAATATGATATGCTGCTTGGTGCTCAATAAATAATTGCTGAATACATGAGATCTGCTCAGCTGCCCCCAGATCATGATTAACACTGGAAGCGCTGAGAAAAGATAGTGCACAATTGTACTACTTCGCCTGACCTCCAGATGGAGCTCTCCTGCTCTGCTAGATACATTTTATGGTCCTCTGTGTCAGTGCTGTCTGCCCCCTGCCCCTCCCATTTGAAGGCACAGCCAGAGCCTCTCAATCTCAATCATCTCCAACCTGATGGAGGTTGGCTCAGGCCCACCTTGGTGGGAATTTGGAGCAGTGAGGCCCAGGATGCGGTACAAGTGGCTGAATCTTCACATTCGGGTGCTGTCAGGCTGCAGCCCTCATCCATTGCTGGTGCCCTGGTCAAGTTGGAATGACATCCTCCCTGAGGTCCTTGTGAAGGTCTCAGCCACATCCACTTACTTGTTTGGAAGCTTTACTTGGAATTTTGCAGCTTTGCTCTGACCTGAAACTCCCACTGCTTAGAGCCCTCTTCATTGCCCCCCACTTACTAAAACTGATTTCTTTGGAGATTAGCATCTGCCCAGGTTCAAGCCCAGATTTCAGAGAAATTAGACTTTAAAGTTAAAACAGTGTCTTTGGAGTCAAAAAGACTGAGGTTTAACGTCTACTTCCACCACTGACTGGCCAGATGACCATAGGGGCAGGATACTTACCCCTCCCAGCTTCATTTTTCTCATCCGTAAAATGGTGATACTAATATGTGTTTCAAAGGGTTTGATTGTTAGAGACAATATATCTAAGGTGCCCTGTATTTTCTCAGCACAGAGTAGGTCTTACAATTTTCTGCTGTTTTTTCGGTGTCATTTGAACAATGGACCCTCCCTCGGCCCTGCCTTTCTCTATTTTCTCACTATCCCCCAGCTCCCAGCCCATCATGCCTCCTGGTAGAGAATGTCTGAGTTACGAGTCTGAGTATACTGGCCTCTTTTAACTGGGTTGTGGTTGTAACAGCTTTGTTTTCTTAGAGTCTGTGTCTATTTGGCATCCATTCATCACAGGGCCAGTTGTATTAACTATCTTTTCTTGTTTTCTGTGTTCCTGATGCTCTGGCATTTGACTGGGGAGAGACTGCACCTCCCAGGCATAGCCAGTTCTTACAGAAAGCAAGGGGGCTTGCCCAAGAGCACTCTTTTTTTAAATGCAAAAACACCAATCCAGAGTCCACGCCCCCCACCATCTCTTTTATGGAATTCTTACACATGGAGCCAATATTCCCTCTTCCCTAAATCACCCCAGGGCCAGGCACCAGACAACTAGGGACAGTCCCTATGCTCCAAAGCCATCAGACTTATTCCAAGTAGCCAGTCCTAAGCTGTTTATCCTGCCCTGTCTTGCTTTTCCCATGGAAAACACAGTGAAGGCTCTGGCCCAGGCTCTCTCTTCTCTCCCTTCTGCCCCCTGACCAGCCAGGCTCTTTCCCATGTGGCCCTGTGTGGCATGGTGTGCCCCCTCCTCTTGGGAAATATAAGTTATAAAACTTCTCTTTCAATGGCATTAGTCTGTTTGTGTTGTCACTGAATCACCTCCATAAATTAAAATCCCACAGGTACATTTTAAGACAGTCCTACTCAAGTTCTTTTGGGAAACAGTTGAGGTGTTCAAATTGTCTTTAATAATGAGAATCCCCTTGGGTGCCGATATCTATCCTAAGGCACTTGGGGATGCCTTAGGTAAAAAAGTACCAGGGCCAGGCCTTATGGTTCAAGACCTTCTGATACCCACCATCATCTCTCCTGTGATCCCCAAAATGTGAAGAGTAGAGAGTCTAGTTCCATCGGAATCCAACACATGTTTGTAATTTTTGAAAATTATAAAAAATATGTTTGTCGTAAAACCAAAAATGATATAGAATTACACAAAGTAAAATGTGGGAGTCCCCACACACAGATCCCTTCCTTTGAACCCAATTCCTCAAGGATTCCCACTGTTCAAACTTTTGTGTGTGCATTCTTCCACCTTTTTGAGACTCTGCACAAACATGTACACATATGAGGATGAATTTGTTTTTGAAATGGAATCCAAACATACCTATTTTCTGCAACATGCTCTTTTCACTAAACAATATGTGGTGAATACCTTTCTCTGCCTAGCATTCTGCAGTATGAGCTGATTGTAAGTTATCTGGGCATTCCCCTACTGGGCACATTTTGGTTGTCTTGGATTTAGCCACTGTTTCTTGAGAGCTCACTCTCCATGTAGAAGGCTGGCAAAGCCTATACAATCTGCCCTTGGGTTTCACCCCAACTTCAGCTCCTCTTATCATCCCTTGCACCTCTGCCCCAACCACATTTACCTTACGTACTTTCCTCAAGTGTTCCAAACATGCTCCCACTTCAGGGCCTTTGCATGGGACTTTCCTTCAGCCTGGAATGTTTACACTTTAGACCTTCACAGGCTCATTCTCTCACTCATCTCCTTCAGGGTTCTGCTCAAACTTCATGTATCTGTGAGCCTTTCCCTTCCCTGCTATATGAAATAGAGCCCTCCTGCCTTGGCCCTACACACCCCCTCTGCCCTTACTTCCCCCTTAATGCAGTCACTATACGATGTAGGAAATGGTTACTGGTTTCTTATCTGTCTATCCTCATTAGAAAGGAAGGCTTGTGTGGGAACAGAGTTTCTGTCTGGTTCACTGCTGTGTCTCTTGTATCCAGAAAGGGCCCAGCACATAGTAGGCCTCAACAAACATGTGAATGAGTGAGTAGCCCTGTCTTGGTGCTAGTGCTCTCATGGCGTCTAGTTGTCACAACTACCCTGTGGAAGAGGTGGGTTTGCCTTATTTTAAAGTTGAGGAAACAGGCTTAGAGAGGTGAACTCCCTTACCCCAGGTCACACAGCAAGGAAGCTACCTGGATTAGTGATGATCAAATCCATTGGTCCTCAGAATTTCCAGGGAAGCCTGTTAAAGGCAAAGATGCCCAAGCCCTACTTCACATTTCCAGAATAAAGATCTTTGGGTGTTGGGCTCGAGAGTCTGCGTTTTAATGTGATCCCAGATGATTCTGAGAAAGGGCAGGGTTGAGAACCTTTGGCTTCTAGTGTGATTAAGCTTTCCTGGGGGCCTCCTTCTAAGATTTAGCAGCCTGGGGCCTGTAGGTTCTTACCACAGTGGAAGAGTCCTGCAGAATGGCCTGCAGAAGAGTGTGGGACCCACGTTGTTTCCAGCTAGAGGGAAACTAGTCTGTTTTCATGCTGCTGATAAGACATACCTGAAACTGGGTAATTTATAAAGAAAAAGAGGCTTAATGGACTCACATTTCCACATGGCTAGGGAGGCCTCACAATCATGGTGGAAGGCAAAAGGCATGTCTTACATGGCGGCAGACAAGACAGAAAAGAGGGCCAAGCGAAAGAGATTTCCCCTTATAAAACCATCAGATCTCATGAGATTTATTCACTACCATAAGAACAGTATGGGGGGAACCACCCCCATGATTCAGTTATGTCCCACCAGGTCCCTTCCACAACACGTGGAAATTTTGGGAGCTACAATTCAAGATGAGATTTGGGTGGGGACACAGTCAAATTATATCAGAGTGTGTCTCCCAGACCAGCTCAGGGTCTCTGTTCCTGGGCTTTTATTGCAGTCATGATGGTGATTTTCTTGTTGGAGGATAGCAAACTCCCAGGTGGCATTCACCTGTTTTCCCGGTTACTCTCACCTGTACATTTTCATTTCACTCAAATGTCTTTTGAAAATCCCATGTTGCCCCTTTCTATATCATAATTATTGGTGTTTTTTGCTAGGTGAGGGAGAAAGGAAATAGGCCCACAGGGAGGCAAAACAGACTCACACGGAATGCCTGGCCCAAATGCCACCCACATCACACCCTCTGCTCCTTCTGCCGGTGCCTGAGAGATGCTTGGCATCATTCCACGCAAAGAGAAGTGAGGAAGTTGGGCTGTACCAGGTCCTCCCTGGAGAGGCTGAGCTGGGGCCCAGGCAGATGTGAATGTGCCTCAGGGCTTCTTGGAATGTGGAAGGCAGGGCTAGTGTCTTTGGGTGAGGGCTGCTTCCCTGCACAGGTGCCTGTGATGGGGCTGAAGGGGCACCGGGCTTGGGGTGAGAGGTTTGGTTCACACACTGGCAGTTAACACTCCATTGTGTGTGTACCTTGGTTCTGCGAGGACGCTGTATCCACTGAGAAGGCTGTGGTGGAAAATGAATGAGGTGATTTAAGTAAGCGCCCCCTAGATATATACACAGGTGTGAATCATGGATCTGATGAATGTGCAAGCCCAGTCTTCTGGCAAGAAATGGAGTCTCTTTTCTCGATACCTGGATGAATGGAGGGTTTAGGAATTCAGACAGAAGAGCATTTAAATTCAGCTTGGTGTCTATGGCACATTCCTAAAATGTTCAGTTCTTTTTGTCCTGGCTAAAACATTCTCTAACAAATTCATTCTAATTAATATCCCTCAGTCCACAGCTTAAGTTAAACTTTCAGCTGGCTAACTATTGCTGAAACTAAATCCAGGCTGAGGACCTGGGCACTCAGGAATGCTTTCCCCACTCCCTTCCTCTCTCTCTCTCACTGCCTGTCTGTATTCATAAGACCCACGTTGTAATGCCAAATTGAAAGAACATGGGTTTTGGACCTGTGTTCAAATTTCCCCTTCTTAACTGCCCAAATAGTGGTGCTTCTTCCTGCTTGTTGTCCCTTTTCCTCCTTTTCCTTCTCATCACAAACTGAAGTCCCACCCCATTGATAAAGCTTTCATCATACCTTATCTGTATGCAATGTTTATTATTTATAAGGCATAATTGTATATGTTATCTCCTTTGATTTTTAATAATACATATTGTTGCTGGGAGACACAAACACGTTAATAACAAGTGTTGTTTTTACTCCCCCTTTGGAGATAGGGCACTGGGACTCGCATTAGGGCAGGATGCCCAGTGGAATTCTCAGATCTGTGCTGGTTTGCATTGGTCACTGGGGCTTGAGGGGTGATGACCCAAAAAAGGGCACTGACTTTTGTTGTTTACCCAACACTCAATTCCCTCTTTGGAAATAGCCTCTTAATTTTCCTTTGGAGACCTTTTCTTCTCCTTCTCTCAAAACGTACAGTTCAGGTGGGGTCTCCCCACCCATGCTCCAGCATCTTCAGGATATTCCGTGGCTCAAGTTAGAGTGATTAATTCATGGGAGGGCAGGTGACTTAAGTGAGTCCACTGAGACTGGACTGTAGGAGTCTACTCAACCCTGGGAGTCCAGGAGTCTTCTCTACTGGGATTGCTGAGCTACTAGGGTGTAGACCTGGAGTTGCTGGTGATACTGTCTCTCGTTACAACATACATACAACAGTCATACCACCTCAGAGACAAGCAGAACTGAGAGATGTGGAGACAGAGTTCAGACCGTATGCTTAGAGCACCTGGATTCAACACAACATGAAGTCAGAAGATCTACCCCCAGACTTTAATTATGTGCATTCAAAAGCACCCTTCCCCATTTTCTTGCTTTGAGGCATTTTGAGTTGGGTGTTCCATTGCTTTCAATTGAAAGAGTGCTAACCGATGGAGTCCCCAGATAGACTGTCTCTTTGGGAGAGTGGGAGGTGGCAGGAACTATGGCTAATTATTTTTTTTTCTGTTTTCATGAGCAAGCTGGCACTGATTAGGTGCCCATCGTCAATTCATTAACCATGAATTCAGTGGAAGATTAGAACGTTATTGGGAGTTTTGATCTATTACTTTAAAAGTTCTTGCACATTGGACTAATAATTCCTTTCCTGAGTGTTCAGGGAAGTCTGGAATAAATTTTCTTTGGGGTTCTTCCCAGCTTGCTTTATTTTCCACTGAGACCAGCTGTAATTCACATGGATTTGCACTGGAGAAAGTTGTATTTTATTTTTAGTATTGTTTGTTCAGATTCTTTACTAAGATTTCTTACCACCTAATCTTGAAGATCTGATCTTTCTGAAATGCAAGGTGGACCATCTCGCTTTTCTTCCTTAATGTTTCATGGGCTCCTCCTCTGCTCACAAAAGGAACTCCCAGCCATAGATCTGTAGGTTTTAGGAAATACACTGATTTCATGGTCAGTTTTTTGCATTAACTTGGCTAGGCTTCAGTCCCTAGTTATTCATCAAACACTCTGGGTTTTGCTGTAAAGACATTTTGTAGATGTGGTTAAATTCAATAATCTGTTGATGGTAAGTAAAGTTTTCCTAGATAATTTAGGTGCCTCAATTCAATCAGTCGAAAGGATTGAAGAGCAGAGCTGTGGCTTTCCTGTGGACCGAAGCATCAGCTCCTTCCTTAGTGTTCCAGCCTACCCTTCCTGGAGGACTCCCCTACAGATTTTAGACTTGTAGCCAGCCCCTACATCTGCATAATCCGAATCCCTGCAATATGCCTCTTAATATATATTTCCTACTCATCTGTTTCTCTGGTTGAATAGTCTTGTATACAGCGGACAAATTCCTCCCTTCCCTGAAATTATAGGCATAATGGTTGTGTAGGATTATGTGGGAGTAGAAGAGAGTCCATAATCTTCATAATATCAAAGGACCTCTCTCACATCACAGACTAATAACCCTGATTTGTGGGATTAATGAAGAAGTCTTTAACACGATGCACAGTTCTCCATAACCTGCCCTGCTGACGGTGTGAGCCTCATTTCCTGCCCCCTGACCTACTCACATTTTATAATCCAGTGTTACCAATGCACCTGTGCCTCTCAAGACAGTTTATGAAAATCTCTAGGGGATCAAGGAAGGCACCCTAGAGATTTCTGGGTGCTCCACACAAGACTTCTCATTTTGGGCTGGGTGAGGTGGCTCACACCTGTAATCCGAGCACTTTGGGAGGCCGAGGTAGGTGGATCACGTGAGGTCAGGAGTTTGAGACCAGCCTGACCAACATGGTGAAACCCTGTCTCTACTAAAAATACAAAATTAGCCGGGTGTGGTGGTGTGCACCTGTAATCCCAGCTACTTGGGAAGCTGAGGCAGGAGAATCGCTTGAACCTGGGAGACGGAGGTTGAAGTGAGACGTGATGGCACCGTTGTACTCCAGCTTGGGCAACAAGAGCAAAATTCCATCTAAAAAAATAAAAAGACTCCTCATTTTCCTACCTCCAATCATCATGCACAGGAGTGAAGAGAAGCCACAGACCTGTCATGGTTTGTGTAGACCCCAACTCACTCCTGCCTCCCACTTACAGCCTCACCAGCATGCCCTGCCTTTAGGCCACTGGGGGCTCTCATCACACCCTTCTCCCCAGTTCATGCTCTTCAAAACTCCCCTGGTCACTGTTCATCCTGTGGACTTTCATCTCCTATGGCTACTTCCTGGCTTATCTCCAACCCCTTCCTGATTTCAGAAGGCCATCCCTACTGCCCCTTAAAACTCAAGGCCGCTCATCAGCAAAGTCCCCTGTATCCTCACCATCCCTCTGAATGTCCTTTACCTTCTTGTCCTGACTGAAGCTTTGCTCTCCCCTGAGGACACCTCCTCTCCTGCACCCCACCAGGTGGAGGCTGTTTTCAACCCTTCATTCCTCATTTCACTGAGCCTGGAGGTGATATGGGTGACCTCCCTGCTCCTCCTTGCTCTTTCCAGACCATCCATCCTCCAGAGGTGAATCTCATGTCCTCTGTCTACACCACTCACTAGTCCTCCT
Organism: Homo sapiens; assembly: GCF_000001405.40. NCBI lineage: Eukaryota > Metazoa > Chordata > Mammalia > Primates > Hominidae > Homo > Homo sapiens. Next base: position 15,388,858 of record NC_000004.12, on the reverse strand, counting down.
GGATGATGCCATCTACTAATTATACCACCTTCCTCATTTCTTGGAGATTTCAGCTCCTGATCCCCTGTCACTTTCTCCAACATTACTGTCATAACTCTCAGTGATTTCAGTGTCTACTTGGAAGACTCATCACATATCCTGGTCTCACAGTTCCTGAACCTTTTTTCTTCCAACGGTCTTGTCTTCCTCTCCACCACAGCCTCTTACCTACATGATCATATCATTGACCTTGTCATTACCAATAACTACAGCACCTTCACAAATTCAAATTCAAGCTCCCCACTGTCCTGCCACCATTTCTATCCTTTCTGTTCATGTGTATCCCAAATCCCATGACTCCTTGACTTCACTTGCACACTGTACCTTTAATTTGTACCTTATTCATGTTCACCTCTGTCCTTACTCTGCTTAGAGTCTAATTGCTCTCTGAACACATACTTGACTCCTTGGCCCCTCTTTATGTTGTAACTTATTTGGCTAATCCACCATTCTGGCTGGATGGACGGGAGGAAAACACACAAGCATGTCGACTGCTCTCCATCTCAACATATGATGGTTCACCTCAAAATAGTCCTTAATTAATGTTGCATATCAATGATACTACATTCTCATATTTCTTTACATCCAACTCTCCTTTATAACCATTTCATATCTTCTTCTCTATCTTTAAACCTCTGGCACCTCTTCTCTCCTGGTTACTTTCAATGAATGGCTTTATTTCCCATTTTATTGAGAAAAGAGAAGTAATCAGAAGATATACAATCTCCCACCACTGCATAGATATGCCTTTTACATTGCATAATGCTGGTGTGTTTGGCCTTTCCTCTTCAGTAAGAATGAATGGTTAGTGCCTCCGTCCAAGGTCAACCTTGCACCTGTGCCCTGGATACCATCTTCTCTCCTCTTCTCCCTTACTTCATGACATCACTAGAGCAGTTCTCCTCTCTGTCCTGCATACATTTCCTTCTCTTTGAAGGATAATGTATATATCTGTATATCTATATATATGTAATATATACAGATATAGTAATCTAGTCGTGTATGTAAAATTAGATATGTAAATTAAATATATGCAGTGATATATATTACTGTTTATAGCATAGATATTACTGTATATACTACCACTTCTCTTTTCAGACACTACCTTATTTCACTGTTCCCTTTCATCTCAAAGTCCTTGAATAAAGGATTTCTATTCACTCTCTACAATTGCATTCCTCTCATTCTTTCTGAAAGCCACCCCATCAGGCTTCTGTCCCACTAGTCACTGGAATCCCCCTTGCTTCTCCCTCTTTCTTCTCTTGTCCTTCAGAAACCACTGTCTCTTGGTTTTCCTCTTGCCCCTCAGACTCCTCATTGCCCTTTTTTCCAGATCCTCTTTCTCTTCTGAATCTGGCAAATATTGGAAGCCTAGGTTCAATCTTGGAATACCTTTACTTCTCCACCTGCACTCTCCCTTGGTGATCTTGTCTAGCCACATGGCTTGTAATGTCTATTTCTAGCCCAGACCTCCCTCCTGAATGCCACACTCACATTCAGCTACCTGCTAGACACCTCCACATGCATGTCTGATTGGCTTCATGAACCCAGCTCATCCAGCACCTTCTCTTGCTCTCTCTCAACCTGTCCCCCACACACTTCCTCGTCTCAATAATTGGTAGCAAATTCTTTCGGATGCTCAGGCCAAATAACTTGGAGTCCCCTTTGATTCTCCTTTTCCTGCAAATTGTACATTAACAAATCCTTTGGTTTCCCATAAACATCACCTCAAGTGTCTCAGCATTTCTCCCCATACCTACTGCTGCCACCTTCCTTCCTTTCAACGCTGTCTTCTGCCTGAATGATTGAAACAGTCGCTATCTGGTTTTCCTGCTCCTGCCCTTGTAGAAGCCACTCAGCAGACAGAGCCCTCCTGGTAGGACTCTCTAATGGCTTCCCTTCTTACTCTGAATAAAAGCTAAAGGCTTAGAGTGAGCCAGGAGGCCTTCCGTGGCCTGCCTCTCCCAACCAGTCTACATCATATTCTACTTCTTCAACTCTGGCCACCCTATCTCTGTGCCACTCCTCAAGCCTGCTGTGCATGCTCCTGCCATGGGACATTTTCACACACTGTTCTTCCTGCCTAGAAAGCCTTTCCCTCAGATGTGTGTGGCTATGACTCCACCTATACCCATCTATAGCATCGTCTTGCTCTTCCACCTCTTCCAGATTTATACTCAAATTTCACTTTGCCCATGAAGCCTCTTTTGACCACTCTCTTTAAAATTGCAGACCAAACCATTCCACACCCCCTTTTCTTTGTTTTCTCCATGACTTGTATGGTCATCTAAGGTACACGTGTTTTATGTATTTCTTTTTTTATCATCTGTCTTCCCCATAAAATATAAGCTCCACGAGGGCAGGTATTTTTGTCTGCACTTTTCGTTGCTGAGTGCTGAGCAACCAGAACAGTGTCTGGTGCCTATTAGGGACCTGCATTTGTTGGATGAAAAAATGAAATAAAAGCCATAAATGTTGACAAATAATATTTGGTTGGGACCCATGACCTCTTGTATCTAAGACTTCAATGAGCTAGTTTCTGTACTAGCCTCCTCCATGGTCCCCTCAAAAGCTCCATGCATGAGAGACAAGGCCAGGGAAAGGAACAGTGTGTGCCATCTGGAGCTTTGGCCACAAACTCCTGAGTAGGAGCCCAGAACCCTGTGGAGCCGGGCTGGGATGCGGACATCCTCCCTGCTCTCTGAGGGACAGCACTCTGCCAGGAGAGGCAGGTCCAAGGAAAAGGAAGGAGAATAGACAGCTTTTGGTTTTGGCTTCCAGGTCTGGTTTTTGAGCATAACAGTCTGGTATTTGAGTTTTTCTGGCTGGCGAAACAAAATGCTACAAATAGAACTGTCCTTAGTGAAATTAATTTCATTTTATTATCGTGTTATGATGTGATTTGTCTGTCTTCAAACAGAGTAATCTAATGTAATATATAAGCCGTAATGAAGGTGGTTGTTAAACTTTCGGTGTGTGTCTATTTTATTTTTACCTGTGAATTCTTCACCAAGCGAGCCCGCTCTTGTTGAAATTGCCCAGCCAGGGTACTGAGAACTGGAGTGGGGATAGTATAATCCACCTTGCCTTGCCTGCTGACAGTGCATTTTCCAAATAGCAATCGGAGTGGACTTTCAGATCGGAGTGGACTTTCAGATCTGTCAGTCACTCTTCTGTTGAAAACCCTGCAGTAGCTTCCCACCTCTCCCAGGATAGATCTCAAAGTGTTTTCAAGACCTTAGATGATCCCCCTCCCACTGCCTTCTGACCTCAAGTCTCTGCCTCATGGGATCCTTTCCAGCCACCCTGGCATCTTTGTTGTTCCTGAAACAAACCAAGCACAGTCCATCCTGCCTTCTGTCCTCCTTGTCACTCCTCAGCTGAGAATGCTGTTCTCCCAGAGGCTGATGTGGCTTATATCTCTGCTCCAACATTGGCTTCCCATGGCTCCCAGCCTTATCTGACCCACCTGTCTACACTTTTCTGTCTCTATGTCACTTCCTTTTCTGTGGTCCTTCTGACATGTACGTCTTTGTGTTTTCTTTGTCTGTCACCCCTCAAGTGGACTCTAAGGGGCTAAAGGGAGGGACTTTGTCTGTTTTGATCACAGCTCTGTCCCAAGCACCCACAATAGTGCCAGGTACTTGGTGAGCGCTTAGTTCTGCCTCTCTGTTACTGTGCTGGTCTTGCGGGTAACTAGAATTCCTAAAAAACAAGTCAAAGAGACCAGTACTTATTTACAAGAGCTTGGGAAGACAGACAGAAAAAGAGAGAAAGAGAAGGAGAGAACCAGTGTTCAAGAAATCGCAAGCTCCTAACCCTTGTTCTCACAAGAGAATGCCCTTCTTGGGAGCCCTGAAACACTGGCTGATCCTGGGTCTGTCCAATCCTGCTCTTGCTTCTCCCTGCTATGGTGCTGGTGAGGGCTGATAGGGCAAGGTGGAAGAGAATCCTGCAACCCCACTCCCCGGAGGCCACTACTTGCTCTGGTCTGCCTGCCAGCTGCCTCCCCAAACCAACCCTTATGATTTCAAATAATTAAAGGAAGACAGTCAAAATCGGAAACATTTGGAGATAAGAGCCTGATCTGGCCCAGTAAAGTTTATGCTTACAAAAAGTTTCACAGGCCAAGTATAAAAATGGTCTATGGTTTAGATTAACTCCCTTTCATTTGTCATGTCTTGAACCATTTCTATAACACTGAACAGAAAAGCTCCGGAATTCAGTTTTCTTCCTGCACACACCTCTTTGCTGGTGAGGCTCCAGAACATTCTCTAGACTCAGGGGTCATAGAAAGAGAATATGTGTGGTCAGAGGTCTTCTCAAATAGTATATACCTGGGCCAAGTTATTTTCAAAGCTGAGATGAGCTTAGAGAAGTCATTATAGTTTAGGGTTTAAAATAAAAAAAAAAGCTGTATTTGTGTTTCACTTGAAAGGCAAAATATATGCATGGTGTCATGGGCTGTTTTTAGATGAGATCCTTTGTAAATAAACAATTGCTATCATTTCAATCTGTCAAGGAGGACAGAAGTGAATATATACTTCCTTTCTAGTGCTTACTCTATGACAAGCACTGGCCTGGGAGCTCTCAGCACTCATTTAATCAGCTCACTGTCTTTATCTTAAGCAATGATCCCAGGTTCAACCTCCTAGAGAAAAACATTATCATAGTCATCTCAATTTCCCTACTATCCCCAATTTATTCAAATTCCTACCCATCTTCACTTGCTTCTCACCTGCCTCAGTGGACACAGCTGTGAGTCAGGATCCATGCTTGTTCAAGACCAAGTCCTCCACCTGGGTGGTTGTTTTGATCCATCTCTTTCCTCTCCAAGATTACCTGGTCTAACTACCTTCTCTCATTCTCTGATAGCCTCCATTTCTACCACTGGCTGGTTGCTTTTAACCTACACAAATGTTCAATTTTTGTCCATTCTGAAATAACCTTGACTTGGCTCCCATAGCCACCTCTAACACCATGCATCTCTGTCCTTCCAAGGAAGGTGGACCTGGCAGGTTAAAGGCATGTTTCAAGACTAGCAAGGGGTGAAGAAAGCAAATCAGCCCTTTCCAAAGATACTACAGACGTTGCTACCTGAAAGCATTCAACTGTGCCTAGTATTCTGTGGTTGGGAGTAGGTGGGAATGACTATTTCTGAACAATAACAATTTGAAGGTACAAAGCCTTAGGTAAATTTCCTAAATTTCATTGGTTTCTACAGTGTTCTGGCTAAGGCCAGCTAGGAGTTGGAGATTGGCCATTGCAAGTGAAAGGTGTGTGGGATGAGTATGCACAAGTACCGGACAATGGAGGATATAAATTGTTTTTGTTTTCTGCCTAGTGACTGGTTTTGAGCCTTTATGGAGAGAGTTGTATCAGATACTGAAAGGAATGCTTCCAGGAAAATTTTTCAGGAGGGCATTTCTAGGAAAGGCTTAAGTCTGTTGGTATTAGCGTAACCATTTTGGGGGCCATGTGAATCAACATAGGGAAGTGGCTTTCTCTCTACCTCCCTCTGCCCTGAACCTAGCAACACTCTGGCTGCATGAAAATTATCATTTGGGGGGATTGGGGGAAGATAAGAGATTGCATTTGTCACACAAATATTACCATTGCCAAGAAGGACAACATTAGGGTCCATGGTTTGCATAGTGTCTGCTGCCTTGGAGTTCCTGAGTACATGTGGGTACAGCACAGAGACATCAAGAAAGGCTTAGGTGAAGTTGCTCAGTGAGAGGAGAGGGCATGACGTTGGATTGTTGACATTTGAGTGTCCTTATCAGCATGCTTAGGCTCCTAAGTCTGGAGAAATAAAATGTTTTCTGTAAGAGGGCAGGGATTTTTGTCTGTTTTGATCACCTCCGATTTGGTAAGCACTAATAAGTATTTGTTCAATGAACATGTAATGACTTTGGCGGCACTTGGGCCAGGAAATGTGGTGAGCCTGCCGAGAGCTGGATACTTAGTCCGAACAGCTGGAATCAAGTAGGATCCAGGAAGAATCAACTAAGGTTAGATTAACAGTATGGAAGGGAAACAGTGAAGCAAGAGCAGTGGCTTTTTTTAAGAAAGTCTGGCTGTAAAAATAAGGAGACAAATCAGATGGGAGTTTGAGAAGGGTATGGGATTCATCATGTGTAACAATATGATGCAAACTGTACTACAATAGATAGGAAATACCAAAATAGGCCTGAGTATATCATGCATTGTTTTGAATGGGGCTTCTAATGCATTATCTCAACAATCTACATATTGACCAGGTGAGATGGGTGGGACAGGTATGTTAATTCTTTTTTCCAGGTAAGGAAAGAGAGAGAATAAGGTTAAATGGTAGTTTGCTGAAGGTTGCAGCATTCATTCGTGAACAAGAACCCACGGCTTTGAATTGTGTTCTAGAATTTTTTTTTTTTTGCTTTATCATCTTGCAGAAATGAGTTTTTGGCTAATGAATAGATTTTGGCTATGCAAATCTGTAGGCTCTTTTTTTTGTTTGTGATTTTCCTCTTTTTAATTTTGCAATGGTGACTATGAGGTGACAAGCTTTAAATCTTTGACTGGAAAGGTCACAGTGACATGGGGAGATAATTAAAATGGAAAGAAAACCACATTTGAAACCTGGCTTCACGGGTTAAGATGAGGATAATGTATTGAAACAGCTGAGAGCCTCTGTGAAGGCTTTATTTCACATCACAGCGACACAGAACAAATTGCACAAATTCTGGGAATTATATCCCTTGGAAACAAACACTGAAGTCACTTTTTAAAATGTCACCAAATGGCTCTGTTGACTCTATTTTGTAACAAGTTACAAACAGATGGCACTTTGAAACATACGATGCAGCTTGGAAAATGAAATTGCTTAGACATTTTTGTCTGGTTTGCTAAGATAATGTGATGAAGCCCCAAATGAAAGAATCTTGGCATGCACTGATAGAGAAAGGCTACACACCATTCAGTAGATTTGTTTTAATTTCTCACAATTAAAGAGTTGGTTCTTCAACTGTCAATCCTGTCTGAGTTGGGTTCCATGAAGTTGCGTTCCATTATGCACTTGCTGAATAAAAGGTGCAAAGCAAGGGAGAAGAGAATTACCATTTCCTGAATGTCTAGTTCATGCTAGCCTCTTTATACGGCATATAAACAATTTATATATCTTATTTATTTATAAAGAAATTCTATGGGTAGCTACTATTGCTCTTATTTTAAATATGAAGAACCTGTAGTCCAGAGACGTCCCATACCTAATTAAGTGCACAGCTGGAATTCAGACTTTGATATGTGCACCCAAACTCATGTTTTTCCCATTTTATCTACTTCAGGAAGAATTTTGTTCCTATCTTCCCCTTTTCACTTTTTAAGAAAATATTTCCATGTTCACAATTTTTTTTTTTTTTTGAGATGGAGTCTCACACTGTTGCCCAGGCTTGAGTGCAGTGGCGCCATCTCTGCTCTGCTCACAGCAAGCTCTGCCTCCCAGGTTCACGACATTCTCCTGCCTCAGCCTCCCGAGTAGCTGGGACTACAGGCACCCACCACCATGCCTGGCTAATTTTTTGTATTTTTGGTAGAGACAGGGTTTCACTGTGTTAGCCAGGATTGTCTTGATCTTCTGACCTCGTGATCCACCTCCCTCAGCCTCCCAAAGTGCTGGCATTACAGGTGTGAGCCACCGTGCCTGGCCAATAATTTTTAAATATTAAAAGAGATACAGCTAGTAAATGTTTATGTAATATAGTCCAATTTATATATTAAATTCTATATTTATTGTTTTCAGAAATAGGAATTTATGGCATATTTTGACAAGTATGGTTTGTTGAGTCACTCAAGACCCAACCCAATTCACTTCTCCCTCTACCTTTTTTTCTTTTTCTTTCTTTTTCTTGAGACAGAGTCTCACTCTGTTGCCCAGGCTGGAGTGTAGTGGTGTGATCTTGGCTCATTGCAACCTCCACCCACCAGGTTCAAGCGATTCTCCTGCCTCAGCCTCCCCAGTAGCTGGGATTAGAGGTGTCTGCCACCATGCCTGGCTAATTTTCATATTTTCAGTAGAAATGGGGTTTCACCACATTGGCCAGGCTTGTCTCAAACGCCTGGCCTCAAGTGATCCACTTGTCTTGGCCTCCCAAAGTGCTGGGATTACAGATGTGAGCCACTGTGCCTGGCCTCCCCATACCTTTTTTAAATGAAAGACTGGAAAGCAGAATACGCAGACTTCCAGATTCCCTTGCAGCTAGGGGTAACCCTATTACTTACACAGTTTCACCAATAAAATGCACATGGAAAGTCTTGGAGGAAGGCTTCCCTTCTGAAATTAAAAGGCAAAGTTTGACAAGGAAAAGGCTTTTGTTTTCCTCCATAGAATATGAACTCGATACCTGGAGGTGCAGCAGCTATATTGCCACCATAAAAATAAAAGCCCATGCTAGCATTAGTGAGAAGGAATAGAGAAGGACACTGGTTTCCTAGTGGCATCCTTGGATAGCTACAGCATTCTTAGACCTTCCTCTGGGCTTCTTGTTGTGTGAGAAAAATAAACCTCCTGCATAATAAAGGAACTGGGTTTTCTGATACTTACAAATACAATCCTAGCTGATACACTTAATAGCCAGAATTTTAAAAGGTATTCCTATTTTCTAACACAGTTCAATTTTCATGCCAGCTTTTGTCCCAATTTGTAGTTTGCAAACACTGAAAGTATAGCCTTTGAATTAGACAACAGATTCATTGGAAAGATATTCATTTTGTTGGGCATTAACTGCAACAGAGTTGGGTCCACTCCCTGGTTATGGAAGAATGGCCCACATGGTATGATCCAAGCAACTGTGGCCCTTCCAGACAATCTGGACATCACTTCAACCAACGTAATCGGCCTGGGTTAGGGGAAGAAGAATAGGACAGCTGGACTCAACATGTCCCCACCATTTTGCCTTGCATGGATGTAGACTTGGCCTTTGATTGGAAAGTTTAGAAAGGAACTTGAGGAATCATTTTGTCTCTTTTCACCTTGGGGAAGGACCACACTGAAGTCATACCAGACATATATGATAACTGATCTGGTTTTAATAGACCTCCAAAGAAGACAATTCCACAGCCTCTTCCCTAAGGAGACCATGTCAACATTTAAAAACTCGTAGTAAATTCTTCCTTTGCTGAAATAGAATTTGTATTGCATGTGGGTTAAAAAAAAGCCCCTTATTTTTCTAAAGCAGAGTGACAGAGTGGAAAGTTAGCAGGTTGTGGAGTCCAGCAGTCCTGGGTTGACTTGCGGCTTTGCTGCTTGCTAGTTGATGAACTTCCTTGTTATTTAACATCACTAAGCTTCATTTCCTTATCTGTAAAATAAGCAAAGTAATAGCTACACTATAATCCCTGAAGTTATGGTTCAGAGCTAATATATGTAAAATGTTGGGAATATTATTTGTCATAAAAGTAAGTGTTCGAAAGCAGTTCTTTTTTCCCCTTCTCTGTCGACTGGACAACAACTTACCACTATTCTCTGGTTGAAATTGTGTCGGATCCCAAGAAGCATCATGAATTGCTCCATAACTTTCTTCACTACAGGCAAATTAACTCCAATTTCCTAATCCCATCCTCTTTACTCTTATTTTTCAGTCCTTGAATCTTAACTCGGGAACTTGTTTACAAAAAAATTATATTAAAAAAATGTGCTTTGCATTCTGGGGAATTGCAGTTTTATAAAGTAAGCAAAAAATAACAGTACTTGAAAATTGAAAATATTGACCCATATATTCTATTTTGCTATACACACCAAATACTCATTCTAGGTTGCATTGAGGTCACTATGGTGACAAAGACAAAATGGAGTAATGAGACAATCATTTGGATTGTTACAGCCAAGGATTTGGCCACAATTATTAGGCTAATTGAAAGACAAAGTTTACTTCTCTGGTGCAAGTTCTCTGAATGGTGATCTTCATTTTGAGTAGGCCACTAACTTAGACCCAAGTGATCTGCTGTGCCATTTTAAGAAAAGGAACATTTCAGACCCTGGATTGTTTTTAAAAGCTGTACACTCTATTAGTTCTTGGCTAATAGAGTGTTGGATTGACTGACTTCTGGCAGCTTTGGACGTTGACTCCACTAACATATGCACAATTTCAGACTTGAAGCCACACAGGAAGTAATTGTGAAGCCTCACAATTAATTCCTAAAAATCTGCCATGTGGTGGTTCTTATCTCCTCCAACAATGTAATCCCTAGGAATTGTGATGATATGAGCTTTTAAAAAAATTGTTAATTAATCTTCATTCACTTAGGACATACTAGTTTGTCTGTGATGAGGAAGAACATGTTGAAAAAGCCCAGAACATTGAATGAAAGAATGAAACAGCTACTGTAATATAGTTTGGTTCAGAGATTTTTTTCTTTCTTCTTTTCATACAATTACTTATGGCATATGATACTAAGAAAGAGAAAGAAAATTCCAAAGCAGAGTTTTCTGAGCAGAGTCTAGAGAAGCCCCATAGATTTACTCCAGCTGTGCAGTTAATAGGTGATGAAACAGGCTTAAAAAGAGCTTCAGTGACTTGTCTAGTGTCCCATGGTTAGTCAGTGGCTTACTTAATCATGGCTTTGTTTCGTTTTGTCTTTCTTATGATTCAGCTTTGAGCTAAATGCCCCTCCCTTAATGAGGTGGTCCTTGACCATGTTAGCTAAAGAATTAGCTCCTTCCTGGCACCTAGTCACTGTGTCTTGTTATTCTGTTTTATTTTATTCATACCACTTTTCAATTTCTGAAGTTACATTCTGGTTTATGATTCTGTGGTTTGTCTCCTGTAAAGTGCAAGCTCCACAAAGGCAGGGACTTTGGCTCTTGTTCACTATTATATCTAAAATAATGTTTAGGACATATAAGTCCTCAGTGCAAATTTGTGGATTGAATGGACCAGAGCTAAAGAGGAAAGGAACTCTTGTTTCTTAGGTATCTATTATGCTAGTTGCGGTGCTAAGTTGTTTATGTGTGTTACATAAACTAAGAGGTAAGTGATGTGCTTGGAGCCTTGCAGTTAGAAAGTGGAGAAGCCAGAATTGAAAGTCAGGGATATTTTGCTTCAAGTCATGACATCACAAGAAATGATTTTCAGTGTTCAATGCTTCCTGCTCCACCACCCTTTCCATGACCTCTTCCCAGGCATCTAAAGTTCCCAGTACACCAAGTTTGTGTTTGGCATCCCCTGTTGGCTTATATCTGTCTGGGCACTATAGTTTTCAGAGAAACCAACTTGAAGATATTATATTCAACACAGCAAATACTCTATGTTGCTGGTGCTTCTCTGTATAAAATTTACTGAGTAAATTTCTCATAGATATTATAGCTTTATTTCAATTTGATGATGAATCCTATTGAGTTGCACAAATTTGCCATGAAAAGCCTACCAGAGAAAGAAATCCACCCATCTGCTGATGATTGAAACCTGATGCAATCAAAGATGATAGAAAGTTCAGATGACATGGGCCAAAAGTTGAAGAAAGCACGGGGGTATCAACAAGATAGGAAATAACCCTGAAATAGTGTTGATTCTGACCACAGGGTAATCCACAAATTTGAGTTGGGGAAAATGTCAAATTTCTCATCTCTATCAGGACTTTTCACCTTCTTCAGGTTAGGTCATATTGGATATAACAATTTCCATTTTGTCCCAGATTATAGAACTGTCAAACTTTAGTATATACCAGAATCATCTAGATAATTTATTAACAAAGGGGCACAGGGACCTACTTTAATTAAAGAGATTCTGTGCCAAGCACAGAGTGAGGGCTTAATTGATGGTGACCATTAGCATTGTTATTTATTTCACTCTTCCCCAAAGGGCAGGTGTGGGCCTGACCCATTCATTCACAGATTGGCAAGAGAAAGAAAAAATATGCACAAAACTTGGAATTTGAAAACCTGTGTTCAGACATCAGTGCTGCTAATTTCTAGGTATGTGACTTTGGATGAGTCACTTCATGTCTTTGAGCTTCAGTTTACTCGTCTGAAATCATCACAGTCAATAATGTTTATTTAGAAGGCCATTGTAAGAACTGGATAAAGGAATGCAGAAGAAAGAATCCAACAACAAAAGGGCAGGAGGCTGTGGTTTAAAATGTGGACTTTCTCTATTATGATTAAAACACTCATTTACTTCCAAATCCCAGCCCTGCCAGCCATCATTACCTGTGTAATTGTAGGCAAGTAAACCTCGCTAGCCTTGGTTTTCTCATATATGAAAGAGACAAAAACAATACTTTGTCTATATCAACTCTCAAACTTTACATGAACCCTGCTGTTATGAGCTCTATTTTATTGTAAGGGAACTGAGGCACAGAGGAGTTAAGTAACCCAACCCAGATTCACACAGATGCCAATCTGGTTTGTGTCTCCAGGAACTCTGCTTCAGAGTCTCTACACCTTACTAGTGAGCCTGCTGCTCCCACGAGTGCACAAGGCATGTTTAGGAAGGGCCCAGCACACGACAAATGCTCAGTAAATATTTCCCCAAATTTGAATAACTTACTTTCACATTACAAACTTCATCCTTCTATTTCGTTACGCAGTCCACTGCACAGCTCAGACAGTCAGTGTTCAACCCTATTTAGCTATTGCCCGTGAACACAAAAGTGCACTTGGGCTGCATAAAAACTACAGACATGTTTATACAAGAAGGGGAACATTGTGTCACATTTGGTTTTTATTGCTTTCAGCACATTAGGCACATACTATCTGTTTATTAGGTAAAGGTGAAAGGTTACAGATCACCTTAGAATAAAAGTATAGATGAGTTGCTTGAGAAAGGGCTACATAGAAAATTGCTGTTATAAATGTACAGTAACCTAGAGCCTTTCGACTCTTGGAAGCAGCTTATGTGTGTGCTGACAATGACTGACATACTGGAAATGAAACCCGTCTTAACAGTACAGGATGTGGAAGTACACACCAAAATTACTCAAAGAGAGGAAAGGAAGTCAGATGTCAACTAGAGTTAAGGGCAATTATTATTTATTTTGGAGGAGCTTTCCAGTGAGTTGGGGGAACACAACCCAGGCTGAGGGTGTGGGGTCTTATTGAAATCATGAATCAGAACAAATTGGGAGATACATAGTCTGATGATAAGACAGAGTGTGAGGACTCGGGACATATGTTCCTTGCAGCCATAGAATTCATGATGAGGGACTTGCAAAATGGACATTCAAGTTCCTGAGGACAAAGGCTGATCCAAACAAAACGATTCCGTTCAAGTTTGTTGTATTTCTTTTAACTACTTCCCAGTCATTACCCACAATTTGATTTGAAATACTTATAAAAGAAATGTACCCCAGTACAATGCATCATTTATGAAATTATGCATTCCATTTATAGAATTACTATTAATGCAAACTCATAGTTTTACCAACACAATTTAGATATTTCTGCTTCCATATTGCAATGATTGCATTATCCTCCCATGGCCAAGTGGAGTGGTAAGCACATTCGTTTAATAATAAAATAGACAGTAAATAAATCAACACCCTTAATGAATGCTAAATTGAACACAGAATTTATGCCACTATAAGGAAATCTCCACAGAACAATATTCACTTTAATGCTTTCTTTTTCCTCTACTAAAATCCTACAGTGTATCAAAATGAAGAAAGCACCTTCAATGTGAATTATGTAGGAATGGACACGATGACAATTCTGTTTTTCAGAGTAGGGTTACAGAGACACTTCTGCTTGCCCCCGCGAGTGTCGGTGTCAGCCTCACACTCCTCTTGAGTATGGATCTATAGCTATGAAGGAGCATAATTGGCAAGGAAGGGCTTTTCAAAACTAACCCTTCCCAAGCAAAGCCGATTCTGACGACTTTCGCTTTCCCTCTCTTGTTCAGCAGAAGCAACCCCCAGAGGAGTTGTGTTATTGACTAAGCCCCAGTCGGTAAACACCCCTGAACATCATAAAAAAAAAGAGAGAGAGAGAGAGAGAAACACCAACATGAGCCAAAAGACGCCTTTCTAAGGAAAAAAAGCCTGAAGACGTTTATCAATGGAGAGAGGGCTGTTTACTTACATTGCTCACAAGACCTTCCAACAGCTGGAGTCTTTGAACTCTAGTGTGCGCAGATGTGGAGCTTTTGCTCAAAATCCCCTTCCCTTTGGCAGCGAGGATTATTCATAATTCTTTGGGGCTTCAGATTGATAAGTAATTTCCTGATTCGCTTTCAAAAGCGTTCTCCCAGGCTTTGAGCGGTGGCAGAGAGAGGGAGCGGGCAAGGACCCCGGCGTGCAATGACGCTGTGGCCTACACAGATCTCCTGATTGTTTGATCGAGCCCGAAAGAAGACGTCGACATTACAAACAAAAATAAATATCCTTCTTTATCTGTTGGCTCGCTCCCCAAATCATATTTGGGAAATAGCACAGTGAGTCTGGACAATATTTTTTCTAAAAGTGTGATATTAGCTGAACACCTTCTCATTGTTGTGCTGGGAGAGATCAGGGCACCTCTGACTGGTCTTCAAAGACCAGCAGTTGCAATTTCTTTCTTATCAGCTACTTTACAGGATGTTCTTAGAGACCAAGCAGCCCAGCCCCTTCGGTTGACAGTAGAAAGAAACGATGCCCAGGGCTTACAAGACTTGACCAGCATCACACAGCTAGTTAGTGGAAGGACAGGAACCTAAGAGCCGACTGTCAAGCCAGTGCTGTGTCCACTGTAGGGAGGTGGAGGCAGATGCAAGGGCTGGAGATCTGACTCTCGATCTTTTAAGATACCTATCACTGGACATGGCCCTTAATGTTTCTGAGTCTTGATTTTCACAGCTGCAGAATGAAAATCGTAATAGTAACCCTTGCTTGGTCATACAATGTGGTAATCTCTCTGAAAGCATTTTGTCCAGGATGAAAGCAATTGTATCCTAAGATGAAATTTTGTCGTCACAGCCCCATTTACATGCTTCTCTTCTCCTTTCCATTCTCATTTTCCATTCGGTGTTATTTTCTGACTGAAAGAAACCATTGAGTGACTTTTGGATGGAGAAGGAGGAGTATAGTGGCCAGGAAATGAGATAGAATATGGAGAAAATTTTACCTTGGAAATCCAGGTCAAGATTAGATGAAAGGGTATACAGCATATACAGCATATCTTAACATGTGCCTCAGAAAGAACACTAGATCTAGAAATAGAAAATCAAGGCTTGGCCACTGCCTGGAACACTTAACAGCCAAGGGAGCCCTGTGGAGTCATTTAAACGTTCCAAAACACAGTTGACTCACTGGGTATGTGATCCCTGTCCCATTGCACTTACCTCATTTTGTTGTGGTTAGAATCAAATGAGGTGTTTATCAAGATAGTGCTTTGCAATGTTTTAGGCTTTGAAACTATAAAGTAGTTGCCATGGTTTGAATATACGTGTTTCCCCACAAATTCATACGTTGGAACCTAAGATCCAATGTGATAATATTAAGAGGTGGAGCATTTAGGAGGTCATTAGGTCACAATGGCAGGGCTCTCGTGAATGGGATTCATGACCTTGTACAAGGGCTGGAAGGAGATAGCTAAGCCCTTTTTGCCCTCTACCCTTCTGTCATGTGTGGACATAGCATTTGTCCCTCTGGAGGACTTAGCAACAAGGTGCCATCTTGGAAGCAGAGACAGAGCCCTCACCAGGCCTTAAACCTGTTGGCACCTTGATCTTGGATATCCCAGCCTCTAGAACTGTCAGAAATAAATTTCTGTTGTTTATAAATTACTTAGTCTGTGGTATTTTGTTATAGCAGTACTAATGGGCTGAGACAGTGGTATTTTCCAGCGGGATGTGCAACTACCATTGCCCATTTCATCTGTGTCATTGGCTGACACCACTAGGTGCCAGGGCTCCTGGGTTCTGCCTTGACTTTTTTTCCCCCTTTTCCTTTTAGGAGTGTATTTCATCTTTTTTCCCTTGTTATCCACCTCTTGGTACTTGTCTCCCATGCTTGCTGCTATTGGTTTTCTTTCTTAGGACTCAAATTGTCCTTCCATTTTTCATGTAATGTTAAGAATGAAGAACAAAGAGAAAATATTTTGTTCAGTCACACAGAAAGGCATCCACGGTATCTTGACACAAATGGGAATGTCTTTAT
Source organism: Homo sapiens (assembly GCF_000001405.40). Taxonomy (NCBI): domain Eukaryota; kingdom Metazoa; phylum Chordata; class Mammalia; order Primates; family Hominidae; genus Homo; species Homo sapiens. The sequence continues at coordinate 15,372,715 of NC_000004.12, read as the reverse complement.
TTTTGAAGTAGCCATGAACAAAGATCAAATGAATCAAGATCAGCGCCCCCTTGAAAATGATCAAGTCACAAGTCCAACTCATATTTTATGGTTCCATTCACTATCTTACCCTTTTATTAATTTATTATTTGAATGTTATTTAAGATTTGCACTCTATCATCTGTAAGAAGAATTTTCTAGTAGAGTCTTGCTTGGGCTGCCATAACAAAATACCATAGACTGGGTGGCATAAACAACAGAAATGTATTTTCTCACAGTTCTGGAGTCTGGAAGTCTGAGATCTGGGTGCCAGCGTGGTTGGATTCTGGTGAGGCTTCTCTTCTTGACTTGCAGATGGCTGCCTCCCTTCTGTGTCCTCATATGGTGGGCAGAGGGAGATCTTTCTCTTCCTTTTCTTAAGAGACCATAGTCCTATTGGATTATGGACCCATCCTATGACCTCATTTAAGTTGGATTAGCTATGAACGCCTCTATCTCCTGATAAAGCCGTAATAGGGGTTAAAGCTTCAACACATGAATTTTGGGGTGACACAATTCAGTCCATAGCAAGCCTGCGGGAAGTAAAAGAAGGGAACGAATACTTATTGAGCCTTTTTTTTTCCCTCACTGAATTGTCAAAACAACATTGATATCTTGGTAGTGACTTTTCTAAGGTCACAAAGCTAGTAAGCAGCAGTGACCAAATGTAAACCATGACGACAAGAACCCTGCTCCCCTCATGACACATTCTGCCTCCACCTCCTCTTTTCTCCGAGATTCTGAGCTGTGACCCTTTCCTTTCCTTTCCTACTCTTTCCTATTGAGTTGCCTGGAGGCAAGACATTGTTACCCAGAGCACCATGAGAAGGAAGCCATGGGGATTCCCTCCATGTGCCCACTGAGCTTAGATTGACAGCTGTAGAGAGTTTGCCTGGAATGTTCTCTTCCTGCATCCCTCCCAGCCCCCTTCATGTTAATAAGTCCCTTCATTAGTTCAAACTGAACTCACATGCTTCTTCCCCGGGATGTTTTCTTTAATCTGACCCTCCGCACCCTTGCTCTTCCTCGCTATATTCTCTTATACTGTCCTACACTTCCCCTTTATAATTTTTTCTCCTTTCATAGGATGTCATAAGTGTCATTTTATTATTGTAGTGGTTATAGCAATAGGTATATATTTCTAAGATAATTTGCATAATGGTTGTCTCCCTCACCAGTCTGTAAGCTCCCTGAAGCCAGGGATGCTTTGCTCACTAAGATATGTCCAGCCATTAGGACACTAACATGAAAAGCTACAGAGGAGCAAGGGAGGATTAGACAGGGGCAAGCCGGGGAAAATAAATAGTAGAAGAAAGGCCCTTCAAAATTCTTCTGCAGCAGTATGACTAGCAAGCATACGCCCAAGAACAGTCTAATGAGGCCCCTTTATTAAGCCCTCTGTGTACCACCAAATGCATTCTTCCCCTGTCGATTTTGCTAGGTTTGGCTAATCAAGAATGAGGTTGTTAATGTGGAGAGAGGCAGCTTGAGGAGCGGATCTTGGGTCGCATCTGCTGTCTGCTGGTCAATGCCTGGGTTCCTGCAAGGGCAGCACAGCCTGGCCCTCTGCAGGATGGAGCTGCCTGTTCATACCCCAACAGCCTCAGTCTCTTCCTAGAAAGAGCTGACGGGACAGGGCGTGAAGATGTGTAGGAACTAGGAGGAATTCCTACCAGGGAAAGACATTTTCAGTTGAAGGAACCACATGTGCAAAGAAACGGAATGACAGCATGTTGTGTTTAGGGAACCTCAAGAAGCCTAGTTTTGTTGGTGAGTTACAATAGGAAATGTGATAGTAGAAATGAAAGTATCAGATAAATCTTAAGTGTTTCCATTATTATCTATTTCTCAAAATTGTTTGGAGGGCCAATGAGAGAGTACATGTGGAATTGCTTTATAAACTGGAAAAAAATCCTACGAAAATATTTTTATTACAAATTCTTTTGGATGAAGATAACTAGAATATTAGGCTAAGAAACCATGCTGGGAAATGGAACTATTTATAAATTTCTTTTATTTATAAACCTAAAGTTTTGATTAATTTCCTTCTTATAATCTCCTTTCAAAGGCTAGAATGTAAGTTTATAGTATCTGTTGAATATGAGTGAGTTGGGATGTATGTTTTCAACTCAGCACCATCCCTGGCCCTTTCCACTCTCTCTCTCTCTGAGGGAACAGAGACTGGAAGCCTGGAACTACATTTCCCAGAATCACTTGTAGGCAGAGTTCCTAATTACAGCCAGCCAAGGAGGGCACACACAGGGTTGTGAAAGATACAAAATAATTAGAGAACATTATTCTTTGGTGTCAGTTACAGAGTGGAAACAGCCAGCTGATGTATGGTTTGCAGGAACTTCTGGGTGAGATCCTAGAATCTCACACTTTCCTATGGCTTCCCAGCAAGCTTGTTCTTCTCAGTTTATAGCCAAACAGAATGCTTTTTTTCGCCAGTTGTTGGTCCCATGAACCCCTTTTAAACAATTATTTTTTATTTAGAAATATTTATAGACTCATAAGAGGTTACAAAAAAATTTACAAAAATACCCTAGCCTCTTCAAATGGTGACATCTTATATCACTATAATAATCATAGAATTAAAAAAAATCGACATGAGTACAATAGTATTAGGCAGACTACAGACCTTCTTCAGTTTTTACCAGTTTTTATGTAGATTTACTTGTGTGTTGCATAGTTCAGTATAGTTGAATACAATATGATCTCATGTATAGATTCTTTACAGTTCTTTAAATGGCTCTTTAAGACTTTAATTTCTTGTCTTAAATCTCTACCTGATGCTATTTTCTTAACTGAATGCTGACTGAGGTGGTTAATACTTTCTTGGTGTTATCTCACATTTGAAGTCTTGCAGTCAAATTATGGTGCTTACCTTCCATTATCTTCATTAATGTATTCAACTGAAATATCACTGACTGATACAACTTCACAGGCCTTCTTTCCCATTGTTTTCATCACAGGATTACAAAGGCATTCCCAGTGTATCATTACATTATATGTAAGTTACCACAAAAGATTTTTAGCTATTCGTTGGGCTGTTAATTGCTCAGTTTTCAAAGTCATTCTTACTGTAGTAGATTAAAAATGCAAAACTTTTTAAATCATTCTTAAATAATGGTAAAATAATTTATATATGATAAGGCAGGAAACAAACAATAACAGATGTAGCTGATGGATAGGAGGAGGCTAAGCTATCATTCTTGAAGATAATAAAACTATACACCTAAACAATGCAGCAAATTTAACAAGGGCCATTAGAAATAATATATGTTTAACAGAGTTTATAGATACAAAAATACATACATGAAAGTAGCCTTCCTATATATCAAAATAATCAGAAAACAGAATGTTTAAAAACCCTCTAAAATCTAAAGTGATGCTGGTTTCCCTGCAGAGGAAGGAGAGACTTGCCTCTCCCTAATTCTGGGCTGTTTTCTCACTTGAGCCTTAATCAGCACAACTTGTGTGCAGAGACTCTCAAAATTTTGCTAAAATATTTTGTTTCTTTCCCTTCTCATCCTTACCTCTGACTCACTAACCACAAGCGATCAAAATCTGGTCTGAAGAAGCCGAGGGAAATGAACACTATGACATGTTCTTTGTCCCTTCCTAATTAAGACATATTTCCTCTCAAAATATCCTAGCCTGCAGAGATGGTCCCTGGCTGTAACTCAATTTTTTTCTTTTTTACATCATTTTCTCCAAGACAGTGTAACAACTTAAAACCACATATTTCAGAAAATGATCTTCGCTTTACATTCACCATTTGGTTGGCTTTCCCAGAATAAATGAACCATCTGCCCTAAAGAACTCTGCAAGTCTTTGCTACTTGCAACCAGTGAGACTAACAAGTTTCCTGGCTAACCATCCCATTACTGGGTATATACCCAAAGGATTATAAATCATGCTGCTATAAAGACACATGCACACGTATGTTTATTGCGGCACTATTCACAATAGCAAAGACTTGGAACCTACCCAAATGCCCATCAATTATAGAATGGATTAAGAAAATGTGGCACATATACACCATGGAATACTATGCAGCCATAAAAAGGGATGAGTTCATGTCCTTTGTAGGGACATGGATGAAGCTGGAAACCATCATTCTCAGCAAACTGTCGCAAGGACAGAAAACCAAACACTGCATGTTCTCACTCACAGGTGGGAATTGAACAATGAGAACACTTGGACACAGGGAGGGGAACATCACACACCGGGGCCTGTCATGGGGTTGGGGGAGTGGGGAGGGATAGCATTAGGATATATACCTAATGTAAATGACGAGTTAATGGGTGCAGCACACCAACATGGCACATGTATATATATGTAACAAACCTGCAAGTTGTGCACATGTACCCTAGAACTTAAAGTATAATTAAAAAAATGGTTAAAATAAAATAAAAAGAAAAAAGCATGCTGAAAGAGTCGGGGGTGTGGACAACTGATACATCCAACCACACGGGTGACTCTTAAAATCATTATGATAGATTTTAAAAGCCAGACACAAAGAGTCTATACTGCGAGATACTACTTGTAAAAGTCTAGAAAATGCAACTAAGTCCACAGTGACAAAAAAGCAGATCAGTCAGATAAGTGGTTGCATGAGGTCAGGGACAGAAAGAGAGAAAAACTTCAAAAGGACAGAAAGAAACTTTCAGGGGTAAATGGAAATATTCTGTTTCTTAAGTTTTGGCAGTGACTTCATGGGTGTGTACAAAACTCAGCTAATTGAACACTTTAAATAAATTGAATTGTGCACTATAAATGGATGCCTTTTACTGTATGTAAATTATACCTCAATAATGTTGATTACAAAATCATAGTTAGTAAATTAGGAATGTTTGCATGTGAAAAAAAAAAATAAAAACAAGTTTCCTGGCTAACATTTGCTAGGTGCTAGCAAAGTTCATTGATTCTTCTGGACATTATCTTAATTAATCTTTACCACTGTATGGGTAGAAAATTAAAGTCACTTAAACCAAATCTCAAGGCTACCAAAAGGTAGAACCAAGATAAGGGCCATGTGGTGAAGCTCCAAGTCCTTTCTCTGCTTTTCTTGTAGGTGACAATAATTTTCTTTCCCACAGGGTTTCAAATACATGATCTGGGGATCAGCCTGGTCCCTCTGACATTGATACACATACATCCTAGTGAGCTGCATCGGCTGCATCAACTCAGTATGTCTAATTTAAAAAGTCAACTTGTGGAAAACGCCAGATAAATAAATGGTGCTGGTAGTACTGGGTAATGATGAAAATTGTATAAGTGATATATGAATGCTGAAAATGTAGTGGAAGTCCCAAGTATATGACCGCCACTTGGTGGAAACCTTGTCATGAGAGAGTATTTGGATTTGCTTCCTAAGTGGAGTTAATTCTTTAGAACTTTAGCACCTAATAAAGGCAAGAAAATTCATATCACTCTCAAAAGTATAATTTAGAAGACTCTATTTTCCCGAATAATAGTTCTCCTTTGAAGACGACTGGAAATTGCCTTCTTTCTAATTTTAAGATTTGGATTGAAAACATTCAAATGCAGGCCTAGCTTCAAAGCATAGTTTGAAACTAAGAAGCACTTCCTGATTTATATTGCTTCATTAATTGATTCAAAAGCAGAAAGAAGTTCCAAATCTCAGCAATTTTCATTATGGATAAATAGATGCACCCCCTATGTAAATGGTTGAACCAAAATGTCCCTCAAAAGAACCTAGTCTCAAGCCCTTTGAATTTCCAATCTCTTAGTTTCACAATCATCACTATCTTTTCCCCCCAATTTTTCCATTCCTCATGTGCATCAGCATGACCCTGCTGTCTCAGCCAGCCCGCAGGAGTCACACATGCACTTCCTGTCTTAATCAACAATGAAGCTCTCACTTAGTTGGTAGATCATTCAGGATAAGGATATTTACTGAGGCTTGCTTGTTTTAGTCCAGGAATACATAGCAGCTCCTTTGGAGACTGCAGACAACATCTAAGTCCCATGTTATTTGAAAGGTAAATATGTAGCCACAAAAGAAAATTTAAAAAAGAGAAGAAAATAAAACAGAGAAGGGAGAAAGATTGGAAGGAAAAAAAGAAGGAAGGAGAGGAAGGGAAAAAAGTGAGGAAAAAGAAAAAGAGAGAAAGACACAGTGAAAGAAAAAGAAAAGGCAGAGGAGGGAGGCAAAGCAAAGGGTTAGATGCTGTAACTGCAAGTAACACAGACTTGGGCTGTGCATTTTTTTCCAGGGGACTATCCGCAGTTTTTCATGTGCCATACCATTCCATTCTTCCATGATGCAGCAACAGTAAACTAACTTAACATGCCCTCAACTGTAGCTAAGGTTTACACTTACAAGTGCCATTTTTGGATAGGGTGACCAGCCATCCTAATTTTCCTGGGATTGAGGGGGTTCCCGAGATGTGAGGCTTTCAGTTTTAAAACTGGGATAGTTCAGTCTAAAACTGAGGAGTTCTCCATGGCATGGGATTTTCAGTGCTAAAACCAGAAAAGTCTCAGGCAAATCAGGAAAAGCTGTTCATCTTATCTTTGAGTGAGACAGTAAATTGTGTCTCTTACATCCTTTGAGGATTGCATAGGAAACTCTCCAGCTGTTAACCCATCTTCCATGTGCTGGGATCTGTGTTACATTGTGTACACTGTAGTGGACATCTTTTTATTCTGCTTGCTTGGCACCCCAGTAATCTTTGGGTACTGCCTTTCCTATTTTATGTAGTTCTAGTTGGGCTGTCTGCTCAGTGTCCTTCACTCCTGCTGCCTCCCCTGAGGTGATAGGTCCACCAGGGTAGGCTAAGCAAAACAGGCCATCTCTGACACCTCTGGCAACAGTGATTAGTTGAAGGGTGAGTATGGAATGCAAGGAATACAGCCGTTGGGAGGGAGGAGTCCCTTTTGCTCTTAGTGAAGCCTATCATTGGTCATCTTCTCCACCATGTATGACAAAGTCAACAGATACAGAAGGAAGTCAGAGGGAGAAAGAGAGAGAGAAAAAAATACTTGAAGCATCTTTTGAGCCCCTGGATCCTACACACATGAAGCTAACACCATTCCTAGATTGCCCAGTTTCATGAGCTCATGCATTCCCTCTTTTCTTAAGCTGGTTTGAGATGGGTTCTTCTCATGTGCAACCAAAAGAGTTGTGACTAACAGACATACATGAGCTCTGTTATTCTGGAGTCAGTCCCGAGAGACGGGTCTAAGTTGAACCACGTGAAATCACCAATATTCAACTTCTTTTGATGGCAAATGTGGAAATGTCATTTGAAACATTTTAGATATTATTATCTCTATTGCACAGGTGAGGAAAACAATTAGTGGTGAGAAATAATATGCTCAAGGCTGCACATTTGTTAGCAGACCTGGGAATCAAATCCAGGTCTTCTTGATTCTAAGGTACACAAGTATATTTCCAGTAGTTAATGCTGCCTGAAAAAAAAAAGAGATCTCTTAAGAGCTTTCCCTTGCTATTTGACAAAGGCCTTGAAATATACTAGATTTTAATTCATACCTTTATGTATGAACATATATATGGTGCCAAACACCTGCTCGTTTGCTTGTAAAATCCCCATTTCACTGGATGTTTCATGAACAGAAGTCAGACACACGAGTGTGCAAAGCAAGAGGAAAAACCCTGCTCAACTCTAGTGTGTATTTTCATTTCACGTGGGATGAAGCCCCAGGTGATGATATATCAGCTTTTCAAAAGTACTCCAGTTTTGGTTTTCACTGACAATCAAGAGGTGCTATTCTTGCCTCACAAAAAAAGAGATTATTTACCCATTCTACTCTCTGTTCAGAGAGACCATTCCCATACCTCAAACCCAACGTATTTATAACACAGCTGTGACAATGAGAGAAGTATTCTGGGTACTTTGAATTGTCATGATCATCCCATGTGCTTGCCCACTGATGCAATGGGATGATGCTTGCCCAGGAAATATATTTTTTCTCCACGGTGGTGTTCCATACATGTTTTAAAAATCACAGAGCATGTATACAATATGGAAAGTTTATGTGTAATTTCTTTAGTATTTATTATATGTGAAGTTATTACAATTCAGGATTGTCTGTTCATTTTAACTAATGCTAGAGAAACGTGTCTTATTAGAGCATGGATAATATTCTATGGCAAATGTTTTTGGCATTATCTGCTGAGCATCTCTCTTCCATAAATTTCCTTCCCCCATCTACATGGTGGCAGGCTGTAGTCATCAGCTAATGCTGCTATTAATGGTGCTGCATAATAAACACCTCCCAGATCTCAGTGGCTTATAACAACAAACATTTATTTTTTTCTCACTCATTAGAGCTGTGAAACTTGCCCAAGATCACACAGCTGGTAAATGATGAAGCTGAGATTCATTCATTCAACAGACATCATTGAGCTCCTCCTAAGTGCCAAGTACAATGAAGAGGCTGATAAATCACCAAGCCAAAGACTATTTATGTTTTAGCTGATGATGTTAAAAGTGAAAACAATGTCATTATAGCTCTAGAGAGTCAACCAAAAAGATAGAAGAACATGACACAGAAAAGGTTTGACAGGATCTGACAAGTCAGGGGTGTGATGGTTTAGAGAATACAGATAACACTGGCCAGAATGGTAGCCATAGTGGGATCATAACAAGATTAATTAGACAATGCGAATATAAAGGCATTCCAAGTGGAAGCTGACATTGCATTTCTAATTTCAAGAGAGGAGAGAAAGGGAAGAAAACATTTGAAGCCATTTTTTGAGTGTCTGCTCTGAACAGGGTATCATCACATGAGGAAAACTCACATAGCAATGCTCAGAGACAAGGGCATCTCATTTCACATTTTACATCTTTCTGGATATCACTTTCTATATGTCTGATGCAAAGATAGTGACATTTCTTTCTTCATATTGTCTTAGTTTGTGCCTAACACATTTCAGGCTCTCAAAAAATGGTAATTTTCTTACAAGATTCTGTTAGTTACTTTCCAATGTTCATTTTGCCATTATTTCTTGTTAACAGAAGCCTCATTTGTCTGGGGAGGCAATGTGGCCAGGTAAATGCCCACCTTCCTGGGAGCCTTTGTGGCTAGTGAAGGCTGTGACCCACCGAGTTGGGACAATAATAAGTAAGCAGAGGTTGATGGAGGAGGTTGCTGGGAAAGCTTCCTAGAAGAGAAAGGCTCAGGTGGTTTCACACGTTCAGATTTTGTTCTGTGTAGTTTGCTATTGATCCAGAATGCAGTCATGGCATTGAGGTAGAGTAGATGTCTTGTGATTACAATAGGGATTGCTGCATACCATGCATACCAGGATGGAGGAACAGAAAGGTAGAATAAACCTAGGTCTCTTATGACCACAAAGTTTTCGTTCTACTTGAATAAAAATAACAATTAAACATGTCTTTAAAAAAAAGAAAGACCAACCATCCAACACACAATCATTGTAGCCTACAAAAACAGCTCCACCTGGCTGAAAGACTAAGCTCAGCGTGATCTTCCCAACCATGGTAACACCAGACAAAGCAGAAAAATCAAAGCTTAAGATAAAAAAATACCATCAAGGGAAGACATGTAACCAAATAATTAATGAGGTATATTTTAAGATTTTCATTATTTAATCCTATCATGTTATCAATGAAGTTTGGGAGAAAAAAAAGTACAAAATTTCAAGGCAGGGAACCCAGGTTCAAATTCTCACTGAACCTTTTATCAGCAGAGTGAATTTGGGCCAGTCTTTTTATCTTTCCAGGTTTGAGTTTTCCATGCTGCAAAATCATAATGATAATGATGATGATACTTACTTATAGTATTGATGTAGAGCATACTCAAGGGAATGTATGTGAAAGCACTTTGTAAATAATAAACTATTAGGCAAGCTTTTGTTACTACTGAAAAGTGAAAAGATAGTCAAGTGTGAAATAGCCAAGCTTGCCCAGTTAACATCTGGCACCAACGTGTGGTGTAGAGGCATGAAACTGAGATGCTGAAGGATATATGGGCTGTAAATGCTCTGTCAAAGGTTAGCAATGAGTCTTTCATGTCATAATCACACGTTTCTTACAAACAGAGGTGCCAGCCATTAATGGGGGAAGAGGAAGAAGGAAGAAAACTATAATTTTTTAATCACTTATTGTAAACCCTTTGGTGTTTTACATATATGATCTTCTTTGATTAATTGCAGACACAAAGCTACACAAATGCTCTGAAGAACTTTTACATTTTGTAAGTGGAGTTATGCTGCAGGTCAAGTTGCCTATGACTAACGCACAAGGATCAAGAATGCTGACTTAGGTAGGAAAAGTAGGGGATGGGCCAGACTTAGGGGAGGGGTCTGAGATCTGAAGTTAGCTGATTAGTCCCCCACAGAAAGATGAATCTTACTAATCAAAAGTTGAAGACTTACACTTGTCTATATAGAGGGAAAGAGGGAAGGGAATTTCTCAGCCATTGAGGACCTCCCAGGTCAGCTCTTTATACATCACCTCTTAGGAAATAAGAGTGTAGACATTTTGCTGTGTGGCTGGCACTGTGCTAAACACTTTAAATTATTAACTCATTAATTTTTGCAACAGCCATTCGAGGTGTAGGTACTATGTTTACCCCCATTTTAGAGAAAACTGGGGAATAGCGAGCTTAATTGACTTGCCCAAATCCACCCAGTTGGATTGGAACCCAGTCGGCCTGGCTTCTGTGCCCTGCAGTTCACCACGATGCTCTTTTGCCCCTCGAGGGGAGGAATGCAGCAGAACATATGTCAGACAGCTGGGCTGTGGATTTTGAGAACTCAGCTTCTTAAGAAACTCAGAAGAGTTAATGTGTTTTCTTGGTGGAAGAAGGCTGAAGAGCCTCCCAAAGATCCTTTTGGCTTTTCAAGGAATTAAATGTAACCGTCTACTCATACATAGCAATGCCTCTCCTTAGTCTAATATGAGATTTAGGGATTTGGGAAGACATCTGGAATTTATTTATGCCATTTGGGTTTTGAAATTCAATATTAAATTCTTAGAATGAAAGAAACCAGAGTAGACCATATTAACGAAATCTGACTACACAGGGCATGTGTTAGCAAACTGGGCTTGAATGTCTGGCTGAAATATTGCTCTGAATACACTGTGTCATTCCTCTCAAGAGGCAAAAACACCTTTCTGGAATCATTTGGACCTTCTGTATATATGGTAATGGCAGAGAGTATATTTCAGGGTTTTTCTTCCCCCAGATAATGTTGAAAGCAATGTAAGCGATTAATGTGTCTATGCTGAGATTATGGCACAAAGATAATTAGAAAAATATCACCTTGACAGATTCAGTTTTTCATTCTGAGCCTGGGGAGACAGTATGGCCTTCAGAGTAACTGTTTCTTTTTTTTAATCATTCCATTAGTTGTGTAATTTTGAATAATCTCCCCAAGCCAGTTTCTTAACCTATAGGATGTTCCAAGAAGAAGATGGAAAACAGGGGTATAAATTTGGGAAGTTTTAGGTGGTTCATGATGGTCAAAGTGGAAAGTGCTTCTGAAGAATATTAGAAGATGAAACCCAAGAGGTAAGCTTTGTGAAGTCTGGTGTCCCAAGCAGGGGTGTGGACTTTATCTTGAAATTACCAAAAAGTTGTTTTAACTTTAATCCTTTTAAATACTAAATAGAATTGCTTTTCCTTATTAGAAATATAGTAGCTTATCATAGAAGATAATAGATGAGGAAGAGAAAATCCTTAAATTCAATCAATTGTACAGAGGTTACTATGGTGTCCTCTTATAGGTGTTAGATATAAACCTACCTAACATGACTTGACTGGAGACCAGCTAAGGTGAGTTTAAGTACAGATGCTATTTCTGGTAGGTAAGTGTGTGAATGACTTTTAGAAAAAGTCCTCGTTGTTTGAAGGTTCTATAATTGCAAATTCATCTACTTGCTAAAATTTATTTGCAAGCCCCCAGTCAAACCTCACAGTGCTTTCTTGGTTCTTTGTGGATGGATATGCACATCTCAGGTCAAAGACGACAATGTTCTACTTTCTCCTTTCAGCTCTCACACTGTAAACAAGTGTCCTTTTTGGCAGTATATTTAGTGCTGTTTCTTGCATTTTTGTACTTTTTGTTGGTGATTTTGCTATTTAAAATGTCCTCCAAGCATAGAAATGCTGACTAGTGTTTCTAAGTGCAAGAAAGCTATGATGTGCCTTATGAAGAAAATACATGTGTTAGATAAGCTCCGTTCAGGCATGAGTTACAGCGATGTTGGCCATGAATTCAATGTTAATGAATCAGCAATATATATAAAAAAGAAGATGTTCTTAAACGTAAGCATACGTAAAACAAGGTTATGTAATGATCAATTGCCAAAAATATAACCAGGGGCTCTCATGAACCTAACTCTTTATTTCCCTAGGAGCAATGGTTCAAATTCACTATGACTTTATAGAACATAACAGCTGTGAATAGTGAGAATTAGCTGTATGTATTTTTAAAAGATCGATGGGTTAGTTTACCCATAGAACCCAACTCTTAAACACCTGGTCTCCCAACCTAATCCCAAAGCCCTGGCTACTCAGAGGATGGCTGTCTGTCTAAGTGGTAGCCTTTGAAGGCCTTTTCTGTGGATAGAACAGTGCTGTTACACCTGCCAGACCCTTGATGGATGAAGCCAAATCCAAGAATATTGCAAGCCATAGACAGCAGGGATGATGCCACCACTCAGGTCTAACTCTGCCTAGACAGCGTGAGGGACTGTAACTGTGCCCTTCCTTTCTGTCTAGAAAGTCTCCTCTTTTCCTTACCATGTCTAGGAAGGGTGGGAGTAGGTACTGGGGCTTGCTTGTGTTTATCACACACTGTGAAGATGTGTCTCTGGGCGAAGGGCCATGCTTCAGAAGGGAAAGGAGCCTGCTTGAGCTGTATTCCTGGAACTGGAAATCAGACTCACTCCTGAAAATCTGGGGGTAGACTGGTCATCAAGAGTTCTCAAGGAGTTGAAAACTCCAGGGATTTTGATTGACAGCCTCTAAGGTCCCGTCAATGCTAAAATTTTAAAGATCTCGTAGTCCTATTTCTTATATTATCATTTCCTTTGAGCACCCTGTTTTTGGGAGAAAACCTCCATGGGTTTTAATTCAATTGTGGGGATGTGGCATCACAATCCCTTGGAAGTATTTGGGATTGACACTTTTATTTAGGAGGAAAGGGGTCTGGGATGCTAAGTGTCCTACAAAGCCCTAGAGAGTTCTACATAAGGTAGAATTGTGGCACCCAAAACCCAAGTAGTGTGAATCAACTTCTCTTTTATTTGTACCCATTGAGTTCCCAGACATTCTTTCCACCTCCAATTTTACCCCTAGGGCCAACAACATAATTTATGGGCCCAGAACAAAATGAAAATGTGAGATACCTTGTTTGAAAAGCCAGATGTCTTTCCCTTTTTCTGTGGTCTCTTTCATGACTTGTCATAGTGTTTTCTATTTGCTATTTCATGTAACTCCCTTGGGCACAAGGATACTGGTTGGTGAGAGCAGACACTCATAGGCATTGGACCTTGCCCTACAATTTGGCTTATGGAATGTGAGCACCTGACCTTCCTCATGCCTATGCCTAGCCGCCCATTGAGAATAGAGGGTGGCAGTGTTTGCTGGGCAAGAACAAGGGAGCTGTCTGAAAGGGGAAAGGAGAGTCCAAGCCCCTGGTGCATGCCCAATTGTCCCACTTTACTTGCAAAACACAAATGCAAAAATGCAACTATTGGAAATTTCAAGACAGTGACCATAGAGCATCAACTGCCATGCCTGGGACTTCTTGTGAGTGCCATAAGCCCATGAATCCTACTCTGTCCACTCCTAGATCTAGGGTCAGACCTAGTCTAGATGCTGTGGCTCACCTTGCACTCCTTCTCCTCCACACTCCTTGGTCCTATTTGTCTCCTCTGCACGTTTTAGGAGGCACTTACACATTGCCATGTCTGTGATGAGTCGTTAAAATGTGGTATGTCCTCTAATAGAGCCTGGCTTCTTTTCTTTTATCTTCTTTAACATAGAACACAATTTCAAGTTACATAAAAAACATTCTGGATGGTGAAGAGCAGGCACAAGAGGCAAACTTTAATTGATCCTTAAAAATAACCACTGCTTCATGAGGCCAGCATCATCCTGATACCAAAACCTGGCAGAGACACAACAATAACAAAAAGTTTCAGGCCAATATCCCTGATGAACATCGATGTGAAAATCCTCAATAAAATACTGGCAAACCTAATCCAGCAGCACATCAAAAAGCTTATCCACCATGATCAAATCAGCTTCATCCCTGGGATGCAAGGCTGGTTCAACATATGCAAATCAATAAATGTAATCCATCACATAAACAGAACCAATGACAAAAACCACATGATTATCTCAATAGATGCAGAAAAGGCCTTCGATAAAATTCAACACCCATTCATGCTAAAAACTCTCAATAAACGAGGTATTGATGGAACGTATCTCAAAATAATAAGAGCTATTTATGACAAACCCACAGCCAATATCATACTGAATGGGCAAAAGCTGGAAGCCTTCCAGCACAAGACAAGAATGCCTTCTCTCACCACTCCTATTCAACACAGTATTGGAAGTTCTGGCCAGGGCAATCAGGCAACAGAAAGAAATAAAGGTATTCAAATAGGAAGAGAGGAAGTCAAATTGTCTCTGTTTGCAGATGACATGATTGTATATTTACAAAACCCCATTGTCTCAGCCCAAAATCTCCTTAAGCTGATAAACAACTTCAGCAAAGTCTCAGGATGCAAAATCAATGTGCAAAAATTACATGCATTCCTATATACCAATAATAGACAAACAGAGAGGAAAATCATGAGTGAACTCCTATTCACAATTGCTACAAAGAGAAGAAAATACCTAGGAATACAACTTACGAGGGATGTGAAGTACCTCTTCAAGGAGAGCTATAAACCACTGCTCAAGGAAATAAGAGAGGACACAAAGAAATGGAAAAACATTCCATGCTCATGGATAGGAAGAATCAATATTGTGAAAATGGCCATACTGCCCAAAGTAACTTAAAGATTCAATGATATTCCCATCAAGCTACCACTGACTTTCTTCACAGAATTAGAAAAACTACTTTCAATTTCATATAGAACCAAAAAAGAGCCCGTATAGCCAAGACAATCCTAAGCAAAAAGAACAAAGCTGGAGGCATTATGCTACCTGACTTCAAACTATACTACAAGGCTGCAGTAACAAAACAGCATGGTAACAGATATATAGACCAATGGAACAGAACAGAGGCCTCAGAAATAATGCCACACATCTACAACAATCTGATCTTTGACAAACCTGACAAAAACAAGCAATGGGGAAAGGATTCCCTATTTAATAAATGGTGTTGGGAAAACTGGATAGCCATATGCAGAAAACTGAAACTGGACGCCTTCCTTACATTTTATACAGAAATTAACTCAAGGTGAATTAAAGACTTAAATGTAAGACCTAACACCACAAAAACCCTAGAAGAAAACCTAGGCAATACCATTCAGGACATAGGCATGGGCAAAGACTTCATGACTAAAACACCAAAAGCAATGGTAACAAAAGCCAAAATTGACAAATGGGATCTAATTAAACTAAAGAGCTTCTGCACAGCAAAAGAAACTATCATCAGAGTGAACAGGCAACCTACAGAATGGGAGAAATTTTTGCAATCTATCCATCTGACAAAGGGCTAAAATCCAGAATATACAAGGAATTTAAACAAATTTACAAAAAAAAAAAAAAACAACTTTATCAAAAAGTGTGTGAAGGATATGAACAGACACTTCTCAAAAGAGACATTTATGCGGCCAACAAACATGAAAAAAAGCTCATCATCACTGGTTATTAGAGAAATGCAATACAAAACCACAATGAGATACCATCTCACGCCAGTTAGAATGGCAATCGTTAAAAAGAAAGGAAACAACAGATGCTGGAGAGGCTGTAGAGAAATAGGAACGCTTTTACACTGTTGGTGGGAGTGTAAATTAGTTCAGCCATTGTGGAAGACAGTGTGGTGATTCCTCAAGGATCTAGAACCAGAAATACCATTTGATGCAGCAATCCCATTACTGGGTATAGACCCAAATGATTATAAATCATTCTACTATAAAGACACATGCACATGTATGTTTATTACAGCACTATTCACAATAGCAAAGACTTGGAACCAACCCAATGCCCATCAATGATTGACTGGATAAAGAAAATGTAGCACATATACACCGTGGAATACTAGGCAGCCATAAAAAAGGGTGAGTTCATGTCCTTTGCAGGGACATGGATGAAGCTGGAAACCATCATTCTCAGCAAACTAACACAGGAACAGAAAACCAAACACTGCATGTTCTCACTCATAAGTGGGAGTTGAACAATGAGAACACAGGGACACACGAGGGGAATATCACACACCTGGGCCCGTCAGGGGGTTGGGGGCTAGGGGAGGGATAGCATTCGGAGAAATACCTAATGTAGATGACGGGTTGATGAGTGCAGCAAACCACCATGGCACGTGTATACCTATGTAACAAACCTGCATGTTCTGTACATGTATCCTAGAACTTAAAATATAATAATAAAAAAAAGAAACTGAAAAACAAATAAACAAACAAACAAACAAACAAAAAACCATTACCAAGCCTGGGCAACTTGGTAAGACCCTGTCTCTACAAAATAATAAAAATATTAGCCAGGCATGGTGGCTAGTTACTTGGGAGGCTGAGGAGTGTTTGAGCCCAGGAGTTAGAGGCTGCAGTGAGCTATGACTGGGCCACTGCACTCCAGCTTGGACAACGTAGTGGTACCCTGTCTTTTAAAAACAAACAAACAAAATACTGTTGCTATTTATTGAGCATTACAGAGGGCTTGGAACTGGGCAAAGGGTTTTTGTTAAAGCTGCTGCTCCAACTTTCTACCCACCAGTCCAACCCACCAGACTTCCCCAAAGACCAGCAACCACAGGGTTAATGCCTTGCATGGCAGGGAACTTTCCTCTCAAGCTTCAGCCTCTTTCTGATTGGTGGGCTCCTGTGCATGTGATCTCAGTTAACTCCTACCATCCCTTTAAGAGTTGTCTTTGTAATCCACATTTTTTTTTTTGATGAGAAAAGTAAGCTTTGGAGAACATACACAACTAGCAAGCACCTGAATGGTGGTCTGAGCCACCTCTCCAGTGGTTTCACCGTGCACGATCTCAATATCTATGACAACTTGCACATTGCTAGTCCTTGTTTGCAGACTTGCAGCAAAATTGATCCGCTGCTTAGTTTGAGGTTTAACACATGATCCATATTAGTTTCTATTATTTAAAAATTGGGCGATTTCACATAGAAATCTCTATTTCTGATTTCTGTGGCAGCAGATGAGGGGGCAGTAGCTGGTGCTCTCTTCGTGTGAGTCACATGAAGTTTACTTCCTTAGGTCTTCACCCAGCCCACAGCATTCATTTGCATCTCCCACCTGGCTCTGCCAGCATTGATTTACGGTCCTGCTCACTGCTGTGTCAACTCCTTACTTTGGGTAAGATGCTGTCATGTGCTGTTTCCTCAGATCCTCATGTTTCTATTGCTATTCTGCAACTGAGCAAGCTTGTCCAAGGTCACATGGCTAATGAGTGCACTCAGGTTGAATCCTAGTTCCCTGGCACAGCCTTCTTGAATTTTTACAACTGGTAAACAGCATGGACCCATTAATCCCCCAAAGCGCGCCCTGGCTAGGATATTCCCAATGCAAGAATCCTGTGGTGAAACACATGCGAATGTGAGCAGGAATGGGGTGAGGCAACATGTCTAAAGAAAATTATCCTTAAAGTATTGGCCAAGGTCAAGTGAACCCTTCCCATTCTGTTGTTTTTGTCTGGGAGCCCATAATGTAAATTTATGTCTTGTAGCACTAGGAAAAAAAATCTTACTTTTTCCCTCTGATCACTGTGTCTTTGCTTCCTGAGGTCAACATGTGTGTAGTGTGGGGCCTCTTTTATCGTGTGTTCTTCCCTGGAAGATTTTCTGGAATTCACTCAATGTTCTCATGACATTTCCACATCAAAGTCCAGGGATTTAGACCATCCAATGTGAACCACATTGGGCAGAGCACAGGCAGCCTGGATATGCTGCTTCCTCTAAATGGCTTTCCAGAACCCAGGACAGAGCGCAGCTGAGCTCAAATGACACGCAGAGCCTCAGAACAGCCATGACCCTCAGATGTCATGGGATACTTCTGAGGAGAGTTCCCCATCTGGCCTCCCCACATCCAGTACCTCCCCCACACATGGTCAGCTTCGTCTTCCTAAAAGTCTGCTTTCCACATGTCTGTCTCAATCAAAAACCTTTGATGGCATCCCATTTCCTTCAGAATAAGGTCAAAATTATTTCTCCTGTATTCTCTTATCCAACCCTTACCTAACTACTTTCCTTCCAGAACATTCTTCACTGACCAAACAGGGCTACTTGGCATTCACCAAAGACTCTGTGTGAGTCTTTCCTTTCCTGTTCCCAAATTTATGCAGGTCCTCCCATTCCTTCAGACCCTTTTCATCCTTCTGTCCCATGAAGTGTGAGACCTCTGAGCCTCATGTACCCTAGTTGGAGAACGGGTTTGGGTGAGGACAAAGTGCGCATAGCCAGCCTTCCACACAGCAGCCTTGGGGGAGAAGGTGGTGCCTCTTCCCTGAAATCCATGAATACTGCAGTGCACCTTGACTGAAGTTGTGGATTCCCACAACACATTCGCTTCCAATTTTCAAGGGTTAGAATAGATCAGGGCCTCTAGAGTCATTGTATGATGTATTTCTTTTTAAAAAATCTTTTAAGATTCATAAGTTCATTAATTTAAACACATTTTAAACAAGAGTTTCAGCCTCATTTTCCACCTCATATCTTGCCCTACATGCTTGCCGTATTGTCCAGATTTTTTTTTTTTTTAATCTTCCTCAGCCTCTCTTTCTTTCTGGGTGAAATGGAAATAATACCAACCTTGAGGGGTAATTGGAAGAATGACCAAATGAGTTAGTTGTCCCGCTCCCTGGTTAGGACCCAGGGCACAAGCCAGACACACAGTGCACACTAAGAAAATGCCCCTCTTTCCTTTCTTCTGATGACTTTTATAAACAATTAGAGACATCACAGATGGCAACCTTGCCCATGTCTCCACAGGCTCCCTGGACCGATTTGGTCTGATACACAAGCTCTATTTGAGGTATTTGTATTTTATGGGTGTGTCACATGGCTCCTCTCAAATTTTTGTTAGATTAGCTTTTGAAGAAAATCTGAAAATACGAGCTGAAAGAAAAATGCTCAGCCAATCCTCCCTTTTATGGGTATGTTGGCAATTTGTCTGTCCAAACTAAACAGTCTCTGTTATGGTCTTACCCAACGTGATCTTAAAGAATCTAAAACTTGTCCTGGAATGAACTTGAAGGCCAGTTTCTTTTAAAATATAATACTAATTTTTTTAAAAGGCAACACAAAATGTCACTGGCTTTTTAAAGTGGGGATTGCACCAGCAATTTCCAAGATTTGAGACCTTTTTATTGGGAGAGAAAACAATATTTTGCTCATTCCCCCGTCTCAGTACAAAGGATAACTAATTCTAATAACTACAGTCTGCAGACCAAATGGAAATCATCTCATTGACACAGATTATGCAGCTATTTGGAGCTAATATGATATTTTTATTAGATGTCATTCTTTTCTAAGCTAATATTCCAGAAATCAAAGCAGCCCTCTGGGTCATACATACCTGGATATATTAGGAGGAAAATATTGCTTGCAAATGGACACTAATCAGTTTTTAGGAGTAATCAAGGATGTAGAGATTTGATTTCAGCAAAGATGGCCAGATGAGCTGGCGTGTGTGAGATGATTTGGCAGGCAACAGTCAGCAAGGACTACGTGTCCAGGGAAGGAGGAAGGAGTTAGGCAGATGGTGGAGATGAACAGTGCTGAGAATGGCCACTCCTATCCAAAACCCAACAGCCCTTAGTGCAAGATGCTGCACTCTCTGATTCATGTCAGTTATGAGCAATCCTGATTCTGGCTGTTATGCCTTGTTTTGCCCATCCAGCACTCTGTGAAACAATCTGAACCTTGCTCAAGCCCTTCTGCAACCTGAGGTTTTAGCTGCCCCCTCTGATACATTTTCACTTTTCATTCATTTTATTCAGAGGCCATGGTGTTGGGACATTATCTTTCAGCACACAGCTTTTGTCATTTTACAGGTTTTGGAGGGAGCATGCAGCTCTGCAAGGATTAAATTCTTGTGTTGCATCCATGGTGGCAGAGTGAAAAGACCGTGGGCCTTGGGGTCATATAGACCCAGGCTTGAATCCTGGTTTTGCCACTTAATGACTTTGGACAAACTGCCAAACCTCTCAGAATCTCATTTTCTCATCTGAAAAATGTCCTTGTTCTAAAATGGGAAGCAGCTATTTTATAGAATTTTTGTGAGGATGAAGAGATGTATTTAAATGACATATTGGACACACAATGGGAAATTTAATCAATAGCAGTTAAAATGAAATAAATAGTGAGGTGTAAAGCTGCAGCTTGGGCATATTTGGTCAAGATTCTCTGATGAATCTGAACTCATCAAGATGAAATCTACTGGGTAGAGGCAAAATATTCTCATCATTCTCCAAAATTTAAATTGCAAACTTTCAAGTTACAGTAGATGCACTTTTGGTTCAAATACGCTTAGGCCTCCCATACTCTAAATTATACTGCCTTTGCTAACTCCTCAAGCTATCTCCCTTTCTCCTTCCAGATTCCTCTCTATGTTTGTTGAAGGACTAAGTGACAATTAGTGTAGACTCTCCCTAGCCCCTAACTCCTTCCTTTCACAGCCTGACTTCTATTTCTTCAACTTTCCTGAAAAGCCTCTGTAAAGTCTAGAAAGTTACAGACATCCTCACGTCATGCACACAGCATGCAGCCTCATCAGCTCTGCAGCTTTCCACACCATTGGCCACTGCTTCCCCTAAAACTGTGGTTCTCTACTTTGGCTGCATATTAGAATCACCTGAGGAGCTTTAAAAAATTATTCACACCTGGGTTCCACCCCCAGAGATTCTGATGTACTAGTCTCGGGCGCCGCTTGGGCTCTGGGACTTTTCCCTGGTTGATCATTAAGGTGCAGCCATGGTTGAGAAATGGCTAAAATTCCTACTCTCCTTTATTTATGTAATATTGCAATGCTCTGTTTCTCCTACTTGCCAAATGCTTCTTTTGAATCTTTTTCAGGATCTCAGTCAAACCTTGTTTAGGATGTTGTTTGAGTAGTAAAAGATGCAAATCTTATAATTAAGGCAACATACAGTTTTAGTTGTTACTATGGTGTTGTTAAAGAAAAGCTAAAATTTGTGTTTGATTAGGAAGCTTACTAATGTATGTTCATGCTAGATGGCTATGGAGGAGGAGAAAACAGAGGAAGGAAGGAAGGATGAAAAGGACGGAAGAAGACAGAAAAGAAAATCTTATATTTTATGATTTTAACAATACTTTGCATACCTAATGCTTTCTTTTCTGTTTCATATCCCTAAAAGAAACAGCAATTTTAACATTAGCTATGATTTTTAGAGCACTATATTATCTCACTTAATCCTCACAAAAACTCCAATGAGATGGATACTATTATCTTCATTTTTTATAGCAAGGAAATGGAGTTGAGAAGTTGCCCAAGGGCATGAGCCTGGAAACTGACGGCTTGGATTTTAATCCAAGTTGATAGGGACTTCAGAGTCAGCCTACATTTTGCTGTCTCTTTGGATTAGAATCCTAAGTAATTAACATCAAATCTTGGGAAATTACTTCAAAAATCTTACCCAAAGGAGATATTCAAATACCTGAAATCAGTCTCCTATTTCCCATTAGTTTTTCTTTCTCCGGGGCAGCTATCCTGAGGTCCTGCAACTGTTCTTCATGTGCTTTGATTTTAATAGGTTTCATCTGCTTGGACAACCACAGTCTCTCTGGTTCAGCTTGATAATGGCCCTATTAATATGTGGTGTCCCCAGTCCAATATAGCAATGGCAGTCTTAGTCATTAACCAACTAAGGAAAAGGGCTGGATCAAAACAAAATAGAGAATTTGTGGTGATGGTTAAATTTCTATGTTCAGCAGAAAGTGTTAGAAGAAAAGGACTAGATTTCCATTGAGAGGTAGTGGCCAGAGATGGAGAGAGGAATTCATCTGCAGATCTCAGAGGTCAGGCAATGGTGACAGAGGGGAAGAAAATGAGTAACTTTACAGGGAAAGAAAATGAGTAACTTTACAGGGAAAGAAAATGAGTAACTTTAGGAAAAAGTGAAGAAAAATTCAGAATTCTTTTTTCCTTCCTCCCTCCCTCCCTCCCTCCCTCCTTTCTTTCCTCCTTCCTTCCCTCCCTTCCCTCCTTTCCTTCCTTCTTCCCTTCCTTCCTTCTTTCCTCCCTCCCTCTCTCCTTCCCTCCCTCCCTCCCTTCTTTCCTCCTTCCTTCCCTCCCTTCCTTCCTTCTTCCCTTCCTTCCTTCCTGCCTCCCTCCTTCGCTCCCTCCCTCCCTTCTTTCCTCCTTCCCTCCCTCCCTTCTTTCCTGCTTGCCTGCCTGCCTCCCTTCCTCTCTCCCTCCCTCCCTTCCTCTCTCCCTTCCTTCTTCCCTTCCTCCCTTCTTTCCTTCCTTCCTCCCTCCCTTCCTCCCTTCCTTTTATCTAATATTTTTCTCCTATAAACCATCCAGCTGTAGCTTGATTCTGTCAGTATTCAGTGAGCTTTCTGATTAACTAAGAGTTACAGATTTCCTTTAGCAACACCCTAGCAACAGCTTCAACTATAAATTGCCTTCCTTATGAGACTCGTATTCTTTACTACACAAAACATCTTTCTAAATAGGATTTGAGTGAACTCTGAGCACAATACAGCAGTGGATTTTTAGTGAGAGATTAATGGATGCTGAAAATCAAACAGATATGAGGAAAAACATTGGTTCCAAGGCAAGACCCGGGTCAAGGAAAAGAAAAGGAATTCATTTTCTCTCCTTTGGTACTTCACCCAGAGCTCAAGAGAGAATACACGGGTCACTTTAAGTCTGCAAAGGCTCTGAGTCTGGCTGCCAGGAAGTGAAATTTCACACTCAATCATTATAACCAGATTGGTCCTTGTGGTTCACATATTTTGTTCCTCCTCCTCCTCATGTCATGGCTTTGCTTTTCTGTTTCCATTTAAACTGCTTTATTTTGCACATTTCTTTCATTTTGCCTCAAATCCTGTGTAGAAAGAGCCAACTGAAATTTATGCAGTTTCTACTATATCCCGGGCACTGTGCTAGGCCCTTCGGTTATCTGGGGTCCTATATACTGCAGAAAATACAGCGTAAATGCAAAGAAAAAAAGAATTTAGAGTGAGCGGGAGGTGAGTGTACAAAAAAGATGAAGAGAGAGGAAGGAGTGTGGATTCTCCATAGAAGGGGCCAAAGGGGAATGAAGATTTAAAGTTTCCAAGAAGAGCCTGGAGAATCATTGTCACCCCAGTTTGCCCCACTCTGGGGAAATGTGCAGAAATTTACATTTTACATTTCCTCCTCAAGTCCTGTGTGGCAAGAGGCTTAAGAAGACTGGCTCTGTTGGCAAGGAGATTACATATTCTTTTATGTATGTGTCACTTCTAACCGATGGTGGGCTTTGGGTCTCATGTGTAAAATAGGAATAAACCTAGCACCACCTTCTAGGGGTGTTGGGAGGATGGAAAGAAGGTTTACCTGCAACTGTGCTTTCTGTGTAGTGAGTGTGCTCTGCTGTCTAGTTTTACTGTAGAGCACTGTGCATGCCTGTTCATGTTGATTTAGGACTTAGGTGTTGAATGACAAAGACTCTTGAGGTTTCCCACACAGCAAGAAAATGGGAATTCCTTTTATGTCTCTAGATTATATTAGGTTGAACTATATGACATTGCCATTTCTATAGGTCAAAAACAGCAAGGATTTAAAAAATAGAAACATTTCACATAAAAATGTCCAGATGTATGAGTTTTCTTGAAAAATCTGAAGACCTGGCACCAGTGGGCCATATTGCCCCGTGAACACCATGCATTGCAGTGACTGCCCACTTTAGGTAAGGCATGCAACCTAAGTCTCTGGGGTCTCTGCCCTGCCTATTTACTGATGGGCATTTCCTGCTTGGTCCTGCAGATGGTTTAGATGACAGCCCCTGACTTAGTGTATTGCCTGGAGCTACACTAATGTCTTGCTGATAACATATCTCTGAGGAATGTTAGCAAAGGCATGAAGGCAGCAATGTAGAATTGTGTGAGCAAATGGCAAGTACAAATCATTCCAAACCGAACATCCCAGGCCTTGAATAATCAAAGCAAGCCAGGGAGAGGCAGTTTGGACTTTGCTTGTCACTCTGCTTTGACAGCATTGTGGAAATACTTTCATCTCCACTGAAATTGTCTCCTTTGACATGTTTACACCCACATGCAACTCCATTCACTAAGTACTTAGTGTGTTTTTATTCCTTTTGCTTGTACTTTTCTTTTTAATCCCCCACTGGATATCAATTTGTCCAGGGAGAGGAAATCCCCCATAGCAAAGAGGCAAAGAGAAAGATTAGCTGGCCCACCAAATACATCGGGCTCCTAAAGTAACTATCTTCTAGCTTGCAAATATATCTCATTTAATACTTCCAGTGAGTCCAGTGGAGCAGATATATATTATTACCATTATCAATGATGAGCAAACAGAGCTCAGAGAACTAGAGTAACTTAACCATGATCACACAACCGGGAAGGGCTAGGGCTGGAACTGGCACTTTTTAGTTAACTATGAACTAAAACAGGCCTTACTGCAAGTTTAAGAAATGATCTCAATGTTTTACTTGGTCTTTTTATGAGATGGGCTTACTAGCAAAGCTGATGCAAATTTAGCATTAAGGAAAATAGTGTCTTTAAATCAGAGAGGGTAATAGTTCCATGTACTCTGGGCTGTCAGGCAATATCCAGGGTAGAGTGGCCCTGGAAAATATCTGATTCTCCTTTAGATATCACTAAGTGAACTCTGTACACCTTCTTGCTAATTCCAGATAGGGTTCAGATTCTTTCTCAGTACAGGGCTTCAGGCAGCCACTATCCATCCCAGAACATACATATGGAGTTGGCACAAGTTGTGAAAATCATCTGAAATTTGGTGAGCAAGTCTGGATACCTGTTTCAAGAGGGCATGCATATCCTAGGTGAACCACAGGGCATCTGGGGAAAGTCCTCCCTATAAGCACAGGAAGACCCTGAGAGAAGGCCAGGAAGGCAGATGATGAGTCTTCAAGCATTTAAAATGCCAGAGGAAAGATAACTTTTTCTTGCTACTTCTAAAAGCAGAGCAAAGATGAGAATGCGAGACATTAAGAAGGGTGAGATTCTGGTGACCAGTGGTATATTAATGGAAGGAGCGGCCTTATGAAGTATGAGTGTTTTGCTGCTGCTGGCATTTAAGCTGAAGGTGAGATTGATAGCTTGGATAAATTCTAAAAGTCTATTTGGGCACCATTCCATCTCAGCCCCAAGGACAAACAGGAGGACAATGAACACATTTTTATTATATTTAAGAGCCTGGCACATAAATTGTCTTCAAGAAATGAGAGTCTTTCTTTACATCTCTAGATTATATTGGGATCATATAAAGTTGCCATTTTTTTTGTAGGTAATAAAGTGGTTGAAAGTTAGAAAGTTTATGTGGTTCAACATCATTCACATAAAGTCAAGAGAATGGACTCAGATTCCTTAGACCCCTGTTGCATAAGGAAGAAGGATGCCCAAGAAACAGTGAAGAGTTCACTGCGTGTTGGTATTGGGAATATGGAGGAGAGTGGTAGGAACAGAGATGGACAAGGAAGGCAGTCAAGAAGCAGATCCTTCAAAGGCCCCTGGGGCCATGTTGAAGAATATGGTCTTTATTATGAAGGAAAGGAGGGAATGCTAATAATGATCTGGGAAATTGATAGATACACCTGTGATGAAATGGGTTGGTAATTCTGATACATTCAAAGAATCCCTTAATAAGATTCCACTGTGGTCAAATTAGATTTTTAGAGTGGAATGGGATTGAAATGACTTCATAAAAAGTCTTTCTACATAAATTAATGGTGCAAGAAAGAAAATGGAAAAAATTACCAATTTAAGAGAGTAAGCTGTTTGGGGCATGTTAGCTGTTGGAAAGGCCACCAAGGAATGTTTTCATGACAGCTCTCAAAATACTGTCATAGTATATATGGTAGGATGTGTTTTGAGGCAACTACATTAGCCATGACTTTATATCATTGGTAGCACATGAAGGCCCTAAAACTGCCAATATTTAATACTAATCTATAATTCGTCTTAATTAATTAGAACCAATTAATAATTCATTAATTAGAACCAATTTTCTCTCCTCTACTTGGAGACAGAAGACAGACAAACATGTATTGAAGTTTGAGCTGTCTTCTAACCCTCTGACCCTAGGCAAAGTGCTTTATTTCTCACCCCACAACCTTGCAGATGAGCAGTGAGATGGGGTAATAAACCATTCTTTGGGTTCGTTACTATATCTAACAAAGCCATACTATGTTTATGGCAAAATAAATTTCATTAAGAAATTCTCTATTTAAAATACACTTTAGTTGGAAATAATGACTGAAGGATTAGTCAAAAGTAGAACTCCAGATTGCATTTAGCAACAGAAAATAGAAAAATCCTTTCTGAGAGTCCCTGTGACAGTGTGGAAAGGGTGCAGGTTTTAAAGGCAGGCATTATATAAGTTTAAACATCTGCTCCATCTCTTAGTATATATGGGACGTTAGGTGAGCTACTTACCTCTCCTCATCTAAACAATAGGGACAAAGAGACAGTATATATAAAGTCATGGCACACAGTAGGCACTTAACAAAAAGACACTATTAATCTGATTGTAATATATGCCTCCTCCGCTGGCAAACTGAGTAACTTTGAAGAAGCTGTTTTATCATCTGTTGGCCACCTATTTTGCTGATGATTATTGAACACCTGTTTGCTGAGTGACGGAACACCTTATTTAAATATTAATTTATGTGTTGTTTTTCACCTCTGCCTTATCATTTCACGAGTGTTGCCCAGCCTTCTGTATTTCCTTGCTTCAAGGATTTTGCAGAACAGGAAGAGTTTTATTGAAAACAACACTTGCTTTCTTTTCAGAAATTCCAAGCCCAAGAGTATATGCTGGGGAGAGGGGAATGAGACATCCTTGATGGGAGATTTTCTCACACCTGGAAAGACTGGGGGTCGGTGCATCTGTGAGAAGTAGAAATCGTCACCCTGCCTGGCTAGACCTCAGAAGGGAGGGCTGCCTGGTCCTGCTCAGACACCAGGTTCTTGGCCTTGACAGTGACTTCTAGTCCCCAAGCAGGGCTTGAAAGCAGAATACACGGATTCCAAAGGGAGAGGTCATTTACAAGACAAGACTGGGCATAATTGGTGTGAAGAAATGCCTCCCAGGATTTTTGCCTGACCTTAGTGTTAAAGGTGGTGGAGGTAGGAGCCTAAATAATGTAAGAAACTAAAGTTCCTGCTGGCATAGACTCTTGGAATCAGATTTATGTTGATTTCAAGAAAATAAAGAAATAGAACATTTCTTGCAGACTCGTGTTTATAAGATTCAGACTTGCTATAGTTGTAAGGCATTGGAAAATCTAAAGATAAATTTATCTCTGCTCTCTAAAAGCTTACCACCTATTTGGGAACTGCAGAAGATCATAAGACACCTAATGAATAACTACCATTCACAGCACTGTGAGATCCTCATATGTCACAAACTGCAGAAAAAGTTCTCAGTCATGAGAGGTAGACAGTTGAATTTTGCAAAAGGCAGATAGCCAGGAGGATGGAAAAAAGTTTCTCCCGAAGGAATATATAAAAATGCACCCTCCCCTAATCATTGTGTGCCAATACTATTATTATGTAATTGCTATAGCAGTAAATGCATAAAATTTTGTAGACCCTGATGTTCTTTTGGAAATATGCCTGCTTGATATGAAAGAGAAGTTTGGAACCTGCTGATCGAATAGGGAACTGTATAGTTTATGATTTCTATAAAAGTGCTTAGAGTGTTATCTTCATAGAGTGTGAGAAGTCAGAGAGACCTCAGAGGTCAACTAGCCCCTCCTACCCTTCCCATTTTACAGGGGTTAAACTGAGGTCCATGTAGAATCTGGATTTACTGAGGCCTGAGGGTTGTCATTTTGAAAGACTGTTGAGATAGTCAAAGTCTTGATGTTAATTGGGTCAAATGTGCACCTCCACTCCTTAACAGCTGTGTGAGCAACCACTGCTGCTGTCTCTTGCCTGGACATATCTAGATTCCTAATTGGAAGTTTAGTCTCTGCCACAGCTGTGCACTGGTTACTCATCCAATTCATTGTTTTCATCACGTTACTTTCTTGTTTACAAACCTAAATGATTACTTCATTTAAAGAAAATCTAAACTTTGTGGTTTGGCATTCAAGGCTTTCTGTGATCTGATTCCAATCAAGTACTCTAAGCTTATCTCCTTCTGCACCATATGCATGCACTTTGTCTGCAGGGAAGCCTTCCTGCTACTTTCCACGCTGTTCTCTCAGTCTCCTGTGTTTTTGCTCATATTCTCCTCTCTGCCTGGAAGGCCCTTCTCACCAATCCTTATCTATTCTTTAAGGCCAGATTGCATGTTACCTCCTCTGAGGAGTCTTCCCTGGGTAAGGGATACAGAGAATCACATGGACCTGAGTTTGAAACCTTACTCTGCCACTTAGGTCCTGAAAGACTGCAGGCAGGTTACTTAATTTCTCTGGGGCTTAGTTTTCTCATCTGCCAAATGGGTAAGTCTACACCCACCTTGTGACCTGGTTGTAAGATATAAGTGGGTTAATTCTATTGTAGTCGGCACAATTCTTTGTATCTGGTAAGTGTCCAAGAATGTGACTAATTACTGGTATTACTCCAGGGACCTGTGGTCTTGTCTTCTTTGAATTCCCACTCACTGTGAATTCTCTTATATTCTAAATTGCGATATCTAATTTTGCATTTTAGATATTGGAATGCACATTTTATTTCCCCATTCAATTGGTAGCTCATTGAAGTTAGGATGATATTTTCTTCTGGACTGTCCCTATTGCATTGTCCTTTACCACAGTAGGTCCTCAAACTTAGGCAAAGGCTGACTTTCCAAGTGTGAAAATACTGAAAAGAATTTGCTTTGCTGACACTTTTCCTCCTAAAAGTTGAACATAGTTAAAAAAAAAAAAAGTCAATTCTCTTAGAGATGAGAATCCCAATTGTTGGGCTTCAGTTTCATAGAAATACAGAAGAGAATTTGTGAAGTGACTGGTGGAGATTAGTACATTTCAATTAAATCTTGGGAAACATTGATTTAATGTTTAAAGGACACATGGCCTCAACTCATCAGGACAACTCAACCTCACCATTTTCCAGCATGCGTTGGTCTATGTGATACTTCAGAAAAAGTGGTTTCATGGTCAAATGAGTTTGGAAAACATTAGATTTTAATTAATAACCCGATCACGGGAGTCGGTGCACACATTAGCCAACTAAAACATGTGACACTTACTGAGGTAAAGAAATCAGCATTTAATAGCTAATAAGAATAGCTAACATTCTCTAAGCTCTCATTATATGTCAGGCATTTTGATAGTAGACCTTACACAGACTCTCTAATTTAATCCTCAGAATGCCCATAGAAGATAGATGTGATTACTATCTTCATTTAACAGATAAAGAAACTAACTGTTTGAATGGGCCGAAGTTCATACATCATTGAAGGAGCAGAGCTGGGATTTGAAGCCAGATGTTTGTGACCCCTAAGCCAGAGCGCTGATCTACCATGGTGCACAGTTTTCAACATTCCAAAACTTGCCTGACCAGGAAATACTTTTGGTTATCCTCCTATTATAATAATAACCCATGAAAGTGCTGTTCATTGCAAGACACTTTGGGGAATAGAGCCCCGCCAGGCCCAAGCTACTTGTCTTATGGGCTCATCCATGCTCTTTGCACCTCTGTGCCTTTGCCTGCCGGCCTCTGCCTGGGGACCCCTGGCCCTCTTGGCTCTTTCGTGATATTTTACTCATCTTTCAAGGTCTAGTTCAAGGACAGCTTTGTGGGACGCTTTCTTTGATTTCAGCAGGCTGATTTGCAAAGCCCCTCTGTGTTCCTGCCATCTTTCCTATGCTGTTTTTAATGTTTGGTCTGTCTTTGTCAAGGACACGTTCAAAGAGCGTTGATAAAGTATCTGGCACAGAGTGGACACTCGGTTAAGGTTTATTGAATTACCATGGTCTCTTTTTCTAGCCCATCAGCCATTGATCCCTAACCTTGGGGCATTTCAGGTCCAGGTTCACAAACTTGTGGCCCGAAACGTGGACTAAGCCTGGCTGACACCCAAAGCTAATACAGCATGGCTGCCACACTCCCGGCAGTTCATTGGTTAACACTCTTGTCCCTTGCAGACGCTGCCTTTCTCTCCCAGCCTCTCGGAGGCGAGGAGGTGCGATTAGGTCACTGTGGGCCTCTCTCATCAGCGCCCTTTATGGGACAACCCTGACCTGTCCTTTCCAGGGCTCTGTCCAGGTTTCATTACAAAGCCCCCCAGTGACTGCGCCTTAGATGAGTCAGCTGGCTTGGGCTTCATTAGCAACCCTAATAGCCTTTTTGTTTTTGTCCTCTTTGGGGCCCTCTGGGGCCCTGGGGTGGGGCCTGGCGGGCCTGACTTCCAGAGATGCCGCCAGCCTCCATTGGAGCCCGTGAGGAAGTTCGCGCTCCGGCTTCTCAGCAGTCACGTCATGCCACACTGTGCATTTCTCTGCCGCACCCGTCCCCAGGGTGCACTCAGGCGCCATGCAAACGCTGGCCATCCCAGCTCTAGAGCTGCCTGCGATGAGGTCATGGGTGGGGCCCCGGAGACCCCACTCCAAATAGGGTGGGGGCTTCCCCGACCAGCCTGGGGATGGTCCGAGAGGACCGGGAAGGAGACAGTAATATTGTGTGTCCGACCCACTGCTCCCTTTCTTAATGTTCTATAGGCTGGTGTAGACAGAAGTGGAGGGGAAAGGGAGAATAGAAGAAGATTTGGGAAAGAGAAGGATAAGGAATTGGCAGTCGCGGGTCACTCGCTGCATTAACTATGGGTGGAGAGAGGCAACTAATGGTGTCTCCTGATCACTCTGCAATGAGCAAAGTGTCCTTCTTAACCTTAATCCCTTTCTTATCGTTGAGACCATGAGGCAGAGGAAGCCACAACAGTCCACTTTATGTAACTAGAATTTGACACAGACAGAAAAAATATTCCAGAAACAGAGAAAGAACTGGTATAGCAAGAAGGCAGAGCCCTCTCAGCCCAAGAGCAGGGTCCCAGGCGGCCCTCAAATTGCTCACCCAGGCCTAATGGCTGAGAAATTCGCCTTGCTAATGTTTCTGTACCAGTGGGTTTTGCAGCCTGAGGTCACCTAAATGTCGCAAACCACTCAAGCTCTGTCAAATCCACAGGGTTTTATAATCTTTGCCTGTGAGCACGCTTGTGTGCGTGAAGGAATGAATGTGGAGCTGTGATAAAATCTCAGCCTGCTGGAAGAATGTGCAGATTTCTGTGACAATCTAGTTTTTTGCACCTGGAATTGTGCCTCAGACAGATGGGAACACTGATAACAGAGACATTCTCAGGGAAAAAGGGAACAACACATCTCATATTTATATGCCCCTCCACCTCAATGCACAAGATACTTCTCAAGTGACCAATGCACAGAAAAACAAGAAAATATCTTATCCTCGCTGCTCCCTACCTGTGTATGAGGCACAATCGAGAAGGCAAAGTCACCCTATTTAGATAACATTGTCAGCCGACTGTGACTTGAATTAATGAATGTTGAGTTGAACTGTTTCCTTCTCCCAGGATATATAATATCTGTAACATCCTCCCGTGTCAATTACAAGGGAAAAGACAAATGATTTATTTAACTTTTAAAAATATATTCTGCAAAACAAGTTAATAAGAAGCCATAGTAACTGCACTTAGGAGGATTTTTGGAAAGATATTAAAATCTTCCTTGGGAAACATTTCCAAGTTAATAGAAGAATCACAGCTCCGGAAGTTGAGTTGCATATAAGGGGATAAGAAAACATAGATAAGCTGACCTTGGGAATAAGTTAGCCTGTCACCACACTGACAAATGCTAAGTTCATCAGATTGGAGATTTTGAAGACTCCGCTTACATTTTCTGAAACAAATGGGATTTTTTATATAGTGAAAGATATTTACAGAGGTTCATGAATCAAGCAGAATAGAAAGTAGGAGAACGCTCTCCTGCGGAGGTTTTCTAACCTCTGATTTATCATTTGTTGACATATTTTTACAAGTTCCCCCATTTCTTTACAAGGAGCTTTCTTAAGTTCTCCCAGGAAATATTTTGATGAAGGCCGAATAGGAGGGAAAAAGAGAAAAACTGCAGTGAAAATGGTAGCTTACCTTGTCTGGACATTGCTGATATCAAACTTTCCCCCAAAACATGAGGCTTTCTTGCTTTGGTTGTCCCATGAATGTAGTTAACTATTAAAAATTTAAAGCAGAAATATGTGTTTATTATTCGAAGCTACTCCAAAACAATGCAAAAAATAACTTGATGAAAAATAAAGTGCTCGTCTGAGCATGAGAATGCGTTTGAAGCTTGGAGCTCATGCTGTTGTACGAAGTTTTGCAACTGTCTTTCTCAGTTTAAACAACCTCCCACTCCTTCTCCCAGGGACTTGCCAACTTCTATAATTTAAAGCAACTGCGATCCTTCCCATAATACTCACATTTCAAAGAGCTTAATATATACACTAGTTAAGAACAAGTAGGAGTGGGTAGTGTTCTTCTGCAAACCCCAGACTGAGGCAAATGAAAAGCAGGAGTCTCAGGTATCTAAACAGTTCTCTTTCTCTCTTTTATCCATTGCTCTTCTTACCATGTTACTTCTAGTTGCTTTGCCTTTTAAAGTGATGCCTAAAGACCAAATGATATCATTTCACTGGAAGCAAAAAGAGTACATAGGAAAGTTTATGCCCCAACTTATGGAAAAGTGATGCTAGTGAAATTATGTTTAAACGTCACTTTTGCTAACAGAATTATTTCCATGCAATTTGTGCCTAATTTATCTGAATGAAAAATCGGAATTATTATATGCAATTTTTTTCACAAAAGGGGAACTACCTAAAATGATGTTTGCATTGGTCTTATTTTAAACTTTATCTTACATACGAATCATAAACTAGAGAAGATGCTTACTTTGCAGTGTCTGTGGCTGAATAAATCTTCTGACATTTGATCTGTAACCAATGTTACAAATGTTATTATTTTTACTACTTTCCATCAACTGCCACTAAACCACACACACACACACACACACACACACACACACACACACAGAGGAGCATTTGTGAATTCAAATTATAGCCAACTTACAGTGTGATCAACTGAAAATGATGATTTGAAAAATATTTGATGGTATATCTCAAAACAGATCTTGCTTAGTACCTGATAGATAATAGGTGCTCAAAAAATACTGAATAAATAAAGTATTGCATATGTTCACACCAACCAACAGATTTGACAATTTTGGTTTGCGTATATGTTCCCATTAGAGATGGTTAATATGTCAAAGCTTGTATAGAAGTAAACATAGGACAATACATACCTTTGCCAGGCATACATTAATGAATAGTTATGATGTATTAAAGTTTCCTAAATGAATAGAAAACATCAGTTAAATAAACAGACCAATTGGTAGATAATAGAAATATTGACATGGGCATAATCTATTAAGTATGTTCACTGTGCAAAGTTATGCAAACAAGTTTCAGGAAACAAACCTCATTCATTATTTCAAAAACTATAGCTTCCTTTCTGCTATGTTTTCTGAGTCACCTGAAATAACTATTATGCAATGGGCAGAGGATAATACCTCTGATTTTAATTATGCAAAGAAAGAAAGGATTTAAAACTACAAGGAAATGTTCAAGTTTTAGGTTTTAATTGCTGTGAATGCAGAGAAAAGATGGAGTCTATTTTCACTCTAATTTCCACTGAGGAGAGATTTGCAGGCACCAGCACATGTAGTGTCATAGACCTGAACTCAGATCCTGGATTTACCACATTCCAGTTATGTGACCTTGGATGTATTACTTTCTTTGAGCTTTGGTTTCCTCAGTTGAGAAATATTAAATGCCAATAAGTAAAAGCAATCTATTCACATAATTGTATACAACAAATATGAATTAAGCACTTTGCTGCCCATCAGGTAGTTAACAAGACCTACTGAGGAGTCACTGAGATTTAGGGATGTTCATGATAGCAGCTAGCTTAGCTTTTCCTGACCCGTTTCAAAACTGATAATGGGCATGGGATGCTGCTCTGACACAAACCTAAACATAGTGGCATTGGCCTCATTGTGAGTGTCAAGGGAACTGATATCAAAGGCTGGAAAGATGAAGTTCCATGTTTCGCAGTAGCTAAACATTTGGTGAAACTGACACCTATGACAGTTTGTAAGGCAATATGTGCTAAGTAACTCTGTAGCTCTAAGGGAAAAGGATGGGGAGAGAATGTTAGTTATGTGTGTTGGGTACTTTTGAGTGCATTTGGCAAAGTGTTTCAAGAATGAGATGAGCTCAGGAAAGAAATAGCTAATTTATAAACAGAAATAAGAGGGAGTTGGGAAAGAGTACCTACATTTGATGGCTTGTAGTAGCCTCCAATTTTTTGAGGGATGTATATTGCTAAAAACAAAAAACCTGTAATCCTGTACTACAAATATCTCTCAAGGCTGGGAACAACTTCTCCCACTGGCAGGAGGC
Organism: Homo sapiens; assembly: GCF_000001405.40. Lineage (NCBI taxonomy): Eukaryota > Metazoa > Chordata > Mammalia > Primates > Hominidae > Homo > Homo sapiens. The sequence continues at coordinate 15,337,841 of NC_000004.12, read as the reverse complement.
TGGCTGTAGGCCTGCATGGAGGGAAAGCTCCCCGAAACCCACCTCTGAGGTGGCCAAGGAGAATGGGCAAGGGGAGCCTCTCAGAAGGAAGAACTGGTGGCCACAGAGAAATACTCCTTTGGTGGACAAAGTAATATTCCCTGGAGAGCAGAACCACAGCCAAGAACCAACTCCACCTACAAGGTAGTGAGCCTTTACTATGTTGGCCTGGCCAGCCTGGGCATCAGTGGCTGCTCTGTTTCCCATTCTTCCCTTTTCCAAATTGGATTTTATATTATGGTTCTCTTATTGCTATTACATTGTGTGTTTGTGTGTGTGTGTGTGTGTGTGTGTATGAGATATGGTTTGGCTGTGTTCCCACCCAAATCTTATCTTGAATTGTAGTTCCCATAATTTCCACATGTTGTGGAAGGGACCAGGTGGGAGATAATTGAATCATGGGGGTTGTTCTCCCATGCTGTTCTCATGGTAGTGAATAAATCTCATGAGGTCTGATGGTTTTGTAAGGGGAAATCCCTTTTTCTTGATTCTCTTTTTATTTTCGTTTCTGTTTTTTTTCCTTCTTTTTTTTCTCTCTTTCACTTGATTCTCATTCTCTCTTGCCTGCTGCCATGTAAGACATGCCTTTTGCCTTCCACCATGATTGTGAGGCCTCCCCAGTCACGTGGAACCTTGGATCCATTAAACCTCTTTTTCCTTATAAATCACCCAGCCTTGGGTATGTCTTTATCAGCAGCATGAAAACAGACTAACACAGTGTGTACGTGTGTGTGTGTGTGTGTGTGTGTGTGTGTGTGAGAGAGAGAGAACTTGTACGTTTCATTCATAGATCACTTCCTTTCTAGTTCATAGGTCACTGGATCAAGAGACAGCCACACCCAGAGTTACGCAGCGAACTCCACATGCCCCAGAAGTCCAGATTACCTTGGAGGTGCTGAATGCAGTGAGCGGTGGGATTAGAGGTTGCTTACTCTCAGGGGTTGGAGTGGGGGCAGTGGCAGGGGCAGTAGGGATGTTCTGTTGTTTGGAAAGAGGAGAGGACATTGATTCTTGGTAACCAGGGAGTAAACTATGGCAGATACTTTTGGTGCTTACTGATGCTTGTGTATTCTTCTACATTTCCCAGCCTCCTTTGCAGTGTGGTTGACTGTATGATTGATTTTTGGTCAATGGGACGTGAGCAGAAGTCATGGGGTGGGTACTTCTGGGCTGAGGTAATCAAGAGCTGATGTGCCTACTCCACATTCTTTCTCCTTCTCTCCATGTGGCAGGAAGCAAATGACTCAGAGGAGGTGGAGCCCAGTAATAGAAGGAAGGCTGAACCCTGGGGGATCCCTCAGTGGTCTGCTGCCTAGGAGAGTTGCTTAGCCTGCATCGAATCTTCCTGAATAGTATACACACTTACATTGTGTCTCTCCATCGAGTTTTGGGATATATTTGTCATAGTTAGCTAGTGTCAGTTGCTCTAATACAAGCACTTTGAAAGCTTCTTGGACCATTAAGTAAAATATTATATTTAAAGAATGGAGAAAAGTTTCCAACCCAATAGTAAATGCTCAACAAATGAGAGCTGTTTTATAGAATACCATATTGAGGTATAATGGTATACAATATGCTATACGTATTTAATGTGTACAACTTGATGAGTTTGGAGATAAATATACATCAGTGAAACCACAATCAATGCCACCTATATATTCATCTCCCCCCAAAATTTTTTTCTCCCTCCTTATTTATTATTATTGTTATTTTGTCATAAGAACACTTCATATAATTTCTTTTCTCTTAGCAAATGTTTAAGCATACAATAAGTATTGTTAACTATAGATACTATGCTGTATGATAAATATCTGGGATTTATTCATCATATATAACTGAAACTGTTTGCCCTTTGATAGCTATTTTTATGTTAACTGTAAATCCCTACTTTCTTGCCCTTGCAAAGACAATCCAGCTAAATGCCAGTTGTGAGTACTTGTACAAATTTGAGCTTTATAAATTGTGTGCTAATAGGCTAAGTAAATTGAAAATCATGGAAAGATTAGTGAGAGAAATAGATGTTGAAAACAAAATTTACTCTCCATCTTTTAAAAATGTATGCATTTATTAAGAAAATTATCCAATGACTTACTATTAGATTTTCATGAACAACCTTCAAAGCAGAGCGTAAAGGAATTTATAAACTCCAAGTTATTAATACAAGTTAAATACTCTCCGTAGCATTTACTGCTATAAACTCCACTTGCCTAAATGTTTGCTTTACTGTGTGTTCTGACATTGACTGTTCCAGGCTGCTTCTCAGTGGAAATAGAGTAAATGTCTTATTAATGCTGACCAAGAGCTAATTTTCCTACAAACTGCCATTCACTGAGGCCACATGCTTTTCCTACTGGCTTTGAACTGCTCTGAACAGAGAGAGGTACAGAAAGTCCTAGTTCATACACTTTGTTTCCTCCTCAGGTATTTGGAGCATTTCCACTAGAAATGCAGCTTCCTTCATTCCACAGACCTTTTAAAAATGGGTCAGACCCTTTTTTCCTTCTATGATTTCAAAGCAACAGTAACAATAATTGCAAACATTCATTGAGCGTTAACTATGTATTAGGCAGTATTTTAGTGCTCTATAAATGTACAAACTCATCGTATGCTGCCAACAAGCCTATGAAGTAGATACCAACATTATCCTTATTTTACCAATGGAGACTGTGAAATGCAGAGGTTAAGTGACCAGCTCAATGTCACACAGAAGGTAAGAAACAAATCTGGGATTTGAACCTAGGCTGTTTGTTTCCAGCAATCCAAGCTCTCAAGTGTTGGTGAAAACATATTCATGTCAAATGAAGAAAATATGCTTAAACCATGTATTTTCCTAGGTATTCATTGCTAAGATGGGTATTTGAGATGAGTACAGATTACTTCTGAAAGATGTTCTAAACTACTAGAGGCAGCAAACACTTTCCTATCTGAATGCAATTATAAGCCTTGAGCATTTTTCATGTTTTTCATATATTAGGCTTTGTATGTTAACTTTATTTATACTCCTTTGCTTGCATGCAGCATCCAAGTTTCAAATTATATCCTGAAACCCAGGTAGCTTCATCTGGATTTTATAATACAGTCTTTGCTGAGTTCTATCAAACATGTGAAGACACTGAGGAAGAGGTCAAGGAAAAATGAGACTTGCTTGAAAACCCCATGTTCCCCTTGGTATACATTACTAATGTTTAGAGATTGGAACTCAACTGAAATGCTTTTATTCAGAGTGGTAGAAAATGATCTAACCCAACTTCAAAGGGAAGCCACTCAGGAGGTGCTGAGTTTCTTCCCAATTGTCAGATGGCACACAGATGCCCACCATGTGCTTGTCACTGTGGAGTACTGGAGACACAGAAGTCATGTCTTTAAGTTTGCAGTCTCTGAGTCACTTTTCATTGGTTTCGGTCATGGTGAGCAAATCTGAAGGCTTCTTTTTACTTCCTTGGTGATTTAGGGTAGCAGGTCAACTTATTGCAGATAGTCAAAACTAGAAAAGGAGACTAGAAAAGATCTGTTTGTAGACTGCAGGATCAGAGATTTGGAATAAGACTTGAGAGTGTTTTAACTCACTCTCTCACTCTATTTCTGATCCATCTGCACGTCCTTGGCAGATGGCCACACCACTTTTGCTGGACTGCTCCTAGGGAAGGGGGCCATGGCTTCACATGGCATTAGAATAATTCTCTGAGCAACAGTGACTATTTCTGCTCTGTTTTCCACATGCAAGAGCCTTTCAGATATCCAAAGGTAATTTTCAGCCTTCCCCCCACCCAACAACTTTACCTCCCTTTCTTCAAGTTCAATGATTTTAAGTGTTCTTCATGCAATATGATTCCAATTAGGTTACCATCTTGGTTGGATGCCCTCCAGTGAGCCAATATCTAATTAGTGGCTAAATGACTCATGAGCAGTGTGGTAAGGTGACGAAGAAATCAAAAGTCTGAGTTAGAGACTCAACTCTGCTATTGGCCTTGAGAAGTCATTTTCCCACTGTTGGCCTCTGCATATTGTGGCCACCTATATTACACCTATCTGAGACTCCTTAATTAGCCCTTGACTCTCATCCTGTGCATGGGCTCCTTTCATGGGTCAGGTGTTCACCATTTAGAATCTACAGGACAATGCAACCTCTCCTTCGGCATCATTTGTGCTTTTCTAATGCTTGCAGGATCTCACTTCCTGGAGGTAGTGCATTTCCTTCAGGTTTAATATCTCAAACTGTATCACAACTTTTTCCCCTTAAACCCACTCTTCCTTAGTTGCCTAATTCTGTCATTAATACCACAGTCTTCTCAAGTGTTCAGGATTTTAAACACATGTTATTGGTTTTACTTCCTGTTCTTCCCCAAAACATTCAGTCATCAAATCCACATTGTCTTTTCTTTGTTATATCTCTAAAATTGGCACCCTGTAGCACTTCTATTATTACATTTTTTAAAAATCTAGTGTTTCCCTAGAGTATTGTCTGTGGAATTATACTCTTAAAATGTTCCATGGTAAAAGAAGTTTGGAAGATCATAGTTATATATGGGAATCTCCAAGAGGGGCATGTCAATTAACTATTTCCATATTAAAAAACCCCCCAAACTTAGTGACTTGAAACAGTAACCATTTATTATTCCTCATAAATCTGTGGGTTGCCTGGGGAGTTTTGCTGATCTTGGATGTGCTTGGCTGGGCAGTTATGGTCTTGGCTGAGGCTGACTATCACATGTCTAGTGGTCTTCTGGCTGTTGGATGGTCTAGGATGGCTTTGGCTGGGTAACTGGCTCTGCTCCGTGTGTCTCATCCTCCAGCAGGATAGTCTGGACATGTTCTCAGGCAGTTGAGAGAGCCCAAGGGAAAAGCTGGAAATATTCAAGTACTTTTTCAAGTCTTTGTTTGCATCAAGTTTGCTATTGACCCATTGGCTAACACAAGTGTCATGCTCAAGACCAGAGAGTCACTGAAAGAGTCCACCAAATGACATGGATACACGAAGGTGGAAAATACTGGTACCATTGGTGCATTTGGTCTTCTACTAAGGGGTAAAATATTCTATGTTTTACAACAAAACACTTGGTTCAAAGAATGCTAACTTGAGGAGCACATTATGGTACAAATATTGTGCAAAGCACATTCATGTAATGATACTTGCCTTCCCTTTCCATAATCTTCTTTCCCTTGTCTAGTTTCCCTCTAACAGAAAAGGCATTATCATCTGCTTGGTCCAAGAATGTAATTCACTGGCCATGATTCACTATTTGTGGGGACGCAACGTTGAATGTTTACGGCTTCTTTGGCTGAATTCTCCTCCTATTCTGTGGTAGAACAAGGAATTATCTATCTTCTTAGGGTGGGCAATCCTCTTGTGTACATATTTTTTTTCCTGTCCTCAGGTGAGGTGGATGATTTTCAGTTTTCTGTTTTCGTGTAGTTACAGGCAAGTCATCTCCCTACAGAGTGAATCCACCATTATTTTAGTGTGTTTTAGATCTTGGGTCTGTATAGTTGAGTAAAAAAAAAACCTGGATTTAGCACTGGCTTTGCAGATTAAGGGGTTAGAAGCTGAGAGTAGCAAGGTTTGTTTCAACTTCGAAGCATAAGCCTTGTGCTTTTCAACACCACTCCCAGAGATCAGTTTTTCTTCTCCCCGACCAGAGGGTGGTATTAATGGGCACTGGTTCAGCTGTTAATAAAAGCATGACTTTATCCCTCACTTGGCTATTAATTCTTGCATGCATAGTTCTCTTGGCAGAGTAAAGCTCTGTTTACAAGGAATCTCAATGCTGTCAAGCTGTAGTAGTTTATCTCACTCACAGGGTACTTACCACTTTCTGCTCCATGTCATACTCTTCATGTATGTGCCTTTGTGTGTGTGCGTGTGGTTTTCATTTTCCTATACTAAAGTCTAAGTTTTTCAAGAGCTGGGATTATGTCTTGAACTTTTGTAACTTTCTATTATCCATGGTGCTTCACATAATATCCTGTGTTTATCTACACATTTTAAAAAATGCCAAAGGAAGCCACACAAGACTGAAACCATTTGAAAGGTTATATAGTGAAAAGGTGGTCAGACTTAGGAAGTAAATTTCAGGTGCGCATGCATGCTTTCACCCATTTTCAAACAATCATTAAGTGCTATCAGATACAATGCTTGGGGATGGGCATTATCTTGTGAACCCTAATGAGGAAGAGATAATATTAAATTGAAATGATTACATTCTGATGATAGATTATTGCCAGAATGAAAGAAGAATGGGAATAAAGTTAAAAAAAAAAAAACATGTTCACTTGGATTTGGTCTCAGGAATGGACAGAATCCTTGGCTCAACTTTTATTTTGCTTTCATGAATAAACTCATACCTGATTATGGAGTATGATTCTTTCAATTCACAAAGGGTCAAAAGAAAATGTTATAGAAATCTATGAGAGGATAAATGTTCAAATTTATTTTCAAATTAGCTCAAACTTGATATTATATGTTTTCATTGATAATATTGTTTTTTGAAATTTGCATCACAATTTATGCTGTAAGCTTCATTCTTCAAACCAAAATACCAGACTGTATCTAGAAGAAAGCTAATGGTTCAATAGTATGAAGCATAGAGTAGTGCATACTTTTTATTTCAATGATTTTTGGGGTACATGTAGTTTTTGGTTACATGGATAAGTTCTTTAGTGGTGATTTCTGAGATTTTAGTGCATCGTCACCCAAGCAGTGTACACTGTATCCAGTTTGTAGTCTTTTATCCTTCACCCACTCCCAACCTTCCTCCTCTTAGTCCACAAAGTTCATTATATCATTCTTAATAGTAGGGCATACTTTTTAATATAATTGAAACCTACAATAATTGTAGCATGAATATGAAGGGGTCTTGTTGGGCAAGCTGCTCTTGGGATCAGATTTATAAACACAAATCCGAACTTAAAAGTTGATGAGAGATGTAGATTTACTAAAGGCTTTGGGAAGAGATGGATTACATCACACATTGAACAGCAAAACTTAATTCAAAGCCTTGCCATTACAAGGCTATGAGCTGAGCTGTGTCCTCCAAATTCACATGTTGAAGCCCTATCTTCCAATGTGATGGTATTTGGAGGTGGGACCTTTGTAAGGTAATTAAGTTTGGATGAGGTCATGAGGGTGGCCCTCATGATGGGATGATTGTCCTCATAAGAAGAAACATGAGAGAGCTTGCTTCTTCACTTTCTAATATGTGAGGACACAGAGAGGAGGCAGCTGTCTCCAAACAAGAAGGAAAACTTTTATTGGGGAACTGAATTTGCTGGCACCTTGATCTTGAACTTGGCCAATTCCAGAGCCAAGAGAAATAAATTTCTGTTGTTTAAGCCACCTAGACTATGGTGTTGTGTTATGGCAGCCTGAGCTGACTAATGCAGTATTACACCAGAATACTAAGTGTAAACCAAGACTGTCTTTGACACACCAGAATATATGGTAACTCAACCCATTAACCTTCCTTCTTTGCTCCTGAGTCCAGTTGTCATTTCTTCTGACCTTAAAACATATTGTAAATGTCCATCTCATTAGGGAAATGCAAGTTTAAAATATAGTAATGCAACACTACATACCTACTATCAAGGCTAAAATGTAAGATTAACAGTGCCAAAAGCTGACAAGTATATGGAGCAACTAGAACTCTGGTGCAGTGCTGATGAGAATATAAAATGGGACAACCACTGTTTGGCACTTTCATAAAAACTTAAATATGCCCTTATCATGAAACCTAGCAATTCCATTCTTAGGTTATTTACCCAAGATAAATGAAAGAATATGTCTACAATAGTTTTTTGTTTGTTTGTTTTTATTTTTATTTTTTTTAGACAGGGTCTCACTGTGTCACCCAGGCTGTGCAGTGGTACGAACCACCCGTGCAGTGGTACGAACATGGCTCACTGCAGGCTCGACCTCCTGGGCCCAAGCGATCCTCCTGCTTCAGCCTCCTATGTAGTTGGGACCACAGGGGCATGCCACTACACCTGGCTAATTTAAACATTTTTTTTTTGTAGAGGCTAATTTAAACAATTTTTTTTTTTTTTGGTAGAGACAGGGTCTCACTTTGTTGCCCAGGCTAATCTCAAATTTGTGAGCTCAGGTAATCCTCCCACCTTGGCCTCCCAAAGTGTTCAGATTACAGATGTAAGCCAAAAAGAAGTTAATAAAAAATATTCATAGCAGCCTAGTTTATGATAGCAAAAAAATGGAAATACAATATCCATCTATAAGTGAATAAATGAACAATTTGTGATATATCTATATTACATCCAAATGATAAGACACTACTCAGCAATTGTATTAGTCTGTTCTCATGCTGCTAATAAAGACATATCTGAGACTGGGTAATTTGTAAAGGAAAGAGGTTTAATTAACTCACAGTTCCACATGGCTGGGGAAGCCTTGCAATCATGGCGGAAGGTGAATGAGGAGCAAAGTCGCATCTCACATGGCAACAGGCAAAGAGAGCTTGTGCAGGAGAGCCTCATTTGTAAAACTATCAGATCTGTGAGAATTACTCACTGCCGTGAGAACAGTATGGGGGAAACTACCCCCATGATTCAATTATGTTCACCTGGTCCTGCCCTTGACACGGTGGGATTATTACAAGTCAAGGTGAGATTTGAGTGGGAACACAGTCAAACCATATCAGCAATAAAACTGGAAACAATCCAAATGTCCATCAATAGGTGAATACATAAATAAATTGTGTAAATCCTATCTGATATATGTAACATGGACAAATCTCATAAACACTATGCTGAGCCAAAGAAACCAGATACAAAAGAGAAGATACTGTGTGATTTCATGAAATTCTAGAACAGGCAAAACCAATCAATAGTGACAAAGCCGATCACTGGTTGCCTGGACTGGGGATAGGAGTAGGACTGAAAGCAAAGGGGCTCCAGCAAAGCGTTAGAGGGTGATGGGAATTTCCTATGTCTTGATTGTGGTGTTGGTTACAATGGTAGACAGTGGTCACAACTCACTGAACTGTACATATAAAACAGTTGCATTTTATTACAAAATTGATTTAGACAAAAAAAAAAAAACCCTGCAAATAATTTCCTCAATTATCTTGAGAATTCTGACTCTTCCCTTCAGCTTGCATGTTCTGTTCAGAAAAGCAAATGCTATAGTATTTGGCAAAAATTATGATGATTTATTGATCTTCAGACATGCTGTGAGTCGTCCTCATATTATCGTATCACAGATATATGTCTGATAAATGTTGGAAAATATTGAAATGTACTGCGATTTGGTAGTTGTTTTGAATTATTACCTACAAACTGGTCTTATTTTTATATATTTATTTTAATTTATTTACTTATCTAGGCACAAGGTTCTAAACTAAAATTCGAAAACTTTTATTGGCTACAGCCACTCTATCCTTAGGACAATACTTCTTGCTCATCTTTACCTTCTTTTCATTAAACCTTCCATTGTCCTGGATTTAAATGCCACATAACAACAAAAGTCCAGCCTAGAGGTAACTAGGCACCAACTTGAGTAAGGATTGGTCAGGTTATCCCAACTATAAGCCACCAACACAACTTAAGAAGTGGAGACTGGCATCTGGTGGCCAGCTGTTTCAACTCCTTAAAAAATACTTTAAAAGCCTTCCAGATGAAACAAAGTATGCAGATGGTATCACTTAACTTGATGACATGACTCACTAGGCATCAGAAACTGAGTTCCCAACCGTTTTCCATCTGAACTGTTAAAACGTCAAAAGAGAAAGTGGCTGATGGTGGATGCTGAGGGATATCGTTTGGTGTTTTCAACAAGAATCTAGTCCCATAGCTGGAAGGGATCCATGACATTACTGAACCCAGTTGTTTGCTTCAGGCATGAGGAAGCACTGTGCAGAAAGTTGTCCGCAGTAGAGTTCTTCCAGGGCACCTCTTTTTGGCCCACTCTGTTGCCACCAGCTTTTCTGGGTTTTGCTTAGTGACTAGATCCAGCTGTCCACCCAGCTCAGTGGACTGACAGCAGAGCCTGGGGTCACCAGGGCTGGGGTGGTTTCTAAGAGATGGTTTCCAGGTGTTTGGCCCTCTCGTTCTATGAGCTCCTCCTTACATCTCACCACTATCTCTAGAGCAGTGTCCTTTAACAGACAGACCACAGAGTTATTTTTCTCCAAACATCGTTTTTCAAAAGCAGAGGCTCAGAGCTAGGACATGATGTTCCCAATGACAGCTGCTGATGCCAGGTCTAGAGACCATGTTTCCTGCCTTCAAATATGCCTACATTACACTCAGGGTGTGGTGTGGTTTGAGGCATTTTAGAGAAAAGACACCAATCCAAAAATATATCCTCAAAAATGCTACTTAAATGCTCTCTCTTTGGATTAACTCTCATAAATTGCAAACCACAATGGTAGGGTTTCCTGAGCCTCCTAGACCAGGTTTGAACCCCTCATAGTCATCCTATGCCATTAGTCCTGGAATGCTCAGCTGTTGTCTAGCTGCTGGCATGCCACTCCGGTGAAGATAAGGATTTGAGTTGGTCCTGGTCACAAATGAACAAGCCTGTCACATAGCAGCCAGTCACTCACTGTATAATTGCTGAACCAATTAATGAGTCAATCTATCAGTCTTTTGTGCTTCGGTAAAAATGTGCTTAATACCAGAGTTGCTTTTATAATAATCTACTAACACCAGCATATGTATTGGGGTAAGTGTACGGGGATGTTATTTGGAGGAAGGAGAGAAGGAGAAAGCATGGTTGACTTTTAAGTGGGAGTTTGGGTTCGAACACTAGCTGTTCTGTGCACAAAGGGCAGGTAACTGAGGAGGCTGAGTTACCTGCCTTAGGTAACATAGCAAGTCTGCAGCAGGACACTGAGGCTCCCTGAGAAGGGAAGTGTCTTCTTCATACCCATGCTGTTTGGAGAATGAAATGAGATAATGCATGTGCAAGCACAATCTCAAATGAGCTATATTTGTTAGCCACATTGTGAGAATCTCCTGTGACATACATTTTTAGAATGAAGCATGTGGATGAATCCATAATTCTAAATGTTATAAAATAGTGATTTTCAAGCTCTAATATTGTACATGGAACTCACTGGTGTGATAGGCAGAATTCAAAGATGAGCTCCTGGTCTCTCAAAGATGTCCCACTGTAATCCTGAAAATGTGTGAATGTGATGAAATATCACTCCACTGATGAAGTTTCATTATATGATACAGTTGACCTTAAGATCTGGGGTGGGCCCGATCTGATCCCATGTGCCCTAAAAGGCAGAAAGCCTCCTCCCACTGATCGCAACATAGGATTTCACAGAGATTTGAAGTATGAGAAAATTTGAAGCAGACATACTCAGTACGTGTTGCTGTTTGGAACCTGGAGGAGACCACATGAGAAGGAGTGCAGGCAGCCTCTAGGAGCCAAGAGTGACAGCTCACAGCCTGTGAGGAAGCATGGATCTCAGTCCTACAGTTGTAAAGAAAAGGAATTCTGCCAACAACCTCAATGAGTTTGAAGCAGATTCTTCCTTGGTGCCTTCAGATAAGAGCCCAGCCCTGCCAACTCCCTAATTTCAGGCACGTTAAAACTCTGAGTAGAGAATCCAGCCAACCCTGTCCCACACTCTACTCCCACTTCTGACCTAGAGAACTTTGAGCTAATAAACGGGTGTTGTTTTCAGTCACTATGTTTATGGCCATTTGTTACTCAGAAAAGAAAATGAATCTACCTGCAGCTCTGGCTATAATGATGACTCATTCTGATTTAGCGGGTCTGGGATGGAGCCTGAGAGTCCACGTTTCTAAGACGTTCCAAGGTGATACCAATGCTGGGATTAAATTTTAGGAAGCAAGACTCTAAAGAACACAGCATCACAACACAATCAGTCAAATCTTTTTTTCACCAATAATATCCCATTTAGGAAATAATGGAATTCTTATTATTTGGAAAATAGGGAATCATGGAGTAATGTGAATCCTTATTATTAGTTATCTTTCCTGCCTATTTCCTGACAGCCTTTTCCTAGGACCATTTTTTGTGTTTTTCTTATTTTTTCTATTTTTCTATTAACTCTGGAATTGTCTCTCCAGAGCATAGTGTGGTGCAGTGGAGAGAGAAGGTCTTTGCTGCCCTTCATTAGGGAGTATATTTCATCTCCCCTGGGATACATTATCTAAAGTCAAGGGGCTTCAGTTCCCCCTATAAAAGGGGCCTATAAAAAAGCCTTCATCACAGGATTTGATCATCAATTTTATATGTCAGCTTGGCTAGGCAATGGGTGCCCAGTTGTTTGGTCAAACATCAGTCTAGATGTTGCTGGGAAGGTATTTTATAGAGAGGATTAATATCTACAATGGTTTGACTTCAAGTAAAGCAGATTAGCCTTGATAATATCTGTGGCCTTGATCCGCTCAGTTGAAGGCCTTGAAGGCAAAACTAAGATTTCCTGGGAAATAAGGAGTTCTGCCTCAAGACTGACATGGCAATCCTGCCTGATATTCTAGCCTGCTGGCCTGCCCTACAAATTTCAAACTTGCCAGCCCCACAATCATATGAACCACTTCCTTAAATCTATCTGTCTGTCTGTCTGTCTGTCTGTCTGTCTATCATCTATCTAATTGATACAACTGTGAACAATGTTGCAAACCAAAGAAACCAAGGGTTTTTGCCAGTTCTGGACATGGACAGAAGAATTACTTTAGGTAAGAGGAAACCAGGAGTGCACAGATTGAAAAATAGCAGCAATAGCTATCTATCTATCTATCTATCTATCTATCTATCTATCTATCTATCTATCTTATATCTATCTATCTATTTCTCTCTATCTGTATCTAATCTATCTTCATCTATACCTTTGGTTTTGTTTCTGTAGAGAACCCTGACTGATACACAGAAGTTAAAAGGCATAATGGCATACTGGAGATATTAATGAATGCTCATTATTATTTGTAATTAGTATCACTCCATGTTTCAGTAAAATAGATGAAGGAATGTATGACAGGAAGTGTCTATTGTGGATTCCTGTATTTCATGCCCCTTATTTGGTGACGTCTGTTGGTGATGTGCTTAATTCATTTCCCGATTTAAAGGGCTATTTGGTGATGGAGATTTTGCAGTATTCAAGAATTACAGACTATGGAGATGACTGTCTTTGACATAAGCAGCCAAGTTAGGGATCATGTTATAATATCCCTGTGAAGGGAACATGAAAGTAGTTGTAGGGGGAGGATGGGCAGGAAGGAAGTACTTCTGAAATAATACCAGGTGTTACAATGGGAATGATACTGATGCCTCCCCTTCAAGTCATTGTTTCTGATTGTCCACATCTGCCTTCCAATGGGCTTGTGAACAGTGTTGCAATCCGAAGAAACCAAGGGTTGTTGGCAGTTCTGGACATGGATAGGAGAATTACATTAGGTAAGAGGAAACTGAGAGTGCACAGATTGAAAAATAGCAGCAATCTCATGTACTTGTGTAGTGTTTGCAGAGTAAGGGGTGATTTTACTTTCATTATCTCATCTAACTTTTACAAGCAGAGTATTGCTATCTTTGTTTATACATGAAGGCACTGAGGCACCAAGACTTTGGGCTTTTCTGAGCAAGTTTACTCAGCAAGCCAAACACAGACCCGAGATTGAGCCCAGGACTGTCTGGTTTTAGGGACAGTCCTTTTTCCTCTGCAACAGGCATCTTGCTATGCTATCATTACATTCCAGGAGGCTACCAAAGTCACCAGCATTCAGAGATAGCAGAAATTCTTCTTCAACCTTGCCTCTTGGGTTGAGTGGAGAAACCTAGTGATTATGGGGAAACTCTTAGGACAAAGAGCTCTTTGATGATAGAGGCATTATATATGACCCAGTGCAGGAAGGAGGGTTAGGAGTTGTCAAGGAGGATGGGAACTGGCAAATGCATAATGAGGCTAAGGTTATTAGTGCTCAAGAAATGGGATCAGTTATGTTAAGAGGAGGGTTATGAATTTTTAGTGTAGATAAAACAGACAAAATTTTCAGGAAGAAATTAATTCTCTTAGTGCTAAGGCACATTAACACTTCCTGGAGATGCTCAAACACTGATGTTTTGGGGGACCAGGAAAGAAAGACAGTTGAGTGAGTTGGCCCTGTAGAGGATAGTGGAGAGTCAAGCCCACTCTGCAGAATTGGGAAGTCTGTCCCAACAAGACATCTATAGGCCAAGTTCTTGAGGCCACTAGCTTCCTATCTTTACCTCTAGGACCAAACAGTTCCATCCTCCCCAGTCAGAAGGCAAGAGTTCATGTTCCCTTTCCCTGGGGAAATTGGGAGAGCATGCGCTGAGCCCAGCTCTCCTCTCTAAGTGGGAAGGAGACAAGCCTATGACATTGAGGAGATGCTCATTGCTATAGTGGTACCAAAGAGTGAAGTGGCTTAACCAAGCAGAGGGCTCGACTCTTGATTCTTTCTCCTCCATTTCCACTCATCACCTCGCTACCTTTGATCTCCAACTTTGTATAGCTTTGAAACAATTTTTCAAACTATTTTGGAGTTTAAATCTTTCTTGGCTCCAGTGTTGTCTTTGGGCTACTGTAGCAGAGTATCATACATTGGGTGGATTATAAATAATATGAATTTATTTCTTATAGTTCTGGAAGCTGCAAGTTGGAGATCAGGGTGCTAGCATGGTTGAGTTCTGGTGAGGGGCTCTCTTCTGAGCTGCAGACTGCTGACTGCCTGTCGCATTCTCATATGGTGGAAAGAGGATGAGAGAGTTCTCTGGGGTCTTTTTTCTAAGGGCACTAATTCCATTTACAAGGGCTTTAATCTCATGACCTAATTACCTCCCAAAGATGCCATTTCCTAATATTCTTACATTGGGGATTAGGATTTCAACATGAATTTTGTGGGGACACAAACATTCAACCCATTGCAAGTGTGTATTCAGCTATGGGAAAGGCAGTAGAGGCAGTGTCCTCGGTAGGTCTGACAGTCCCCCCTATAATGGATTGAATAGCATCTTTTGAAATTCCATGTTTGCTGAGAACCTCAGAATGTGACCTTTCTTGGAAATAGAGTCTTTGCAAATGTAATTACGTAATGGGTCTTGAGATGAGGAGATCATCCTGGATTATCCAGGTGGGTCCTAAATTCAACGTGTTCTTATAAAAGACACACAGAGGTAGCTGGGTGTGGTGGCTCATGCCTGTAATCTCAGCACTTTGGGAGGCCAAGGCGGGTGGATCCCTTGAGTCCAGGAGTTTGAGACCAGCCTGGGAAACATGGTGAAACCCTGTCTCTACAGAAAATAAAAAAATTAGCCTTGCGTGTTGGTGCATGCCTGTAGTCCCAGCTACTCAGGAGGCTGAGGTGGGAAGATTGCTGGAGCCCGGGAGGTCAGGCTTCAGTGAGCTGTGAGCATGCCACTGCACTCCAGTCTGGGTGACAGAGCATGACTATGTCCCCCCCACAAAAAAAAGATACACACAAAAAAAGAAGGACACACAGAAGGAGACATAGAGAAGAGGAGATGGTCATGTGATGATGGAAACAGAGATTGGAGTAATGTAGCCGTGAGCCAAGGAATGCCTGGAGCCCCCAGAAGCTAAAAAAAGACAAGGAATGGATTGTGCTCTGGAGACTTCAGAGTTGGCACTGGCCCCAACGACACACTGATTTTGGACTTTTAGCCTCCAGAATGGTGAGAGAATACATTTTTGTTGTTTTAAGCCACCAAGTTTGTGGTGATTTGCTGTGGCAGCCCTGAGAAATTAATCTACTTCCTCCATAGTCATCTCAGGCTTCAGCACGTCTCTCCCAGGCAGTGGGAAGCATCATCTACTGGGTGAAAAGCAAGTTGAAAGAAGATTAAGGTTAATTCCCTCCCAAGCTCTCTGGGTTCAAATTCTGGCTCCAGTGCTTACTAGTTGTGTGACCTTGGGCAAGTTATTTAATATCACTGTGCCCCGGTTTCCTCATCTGCAAAAGGGGGACAACAGTAGGACGTGCCTCAGAGAATGGTCAGGAGAGGGAAAGTTACACTGCTGTAACAGATACCCCCAGATCTCAGTGGTTTCCAACAGCAGAGAGTTATATCTCTCTGATGCTCTGTCTTTATTGTGGATTGGCTGGGAGTTCTGCTCTATATTGTCAGAAGCTCGTGATTACAATTGCCTACATTGTTTATACAGATGTAGATTAAAGTTTCCTTTAAACTTTGAAGCAAAACTGGATTGGAGCCCAGCCTCTACCTATTATCATCCACATGACCTGAGAAACACACTTGGTCTCTCTGAGCCTCAGTTTCCTCATCATGAAAAAGGAAATTATATTGCATGATTGAGGCCGGGAAAAAACATGTGACAAACGGCTTCTTCATGGAGCATCTGAGCATTGCTGGTACCCATGGTAGAGGGAAAAGAGAGCTCAGAAGGGCTGGCAATCAACAGCTCAGCTTGGAAGCCACCTGCTTCACTTTTGAGTGCAGCTCGTTGGTCAGCACTAGTCACATGACTTTGCTCAGCCCCAGGGTTCAGAAAGTGCCTGGAAGGTGGAGACTTGACAATATTTGGTGAGAATAATTAATGACTAGTTTATAGGACTGTTGTGAGGATGGAATGAGGCAATACCTGTAACACCTTAGAATAGTGCCTGACACAGAGTAAGTGCTCAACAGTATTTATTAAATAAACTCCTTCCCAGAGGACACCCCTGTGGGCCACAAAAGAGGCGCTGGGCTGGTTTTGCTAAGGCATGGCCGAAGAGCCGAGCCTAGTGTTGCTTCTTTGGGGTCTGTGGTCCTGATATGGGGCTCTGGAGCTAACTGGCATGAAACCTTCACTTTACTAAGCCCCAAAGTCCTCTCCCAGTGCAATGAGAGCATTAGGGAGCATGATATCTGGGGCATCTCTCAAAAAGGAAGCAGTTCAGGATCCAAGTAGTTAGGTTCTTAGGGGAGGATATGAATGTTTGGAGAATTTGCAAAAGCAGCAGCAGAGCAAATCAGAGGTCAGAGCTCTCCTCAAACAGAGGGAGCCCGTATGAATGACTAACTATTCACATTTCTACAGGTTTGTAGTGAAACTCTTGTCCAGAGAAGGCTAAATTCTATATTCCTAAACAGATTATGGACCATAGCATCACAGGGTGGGCACCCTGTGTCACTTGACCTGGCTGTCTTTCCAAGGGAACTTATTCTTTGGCCATTTTTTTCTTTCAGTGAATAATCTATTTGATTTCAAAAGTATTATTAACTGGGTTTGTGTATTTAGGTTATCAACTTTTTCCCCTTGAGAATAACTTCTCTGCATTGTATGAAGTCATGTGAATGTTGATTAAGGGAGGCTGACTGTGCATGTAAATGCTGATGGAGGGAATGGGGTGTTGATCCCAAAGGGAAAGTCTCCATGAAATTCCATTTTCATTAACTGAGAAACTACTGTGTGCCAGGCACTGTTCTAGGAGCTGGGGATCTGGCAGGGATTAAAACAGCTCTTGTGCCTTAGTCTTCCTGGAAGTGATGAAAGGGAAGATTGGGAGACCCAGCCTGCATGTTGAAGCCCATGAATGCCTGTAGCATTCTATTTACATACCAAAGACAGCAGTCTGTTAAATTCAAATTTGGCTAGAAGTTTGAGATTCTAACATAACTATGATAAATCAGGAACCTCTCTGAGCTTTTAAATGAGAAAGATTCATCATTTGTTTGTCTTTTTGCTATTGGGCAAACGGTTACCAACCACCCACCTTGTAGCAAAGTCTCTTCTGGGCTTGGGATATAGTGATGCACAAAGTAAACAAGGTTCTATTCTCCTGGAGTGAGTGTTCCAGAGGACAGAGGCAGAACATAAAGCAGCACACCAGCATGGCACATGTATACATATGTAACTAACAGGCACATTGTGCACATGTACCCTAAAACTTAAAGTGTAATAAAAAAAAAAAGTGAACAAAGACCATATTCCACTAATTCTTTGATGTGCATCTTGAAAACTTTTAATTTGGAAATAATTTTAAACTTACAGAAAAGTTGCAATAATAATAGAACTAGAAAATGTATGCATGGATACTTACATATATACATACACAGAATGTATCCTGGTACATGCTTAACAACCAGATCTTCAAAACAAAAATGGTCTTACTTTACAGTATTTACTAATTTCCAGAATTTGAACCCAGATGAGTTGGGAGGGAATTAACTTCAATCTTCTTTCAAATGATGCTTCCCACTGCCCAGGAGACAGGAGCTGCTATATTGCATCTGTAGAATAATAATGGTAAAATGTAAACTAATTAGGAAGCTTTGAGTTTTGAGTATTTTTTACTTTATTTTTAATATCATTTATTTAATTTTACACTTATATAATTTAATTTTAATAAGGTGATGTTGAACATCTGGTGCACAAAATGCTGGGAAATTAAAAAATCCACTCTCTTGAACCAGAATGGCTGTTTCTAGTGCACTGTGGGCACACATATGTATGTATGCAAATGCGCATATACGTGCATGGACACACATGTACACATTATGGCAATTATGAGCTTACACTGATTGTAACCTCCAATTTTAATCTAGACAGTTGTTTCTTTCCTTCCCTCACTCCATATTTGAGCATTCCTTCTTCCTTAGTGAGAACCCTGGATCTCAACAAAATCAATGACACATTGCTCATTTGCTCAAGTCCTATCACACATCTGAAACACTTCCCCCAGGCCACTGGGAGAAACAGACCTACTAAATGGAATGCATTTTTCCCCTAATCCTCAATCTCACTCAAGACTGAGAGTCCACAGTGGAATACTGTGCCAGTTACTCGAATTAGTGATCAACCCCCATTTGTGTGGTTTTTACATTCATTTTAAATATAACTGGGTTTATTTATTTTAGTTTGTTTTTTATTTTAGGTTTTCTTTCCTCCTTCTCATCCTTTGTTTATTTTGTTTTATTTTAAACAAGTAGAACATAAACATACTTCTGAAAATCAAATCCATACAAAAAGGCATACTCAGAACAATGCCACTCACTCCTGCATTCCTTCCATTCTATTGTCCTCCCCCAACTTCAGTATTCTGTGCCTTATCCTTCCTGTGCTTCTTTTTGTGAAGATAATAGATATGTGGGCCGGGTGTGGTGGCTTACGCCTGTAATTCCAGCACATTGGGAGGCCAAGGCGGGTGGATCAGTTGAGGCAAGGAGTTCAAAACCAACCTGGCCAACATACTGAAAACCCTTCTCTACTAAAAAAAAAAAAAAAAAAAATACAAAATAATTAGCTGGGCATGGTGCCGGGCATGGTGGCAAGTGCCTGTAATCCCAGCTACTCAGAAGGCTGAGGCAGGAGACTTGCTTGAACCCAGGAGGCAGAGGTTGCAGTGAGCGGAGATGATGCCATTGCACTCCAGCCTGGGCCACACAGTGAGACTCCGCCTAAAAAAAAAAAAAGATATGTGTTTATTTTCTTACTCCCTTTTCATTTTTTACACAAAATAATTCACTCTATAGACTTTTTTTTTCCTCTTTGCTTTTATCACTAAGTAGCTTATGGAAATCCCTTCATATCACTTCATAGAGCTCTTTCTCATCTTTTTTTCCAGCTGCACAATACTCCACTGGGCATGTGCACTATAATTTATTTAACCAATGTCCTATATTTGAAAATTAAAGTCATTTCTAATATTTTCAGTTATCAATAAACCAATAAATAACCATGTGCATGTGTATTTTCATACTGTTGAAAGTGTATATTTAGGGTAATTTCTTAGATGTGAGATTGCTGAGCCAATGGATAAATGCTTTATTTGTTAGAGATTGCCAAATTCCCCACTATAGGGACTGTGTCATTTTACATTCCCACTGGCAATGGCTAAGAGTATCTGCTTCACCACATACTCATATTGTCAAGCTTTGGAATGCCTATCCATATCATGGTTGAGAAATGCTATGTCAGTGTGGCTTTAATTTGTATTTTTTATGAATGAAATTGGACATCTTTTTTTATTATTATTATGCTTTAAGTTTTAGGATACATGTGCACAACGTGCAGGTTTGTTACATACGTATACATGTGCCATGTTGGTGGAATGAAATTGGACATCATTTTATACATTTGGGGCCATTTTTATATCTCTTTGTGTTAGTTGTTAGATGAACTTTTTAAACATTTTTAACATCTTGAAAATGGAATGCAATATTTATGGTGTCATAATTTAATTGGTGGCATTTTATCATTATAGAACATAATGATGTCTCTTACAAGCTACAGAATCTTGGACTTGATAAAATACGGCAAATAAGTAAGAAAAAATGCCGGTTTGTAATAGGGCTTGAGGAAGTAAACAAGATGGCACAAGTGAAAGGAGTCAGTACTCAGCTGTGCGGATGCCTTCTTTATCCTTCAGTAGGTTGTCTTAACTGTCAGAGGGAAGTGGAGAAGCACAGCCAATTGTTTGAATGACTCAGGCACCAAATTGTCCAACAATCCAAACATCTTTTCTTGATTCAGTTAGGTGTATAGAGCAGTTGGGGCAACTATTCTGTGCATAATGACAGAGACTCAGTTATTTACTTAATGAAAATAATTTATTGCATTTGAATTACTTTGATAATTATAATTCTCTGTATCATTTTAGTATACTTTAAGCAGTTAAAAGAAAAAAAAACTGGCTTTGAAATCTGGAAGTTTGGGATTTGAGCCAAACCCCTGCTTTCTTCAAGCTCTATGAGCTTGGGAAATCCACATGGTCCGTGTGAGCCTCAGTTTCCTTATCTGGAAAACAGAGCTGGCAATTGTAGGATTGAGGAGAGAATGCAATGTGTCAGACAAACCTTTTAAATCAAAAAGAAGTGTATAAATGCTGCCTGCTTTTCCTGTACTTTTGGTTGCTTTGTATTCATCTAGATCAAGATATGTTTCAAAAGTAAGAATTCCAGCAACTCAAGGCTCCAAGAAGGCAGGAATCTCCTTATTTGTGGTCTTACTGAATGTGAGCTATAAGTGTGCCAGATAAAATACAGGACACCTGGTTAAATTTGAATTTCAGATAAATAATAATTTTTAGTATAATTATGTGTCAAATATTGCATAGGGCAAATTTATACTAAAAATGTTTTTTTTTTAACCTGAAATTCAACTGGGCATTCTGTAATTAAGACTTACTGCAAAATCTGGTAAACATATAATGGGAATAGGAGAACAAATATTTCCAGGTGAAATGTCATGCCCTTGGTTCAAGATGGTTAAAAATCAAAATTCAATGTCTATAGATGGATGAGTGGCTAAAGAAAATGTGATAAATAATACAATAAATTATTATTGAGCCTTCAAAAGGAATAAAATTTTGAAACGTGATACAAAGTGGATAAACCCCGAAGGTATTATGCTAAGTGAAAAAGCCAGACACGAAAGGATAAATACTGTATGATTCCACTCATATGTGGTACTTAGAATAGCCAAATTCATGGAGACAGAAAGTAGAATAGTGGTTGCCAGGAGCTGAGGGGAAGGTGAAATGGGGAATTATTGTTGAAAGAGTGTGGAGTTTCATCTGGGGATGAGGAAAACATTCTGGAGATGAATGGTAATGATGGTTGCACGGCAATATGAATGTGCTTAATGTCACTGAATGGTACACTTAGAAATGATTAAATTAGTACATTTTATGTCGGGTGTATTTTACCACAATAAAAACAATTAAAATTCAGTGCTGAATTACTTCCCTTCTCTGATTTTCAGTTATCTCATCAAAATGGGGGAGGAGAGTATGGCTGGGCTGTAAGATTAGCAAAGAAAGATTAGGAGTGTCTGGCCTGCTTCTGAGTTGCTCATTGTCTTATTGGAAATATGAGCTTCTCCCCCATCCCACCTGCACCCGGGCTTCTAATTCAGTGGGATTCAGATATGGTCAGGAGCTTTCAGGTTTAATAAGCTTCTCAGGTACATTCTTAGCAGCAGGAGAGGCTAATTCGTTAGAAGAATGAGACACTTTAACAAGGACTTCAGGAGCTGAAATAATTAATGGAGTTCACTAAATTCCTGTATTCACACCAAGCCTCCTCCTTCTGGAGGAAACATCTTTAGAAGTAGTAAAAAAAAAAAAAAAAAAAAAAAAAAAAAAAAGTTCAAAGCTGATGAAATTCAACCCAAATAGAAAGTCAAAGGGCTTAAATAAAATATGTCTAGGCTGATTTCCTGCCCTGACATAGATTTTATTAATCTGTTTTTTCTTCTTTATCTTTCAACGTTTCTCTCATATACTTTGCATATTTTCCTCCTGAAGTTTTCGGCTTTAACTTCAAACTTAGCTTTTTGAGAAACACCGCCATGTACAATATTGATCTTTGTCTTATTAGTCCCTTTTATCAAAGAAAGAATGTAATTTTTGACTAGGTGTTAATCTGCAGATTAAAAAGGATTTCAAATTTCTTTAGAGAAAAGGTCCAGAATATTCATTACTGGAAGAAAGAAAGAACACCAAACTTACAGACTTCCAAAAGTTACTTAAAAAAATATCTGCCTACACTTCAGAACTCCAAAGTTGTCTCGCTGGTTTGTATTAAAACACTTAATAAAAATCACTACTATAAGTGCTTCCATGGTCCACAATGGGTAATCAAAGCAAGCTGCCCATCCTATAAGAACTTCCTTCTTTGTTTTACGTAATGTAACATAGTCTGGCCCTTGCTTGTCTATAAACAAGGCTAATGAGGTCAGCCTGGGAGTAAAAATTCCAAAGGTACTGCTAATTCACTCATTCATCACTGCAAAATCAGGAGAACTCATTTATTAAGAGTGTAAATGACTCTTGGAAAGGTAGCCTATGATATAATTGTTTATACTCGTCAGTGTATGTGAAATAAATTTTTTTCAAGGGCAGTTGGAGCTGGGAAATGTTTGTAGAGGGTTAAGAGTGTCAAATTTGGACACAAATTTTGCTTCAATTCTGGCTCTGCCTTTACAAAGTGTGTGATTTTAATAAAACTACTCAGCCTCTTTGTAAAAGACAGACAATAATCCATATTATTAGCTCTGCAGCTGGTGCCTGAGGTACAAAAGGTAGATAATATTCTCTATATCAATAATAATACAAATAATAACAACTAGTATTTTAACAGCAAATCTTTATATGGCCCCTACTCGATGCCACGTGCTGTTTGAAGTGCTTCATATTTAATAATCAAATTCCCTCTGCAGCCCCTGTTCAGCTCTTGTCACTATCTCACAGATAGAGAAACTGAGGCACAGTATGGAAATTAAGTAGTGTCACTAGAATGGAAGCTCTCTGAGGGTAAGGACTTTTGTTGATGTTCTGTTTTCTTCACTGTGGTAGCCCCAATCCCTAGAACAGTGCCTGGTACCTAGTAGAGGTTTAATAAAGCTCATTGAATAAATGCATGCTTACACATGTAGTAGAGTGCCTGTCTCAAATAAGGTGACAAATAATTGGCTAGCCTCATCCACCCTAATATCTATTATGCTTTGATTATTTGCTTATTCATTGGTTCACCATGTACCATGCATAAAACCAAGTGTTTTACATTTATTAACTCATTTAATTCCCGCTGTAATTCTGTACAAGCATACAGTTATTTCTTCCATTTCATAGATGTGAAGACTGAGACCAAGAAAGATTCTTACTTACCCAAGATCACACTCTTAATAAGAGACACAGTGAGGACTCAAAATCAGGTCTGTTTGACATCAAAGTTTATGTTTTCCATCACTGTACAGTAATGCAATATAAGGTTCATATATTTGAAATCTGAAATCGAAGGAGAGGTTAACAGAGACAAATATCGCTAAGCACTTATGAAAGAAAATGCTTAGCTATTTTTTAATTTGACAGCATCTTATTCTCTTCTTTTTATTTTTGTAGCTCAGTTCTGATTTTAGTGCCCTATGAAAATCCCTTCAATGATGACACAGGACCCCTGGCTTAATGTCTGGAATCCTGATCATGGTGTTCAAGGCTCTTCACAAAGTAGCCACAGCTCACTGTCATGTTGTCAGTGGTCAATGGGTACTTGTTGAGTAAATATACCTATTTTACCAACTAATTTCTCTGTTTCTCCACATGCAGACAAGGTGAATTTAGACATACCTTGGAGGTGTTTCTTACACCTTGAATCCCTTATGGTGACCAGGACTGACATTGGGAACAGCAGGCTTTTAATTGGCATTTGCTGAAAAAAATGACAAATTGAAAAACTCTCAATATTCAAATGTATTCTGATAGTAATCAAGTTCATTCATTTATTAATTTATTCAGCATTTACTGAAACACTACTATACTTCACAGTCTATGTTTCGTGGTGGAAATAAAGAGATGAATAAAATATTAGCCTTATAATCTACTGGCTTAGAGTCATTATGGGGAAATATTAGGTAAATAACATATTTTAAAAAATGGAAAAAATTTAAATATGGATAAATCCATTTAAAAAATCATGGAAGAAACACTGCATATACTGTTACATATTTCAGTAATTAGAGTATTTCTTCATAAAATATCCTCCTAACACTGTACTTTTAAAGTACTTTATAGGCAAGAACTCATTAATTATCAGAACTGTTGGATCAAGGCTGTCCCGAGAGCATTTCCAATTCAGAAAACTGCTGATCGTACTTGCAACTACACAAAAGAGAGGAATTGCAACAAGACTCAATATGTTGGTGAAATATCTTTCAGAGAGTATGGTATATTCTTCCTTGTCTGAACATCTAACCATCCATTCAAACAGCTATCCATCCATCCATCCATCCATCCATCCATCTCTCCACGCATCTGTCCATACATCCATTCATCCACCTATTATTTTATAAAGCAGGAGACTGATGCCAGGAAAAGTGAAATGAACAACGTTTGTCATATAGTGAAGATGCAATAAACATTGGCTATTACTATTACTATTATTATTCACTTATTTGCTGTCTTAGTCTGTTTGGTCTGCTATAACAAAATGCCTTAGACTGAGTAATTTATAAAGGATAGAAATTTATTTCTCACAGTTCTGGAGGCTGAGAAGTCCAAGAGCAAGTCATCGGCAGATTCCGTGTCTGGTGAAGGCTCACTCTGTGTTCCCACAGATGGTACTCTTTGCTGCATCCTCATTCTTCCATCCTGGTGGAAATGAGGAACATTGTGCCCTCACATGGGGAAAGAGACAAACACTTTTCCTTCTATCTTTTTATAAGGACACTAATCCCATTCATGAGGGTGAAATACTCATAACTTAATCACTTCCCCAAAGTCTCCTGCTCTTAATACTATCACCTTGGGGATTAACATTCAACACATGAATTTTTAGGAAACACCAACATTCACATCACAGCATTTGGTGAACATTTACTGAGCACTGCTGATTACTGTGCTAAGCCCTGGGGATTCAGAAATTCTCCCAGAGCTGGGGAGGCAGACATACAAGCCACTTATTGCTAGTAGAATGATAAGTACAACAAAAGAGGCACTTGCATTAAACAAAGAGCATCTGGAAGACTTAAGGCCTTTTACTTCTAGGCAACAGCAGACGCATTTGTTTTCTAATAAGTCTATCAGAGATATATACTTTAATAGAAAGAATGCAGGCTTTGGAGCCAGAAAGGTTTATGCTTGTCCTTTATTGCTCATATGATCTTTGGCCTCAGTTTCTTCATCTCAGGTATGGGAACTATCATCACTATAGTGATGGCAACAGACCCTCCCTCAATGGGTTACTGTCAAGATCAAATGGAACAAAGTAGGCAAACATATCCTCGGGAACTGTGGCCTACAGTAGGTGCTCAATAATGGTTACCTCCCTCCTGTCAGTGTACTCATCACTAATCCATTAGTCTCAGGAGACTTTGGTCATACACAATGTCTAAAAGAATAGGGTGTATGTTCCCTAATAATCTTATGTATTAGTCTGTTTTGATGCTGCTGATGAAGACATACCTGAGACTGGGAAGAAAATGAAGTTGAATTGGACTTACAGTTCCAAATGGCTTGGGAGGCCTCAGAATCATGGTGGGAGGTGAAAGGCAGTTCTTAAATGGTGGAAGCAAGAGAAAATGAGAAGAAGCAAAAGCAGAAATCCTTGATAAACCCATCAGACCTCGTGAGGCTTATTCACTATCATGAGAATAGCACAGGAAAGACCAGTCCCCATGATTTAATTACTGCCCAGTGGGTCCCTCCCACAACACATGGGAATTCTAGGAGATACAATTCAAGTTGAGATTTGGATGGGGACACAGCCAAACCATATCATTCTGCCCCTGGCCCCTCCAAATCTCACGTCCTCATATTTCAAAACCATTCATGCCTTCCCAACAGTCCCTCAAAGTCTTAACTCATTTGAGCGTTAACCCAAAAGTCCACAATGCAAAGTCTCATCTGAGACAAGGCAAGTCCCTTCCACCTAAGAGCCTGTAAAATCAAAAGCAAGCTAGTTACTTCCTAGATACAATGGGGATGCAGGTATTAGGTAAATACAGCCATTCCAAATGAGAGAAATTGACCAAAACAAAGGGGTTACAGGCCCCATGCAAGTACGAAATCCAGTGGGGCAGTCAAATTTTACAACTCCAAAATGATCTCCTTTGACTCCAGGTCTCACATCCAGGCCACACTAATGCAAGAGGTGGGTTCCCATGGTCTTGGGCAGCTCCACCTTCTGCCTTTGTAGGGTACAGCCTCCTTCCTGGCTGCTTTCATGGGCTGGTGTGAAATGTCTGTGGCATTTCCATGTGCACGGTGCAAGCTGTTGGTGGATCTACTGTTCTGGGGTCTGGAGGATGGTGGCCCTCTTCTCACAGCTGCACTAAGCAGTGCCCCAGTAGGAACTCAGTGTGGGGTCTCTGATCCCACATTTCCCTTCTGCACTGCCTTAGCAGAGGTTCTCCCTGAGGGCCCCACCCCTGCAGCAAACTTTTGCCTGGACAGCCAGGCGTTTCCACACATCTTCTGAAATCTAGATAGAAGTTTCCAAACCTCAACTCTTGACTTCTGGGCACCTGAAGGCTCAACACCACGTGGAAGCTGCCAAGGCTTGGGGCTTCCACCCTCTGAAGACACAGCCTGAGATCTATCTTGGCCCTTTGAGCCATGGCTGGGGCAACTGGGGCACAGGGCACCAAGTCCCTAGGCTGCATACAGCATGGGGACCTTGGGTCTGGCCCACAAAACCACTTTTTCCCCCCAGGCCTCTGGGCCTGTGATGGGAGGGTCTGCCATGAAGACCTCTGACATGGCCCAGAGACATTTTCCCATGGTCTTGGGGATTAACATTAGGCTTCTTGCTACTTATGCAAATTTCTGCAGCTGTCTTAAATTTCTCTTCAAAAAAATGGGTTTTCTTTTCTGCTGCATCATCAGACCATAGATTTTCTGAACCTTTATGCTCTGTTTTCCTTTTAAAATCGAATACTTTTAACAGCACCCAAGTCACCTTTTGAATGCTTTGCTGCTTAGAAATTTCTTCCACCAGACACCCTAAATCATCTTTCTCAAGTTCAAAGTTTCACAAATCTCTAGGGCAGGGGCAAAATGCTGCCAGTCTCTTTGCTAAACATAACAAGAGTCATCTTTGCTCCAGTTCACAACAAGTTCTGTATGTCCTTTTGAGACCATCTCAGCCTGGATTATATTGTCCATATTGCTATGAGCATTATGGGCAAAGCCATTCAACAAGTCTCTAGAGAGTTCCAAACTTTCCCACATTTTCCTGTCTTCTTCTGAGCCCTTCAAACTGTTCCAATCTCTGCCTGTTACTCAATTCCGAAGTTACTTCCACATTTTTGGGTATCTTTCCAGCAACGCTCCACTCTACCAACAGGTACTGATTTATTGTATTAGTCTCTTTTCACACTGTTGATCAAGACATACCTGAGACTGGGAAGGAAAATAGGTTTAATTGGACTTACAGTTCCACATGACTGGGAAGGCCTCAGAATCATGGTGGGAGGCGAAAGGCATTTCTTAGATGGCAGCAGCAAGAGAAAATAAGAAGAAGGAGCAAAAGCAGAAACACCTGAAAAACCCATCAGAAATCATGAGACTTATTCACTATCACAAGAATAGCACAGGAAAGAATGGCCTCCATGATTCAATTACCTAGGTTCATCCCACAGCTCATGGGAATTCTGGGAGATACAATTCAAGTTGAAGTTTGGTGGGGACACAACCAAACCATATCATCTGGTGAATTCACCAGATTAAGCTGTGACTGATATGGTTTTACTCTGTGCCCTCATCCAAATCTCATCTCAAATTGTAATCCCCACATGTTGTGGGAGGGGCCCAATGGGAGGTGATTGGATCATGGGAGTGGTTTTCCCCATGCTGTTCTCCTGATAGTGCGGAAGTTCTCATGAGATCTGATGCTGATGGTTTTAAAAATGGCAGTTTCCCCTGTGCGTTTTCTCTCTCTCCTGATACCATGTGAAGAAAGTGCCTGCTGCCTCTTAACCTTCTGCCTGATTATAAGTTTCCTGAGGCCTCCCCAGCCATGCAAAACTGTGAGTCAATTAAGCCTCCTTTGTTTATAAATTACCCAGTCTCAGGTAGTATCTTTACAGCAGTGTGAAAATAGACTAATACACAGAATTGGTACCAGAAGTGGGGCACTGCTTTAAAGATAACCTGAAAATGTGGAAGTAACTTTCGAACTTGGTAACAGGCAGAGGCTGGTACAGTTTGGAGGGCTCAGAAGAAGACAGGAAAATGTGGGAAAGTTTGGAACTTCCTAGAGACTTGTTGAAAGGTTTTGACCAAAATGCCGATAGTGATATGGACAATGAATTCCAGGCTGAAGTAGTCTTAGATGGAGAAGAGGAACTTATTGGGAACCTGAGTAAAGGTCACTCATCTACAGTTTAACATACAGACTCGCAGCATTTTGCTCCTGCCTTAGAGATCTGTAGAATTTGAACTTGAGAAAGGCAGAGGCAATTTCTAAGCAGCAGAGCACTCAAGATGTGATCTTGCTTACTCTGAAAGTGTTCAGTTGTATGCATTCATGAAGAGATGATTTGAAATGGGAGCCTATGTGTAAAAGGGAAGCAGAGCATAAAGGTTTGAAAAAACTGCAGCCTGACCATGAAGTAGAAAAGAAAAACTCATTTTCTGGGGAGAAATTCAAGCCAGCTGAAGAAATTTGCGTAAGTAATGAGAAGCTGAATGTTAGTCTCTAAGACAATAGGGAAAATATCTCCAGGGCATGTCAGAGATCTTCACAGCAGCCCCTGCCATCACAGGCACAGAGGCTTAGGAGGAAAATGTTTTCATGGGCCAGGCCCAGGGCCCCCCTCTTCCCTGCAGCCTCGGGACTTTGTACCCTGCATCCCAGACACTCTAATTCCAGCCATGGCTAAAAAGGGACAGGGTACAGCTCGGGCCATTCCTTCAGAGGGTGCAAGCCCAAAACCTTGGCGACTTTTATGTGGTGTTGGGCCTGCAAGTGCACAGAAGACGAGAGTTGAGGGTTGGCAGCCTCTGCCTGGATTTCAGAGTGTGTATGGAAATGCCTGAATGTCTAGGCAGAAGTCTGCTGCAGGAGTGGAGAACTCAGGGAGAACCTCTACTAGGGCAGTGCAGTGGGGAAATGTGGGGTGGAAGCCCTCACATAGAGTCCCCATGGGAGCACTGCTTAGTGGAGCTGTGAGAAGAGGGCCACTATCCTCCAGACCCCAGAATGCTAGATCTACCAACAGCTTGCACTGTACACTTGGAAAAAGCTGCAGGCACTCAACATGAGTGCATTAAAGCAGCCACAGCAGCTGTACCCTGCCGAGCCACAGAGGTGGAGCTGCCCAACTTCTTGGGATCCTACTCCTTGCATCAGAGTGTCCTGAATGTGCAACATAGAGTCAAAAGAGATCATTTTGGAACTTTAAGATTTAATGACTTTTCTGCCAGGTTTCAGACTTGCATGGGGCCTGTGGCTCCTTTGTTTTGGCCAATTTCTCCCATTTGTAATGGGAACACATTCACCCAATGCCTGTATCCCCATTCTATCTTGGAAGTAACTAACTTGTTTTTGATTCTATGGGCTCATAGGTGAAAGGGACTTACCTTTTCTCAGATGAGACTTTGGACTTGGACTTTTGGGTTAATGCTACAATGAGTTAAGATTTTGGAGGACTGTTGGGAAGACGTGATTGATTTTGAATGTGAATAGGACTTGAGATTTGGGAGGAGTCGGGGCAGAATGATATGGTTTGGGTCTGTGTCCCCACCCAAATCGCATCGCAAATTGTAATCCCCATGTATAGAGGGAGAGACCTGGTATGATTAGATCATGGGGCAGTTTCCTTCATGCTGTTCTCATGATAGTGAGGAAGTTCTTATGAGATCTGATGGTTTTAGAAATGGCAGTTTCCTCTGCACTGTCTCTCTCTCCTGCCATCATGTAAAGAAGGTACCTGCTTCCCATTCACCTTCCACCATGATTGTAAGTTTCCTGAGGCCTCCCCAGCCATGTGAAACTGAGTCAATTAAAACTTTTTTGCTTATAAATTCTCAGTCTCAGCTTATATCTTTATAGCAGTGTGAAAACAGACTAATACAGTGACTCACTTTCATTATTTCCAAACACCAAAGTGCTCCCTTCTCCCACCAAGTTCCAATCCCCTCTGTTAATATGCAGACTAGGCAGAAGTGGTGGAACTGTGGGGAAGGTAGCCACAGAAGATTTCTAATAAAGCTTTGAGGGACAGCAGAATCATTCCTTAGTAGGGATGTTCAGCCTCCTAGAGAGACTATTTTGAAAGAGAAAAAACTTATGGTTGTGCAAAAGCTGGTGAGCTTACTAACAAATCTATCATGTTGAGAAGGTTTCACTTTGCCAACTTCATAATTGTATCTATGAACCTGGGCAAGTTCCTTATTCTCTCCAAGTCTTAGTTTTTCCCACACTTGTTGAGAGGGATTTAGCTTAAAATCGATTATTTTCAAACTGTAAGGCAGACTCCTCAGGTTTCAAAGAGATGCCTCAGAGTTAACTCTAGAACTGATGGTAGAGGATGAGGCAAGGTAGGGCTCTGGGGCTCCACATCATTTTCCTAATTGAGAAGCTCCACTTTCCTGTTTTTGCTATATACTGTGCTTCTGAGATGATTAAAAAAATAAATTTCTGGCGAACATGTTTGAATGCCATTGGATGAGATAATCCTCAAGTTGTTGTCTAGTTCTTGGCTTGAGAAATTCTGCTACCAGTGTAAACAGATACTAACTGCAGGAAAGTAATCAGCCAGTGCAACTACTTTTGGTATCATTTTTAGATGTGGAGCACTGCACATCTCAAACTTGAAAGTGCTTCCGAATTGGAGCACTGCACATCTTAAACTTGAATGTGCTTCCGAATTGGAGCACTGTACATCTCAAACTTGAATGTGCTTCCGAATCATCTGTAGCTCTGCTTAACAGGCAGGTTCTAAGTCAGCAGGCTTCTTGTCATTTCTTGTTTCCTAATGAGCTACTGGATGCTGCTACGCCTGCTTGGTCCATGGACCATCCTGGGTAGCAAGAAGGTAGAGAGCACTCAGCTCGCTGAGATGAAGAAACCATGGTTTCAGGAAAGTTTCCAGAAAGAATTCTAGCAAGAAGTGTTCTCTGGTCAACTTTCAGTGACTCAAACAAGACTCCCAGTTCTCATATCTGGAGTAAGTTCAGTTAATCTAAGTTCCATTTTAATCTCTGGGAGGACTCACTGAGGGAATGTTTTGGTTTTCTATGGCTGGTTCAATAAATTCTCACAAACTTAGTGGCTTAAACAACATAAATTTGTTATTCTATAGTTTTATAGTTTAATGGATCAACACAAGTCCCACTTGGCTAAAATCAAGGTGTTGGCAGAGCTGCATTTCATTCTGGAAGCTTGGGGTTGGGCGTTCATTTTCTTGCCTATCTAGATTCTTGAGGTCATCTCCCTTCCTTAGTTAACAGTTTCTTTTCTCCATCTTCAAAGCCAGCTGCGATTGTTTGAGTTTTTGCATTGTATCACTCCCAAGGACCCTTGTGATTACATTGGGCCAACCCAGAAAATCCAGGATCATCCATCTTCCCATCTCAAGGTCCTTAATTTAATCACATCTGCAAAGTCTCTTTTACGATGTAAAGTTCCATATTGTTAAGTATTGGGGATTAGAGTGTGGACACCTTGGGGACCATTGTTTTGCCTAACTCCTTGAGTGATAACATATGAAGTGTTGATGAGTTGCCAGGAGAAATTGAGAAGAAATGATAAAGATCCAGGTGTGAGAGGAAATAGTGACAGCTGGACTTGAAAGAAGTGGAGGGTTTGGATATTCATGGCTGTAAAGTGATTGACAGATCTGGGTCAGTAGAGCAAAGTAAGAGAGCTGTTTAGAGTGGGGTGGGGAAATCCAAGCTGGAGGCCAAAGCTCTGGACTGCTTTGAGATGGATGGGGGAGAAGACACAGGACTCCTGAAGGACAAACCTTATCAGATGGAATGGGAAAGTGGTTGCAGGTGTGAGGGAGAGAGAGTATCAGGGAAGAGACATAACTGCATTTGGCTCAATAGCTGGGTTTTAATGGACTCCTTCAAGAAAAGAGGGTTGTCTGTCCACTTGCCTTCATCAGGGAGGCCCCAACCAGTAAATCATAATAACCAAAGTGCAAAAGGGGAGAGAAGGCTTTGGTCAAGGAGGTCTCTGTGGTCACTTTAAAACTGAAAACTAATGATAGAAATAGAGATTGGAATTTAAAAGAAGAGTGTGCAGGAATAAAATTCATTTTGACATGAAATTGCAGATGGAATGCTAACCAAGTACAGATTTGTATCTTAACAGATATGGGAGGAAGAGCTTCACTAAATTAGGGCTGTGTGGAGCCCCTTAAAGGGCCAGGTTGTCAGTTTAAGCTTCTCCCATTACTATTACTGTTACTGTGTGGGTGTTGATTACGAACAACAGCCATACAGTAACTGCGCAGCCAAGAGTTGTACACTGGGGATGGACCTGGTTGTCAGTTTCATCACTCACCAGCTATGTGAACTTCCTCAAGGCATTAAATCTCTTAGAGCTTCAGTTCTTGACTGAACAGTGGGGATAATAATTTCTAACTCACATGGCTATTGTGGGGATTAATTAGGTTAAATGAGAGAACATACATAAAGAGCCTATCACATTATTTTACATAGAACACAGGACAGTTGACACATAATCAGAGCATGACCACTCTTTCTTATATAATCACACTTTCCCTTTTTTAAAAATTTTTTTTAAGAGACAGGGTCTCGCTCTGTCACCCAGGCTGGGATGCAGTGTTGCAATCAGTGCTCACCGTAACCTGGAACTCTTGGGCTCAGCGATCCTCCTGCCTCACCCTCTCAAGTAGCTACGGCTGCAGGTGCCTGCTGTCACAACTGGATAATTATTTTTATTTTTGTAGAGACAGTCTTGCTCTGTTGACCATGCTGGTCTCAAACTCCTGGCCTCAAGTGATCTTCCCACCTAGAACTCCCAAAGCACTGGCATGTTCTTTCTGGATCCTTTCATCCTGTGCTTGTTCTGGTAACAAGGTCCTGGCAACAGTTTCTGTATCCTGGGGTAATGCAGTTTATGTTAGTGCGATGTATGGCCCGTCTCCAGGTTGCTCAGTATAGCACAGAATCATCTGGTGAAAAGTCTGCAGGGGCTCCCTCTTGCTTTCAGGTTAGAAATATAAACTCCTCAGCCTGTTATACAAGACCCACCATGCCTACCTGCTGCCTCCTTTTCCTACTCACGACTCACCAAACACCCACTACTCCCTGGATATAAACCTTTGACTCAAGCCCAGATAATAAATTTCTGTTGGGATCACCTCTGGCTCCAACCTCCTTCCTGCCCTTGTCAGTGGTTTTCGCTTTTGGTCACATGTTGGCCTCTGCCTGGAATGTCTTCTCTCCTCTGGAAGTCATTCAGTGTGTGATATGGCCTGCAATAAGGGGAGAAGAGGAAAAGGAGAGTCATTGATGAAATCAGTAATGGAAGAGAAAACATTGTGTCTATGTGGGATATGCTGGTGAGGGGGTGGGTAGGATAGGGAAGGGCAGCTGGTGCAGTTAAGAAGAAAGAGAAAGAACAGCTTCAGGAAGCAGGAAATTGTTATCCTAAAGTCAGCCTGGATAACCTTCATGTCAGAAGGTGGAGAGGTTGAGTGGAGATGGGTGAGATACTGATGACCCACCGTTTTAAGGCCAATAAAAAGAGATGGAAAAGGATAGGAGAAGCATCTGGGTTGCCTAAGATGGCTGCACTGTCTGCTATCCCCTGGCCCCCTGCCTCCTCAGCCTGTCTCATTCCTTACCACTCCCTATTCCATGTTCCCTGCCAGTAACACACAACTGCCTGTGGTCTACCCTTGACCTTGTTATCCAATCCCTGTGTTCTTTGCTTCTTTGATTTACTTATGCTTTTTTCCTCAGCCTGGAATGCCCTCTCCCTGCTTTGTGAATCCGTCATCCTTTAAAATGCAGCTCTGTCCTTCCTCTGGGAAGCCTTGTTCAATGGATCCTGCTTTGCTTTCCCCTTCCCTCACCCGAGTCTCTCCTGTCTCTCTGCTAGGTCACTGCTTCATGCTTCTGCTATTATAAGCATCCTGTTTTCTGCATTCCACTTACTCACTTGTTTGCTCTATGACTGTAGATTGTCAAGTACAGGAACTGTGGTTTGCTCATCTGTAAATACTCAGTGCCTAGCCTGTCATGTGGTAGATACTCAGTAATTTTTACTAAATCAAATTGAATATCTTAGGAAGATTTGCTGACATGGCAAAATGTAAAGCCATAATGTAAAAATCTAGGAATGACAGGGAATTTATTACATAAAAGGAATGGAGGTAAACAGTACGATGAGTATAATAGATATCGTCACACAGACCAACGTGAAGGTTTTAATGAACACCATGTGAGAGCTCCAACATATTCAGAAGCTATAAGCCAAGTATAATTGCTGAGGATTTTGTGAAAAGCAAGCTCTCACAAGTAGAGTCTAAAAATACTGACATTTCACCCAAAGCCTGAAGGATAAAAAGGAAGACAATGGGGTAAAGAGCTAAGAGAAGAAAAACGTCTCAACAGAACTGTTAGTATGCAATTGGTTAGCTTTTGCTGAGTAACAAAACACCTATAAATGACAAACATAGATTATTTCTCACAGTTCTTAGGGTTAGCTGAATGGTTTTCTGCTCAAGGATATCTTGGCCAATCTCCATGGTCAGCTGGCATTTTGCTGGCAGTGGGGGGTGTAGGGTGGCTCCATTTATGCCTAGAGGTTGACAGGACACTTAGTGTAAAGGTCCCCAAATGGGATGCCTTATCTCTCTTTGCATTGTCTCATCCTCTACTATGCTTGTTCTCATGGTTTAGTCAGGGTTCCGAAGAGCAGCAAGAGCCAGTAAGCCCCAGTGAGCAGGTATCTGCTTGTATCCCATGTTCTATTGTTCTGCAGCCAAAGCAAATCATGTGGCAAAGTTCAAAATCAATGTAACAAGGGACCGAGGGAGGCAGAATGGGGACTTTTGAATCACTGGGGTCAATTACAGCAACAGTCAACCCAGCTTTGGGACATCCCCAGGGTGGGAAAGGACCCTTTGGGAGGAGTCAGAAACAGATGACTGATGTGAGGATGATAAGGTAGGCATGACGTAGAGCCCTGTGATTTGATTTGGACAGTCACATGTGATTGGAAGTGATGCATGTTGCTTCCAGGCAAATCAATTAATTCCCCATGTGAGGTTCAACCAGCTAGTTTTCTCCTATCACAGCAATGATGGAAGCTCATTCTGACACAGAAGAGAAATGTTGAACCATCCCATAGAGGATAGCTGACTCAGAGAGCCATTCAGACACCCAGCACAATTTGTGTGAAAAATAAGCCTTTGTTGCGATAAGCCCCTGTGGTTTGGGGGGATTGTTTGTTATTGCAGCGTATCCTAACCCTCAGTGGCTAATATGGAAATGCAATGCAGGTAGCTGTTGAAGGCATGGAGATGGATAATTTTACCTGCAGAAAGAAGGTAAAGAAAGTAGAAAAGAGCACCCAGGACTGAGTGTAGGGTCATCCCAACATTTACAAATTAGGTGGTGGATGAGAAGTTAGCAAAGTTTGCCATGATAGAGACTAGCCTTTGGGTAAACACTGTATACATCCTAAAGTTTTCTTTAAAATTTATATGTGATAGGGACTGATGGTTTTCATCTGTACAGAGCTAACGCCAATGGATGCAGTTGCTACCTTTCCATTTTCCTGGGTTACCTCACACCCTGCAGCTGAATTTACCAAAGAAGCAGGGAGATGTACAGATCCACGCTCAAACAAACTAAACAAAATTATTGTGTAGATGCAAAATCATAGTATCTTTTTATATAAAGCAGGGGCGTAATTAAAGCTGAGAAAAAGACCAGCAGCAGGGCATTCTTTTGGTCCTTTTTTCATCTTCCTCTTCATGTTTTCTTGAATTTATCCTGTAAGCCTGTGGAGGACACAGGCTTGCATCTTCATTGGCATCCTTGATTGCCTTGCCCAAAGTGGGGAGATGTAAAATATTTCCAGATACACATAACTTCTAGTTTAAAGGTGCAGAGGCTAGGAGTCTGGGCGTTGTCTTGTTTCCTGGGATAATTTGTTGCAGAAAATGTTTGCTTTCTCTTTTCAAAGATATCCTAAGCTTTGTTGAACAGCAGACTTTACACCGACAGTGGATGTCTGCAAAATGTAATAGATTTCAGTGTTGTAGTCTGTTCTTATGATTCTCCTGGGCTTGGAGAGAGGCTGCCAGAAATTTAAAATCTGCTGATTTCTTAGGTGCAGAATGTGCTGACCTTCCTCATACTGTGTGTCCTAGCTGTGCTAATTTTGTTCTTCTGAGAAGCAGAGTGGAGGGTATGGTCTAGCTCTACTTTGGACCACTCGAGACTAGCTCTGCCAAGATAGGTCTCTATTTCATGTCAAATTTCACATCAAATGCAGGTGGCAAGGGATGATGACACCCTAGGGACAAACCTTCCATCCTCACCTCTGTGTTTTTGTGTCACAAACAAATCTAAGGGATTTGGCTCTGACTTTGGAGCTACATTGATCTCTTGTGGGCAATTAACTCCACATCCAGATTTGAAACTTTAAGATTCAACTTCCTTTGACCTGAACTAGGCAGGAGAGCTGTTTTATCTCGCAGGTATGCCTGTGGTGAGAAAACTCTGCAGAGAACTGCATCTGCACTACATTTTCTGAGTCTCATGTTTTCTTCCACCAGAATAGTCTCCAGGGTGTAACTAGTCAGCATTGCTTGTTCTTTAACAGTCACTCCATGGATCCACTCCTCCAGAAACATCCTTGATGCCTCTTCTCACTCCTATCTGAGTTGGTTGCCTCTCTTTATGTGCTTCAATGGCACCTTGGGTGTATTCTGTCATGGCAGGAGCTGCCAGCCTGTCTACTTGTGTCCTGTGCCAGGTCTTCATGCCTGGTATCTCATCCAAGGCTCACAACAACCCAGTAAGGTTAGTGCCATTGGTCTAAGGTTAGTGGCATTTGCAGATGAGAACATGGAAGGGCACAGAGAGTAAGTAATTTACTCAAGGTACACTATTAGCGACTGGCACTTTAGATTCAATCAAGACAGCCTAACTCCAGATGGCTCTCTCCTGGACTCCCCTGACTCCGTATAGTAAGGACCATGATGTTTCTGTCTTTGTGTCCTGGGCACCAAGCAGAGAGCCTGACCATGTTGAGAACTCTAGAACTGACAGGCAGACTGATCACGGACTGAAGTGAGCCACATGCAAGTCTGTCATGTGAAGCTGCAAGTTCTTTGGGATCAGGGGCTGTGACCTTTATAGTTGATGCCTAATCCACAGCAAAGCCTCTGGCACAGAACAATTAAAAAACATCAAAAAGAATAGTGAACACAATGAGAACATTTATTATGTGCCAGGAGCTACTGGAAGCACTTTACGTTGATTAAAGTTTATAATATTTATAACAACCCTATGAGGCAAGTTCTCTTATGATGCCTGTTTTACAGACTAGTACACTGAGGCACAGAGAGGTTAAGCAAACTGCTCGAGGTTGCACAGCTAGAAAGTTGCAGATCTGATCTATGGTCCCAGACAGTCTGCAGATAATAAAGGCTTCTCATGATTGTCATAGTAAATGAAATGGTGGGTGTGTGGCCTGCTGCATTTTGTTTGCTAGTAATATAATTTCTTTCTTATCCTCCAGTGTACCCTAGGACTAAAGATTGACTGAAATGAAAGCTGGAGCCCAGGCCTCTCTCCCACAATTTCAGCTGAATTCCTACATGGTCGTATGGTGAAGAGGAGATGACAGTATGGTCCCTTCTTATGCCTTTTCAACAAAAGAGGCAGCATCATGGCCACAGGCAGTGGAAAACTACTGCTATACCTCACATGTGGAGAGACAAGAATAAAAATAAGAAAAAATAGAAACTGCTTAGGATCTCACCATGGGAGATATTACTTTTCTGGGGAGAATCAAAACATAGCACAACCTAGAGAAATCCCAGAGATTGCCCAGATCTACCACCTCATTATGGAGAAGGAAAATGAGGTTCAGAGAGGTGGCTGATTTTGTTAACATCACACAGCACATTGAGAAGTGTTATCAGGAACACATCTTTCCTTATACCAGTCAGAGGAGAAAGAATTCAGTTGCACAGGGAACTGAAATGAGAGTAGCTTCTCTTGTGAACTTTACATGTACCAAGCACTGCATTTGGCTCCATACATACCTTATTTCATTTAATCCTCAGGCATAGAAGATCTAAAAGATCATATTTCAGATGAAGAGATTCAGACTTTGAGGTTCATTGCCTAAGTTTGTGCAGCTAATATGTATTTGAGCCAAGAGATTTTGAAAGTGTCTATTTTGTCTAGCATCTCATAAGTTTCCAAGGTGGAATAATTATTTGGCATGAGACCGACTGCTTAACCATTGCCTTAGCCAATTTACAAAATGACTCAAAATGCAACGAAATTAGTGCTGCTGTGACCACAAAAAGACCCCTTTACCTCCCAAATCCCTTTTCCTTTCAAGAGCTAAACACATTGCTTCCATTTTAAATCATAAATTGTCATTCTTTACTTAACTTGGATGTTGAGTCCATCTCAAATACAAATGAGAGGAAGTGACTTGTTTAATGTCACAAAGCATGTAGCACAGGAAACCTGATTCCATGACTTAATGACCAGCTCCTCCCTAGAAGCATTCTCTCTGCGAATCTGGAGATGCTCAGGGTCCTTGGGGAGCCTGAACTTCAGGGGTTGATTGCAGCCATGGTGCAGGCTTGGATCACATCTCCTTTTGGCAGACACTTTTTGCTCATCTGCAGAAGGTGAGGTTGGACAGGTGAATTCTGAGTTCATAGCTATTGCCATTCTTCTTGGAGCCCATGGCTTGTTTCCCTGGATTGTTTTGATTTGTCCCCGATCTCCAGGTTTTGGTGTGGAGGGAGAGGTCTGGGCTGGGCTGATGAGCTCTGGCATTTGCCCAAAGGACCAGAAGCTGACAGAACCAAGAATCCATTATAAGTTGCCAATTTAGCAGAATCTTTTATTAAGAGTGTGAGTGTCTGTAAAGAAGGCATGGGGGGAGATTTAACTTCATGAGAAAGGAGAAAGGAAACGTATCTTGGCACTATTATCCCTAATAAATGGACCAAGAGAGAGGTCTGCTCTGGACCACTGCTTGAAAAGTAAAGGTTCTTACTGGCATTGTTATACCATAGAGTGTTTTCAAGCAGCAAGTCAATGGAAACAGTGAGAGAGTTGGAATGCTCCCTGGAGGGGAAGCAGGAAGTTTGAGATATGTTTTTCTCTTGACGTTGCCCACGATTTATTGAATATTATCTTTCTAAATCACTTAACTTCTTCATATCCCAGAGTCCTCAGTGATTAAGACAAAAGGATTACATAGGCTCTTTTCAACATCCCTCAGGATGTTGTTAAAGACCAATTAGTTTACGCTTGAAAATCTTTTGTGATTTGGGGGACACTATATGATAGAAAAGAGATCAATACTCCCTCGTTTATACAACAAATACTCATCAAGTGCCTACTAGATATAAGGCCTTGTTTTAGACACTGAATCATCACTATTATATTATTTTATGTTTTTAAATTATCTTGAGATTTTTAAACATGTCTAACTCAATCTGTTGTTTGGCGCTCACTTGCCGAAGGGAATTCAGGGCCCTGAATGATGCCATCTCCACCTCTTACTTTTATTCAATTACAACAGTAACCTGAATAACGCAAAATCCCTTCTAAGCCATCAATCATAGATGACAGCCTGGGCTGGTTTCCTGATCCTTGATTTTCCATTTTAGTGACATTAATGCTGCCAGGGCACAAAAGCATCATGAGAAAATTAATCTGTGGCTTGTCATTGATGACAAAACTACAGACAACACCTCACACACACACTCCTTCCCTGCTCCCTGTTCTAACCTCTCATTTTGGGGGCTTGGTCTCAGGGCTCCAACTGCACATGCATCCCAGGTAATGGGAGGTGTGATCTCTCATATGGACTTGGTGCGGCCTCTAACACAGAGCATATGTGTGGGCTCCTGGGTGATGGCGCTCCAGCAGCTCAAAGAGGGTGTGGAGCAATCTTCATTTTCATCACAGACCTGCTGTACAAAGTTGAGGGCTAACCAAATTTTTTGGAACACCATTTGCTATTGGGATGGGTGCTTTTTCCCATTAGCATCATAAGCCATTGTCTGCCAGAGAAGACCCAGTCACTCATCCTGTAGCTCTGAGAGTCATATTGCTTTTCTGGTAGGTTACATAACTTCTTGAAAGTTAGTCATAATACATTGGATAACCCCATGTTCACCCAGCTACAATTATGCTTTGACCCATGGCCTGAATAGTAGATTAAGGAGCCCTACATTTTTTGCAAATGTTTGCATCAGAGACTGAATTGAAGTCTTCACAGTTGATCTAAGCAGACGACATTCTAAGATCATGGTACTGGTTTCAAGACAGTTTTCACTAAGACCCTCAAGAAGACAGCAGGACTGCAATCACTCATCCACTTAAGCCTGTCAGGAAGGAAGTAGCTTATGAGAGGAAGAGGACTGTTATGTGAATTTCCATAAGATTTTGGGCCAAGACTATTACCTGTCACTACTTTTCAAATATTGAGAGAAAAAAAACTCAACACTCTCTATTATTCCCCTGTCTAAATGCAACCTGCTCTTCTATTTATCCAATTCACTGAAGAAATTTTTTCACTGTTTAGAAAATTGCAAGACCATCCATCAGCAAATCTTGTATTAGGTGTAGTGTTTAGTCTGTGAGAATGTGGCTCATGTTGCATGCATTTTGCTATAAGTCATTATGCAGTTGGCGTTTCAAGTGTCTAGGGAGCAGGAATTGTGGAGACACAACTAAATTAATTAGTGGCCTCATTGACCTATTGAAGAAAGGGCTGACTTTATAGAGTGTGTCCTGTAGTTTTGCCTTGTGTGCATCCATCCCCCTTTCAGGTAACAGTGCCCCTTCTTTTTGGAAATCACTCTTTCCTATTACATGGCCTGGGTATCCTGCCTTCTGCTCAGTGATGCTAATCTGCTTTATGCTGGCCAGTCAGAGTGCCATATTACCCTGGCCACAGTGATTGGTTTAGAGATGGATTACATGAACCAAGCAGGGCCAATCAGAATCTTCACTGGGATTCATATGTGGAAGTTAGAAAAGAGAAGTCCTCCTCTCTCTAGCATTAGTAATTTGGGAGGCTGTGAGTCCAAGGCTCTGTGTAGCCATCTTATTGGCCATATGAACATAATTCATCTGGGAATGGAGCCAAGTAAAGCAAGTGGAGCTCGGGGATGGAGACAAAGCATAGCCCTGGCCACCTCCCTTGAGCACTGATTTTTATCAGCCAAGCCTGGCTTGAAGCCATCCAGAGAACCCATCCTTAAACTGATGCCTGATTATGAGAGCCAAACATAATCAACTCGACCTTTTATTAACACGATTTGAATCAGATTTCTGTCACTTGCAATTGAAAGAGAACATCTATTATGTGCCAGGCAACTGGCTAGGCACCATTTTCTCTGTATCCCTCTTAATCTTCACAGTGTCCATAGGCATGAGAGAATACCATTCCCATTTTACAGATCTGAATACAGAGGTTGAGAGAAGAGTGATAACTCACCCATGTTCCCATGACTAGTGCGTAATGAATTTGGCTTCACACCGAGGCTGTCTGAGATCTGTCATCCCGCCAGAGGGGCTCTCTGAGTAATTTGTCCTCCCTATCTTTCAGTTTTATCTCAGGAAACCCAACTGAATTGGTGCATGTTGTAAATATGTAAACAGGCTATAAGGAAATGGAAATGAAGCTGTCAAAGTGGAAGCACGCTTTGGAGTATGTGCCACTCTGAAAAGAAGCCAGCTTCATTTCTGGACATCGATATTAAGTTCTTCCTGGGACTTCTTTTTTTTTTTTTTTTTTTTTTTTTTAGGTTTGTCATGACTTTTATTTAGATTTTTGACTCTTTGACTCTTGGAAACAAAATGGAGATTAAACCGAAACAGAAGGGACATGATTAAATTCAGCTGCAGATCTTTAGCAGCTAGTTCCTATCTGACTGCATCTTACATAAAATTATAAAATGCAACGTTATCTTTTTAAATTAGATCGAAGCAGTTCACAAAACGTGCCCCACAGAGTTGTTATCAAATGGGAAGGAGAGGAAATCACTTGAAGGGAAAGATCATTCCTGATTTTCTTCCGTAACTGGATTAGGACAGATTAGGATTAGATTAGATTAGAAAAGACCATTTTCAGGGTTCCCTTCCCATCAGGAACATAAATCACACTCACATTAAGCTCTTAAAGGGCTTATCTGTGGCATTTTGTGCCTACTTCATGCCAGTTTTCTGGCATTTGGCCAGAAAATGTTAATCTGGAAATAGGAAATGCTAAATTGGATATGTAGATACACAAGCATCTGTTTGCTGTCAAGTCTCATGTTCAACAAAGGCTGGAGGAAAAGGACAACAGAAGCTTCTAGGTTCTGAAATTGCTTTATATGTTAATTAGCAAGCTACATTAAAATTAACCCATTTTAGGGACATAGAAATAAAAATAATGATAATTACATCAGTGAGCACCTATTATGTACTAGGTACTTGACATCCATTTTCCTGAAATGCTTATGAAGACCTTTCAAAGTAGTGATTTTTAGGACATTAAGACAAAGAGGGTAAATAACTTTCCTGAACTCCCTCAAATCAGGAAAGTAGGGTTCATTCCAAGATCTCTCTTGTTCCAGTGTCTGACATCTATCTGCTTTGCCATGTGACCACTCTGTCCAAGCTCTGGACCCTACTCTGCCATGCTTGTAACTGGAAACCATGATTGCTACAGCCATATATACTAATAAAGACATAAATTATCTAAGCAGAAGGTGCCTCACTGTGAATTTTATCAGCCCACTGGTTGTCAGGCTGGATTAGACTGTCCTGGCTGTCTGGTTAAAATCACATCAAAGCACATGCTTTGTCATTAGACAGACATAGGTCAAAGTCCTAGCTCTGGACTAACTAGCTGTTTGACTTTGCGAAGTCTCTGTCCCTCTCTGGGCATCAACTTTCTCAACTGTGAAATGTGGCTAATTAGCAGCTTCAGAGGGTTGAGGAGAGACTACAATGAGATAACACATGTGAAGTCCTTGGCATAGGACTTGCCACAGCGCAATTGAAAGTTGAAATCCATTTTTAATATTTGACTGATGACAGCTTTTAAGTAAGCTTCATCCCTCTCTTTTATTTCCCCTTTTGCCCCCATCTGAGCAAGCTGATAAGAAAGCCTGGGTGGTCTGTCATTTAGAGCTAATGGGAGATTCAATATACTTGAGCCTCTGAAACTCCTATCTGGCCCTACCCTTAGCCACAATAAAAGCCTCAAGCCAGTTTCCTTTCCTTGCTCTCTAACCATTTTCAGACCAGCTTGGGACGTTTGTTCTGCTCTTTGCAGAAAGCCACATTGTGTAAGCATTTAACCTTTTTGTACTCTTGGTGTGTGTGGCATCATCAGTCTTGACATATGGAACAAGTGTTGGGTAGGCGGGGGCCCTCCTATATTTCTGTAGAATGTCCACAACATGAGTATGTTAGGGATAATTATTATTAAAAAGTTAAATTTTGGTTTTAAAATTACATGCAAGAGCTCATAGCTAATAATATTTGACTCAAACTTATACACTTATTTGACCATATCTAATCTGGAAAGAATGGGCAGTCAAGTAGGTGGTAGGGTTTTCAGTAAGGCTGGAGGGAAGTGTTGTTTATTCCAGTAGAGTGCTTGCTCTCTCCAATTCATTTCTCCTAGAGTGTGAATCAAATCAACCTAGATCTTTGGAGGCCTCAGAGAAATGCACTGGATAGA
The DNA here is from genome assembly GCF_000001405.40 of Homo sapiens. Taxonomy (NCBI): domain Eukaryota; kingdom Metazoa; phylum Chordata; class Mammalia; order Primates; family Hominidae; genus Homo; species Homo sapiens. The sequence goes on along the minus strand of NC_000004.12, from coordinate 15,293,455 downwards.
TAATTTGCATTGTATTTTCCTCAGGAAATCAATAAATCACCAGGTATATATTGAAAACTTACAAGATCAGTCTCCTGAAGGGAGTATGGCCTGAAAACACTAGATCTTATAAACTCATGTCACAATAATTCTGTCTTATTTTTCTTCTCCAGAACTTAGACAGTGAAATATCCTAAGATTATTTTAATCTGCTCCAAATCATCTAGCCAAACAGTGAATACAGCTGTGCCTACTGAACAATTTTTTCCTGATGTAAGTAAGTGTTGTCAAAACAAAAGGAATATAATTTATGATTGATATGGTTTGGATCTACGTCCCCACCCAAATCTCATGTCCACATGTAATCCCCTGGAGGTGAGGCATAGTGGGAGGTAATTGGATCATGGGGGCAGTTTCTAATGGTTTAGTACCATCTTCCTAGTGCTGTTCTCATGATAGAGTTGTCATGAAATCTGGTCATTTAAAAGTGTGTGGCACCTCCCCCTACCTCTTCCTCCTGCTTGGACCATATAAAAGTACTAGCTCCCCCTTCATCTTCCACTATGATTGTAAATTTCCTGAGGCCTCCCCAGAAGAAGTCACTATGTTTCATGTACAGCCTTCAGAACTGTGAGCCAATTAAACCTCAGGTCTTTCTTTAGAGTAATGAGAGAATGGATGAATAAAATGATTTTAGTTAAATCAACAGAATAATGTCAGGAGATTTTGGGAACTCTGCATAGATGATTGGGCTCAGAGTAACAGAGCCAAAAGTATAAAATTTGGCTGCTTTATGCTCTTGTTTGTGTGCAAAGATGCATATTTTTCAAAACAATGAAATAAAGGATGCAAGTTTTCAATACCAGGGAAGCACATTCAAGCAAGCTCTTTCAGAGTTAGTTAACTTTCCCCATACACAGATAATGAACTGTTACTAAAATGGGATCTGGAAACAAATGCACAGGGGGAAAGCCTCAGGGAGCAGAGAAGAGTCATTAAGTACAGAAATCAAGCCCCCCAAGGCCCTAATGACAGCGCTGTATCTTCGTAACAGACATCAATTGCCATATTCATAGACACCTAGCTCTTCTACAAGAATTTGACTTCAATACAAAAATTCTTTCTTACTGTCATAAGTAATTTTCTTAACATGCTGGTTCCCCTTAAATTGGTTTTGCGGGACTCACTGTATACTCTACTACTATAAAAACAGTTATTCATAAAAATTAATTTGCTTTTTCCCCAAAACATATATATTTTTTCTCACTAGGGAGAGAAAACTACAGTGAAGAAAGTGCAAATTAGACATTTTTTTTGCAATTGGTTGACTAGATGTTTCTTTTTGACATTTGACTATCTAAACTTTTCCCTATCCTTCAGAACAGAGATTCATGTACACAGCTCTTATATCTCTTCTTCCTTCCCTTTCTTCCCTCCCTCCCTCCCCTCCCCTCCCCTTGCCTCCTCCCTCCCTCCCTCGCTTCTTTTTTTTTCTTCTTTTTCTTTCTTTTCTCTTTTTTCCTTCCATCTGTCCATAATTAAGGCTCTACTACATGTCAGGCTATGGTTTATATCTAATGTATTGGTTACTTAAAGACCACAAATGAATGAATGAATGGATAAGCTGGAAGAGGAAGAAAAGACAACCAATAAGGAGTAGCTTCATTGCTTTAGAAGGGGAGGTGAAATGGTGAAGTGATCAGGATTATGGCCATTACTGTTGAATATCCTCTCCAGCTACAGCCTGTTGCTATCTTTTCTTCTCAGGCACACTGCTCAAAAATCCATGATCACCATTTCCATTTCCTGGTAAGACCCTTTAATCTGCCTTGGACCATCATTATCCACCAGAAGGGTCTTACTAAAGGCCACTGATTGTGTCTAAACTACTAAATTAAAGGATATTTTTCAACTATAACTTTACTTGAAATTAGAAGAATTCTATATTCTTGAATAATCTCTTTCTCTGTTTTTAATAATAGAAAACACTTCTCACTTTCAATCTTCTTTGCAGGATTATTCTCCTTTTCCTGTTCATGACAAATTGGAGCTCATTAAACTTCATCATAGATCATTTTCTTGCTTCTTGCTGTCTTCTTAAGCAACTGACTCGTGGCTTCAATTTCATCATCTGTATGTTGATGACTTACACATTTATATCAGTCAAGGCCTCCTTTGCAATTCCCCACTCAGCTTCTCCATTAGTGATTGAAAAGCATCTTACAATTCCTGTATCCAAAGCCAAACTCATGATTTCTTTCTGCCTTCCAAGCTAAGCCACTCCCACTGTCTTGCTCTCAATGAATGACAGCAGTCTAATTAGATCAGCCAGAAATCTAGGGTCATCCTCCACAGCTCCCTTTCCTATATTCACTCACCATAAAATTATATGATGTTGCCTCCTAAATATCTCTCAAAACTGTCCACTTCTATTTTTACTTCCAACCCCTATTTTCTTTTCCTGGTTAGCCCCAGCTTATTGTTCAGGTTGCAGCAGAAGCAACTCATCCTTGGGGAATGAGCCTTTTCTGACCTTCCAGGCTAGGTGAGGTGGAGGAGTTTACATTTCATAGTACCACTCCCTTCTTCTTCACTTATCACAGTTTATAACCCTACACTGAATTTTGTGATTCTTTGGTTAATATCTCTGTCCTTCATGAGAGCAAAGAGCTGGCCTGACTTTGTCCCCATTATATTCTCAGTATTCTAGAACTGTGCGCAGGACCTAATAGTCACTTAAATATTGTTGTTTAGTGTAATTAGTAAAATTTTAGCTCTGCCATTTAATGAGGATTTGAGCATTTTGTTTTACTTATTGTTATTTTTGTTGTTTTCCTGAAGCCTCTGATTCCTTGTTTGTGAAACGAAGGTGTAATTTCCACACTCTCAGGGTTTGTGTGAGGCTCACATGAGATAATGTATTTGAAATTTTTCTTTTTTAAAGTATATAACCTTTTATGATATGCATAATTTTTGATATATGTATAAGAAATATATATATACACACATTGTGAAATAATTTCCTCAATCAAGCAAATTAACATATCCATCACCTCATTTATTTACCATTTTCTTTCCTTTATTTTTGGTGGCAAGAGCACTTAAGATCTACCCTTTTAGTAAATTTCAAGAATACAATACAGTATTAACTACAGTCAATTGACATTGTCAGACATATACATTAGATACACACACACACACACACACACACACACACACACTCCACATTCACATTCATCCATTGATGGGCATTTAGGTTGTTATTTTATCTTGGCTGTTGTGGATAATGGTGCAATGAACATGGCAGAACAGATGTCTCTTTGCAATATTGATTTCATTTCATTTGGCTATATACCTAGAAGTGGGATTGCTGGATCACAAGGTCGTTCTATTTTAAATTTTTTGAGAGTCTTCCATATTGCTTTGCTGAATGGCTGTACCAATTTACATTCTCACAAGCAGAGTACATGGGGTTCCATTAGTATGTCTTATTTTGAGAACTATCTATTTAGGTATTTCCCCCTTTTTAAAGACAATTTTCTAGAGCAGTTTTAGGTTCACAGCAAAGTTGAGAGGAAGGTACAGAGATTTCCCATATACTCCCTGCCTCTTGCATAGTCTCCCTGATTATCAACATACCACAACAGAGTGGTACATTTGCTAGAGTTGATTAACCTATATTGACACATCACCATCACTCCAAATCTATAGCTTACATTAGGGGTCACTCTTGGTGTTGTGCATTTTATGAGTTTGGACAAATGTATAATGACATGGATTCATTATTATAGTATCGTACTAAGTATTTTCACCACCCTAAAAGTGATCTAAGCTCCACCTATTTATTCCTTCTGCACCCCTCAATCCCTGGCAACCACTGAACTTTTTACTGTCTCCAAAGTTTTGCCTTTTCCAGAATATCATATAGTTGGAATCATATAGTATGGAGCCTTTTTCAGATTGGTTACTTTCACTTAGTAACATGCCTTTAACATCCTTCCATGCTTTTCAAGCCTTTACAGCTTATTTCTTTTTGGTGCTGAAGAATATTTCATTGTCAGGATGTACTACAATTTATTTATTCATTCACCTACTGAAGGACATCTCAATTGCTTCTAAGTTTTAGCAATTATAAATGAAGATTTTATAAACATCCACGTGTAGGTTCTTATGTGGACATGGGTTCTTCAGCTCCTTTGGGAGATACCAAAGAGTATGAGTGCAGGATTATATGATGAAAGCATGTTTCATTTTGCAAAAACCTACCAAACTCTCTTCCAAAGTGGCTGTATCATTTTGTATTCCCACTAGCAGTGAATGAGAGTTCTTGTTGCTCTACATTCTTATCAGCATTTAATATTGTCAGCATTTGATATTGTCAGTGTTCTGGAGTTTGGCCATTCTAGTAGGTGTGTAATAGTATCTCATGATTGTTTTAACTTGCATTTCCCTGGTGATATATGATGTAGAGCATCTTCTCATATTCTTACTTGTCATCTTTATATTTTCTTCAGTGAGGCATATATTAAGGTCTTCGGTCCAATGTTTAGTCAGGTTGTTTTATTTGTGTTTTTAAATAATTCTTTGTATATTTTAGATAACAGTTCTTTATTAGATATGCCTTCTGCAAATATTTTCTCCCAGTCTGTGGCTTATATTCTTTCTCTTGACATTCACAGAGCAGCTATTAATTTTAATGAAATTTCGCTGATCAATTATTTCTTTCTTAGATCATACCTTTTTTATTGTATCTAAAAAGTCATTGCCAGACACAAGGTCATCTAGGTTTTCTTCTATGTTACTTTCTGGGTGTTCTATAGTTTTGCATTTTACATTTAGACCTGTGATACATTTTGAGTTTTTGTGTGGGGTGTAAGGCCTGTGGCTATAGGTTTATTTTTTTGCGTGTAGGTATCCATTTGTTCCCTGGCTCCCCCAACAGTTTGTTGAGAAGACAGACTATCTTTTCTCCCTTGAACTGCCTTTGCTTCTTTGTCAAAGATCAGTTTATTATGTTTATGTGGGTCTATTTCTGTGCTCTCTATTCTGGTCCATTGATGTATTTGTCTAGTCTTTTGTCAATGCTGTTGTGATTACTACTGCTTTACAGTATGCTTTGAAATTGGCTAGTGTCAGTCCTCCAACTTTGTTGTTCTCCTTCATTATTGATTTGGCTATTTTGGGCCTTTTGCCTCACCATATAAACTTTAAAATCAGATGGTCAATATCTACAAAATATCTTGCTGGGATTTTGCTTAGGATTACATTGAATCGATAAAGTAGGGAAGAACTGATGTCTCCATTTATTTAGTTCATCTTTGATTTCTTTCATCTGAGTTTTGTAGTTTTTCTCATAGAGATCTTATATGCATTTTGTTACGTTTATACCTAAGAATTGCATTTTTGGAGGCTCTTGTGTAAATTGTATTGTCTTTTAAATTTCAAATTCCACTTGTTTGTTACTGGTTTATAAAAAAGCGGTTGACATTTATATACTAACCTGTATCTTGCAATCTTGCTACAGTCACTTGTTAGTTCTAGGAGATTTTGTTGTTGTCGTTATTGTTGATTCTTTCACATTTTCTACATAAACAATCATATCAACGGTGAATAAAAATGATTTTTAAAATTCCCATCTATATACCTTTTTCCCTTTTCTTGTATTATTGCATTAGCTAATATTGCATCATGCCAATAAGAGTTGAAAAGGAATGGTGAGAGAAGAAACCCTTGCCTTGTTCTTGATCTTAATGGGAAGCTTCCAGTTTCTTATTATTAAGTACGATGTTAGTTGTAGGTTTTTGTTGATATTCTTTATAAAGTTGAAGGAGTTTCCCTGTAGTCCTAGTTTACTGAGAGTTTTATTATAAATGAAGGCTTTATTTTGTCAAATGTTTTTGCTGAATCTGGTATAATCATGTGATTTTCTTTTTTAGCCTGTTGATGTGATGTGATACATTAATTGATTTTGGAAAATTAAATGAGCTTTGCATACTTGGGATAAATTCCACTTGGTTGTGGTGTCTAATTCTATTTCTATCTTGTTGGATTCTCTGTTAATACTTCATTGAGGATTTTTACATCTATATTCATGAGAGATATTGGTCTACAGTTTTCTTTCCTTGTAATGTCATTGTCTGGTTTTGATATTAAGATATTTATTACTGGTCTCATAGAATTAGTTAGGAAGTATTTCCTCTGCTTTTCTCTTCTGAGAGAATTGTAGATAATTGGTATAATTTCTTCTTTAAATGTGTGGTCAAATTCACCAATGAACTCACCTGGGTTTAGTGCTTTCTGTTTTAGAAGGTTCATAATTATTGATTCAATATCTTCAATAGATATTGGTCTATTAAGATTGTCTATTTTTGTGTGAGTTTTGACAAATTGTGTCTTTAAGAAATTGATCTGTTTCATCTAGCGAGAAATGCCCATTAAAATGATGTATAACATAACCACATTTATTTAGGAATGTATTCTAATATCAAATGGCAAATTCTAACAATGCAAAAACCACAGTTACTTTTGCACTTACCTAACACATATTCTTCTCAAGCTCACATGGAACATTCACCAAGATAAACCATATTCGGTACCATAAGACTCACCTAAACAAATTTAAAAGTATAGAAATCATACAATGTCTGCTCTCAGGCCACAATGGAACTACACTGTAAATCAATAACAAAAACAGAAAAATCTCAAAATACATAGATTAAACAATAAACTTTTTTTTTTTAGACAGAGCCGGGCTCTGTTGCCCAGGCTGAAGTGCAGTGGTGCGATCTCGGCTCACTGCAAGCCCTGCCTCCCTGGTTCACACCATTCTCCTGCCTCAGCCTCCCAAGTAGCTGGGACTACGGCGTCTGCCACCACGCCCAGCTAATTTTTTGTATTTTTAGTAGAGACGAGTTTCACCGTGTTAACCATGATGGTCTTGATCTCCTGACCTCATGATCCACCCGCCTCGGCCTCCCAAAGTGCTGGGATTACAGGCGTGAGCCACTGCGCCTGACCTTATTATTCTTATAATGTTCGTGGGAGCTGTAGTGATGTCCCCTCTGATATTAGTGATTTGTGGCCTTTCTCTTTTTTTCTTAATTAGCCTGGTTAAGGTTTATACATATTATTGATCTTTACAAGGAATTAGCTTTTGGTTTCATTGATTTTTTTTCTATGGATTCCTGGTTTCCAATGTCATTGATTTCTGTTTTAACTTTTATTTATTTATTTATTTATTTATTTATTTATTTATTTATGTATTTATTTATTTTCTTCTGCTCACTTTGGATTTAATTTGCTTTTTTCTAGTTTTCTAAAATGGAAGCCTAGATTATTGATTTTATATTCTTTCCTAACATATACATTCAATACTATATATTTTTCCTCTAAGCGCTGCTTTTGCTCCATCCCACAAAGTTTGATAAGCTGTATTTTTATTTTCATTTAGTTTAAAATATTTTTAAATTTCTCTTGAGATTTCTTCTTTGATTCATGTTATTTAAAAGTGTGTTGTTGGCTGGGCGCAGTGGCTCACGCCTGTAATCCAGCACTCTGGGAGGCCTAGGCAGGAGAATCACCTGAGGTCAGGAGTTCGAGACAAGCCTGACCAACATGGAGAAACCCCATCTCTACTAAAAATACAAAATTAGCCGGGTGTGGTGGCACATGCCTGTAATCCCAGCTACTTGGGAGGCTGAGGCAGGAGAATCGCTTGAATCTGGGAGGCAGAGTTTGCCATGAGCCAAGGTCATGCCACTGCACTCCAGCCTGGGCAAGAAGAGCGAAACTCCATCTAAAAAAAAAAGTTTGTTGTTAATCTATGTATTTTGAGATTTTTCTGTTTTTGTTACTGAAGCCTGCTCTGTCTGAAATTTATGTAGCTACTTCTGCTTTATTATGATTAATGTTAGTATGGTATATTTTTGCCACCCATTTACTTTTAATGTATTTGTGTATATTTGAAATGGGTTTCTCACAGACAACATATAGTCAGGTCTTTTTTTTTATCCACTCTGACAATAACTGTCTTTTAATTGTTGTATTTAAATTATTGACATTTAGACCACTGACATTCAAAGTGATTATTGTTATAGTTGGGTTAATATCTATCACATTTATTACTTTTTAATTTGCTCTTCTTGTTCTTTGTAACTATTTTCGTCTTCCATTCTTTTTCTGCTTTTTATAATTTTAATTGAGCATTTTGTATAATTCTGTTTACTTTATAAACCTGTTAGTTTTACTTTTGTGTTTTTATTTCTTTTAGTGGTTGCTGTAGAGTTTGCAATATATATTTACAACTAATTCAAATCCGATTTCATAGAAAACTATACCACTTCACAGGTAGTGTAAGTAGCTTATAATAACAAAATTATTCTAATTTCTTCTTACCATCCCTTTATTATTACTATCATTTATTTCACTTATATATAAGCATATATAAAAAATATAAACGCTTATTATTTTCAATAAACTTTTATCTGTTAGATTAAGAATAAGAAAAATAAACATTCTATTTTACCTTCACTTATTCCTTCTTTTATGTTCTTCCTTTCCTTATGAAGATCTGAGTTTCTTACATATATTAATATCCTCCCCTTTAAAAAAAATATTTCTTTTAACATTTCTTGCAAGGCAGGTCTACTGGCAATAAATTCTTTTAAGTTTTCTCTGAGAAAGTATTTCTCATTCACTTTTGACAGATAAGTTTGCAGTACAGAATTATAGATTAGTAGGGTTTTTTTTCTCTGTTAATACTTTAAATATTTTTTCTTTTTTTTCTTTTTATTATTATTATTATTATTATTATTATTATTATTATACTTTAAGTTTTAGGGTACATGTGCACATTGTGCAGGTTAGTTACATACATATACATGTGCCATGCTGGTGTGCTGCACCCACTAACTCATCATCTAGCATTAGGTATATCTCCCAATGCTATCCCTCCCCCCTCCCCCCACCCCACAACAGTCCCCAGAGTGTGATGTTCCCCTTCCTGTGTCCATGTGATCTCATTGTTCAATTCCCACCTATGAGTGAGAATATGCGGTGTTTGGTTTTTTGTTCTTGCGATCGTTTACTGAGAATGATGGTTTCCAATTTCATCCATGTCCCTACAAAGGACATGAACTCATCATTTTTTATGGCTGCATAGTATTCCATGGTGTATATGTGCCACATTTTCTTAATCCAGTCTATCACTGTTGGACATTTGCGTTGGTTCCAAGTCTTTGCTATTGTGAATAATGCCGCAATAAACATACGTGTGCATGTGTCTTTATAGCAGCATGATTTATAGTCCTTTGGGTATATACCCAGTAATGGGATGGCTGGGTCAAATGGTATTTCTAGTTCTAGATCCCTGAGGAATGGCCACACTGACTTCCACAATGGTTGAACTAGTTTACAGTCCCACCAACAGTGTAAAAGTGTTCCTATTTCTCCACATCCTCTCCAGCACCTGTTGTTTCCTGACTTTTTAATGATTGCCATTCTAACTGGTGTGAGATGGTATCTCATAGTGGTTTTGATTTGCATTTCTCTGATGGCCAGTGATGGTGAGCATTTTTTCATGTGTTTTTTGGCTGCATAAATGTCTTCTTTTGAGAAGTGTCTGTTCATGTCCTTCACCCACTTTTTGATGGGGTTGTTTTTTTCTTGTAAATTTGTTTGAGTTCATTGTAGATTCTGGATATTAGCCCTTTGTCAGATGAGTAGGTTGTGAAAATTTTCTCCCATTTTGTAGGTTGCCTGTTCACTCTGATGGTAGTTTCTTTTGCTGTGCAGAAGCTCTTTCGTTTAATTAGATCCCATTTGTCAATTGTGGCTTTTGTTGCCATTGCTTTTGGTGTTTTAGCCATGAAGTCCTTTCCCATGGCTATGTCCTGAATGGTAATGCCTAGGTTTTCTTCTAGGGTTTTTATGGTTTTAGGTCTAACGTTTAAGTCTTTAATCCATCTTGAATTGATTTTTGTATAAGGTGTAAGGAAGGGATCCAGTTTCAGCTTTCTACATATGGCTAGCCAGTTTTCCCAGCACCATTTATTAAATAGGGAATCCTTTCCCCATTGCTTGTTTTTCTCAGGTTTGTCAAAGATCAGATAGTTGTAGATATGCGGCGTTATTTCTGAGGGCTCTGTTCTGTTCCATTGATCTATATCTCTGTTTTGGTACCAGTACCATGCTGTTTTGGTTACTGTAGCCTTGTAGTATAGTTTGAAGTCAGGTAGTGTGATGCCTCCAGCTTTGTTCTTTTGGCTTAGGATTGACTTGGTAATGTGGGCTCTTTTTTGGTTCCATATGAACTTTAAAGTAGTTTTTTCCAATTCTGTGAAGAAAGGCATTGGTAGCTTGATGGGGATGGCATTGAATCTGTAAATTACCTTGGGCAGTATGGCCATTTTCACGATATTGACTCTTCCTACCCATGAGCATGGAATGTTCTTCCATTTGTTTGTATCCTCTTTTATTTCCTTGAGCAGTGGTTTGTAGTTCTCCTTGAAGAGGTCCTTCACATCCCTTGTAAGTTGGATTCCTAGGTATTTTATTCTCTTTGAAGCAATTGTGAATGGGAGTTCACTCATGATTTGGCTCTCTGTCTGTTGTTGGTGTATAGGAATGCTTGTGATTTTTGCACATTGATTTTGTATCCTGAGACTTTGCTGAAGTTGCTTATCAGCTTAAGGAGGTTTTGGGCTGAGACAATGGGGTTTTCTAGATATAAAATCATGTCATCTGCAAATAGGGGCAATTTGACTTCCTCTTTTCCTAATTGAATACCCTTTATTTCCTTCTTCTGCCTAATTGCCCTGGCCAGAACTTCCAACACTATGTTGAATAGGAGTGATGAGAGAGGGCATCCCTGTCTTGTGCCAGTTTTCAAAGGGAATGCTTCCAGTTTTTGCCCATTCAGTATGATATTGGCTGTGGGTTTGTCATAGATAGCTCTTATTATTTTGAAATATGTCCCATCAATACCTAATTTATTGAGAGTTTTTAGCATGAAAGGTTTTTGAATTTTGTCAAAGGGCTTTTCTGCATCTATTGAGATAATCATGTGGTTTTTGTCTTTGGCTCTGTTTATATGCTGGATTACATTTATTGATTTGCGTATATTGAACCAGCCTTGCATCCCAGGGATGAAGCCCACTTGATCATGGTGGATAAGCTTTTTGATGTGCTGCTGGATTCGGTTTGCCAGTATTTTATTGAGGATTTTTGCATCAATGTTCATCAAGGATATTGGTCTAAAATTCTCTTTTTTGGTTGTGTCTCTGCCCGGCTTTGGTATCAGAATGATGCTGGCCTCATAAAATGAGTTAGGGAGGATTCCCTCTTTTTCTATTGATTGGAATAGTTTCAGAAGGAATTGTACCAGCTCCTCCTTGTACCTCTGGTAGAATTCAGCTGTGAATCCATCTGGTCCTGGACTCTTTTTGGTTGGTAAGCTATTGATTATTGCCACAATTTCAGATCCTGTTATTAGTCTATTCAGAGATTCAACTTCTTCCTGGTTTAGTCTTGGGAGAGTGTACGTGTCAAGGAATTTATCCATTTCTTCTAGATTTTCTAGTTTATTTGCGTAGAGGTGTTTGTAGTATTCTCTGATGGTAGTTTGTATTTCTGTGGGATCGGTGGTGATATCCCCTTTATCATTTTTTATTGCATCTATTTGATTCTTCTCTCTTTTTTTTCTTTATTAGTCTTGCTAGCAGTCTATCAATTTTGTTGATCCTTTCAAAAAACCAGCTCCTGGATTCATTAATTTTTTGAAGGGTTTTTTGTGTCTCTATTTCCTTCAGTTCTGCTCTGATTTTAGTTATTTCTTGCCTTCTGCTAGCTTTTGAATGTGTTTGCTCTTGCTTTTCTAGTTCTTTTAATTGTGATGTTAGGGTGTCAATTTTGGATCTTTCCTGCTTTCTCTTGTGGGCATTTAGTGCTATAAATTTCCCTCTACACACTGCTTTGAATGCGTCCCAGAGATTCTGGTATGTTGTGTCTTTGTTCTCGTTGGTTTCAAAGAACATCTTTATTTCTGCCTTCATTTCGTTATGTACCCAGTAGTCATTCAGGAGCAGGTTGTTCAGTTTCCATGTAGTTGAGCGGTTTTGAGTGAGATTCTTAATCGTGAGCTCTAGTTTGATTGCACTGTGGTCTGAGAGATAGTTTGTTATAATTTCTGTTGTTTTACATTTGCTGAGGAGAGCTTTACTTCCAAGTATGTGGTCAATTTTGGAATAGGAGTGGTGTGGTGCTGAAAAAAATGTATATTCTGTTGATTTGGGGTGGAGAGTTCTGTAGATGTCTATTAGGTCCGCTTGGTGCAGAGCTGAGTTCAATTCCTGGGTATCCTTGTTGACTTTCTGTCTCGTTGATCTGTCTAATGTTGACAGTGGGGTGTTAAAGTATCCCATAATTAATGTGTGGGAGTCTAAGTCTCTTTGTAGGTCACTCAGGACTTGCTTTATGAATCTGGGTGCTCCTGTATTGGGTGCATATATATTTAGGATAGTTAGCTCTTCTTGTTGAATTGATCCCTTTACCATTATGTAATGGCCTTCTTTGTCTCTTTTGATCTTTGTTGGTTTAAAGTCTGTTTTATCAGAGACTAGGATTGCAACCCCTGCCTTTTTTTGTTTTCCATTTGCTTGGTAGATCTTCCTCCATCCTTTTATTTTGAGCCTATGTGTGTCTCTGCTCGTGAGATGGGTTTCCTGAATACAGCACACTGATGGGTCTTGACTCTTTATCCAATTTGCCAGTCTGTGTCTTTTAATTGGAGCATTTAGTCCATTTACATTTAAAGTTAATATTGCTATGTGTGAATTTGATCCTGTCATTATGATGTTAGCTGGTTATTTTGCTTGTTAGTTGATGCAGTTTCTTCCTAGTCTCGATGGTCTTTAAATTTTGGCATGATTTTGCAGCGGCTGGTACCGGTTGTTCCTTTCCATGTTTAGCGCTTCCTTCAAGAGCTCTTTTAGGGCAGGACTGGTGGTGACAAAATCTCTCAGCATTTGCTTGTCTGTAAAGTATTTTATTTCTCCTTCACTTATGAAGCTTAGTTTGGCTGGATATGAAATTCTGGGTTGAAAATTCTTTTCTTTAAGAATGTTGAATATTGGCCCCCACTCTCTTCTGGCTTGTAGGGTTTCTGCCAAGAGATCCGCTGTTAGTCTGATGGGCTTCCCTTTGAGGGTAACCCGACCTTTCTCTCTGGCTGCCCTTAACATTTTTTCCTTCATTTCAACTTTGGTGAATCTGACAATTATGTGTCTTGGAGTTGCTCTTCTCGAGGAGTATCTTTGTGGCGTTCTCTGTATTTCCTGAATCTGAACGTTGGCCTGCCTTGCTAGATTGGGGAAATTCTCCTGGATAATATCCTTCAGAGTGTTTTCCAACTTGGTTCCATTCTCCCCATCACTTTCAGGTACACTAATCAGACGTACATTTGGTCTTTTCACATAGTCCCATATTTCTTGGAGGCTTTGCTCATTTCTTTTTTCTCTAAACTTTCCTTCTCGCTTCATTTCATTCATTTCATCTTCTATTGCTGATACCCTTTCTTCCAGTTGATCGCATTGGCTCCCGAGGCTTCAGCATTCTTCACGTAGTTCTTGAGCGTTGGTTTTCAGCTCCATCAGCTCCTTTAAGCACTTCTCTGTATTGGTTATTCTAGTTATACATTCTTCTAAATTTTTTTCAAAGTTTTCAACTTCTTTGCCTTTGGTTTGAATGTCCTCCCGTAGCTCAGAGTAATTTGATCGTCTGAAGCCTTCTTCTCTCAGCTCATCAAAGTCATTCTCTGTCCAGCTTTGTTCCATTGCTGGTGAGGAGCTGCATTCCTTTGGAGGAGGAGAGGCGCTCTGCTTTTTAGAGTTTCCAGTTTTTCTGCTCTGTTTTTTCCCCATCTTTGTGGTTTTATCTACTTTTGGTCTTTGATGATGGTGATGTACAGATGGGTTTTTGGTGTGGATGTGCTTTCTGTTTGTTAGTTTTCCTTCTAACAGACAGGACCCTCAGCTGCAGGTCTGTTGGAGTACCCTGCAGTGTGAGGTGTCAGTGTGCCCCTGCTGGAGGGTGCCTCCCAGTTAGGCTGCTCAGGGGTCAGGGGTCAGGGACCCACTTGAAGAGGCAGTCTGCCCATTCTCAGATCTCCAGCTGTGTGCTGGGAGAACCACTGCTCTCTTCAAAGCTGTCAGACAGGGACATTTAAGTCTGCAGAGGTTACTGCTGTCTTTTTGTTTGTCTGTGCCCTGCCCCCAGAGGTGGAGCCTACAGAGGCAGGCAGGCCTCCTTGAGCTGTGGTGGGCTCCACCCAGTTCGAGCTTCCAGGCTGCTTTGTTTACCTAATCAAGCCTGGGCAATGGTGGGCGCCCCTCCCCCAGCCTCGCTGCCACCTTGCAGTTTGATCTCAGACTGCTGTGCTAGCAATCAGCGAGACTCCGTGGGCGTAGGACCCTCCGAGCCAGGTACGGGATATAATCTCGTGGTGCGCCGTTTTTTAAGCCCGTCGGAAAAGCGCAGTATTCGGGTGGGAGTGACCCATTTTTCCAGGTACCGTCCGTCCCCCCTTTCTTTGATTAGGAAAGGGAACTCCCTGACCCCTTGTGCTTCCCGAGTGAGGCAATGCCTCGCCCTGCTTCGGCTCGTGCACGGTGTGCGCACCCACTGACCTGTGCCCACTGTCTGGCACTCCCTAGTGAGATGAACCCGGTACCTCAGATGGAAATGCAGAAATCACCCGTTTTCTGCGTCGCTCAGGCTGGGAGCTGTAGACCAGAGCTGTTCCTATTCGGCCATCTAATATTTTTTCTTTACTCTTTTTTTTTTGCTTGTACAGTGTCTGAGGAGAGATTGGATGCAATTCTTATCTTTGTTCCTTTATAAAAAAGTCTGTTTTTTGCCTCTAGTTTCTTTCAGAAATTTTATTATTATCTTTGATTTTTTGTTTTGAATATAAATGATTTGCCTTGGTGCAGGGCTTAAAGTTTTGTTTTTGTTTTTGTTTTTACATTTATCTTGCTTGGTGGTTCTGTGAATTTCTGGGTCTGTGGTTTGGTGTCTGACATAAATATTAGGAAATTTTCACTCCTTATTGTTTTTAATATTTTTCTGTTCCTCTCTCTCTTTCTTCTCCCTTTAGTATTTCTGTTAAATGTATGTTACAACTTTTATAGTAGTCTCACAGTCCTTTGACATGCTTTTCTATTTTTTAAGTCTCTGTTCTCATTGCTTTTATTTGTGAAGTTTTCTATTGATAAATCTCAAGCTCAGAGATTTTTCCCTCAGCCATGTTCAGTCTACTAATAAGACAATCAAGGCGGTTCTTCATTTCTACTACAGTTTTTTTTTTTTAATCTCTAGCATTTCTTTTTAGTTCTTTCTTAGGATTTCCATCTTTGTGCTTACATTTCTCATCTGCTTACATTTCCTTAGCATACTAACCACTATTGTTTTAAATTTCCAGTATGATAATTCAGACATTTCTGTCATGTCTTGTTCTAATGCTTGTCTCTTCAAATTGTCTTTTTTTGCCTTTTAGTAAGGCTTGCACATTTTTTTCTTTTTTGATAGTTAGACATCATGTACTGGGTACTATGCATTTAGGAATGTGGTAGTAAAGTGCCGAGGTGAGGAAAGTGTTTCATAGTTCTATTATCAGGTCTCAGTCTTTTAACTTTTGTACTCTAAGCTTTACTAGTGCTCCTCAGTTTCTCTCTCTGGTTCCCTTAAGTGGGACAGAATGACTAAAACTGGCTGGAGTCAGGTATTTCCCTTTTACCACCTGAGCTAGGCACTGATAAAACCCCAGTAGGTTAGGGTTTTGTTAAATAATTTCTCTTGAGGGCAGACCTTGGTAAAAAGAATAGAGTGCTGTGATGTACTTCAAAAGGGTTCTTCTTCTTCCTCTGGCAGAAGCAAGAGGATATTTTCTCTGATATTTACTGTGAGAACCTAGTTCAGTTCCTGGAGATAAAACTCACAAAATTGTGGGGATCCCCATATGACTGACCACCCCCTGCTGCCTCCAGAGTTTTAAAGTCTCAGATTGGTCCACACTGTGCTGCTAGCAATTCATCAATTTCAGGTAAGGTTTTATTACAGCTCCTTAGGTGGTTCCCACTCCTGATTCTTTTCTCTAGTAAACTGTGACTGTCTGTATTCACCTGTCTGTCTCTTCAATCTTGGGGGCAGTGGTTTGCCGTGTGTCCTCATCTTTCTTGTAGATTAAATAAGAGTTGTTAATTTTTTCAGGCTGCTGAACTTTTTTACTTCTTGTTATACTAGAGTGGGAATTTTCAAGTTCCTCACATGTGAAAACATAAACTGGAAGTCTCTCTTTGCCTGTCTTTTTAATTGAGAATTTTTTTTGTTATTGAGTTATATGAGTGATATGGTTTGGCTGTGTCCCCACCCAAATCTCAACTTGAATGGTATCTCCCAGAATTCCATGTGTTGTGGGAGGGACCCAGGGGGAGGTAATTGAATCATGGGGTAGGTCTTTTCCATGCTATTCTCGTGATAGTGAATAAGTCTCATGAACTCTGATGGGTTTATCAGGGGTTTCCACTTTTGCGTCTTCCTCATTTTCTCTTGCCAACACCATGTAAGAAGTGCCTTTCACCTCCTGCCATGATTCTGAGGCCTCCCCAGCCATGTGGAACTGTAAGTCCAATTAAACCTCTTGTCCTTCCCAGTCTTGGGTATGTATTCATCAGCAGCGTGAAAACAGACTAATATAATGAGCTACTTGCATATTTTGGATACTTACTCTTTATCAGATATCTATTTTGAAAATATTTGCCCCCCCATTCTGCAGGTGACCTTTTGAATCTTTTAATTGTTTCTTTTGCTGTGCAGAGCTCGGTGTGGTTTGATGAAATCCTACCAGTCCATTTTTGCATTTGTCACCTTTGTTTTTGATATCATATAAAAAATATTATTGTCCAGATCAATGCCAAAAGGATTTTGTCCATGTTTTCTTGCAGCTGTTTTATGGTGTCATGTCTTAGGTTTAAGTCTTTAATCCATTTTTAGTTTATCTTTGTATATGGTATGGGATGAGTCCAATTGTTTTCTTCTGCATATGGACCTCCAGTTTTCCAAACAACATTTATTGAAGAGACCATTCTTTCTTCATTGTGTGTTCTCAACAGTCTTGTCAAAGATCAATTGGCTACAGATGCATGGATGGATGTATTTCTGAGTTCTCCATTCTGTTCCATTGAGCCATATGTCTGTTTTTATGCCAGTAGCATATTGTTTTGATTACTGTAGCTTTGACGTATATGTTTTGAAGTCAGGTAGAGTGATGCCTCCAGCTGTGATCTTTTTGCTCCAGATTACTTTGGCTATTGGGGTCTTTTGTGGTTTCATATGAATTTTAGGATTTTTTTTCTATAAAGAGTGCCATTGGCATATTGTTTTTGTTTTTGTGGGTACATAGTAGATGTATGTATTTATGGGTTACATGAGATATTTTGATACTGGCATGCAATGCATAATAATCACATCATGAGAAATGGGGTATACATCACCTCAAGCATTTGTCCTTTGTGTTATAAACAATCCAGTTACACTCTGTAGTTATTTTTAAGTGTACAATTAAATTATTTTTGACTATAGTGACCTGGTTGTGCTAGCAAATACTAGGTCTTGTTCATTCTAACTACTTTTTTGGAACCATTAACCATCCTCATTTCCTCCTCACTTTCCATGCTACCCTTCCCAGCCTCTGGCAACTGTCTTTCTGCTCTCTATCTTCATGAATTTAATGATTTTAATCTTTAGCTCCGCAAATAAGTAAGAAAATGTGAAGTTTGTCTTTCTGTACCTGGCTTATTTTACCAAACCTATGCCCTCCAGTGACAGGATCTCATTCATTTTAATGGCTAAATAGTACTCCATTGTATATAAATACAACATTTAATAAATCCATTCTTCTGTTGATGGACACAGGTTGCTTCCAAATGTTGGCTATTGTGAATAGTGCTGCAAATAAACATGGGACTGAAGATATTACTTCAAAATACTGATTTCCTTTCTTTTGGATATGTATCTAGTAGTGGGATTGCTGGGTCATATGATAACTCTAGTTTTAGTTTTTTGAGGAACCTTCAAACTGTTCTCCATAGTGCTTGTATTAATTTACATTCCCACCAACACTGTATGAGGATTCTTTTTTCTCCATATTTCTCACCAGCATTTGTTATTGCCTGACATTTGGATAAAAGCCATTTTAACTGGAGTGAGGTGATATCTCATTGTAGTTTTGATTTGCATTTTTCTGATGATCAGTGATGTCGAGCACCTTTGTATATACCTATTTGCTAATTGTATGTCTTCTTTTGAGAAATGTTTATTCAGATCTTATGCTAATTTTTAATTGGATTGTTAGATTTTTTTTCCTGTAGAATTGTTTGAGCTCCTTGTATGTTCTGCTTATTAATCCCTTGTCAGATGGGTAGTTTGCAAGTATTTTCACCCATTCTGTGGGTTGTCTCTTCAGTTTGTTGTTCCCTTTACTGTACAGGAGCTTTTTAATTTGATGTGATTCTATTTGTCTGTTTTTGCTTTGGTTGCCTGTCCTTGTGGGATGTTTCTTAAGAAATCTTTTTCCAGGCCAGGCTCAGTGGCTCACGCCTATAATCCCAGCACTTTGGGAGGCCAAGGCGGGTGGATCACGAGGTTAGGAGATTGAGACCATCCTGGCTAACACAGTGAAACCCCGTCTCTACTAAAAAAAAGAAAATTAGCCGGACGTGGTGGTGGGTGCCTGTAGTCCCAGCTACTTGGGAGGCTGATGCAGGAGAATGGCGTGAACCCAGGAGGCAGAGCTTGCAGTGAGCAGAGATGGCGCCACTGCACTCCAGCCTGGGTGACAGAGTGAAACTCTGTCTCAAAAAAAAAAAAAAAAAAAAAAGAAAAGAAAAAAGAAATCTTTTTGCAGTCCAATGTCCTGGAGCATTTCCCCAATGTTTTCTTGCAGTAGTTCCATAGATTGAGGTCTTAGATTCAAGTCTTCAATCCACCTTAATTTAATTTTTGTGTATGGTGAGCTATAGGGTTCTATTTTTTTTTTGCATATGAATATCCAGTTTTCCCAGCACCATTTATTGAAGAGACTGTCCTTTCCTCAATATATATTCTTGGCACTTTTGTTAAAAATGAGTTGACTGTAGATATATGAATTTATCTCTGGATTCTCTGTTCTCTTCCAACAATTTGTGTGTTTGTTTTTATGCCAGTACTATGCCATTTTAATTAATATAGCTCTGTAGTATAATTTAAAGTTGGATAATATGATTCCTCTGGTTTTGTTCTTTTCTCTTAGGATGGTTTCAACTGTTTTGGGCCTTTTGTGATGCTATATAAATTTTAAGAGTGTTTTTTTCTATTTTGTTGAAGAACGTTTTTGGTATTTTGATAGGGATTGCATTAAATCTGTAGATTGCTTTGAGTAGCATGGATGTTTTAGCAATATTGATTCGTTCAACTCATGAATATGGAATATCATTTTTTAAATGTCTTCAAATTTTTGCATCACTGTTGCGCAGTTTTCATTGGTGAGATCTTTCATTTCTTCAGCTATGTTAATTTTCAGATATTTTATTTTATTTGTACTTATTGTAAATGGGGTTACTTTCTTGATTTCTTTTTCAGTTTGCTCACTGTTGGCATATAGAAATGCTACTGATTTTTGCATGTTGATTTTGTATCCTGCAACTTTACTGAACTCGTTTATTAGTTCTGATTGTTTTTTGATGGAGTCTTTAGGTTTCTCCAAATATAAGATCATATCATCTGCACACAAGGATAATTTGACTTCTTCCTTTTCAATTTAGATGCCCTTTATTTCTTTTGTGTGATTGCTCTAGCTAGGACTTCCAGTATTATGTTGAATAACAGTGATGAAAGTGGCGATCCTTGTTGTTCCTGATCTTTGAGGAAAGGCTTTTAGTATTTCTCCATTCAGTATGATACTAGCTATGGGTCTGTCATATATGGCTATTATTATGTTGAGGTACATTCTTTCTATACCCAGTTTTTTCAGGTTTTTTTTTATCATAAAGTCAGGTTGAATTTTCTCTAATGCTTTTTCAGCATCAATTGAAAGGGTCATTTTGTTTTTGTCCTTCATTTTGTTGATATGGCATATCACATTGATTGATTTGCATATGTTGAACCATCCTTGCGTTCCTGGGATAACTCCCACTTAATGATGAATAATCTTCTTAATGTATTGTTGAATTCAGTTTGCTAGTATTTTGTTGAGGATTTCTGCATCAAAAGTAATCAGAGATACTGGCCTGCAGTTTTCTTTTTTTGATGTGTCATTGCCTGGTTTTGGTATCACAGTAATACTGGCCTCATAATAAAACTTTAGAAGTATTCCTTCCTTTCTAGGAAGATAGAAAGAAATGAAAGAAGGAAGGGAAGACCACAAAACAACCAGCAAACAAAATAATGGGCAGGAGTGAGTCCTTACTAATCATTACATTATCTTGCTGAATTGACCCCTTTATCATTATATAGTGACCTTCTTTCTTTCTCCTTATAGGTTCTATCTTGAAATCTATTTTGTCCGATGTAAATATGGCTACTCCTGCTTTTTTTTGGTTTCCACTGGCATGAAATATCTTTTTCTATTTCTTTATTTTCAATCTATATGTGTCTTTATAGGTGAAGTGTGTTACTTGTAGGCAACAGAGTATCAGGTCTTTATTTTTTTATCCATTCATCTACACTATTTCTTTTGACTGGGGACTTTAGTCCATTTCCATTCAATGTTATTATTGATAAGTAAGGACTTAGTTCTGCCAATTTTTTTCTTTGTTTGCTTGTTGTTTTTTGGTCTTCCCTTCTTTCTTTCCTTTCTATCTTCTTTTTAGTGAAGGTGATTTTCTCTGGTGATATGCTTTAATTTCTTGCTTTTTATTTTTTGTTTATCTGTTGTATGCCATTGGGATTTTGATAGTAATTACATGGAATATGTAGATCACTTTGGGAAGTATGAACACTTTAACAATATTAATTATTCTAATCCATGAACACAGAATATCTTTCTATTCATCTGTGTCTTTTTAAATTTACTTAATCAGTGTTTTATAATTTTCAATGTACAAGGCTTTCAACTATTTGATTAAGCTTATTCCTATTTTATTCTTTCTGTTGCTATTTTACACAAGTTTGTTTTCTTAATTGTTTTAGATAGTTTATTGTTTGTATAGAGAAATATTACGGATTTTTGTATGAAGATTTTGTATTTGGTAATTTTACTGAATATATTTATTAGCCATAATAGTTTTTTGTTGTTGTTATTGAGTTTTTATAATTTCCTATATATATGATTGTGTTTTCTACCAGCATAGATAATGATATATCTTCCTTTCAGATCTGAATGCTCTTTATTTGTTTTTTAGTCTAATTGCTTGGGCCTTCTGGTATTAGGTTGAGTAGATGTGGTGACAGTGAGCATCCCTGACTTGTACTGGAGCTTAGTTTAGAGAAAGAGCTTTTAGTTATTTCCCATTAATTGTGTTGCTAGTTGTGGGCTTTTCATATATTGCCTTTATTATGTTGATGTAGATTACTTTCATACCTCTTTTGCTGAGGTTTTTTTTTAATCACAAATGAACATTGAATGTTGTCAAAAGCTTTTTCTGCATCAATTGAGACGATAATGTGATTTTTAGTCTTCATTCTTTTAATGTGTTGTATAACATTGATTGATTTTTATATGCTTAGCTATCCTTACATTTCAAGGATAAATCCCACATGGCCATGTTATGTAATCATTTTAATGTGCTGTTGAACTTGGTTTGCTAGTATTTTACTAAGAATTTTTACATCTTTGTTTATTAGGGATATTTTGCCTATCATTTTCTTTTCTTGTGATGTATTTGTTTGCCTTAGTATCAGGATAATGCTAGCCTCATTAAATAAGTTTGAAAGTGTTTCTTATTCTTTTATTTTTTTAAAAAGGATTTATGACAAATTGGTACTAATTCTTCTTTAAATGTTTAGTAGAATGCACCTGTGAAGCCTTCTGGTCTTTGGCTTTTTAGAGGGTGAGAGGTTTCTGATTACTGATTTAATCTCCTTATATATTATTGGTTTGTTCAGACTTTCTATTTATTCTTCATTCAGTCTTGTAGATCATACATTCTTAGGGATTTGTCCATTTCTTCTAGGTTATCCAATATATTGGCATATAATTGTACCTAATAATTTCTTATGTTTTTAAATTTATTTTTATTTACTTGAGTCTTGTCTCTATTTTCTTAGTTTGTCTAGATAAGGGCTTGTCACCTTTGTCTATCTTTTTGAAAAAAATCTTAGTTGCATCAGTGTTTCAATTGTTTTTCTATTCTCTATTTGATTTATTTCTTCTCTAACATATATTATGTCCTTGCTTCTGCTAACTTTGGACTTTGTTCCTGTTTTTCTAGTTCCTCAAGATATAAAGTTAAGATGTTTATTTGAGTTAGTTTTTTTCTTTTTTAATGTAGGCATTGATCAGAATCAAGTTTTCTATTAGTATTACTTTAGCTGCATTTCATACATTTTGGTATATTTTGTTTTTATTTCCATTTGCCTTGAAATATTTTCAAAATTCTCTTTTGAGTTCCTCTTTGACCCAATGGTTGCTTATGGGAGTGCTGTTTAGTTTCCATGTATTTGTGAATTTTCCATTTTCTTTTTCTTTTTTTTTTGCTATAGTGTACTAAAAGTCTTTATTGATAAACTGCATATGTTTTGAAAGTATAATGCAATAAGTTTATAGGGAATAGAATATAAATTTTTCACTTATAAGATTGTTTTAGTTCATTTTCACACTGCTGATAAAGACATACCTGAGACTGGGCAATTTACAAAAGAAAGAGGTTAAATGGACTCACAGTTCTATGTGGCTGGGGAGGCCTCACAAATATGGTGGAAGGGGAAAGGCAAGTCTCACATGACAGTAGAAAAGAGAAGAGAGCTTGTGTAAGAAAATTCCCCGTGTTAAAATCATCAGATCTCTCAAGACTTATTCACTATCACAAGAATAGCACAAAAAAGCCCTGCCCCCATGATTCAATTATCTCCCATCAGGTTCCTCCCACAGCATGTGGGAATTATGAGAGCTATAACTCAAAATGAAATTTGGGCGGGAACACAGCCAAACCATATCATTCCACTCTTGGCCCCTCCAAATCTTATGTCCTCACATTTCAGAACCAATCTTGCCTTCCCAACATTCCCCAAAGCCTTAGCTCATTTCAGCATTAGCTCAAAAGTCCACAGTCAAACATCTCATCTGTGACAAGTCCCCTCCACTTATGGGCCTGTAAAATCAAAAGCAAGTTAGTTACTTCCTAGATACAATGGGGGTACAGGCATTGGGTAAATACACCCATTCCAAATGGGAGGAATTGGCCAAAACAAAGGGGCTATGGGCCCCATGCAAGTCCAAAATCCAGCAGGGCAGTGAAATCTTAAAGTTCCAAAATGATCTCCTTTGACTCCATGTCTCACATCCAGGTCACACTGGTGCAAAAGGTGGGTTCCCGTGGTCTTAGGCAGCTCTGCACCTGTGGCTTTTCAGAGTACAATCTCCCTTCCAGCTGCTTTCATGGGCTGGCATTGAGTGCCTGTGTCTTTTCCAGGTGCACAGTGCAAACTGTCCGTGGATCTACCATTCTAGGGTCTGGAGGACAGTGGCCCTCTTCTCACAGCTCCACTAGCTAGCCCCCAAGTGGGGACTCTTGTGGGGGGGTCTACATTTCCCTTCTGCACTGCCCTAACAGAGGTTCTCCATGAGCACCCTGCCCCTGCAGCAAACTTCTGCCTGGACATCCAAATGTTTCCATACATCCTCTGAAATCTAGGTGGAGGTTCCTAAACCTCAATTCTTGACTCCTGTGCACCTGCAGGTTCAATACCATGTGGAAGCTGCCAAGGTTTTGGGCTTACACCACCTGAAGCCACGGCCCAAGCTGGACCTTGGAAACTTTAAGTCACAGTTGGAGCAGCTGGAATGCAGGACACCAAGTCCCTAGACTGCACACAGCAGAGGGACCCTGGGCTTGGCCCACAAAACCATTTTTTCCTCCTAGGCCTCTGGGTCTGTGATGGGAGGGGCAGCCACAAAGGCCTCTGACATGTCCTGGAGACATTTTCCCCATTGTCTTGGTGATTAAAATTTGGCTCCTCATTACTTATGCAAATTTCTGCAGCTGACTTGAATTTCTCCACAGAAAATGGGATTTTCTTTTCTATCACATTGTCAGGCTGCACATTTTCTGAACTTTCATGCTCTGTTTCCCTTTTACAGCTGAATTTCTTTAACAGCACCCAAGTCATCTCTTGAAATCTTTGCTGCTTAGAAATTTCTTCCACCAGATAACCTAAATCATCTCTTTCAAATTCAAAGTTCCACAAATCTCTAGGGCAAGGGCAAATTGTTACCAGTCTGTTTGCTAAAACGTAACAAGAGTCACCTTTGCTCCAGTTCCCAACAAGTTTCTCATCTGCATCTGAGACCACCTCAGCCTGGATTTCATTGTCCATATCATTATCAGCATTTTGGTCAAAGCCATTTAACAAATCTCTAGGGAGTTCCAGACTTTCCCACATTTTTCTATCTTCTTCTGAACACTCCAAACTGTTTCAAGCTCTGCCTGTTACCCAGTACCAAAGTTGCTTCCACATTTTCAGGTATCTTTACAGCAGTACCCCACTCTACTGGTACCCATTTACTATATTAGTTTGTTTTCACGCTGCTGATAAAGACATACCTAAGACTGGGCAATTTACAAAAAAAAGAGAGATCGAATGGACTCACAGTTTCACATGGCTGGGGAGGCCTCACTTTCATGGCAGAAGGTGAAAGCCACATCTCACATGGCAGAAGACAAGATAAGAGAGCTTGTGCAGAGAAACTCCCATTTTTAAAACTATCGTATCTCTTGAGACTTATTCACTATCATGAGAATAGCATGGGAAAGCCCCAACCCCATGATTCAATTATCTCCCACGACGTCCCTTGCACAACATGTGGAAATTATGGGAGCTGCAATTCAAGATGAGATTTGGGTGGGGACACAGCCAAACCATACCAAAGATTAACATATAAATGATATTTAGAAAGCATTGTCTTGAGAAATGTTGTTTGATAGTGTTTCAACTTGAGGAAGATATGAGGCTCTCAAGTACAGCATTTCTTTCACCATTAATGAGAGAGAATCCAACTTTCTGTGAAGAGAAGGGAAATCTCACATTTCTTGGTGTGTTCCAGGATCTGCAATATTCATTAGATATGAAAGAATCAACCATGAAAGAGCTGACTGCTGTGTCTAGCATGTGAAAGTAAAGGCACTGCAGCCCGGGGAGCAGCTCCCTTGGATCCACTGACCTCAAAGATCATCAGATAGAGTTGAGATCAGTGGATGGGTAAACACAGCCTGGCAGCTCAATAGTCCTGAATGGATGGGAGGAAACAGTGCTACTTTAAGACCCAGGCCCATTCTCAGGGGAGGGACCAGCAAGCCTTGGCTCTTGGCCTCTTGACAAGTTTGGAAAAGCTCCTTGTAATGAGATGATTCTCATGGAAAAATCAATATCTTTAAAATGGCATTACTGCCCAAAGCCATTTACACATTAAACACAATTTCTATCAAACTATCAAAGTCATTTTTCATATAATGGAACAAAAAATGAACCCAAAGGGCCCAAACAATCCTAATCGAAAAGAAGAAAACCAGCGGCATCACACCACCTGACTTCAAACTCTGCTATAAGGCTACAATAATCCAAACAGCATGGTACTGGTATAAGAACAAACACACAGACCAATGGAACAGAGCAGTGAACCCAGAAATAAAGTCACACACCTACAACCATTTGATCTTCAACAAAGCCAACCAAAAAAGCAATAAGGAAAGGACTTCCTATTCAATAAATGATTCTGGGATAACTGACTAACCATATGCAGAAGAATGAAACTGTACCCCTACCTTTCACCATATACAAAAATGAACTTAGAATGGATTAAAGATTCAAATGTAAGACCTCAAACTATAAAAATGTTTGAAGAAAACCTAGGAGATACTCTTATTGACATTGGCCTTGGCGAAGAATTTTTGGCCACCTACCCAAAAGCGATTGCAATAAAAGTAAAAATTGACATGTGGGATCAAATTAAACTAAAAAGCTTCTTCATAAGGAAAGAAACTACCAACAGAGTAAAAGGAAAGAAAATGTTTGCAAACTATGCACCTGACAAAGTTCTAATATCCAGAATCTATAAGGAACTTAAATCAACAAATTACAAAAAATATCCCTTTTAAAAAGTGGGCAAAGAACTTGAACAGACACTGCTCAAAAGAAAATATACAAGGAAGCCAACAAACATAAGAAAAAATGCTCATCACTAATCATCAGAGAAATGCATATAAAAATTACTATGAGATACCATCTCACATCATTCAAAAAGGCTACTAAATAAAAAGTCAGAAATAAAACAGATGATACTGGCAAGGCTGTGGAGAAAAGAGAATTCACAGTTGGTGGAAATAAAAATTAGTTCAACTACTGTGGAGCACAGTCTGGAGATTCCTCAAAGAGCATAAACAGAGCAATCATTTGACTCAGCAATCGCATTACTGGGTATATATCCAAAGGAAAAGAAATAATTCTACCAAAAAGACACATGCACTTGTATGCTCACTACAGCACTATTCAAAATAGCAAAAACATGGAATCAACCTAGGTATCCAACAACTGGATAAAGAAAATGTGGAACATATACACCGTGGAATACTATGCACCCTTGAAAAGGAATGAAATCATGTCCTTTGCAGCAACATGGATGCAACTGGAGGCCATTATCCTAAGCAAAATAATGCAGAAGCAGAAAACCAAGTATTGCATATTCTCACTTATAAGTGGGAGCTAAACATTGAGTACACCTCCAGTTTTCTGTTATTGATTTCTGTTATTGATTGTTATTGATTTCTGGTTTCATTTGACTGTGGTCAGTAAAGATACTTGGAATAATTTCTGTCTTTTTACATTTGTTAAAACTTGTTTTGTGATCTAGCATATGATCTATTCTGGTGAATGTTCCAAGTCCACTTGAGAAGAATGTGTATCTTCTAGTGTAGGGTGGGAAGTTCTATATATGTCTGCTAAGTCCGTATGGTCTGTAATGTTGTTCAGGTCAGCTATTTCTTTATTGATATTATGATTAGATGTTCTATCTGTTATTTAAAGTGGGCTTTTGAAGTCTCCTGCTATTATTTTATTTATGTCAATTTCTCCTTTATATCTGTTAATATTTGCTTTACTTATTTAGGTCCTCTGATATTGGTTGCATATCTATTTATAATTGTTATATCTTACTCTTAAATTGACTCATTTATTATCAGATAATGTCCTTCTTTATCTCTAGAGACAGTTTTGTCTATGTATAGCCACCCCTGCTTTCTTGTGGTTACCATTTGCATGGAATATGTCTTTCTATCACTTCACTTTCAACCTATGCATATCCTTTAATCTAAGGCGAGTCTCTTGTAGACATCATATTACTGGATCTTTTCTTATACATTTAGCCATTTTATGCCTTTTGATTGATGAGTTTAATGCATTTACTTTTAAAGTAATTGTTAAGTGAGTTCTTACTATTGCCATTTTACTGATTTTGTTTGTTTGTTTGTTTCACAGTTGTTTTGTTCCTCTTTTTCTATCCTTGTACTCTTCCTTTGTGATATGGTGTATCAGGCTTGAATTGCTCTAAATACCTAAGACTGGGTAATTTGTAAAAAAAAGAGGTATAATTGCCTCATGGTTCTGCAGTCTTTATAGGAAGCATGGTGCTGGCATCTGCTTGGCTTCTAAGGAGGCTTCAGGAAGCTTCTAATCATGGCAGAATGTGAAGTGGGAGCAGGCACATCACATGGTTAAAGCAGAAGAGAGAGAGAGAGAGACAGAGAGAGAGAGAGAATGCCACACTTTTAAACAACCAGATCTCTTGAGAACTTACTATTATGAAGGCAACAGCAAGCCATAACGGATCAACCCACCTGATCCAAACACCTCCCACCAGGCGCCACCTTCAGCCACTGCGGATTACAATTCAACATGAGATTTGGATGGGGACAAATATATAAACTATATCATATGGTAATATTTGTAGTGATTTGCTTTGACTTTTTCTCTTTATATTTTGTGTTTCTATTATAGGTTTTTTTCTTTGTGGATATCTCAAGGCTTTCGTGATATATCTTAATTGTAACTAACCATTTAAAGTTGAAAACAACAACTTTAGTCACATACAAGAAGTCTAAAATGTAGCTTACTGTACTCACATTTTGTGTTCTTATAGTCAGAGTTTTCTTTTTTTTTGTTTTACATCGTATATATACGACAAGGTTTTCACCTTTTAAGTTTTGTACTAGGGTTCAAAGTAACTTATGCACCACCATTACGATGTTATGTTATACTGTATTTGTCTATATATTTATTGTCACCAGTAAGATTTATACATTCATATGCTTTTGCATTGCTGTTTAGCATGTTTTCATTTCAATTTAAGTAACTCCCTTAAGCGTATATGGTAAGATAGATATAGTAATGACAAACTCCCTCAGTTTTTGTTTGTCTTGGAAAGACTTTATCTCTCCTTTATTTTTAAAGGATAATTTTTTTCAGGTATAATATCCTTAGCTGGAATATTTTTTCTCTGAGTATTTTGAATATAGCATTCCATCCTCTTCTGGCCTGCAAGGTTACTGCTGAGAAATTTTTTGGAAGTCTTAAAAACATTCCCTTATATGAGACAAGTTACATTTATCTTCTTTCAAAATCCTCTCTTTGACTTTGACTTTTGGCAATTTAATTATAATGTCTGTCAGTATAGACTTCTTTGTGTTCAATGTATTTGAGGTCCTTTGGGATTCTTGAATCAGGATGCCCATTTTCTTCTTCTGATTTGATCATCTTTTGGTCATTATTTCTTAAATAAATTTTCTTTTTTTTCTTTGTCTTATCCATCTCGAGCATTCGTAATGCATGTATTAGTTTGTGTAATGGTGTCCCATAAATTTATTGTCTTTCTTCATTGTTTTTAACATTTCTTTTTTCTCTTATGACTGATAAGAATCAGCAAACTCAAAGACAGATCATTTTATTGATCAAAATGAATTTTTAACTTCATTCATTGTATTCTTCAGCTCTATAATTTCCATTGAGTTCTTTTTAACGATTTCTGTCTTTCTTTAGCTTCTAATTTTTTTATGCATTGTTTCCCTGACTTTGTTGAGTTGTCAATCTGTGTTCTTTTGTAGATCACTGAGCATTTTAAAAATAATTATTATGAATTCCTTGTCAGGCAATTCACAGATCTCCATTTTGTGGGGTTGTTTACTGGAATTTTTTTGTTTTTTGTTGGTGGTGTCATGTTTCCTTCTTGTGTGTATCCTTGCATGGGTGTCTACCTATTTGGAGGAGCAGTCACCTGTTCCAGTCTTTGGGGACTGACTTTGATAGGAAAATTTTTTTACCTGTAGGTGGACACAAGGGCACTGGCTGGTTGGTCTGCATAGTGGTGTTGGATCTGGCATCAGATCCAGGGATGTATAGGGATGCAGGTTCCAAGAGTGCATTGAGGCACTGGTTCTGAGGATGTGTAAGCGTTCTAGTTTGGGGGCATGTAGCAGTGCTGGGTCTAGTGGGGGTGTGGTAGCATTGGATCTGGTATGTATGCAGTGGGGCTGGGTCATGGGTTTTCCAGCAGTGCTGGGGTCTGGTGTGCATGTGGAGGCACTGGATCCAGGGGCTGTTTGGTGGTGGTGCCAGGTCCAGAAGCCAGGGGCATGTATAGCTGCTCTGCATCCAGGTTAGTATAGAAACATGATTTCTGGGCCATTCCATCAGCTGGGATCTGTGTTGTTGAAGACTGTGGGAGTCTTTGGCAGAGAGAGCTGATAGGGGTTTTCTATTTTTATTTTCCTCTATAAGGAAAAGCCACATCCAAGGGGATTCCTTTTGTTACTGAGTTGTGCCAGCTAGGGGACAAGGTGACACAGGTAAGATACTTCCTACACTTTTATATGTGGCCATCTCAGTTTTAGTGCTTGACTGTGTTGCTCTAGCTTCTTAATTTTACTTTACAATTCTCCCAGAGCTATTTTTATCCATGAATGTTGTTATTGTTTATGTGGAGTATCTGTTTGTTTGGGCTGCTATAACAAAATACAGACATACCTCAGAGATATTGCAGGTTGTATTCCAGAGCACTGCATTAAAGTGAATATTGCAAGAAAGTGAGTCACACAATGGTTATGGTCTTTCGGTGCATATAAAAGTTATGTTTATACTATACTGCAGTAAATTAAGTGCAAAATAGCATTATGTCTAAATAACAATATACGTACCCTCATTAAAAGATACCTTACTGACTGGGCACAATAAAGTACTGTGGCTTATGCCTGTAATCCCAGCACTTTGGAAGGCTGAGGTGGGAAGACTGCTTGAGCCTAGGAGTTTGATTCCAGGCTGAAAAACACAGCAAAACACCATCTCTACAAAGAAAAAGAAAATTACAAAAAATTAGCCAGGTGTGGTGGCACATGCCTGTAGTCCCAGCTGTTCAGGAGACTGAGGTGGGAGGATCACCTGAGTCTGGGAGATTGAGGCTGCAGTGAGCCATGATTATGCCACTGCATTCCAGCTTGGGTGATAGAGACCCTGTTTCAAAAATAAAAAATATAAAATAAAAAAACTCAAAACAAACAAAAAATACTGTGTTGCTAAAAATTGCTAACAGTCATCTGTGCCTTCAGTGAGTCATAATCTTTTTGCTGGTAGAGGGCCTTGCCTCTGTGTTGATGGCTGCTGACTCATCAAGGTGGTGATTGCTGGAGGTTGGGTTGACACTGGAAATTTCTTAAAATAAGACAACAATAAAGTTTGTCACATTAATTGACTTATTTCCAGAAAAGATTTCCCTGTAGCATGCAATGCTGTTTGATGGCATTTTACCCACAGTAGAACTTTTTCCAAAATTGGAATCAACCCTCTCAAACTCTGTTGCTGCTTTATCAACTAAACATATGTATATTTTACATTTTTTGTTGTCATTTAAACAATGTTCACAGCATCTTCACCAAAAGTAGATTCCATTTCAAGAAGCACTTTCTTTGTTCATTCATAAATGCAACATGGATGAGACTGGGCACGTTCAGGGTGGTATGACCATAGACTATAAGTGCAACTTCATACCCTTTCAAGTTTTATTATGAGACTGCGCAATTCAGTCACGTCTTGAGGCTTCATTTTAAATTCTAGTTCTCCTGTTATTTCTGCCACATCTGCATATGCTTCTTCTGTTGAAGTCCTAAACCCCTCAAAGTCATCCATGAGAGCTGAAATAAACTTCTTCCAAACTTCTGCTAATGCTGATATTTAGACATCCTCCCATAAAATGAATTTAATGGCAGCTAGCATGGTGAATCCTTTCCAAGTTTTCAGTTTACTTTGCCCAGATTCATCAGAGGAATCACCATCTATGGTAGCCATACCCTTATAAATGTACTTTTTAAATAATATTTGAGAGTAAAAATTGCTCCTTGATCCATGGGCAGCAGAAAGGATTCTGAGTGAGCAGGTATAAAAACAACATTAATCTTCTTGTACATTTCCATCAGAGCTCTTGGGTGATCAGGTACGTTGCTAATATGCAGTAATATTTTGAAAAGAATATCTTTTCTTTTTCTAAGCAGTAGGTCTCAACAGTGGTTCTAACATATTCAGTAAACTGTGATATAAACAGATATGCTGAAATCCAAGCTTTGTTGTTTTATTTATAGAGCACATGGAGAGTAGATTTGGCATAATTCTTACTGGCCCTAGGACTTTCAGAATGGTAAATGAGCATTGGCTTCAACTTAAAGTCACTAGCTGCATTAGCCTCTAATAAGAGAGTCAGATTGTCCTTTAATTAAAGCTTTGAAATCAGGCATGACTTCTCCTGTCTAGCTATCAAAGTCTTAGATAGCATCTTCTTCTAATATAAGGCTGTTTTATTAATATTAAATATCTGTTGTTTAGTGTAGCCACCTTTGTAAATATTCTCAGCTAGATCTTCTGGATAACTTGCTGCAATTTCTCCTTCAGCAATTGCTGTTTAATATTGCAATTTTGTTATGAAAATAACTTCTTTCCTTAAACCTCATGAACCAACCTCTGCTAGCTTACAATGTTTTTCTACAGTTCCTTCAGTCTTCAGAGAATTGAAGAGAGTTAG
This sequence comes from Homo sapiens, assembly GCF_000001405.40. Classification (NCBI taxonomy): domain Eukaryota; kingdom Metazoa; phylum Chordata; class Mammalia; order Primates; family Hominidae; genus Homo; species Homo sapiens. Next base: position 15,261,177 of record NC_000004.12, on the reverse strand, counting down.
GACTTTGCTCTGGATTAGCCTTTGGCTTAAGGGAATGTTTTGGCTGGTTTGATCTTCTATTAAGATCACCAAAACTTTCTCCATATCAACAATAAGGCTGTCTCGCTTTCTTATCATTTGTGTTCACTGGAGTGCACTTTGAATTTCCGTCAAGAACTTTTCCTTTGTGTTTACAACTTGAGGCTGTTTGGCATGGGCTTTTGGCTTATCCTGGCTTTTGACATGCCTTATTCACTAAGCTAATTGTTTCGACATGTGACTCTTCCTTTCACTTGGACACTTGAGGCCATGCTGGGTTATTAATTGGCCTAATTTCAGTATCATTGTGTCTCAGGGAATAGAGACACTCAAGAGCAGAAACATAAATGGGGGAACTACTGGTCAGTGGAGCAGCCCGTGCACACACAACATTTATCGATTAAGTTTGCAATCGTATATGAGTATGATTTGTGCTGCTCCCAATCAATTGCAATGCTAACATCAAAGATCACTAATCACATATCACCATACAAATATAATAATAATGAAAAAGTTTGAAATATTGTGAGAATTACCAATATACGACATAGTGACATGAAGTGAGAATGTGCTGTTGGAAAAATGACAGATAAACTTGTTCGATGCAGGATTGTCACAAACCTTTAATTTGTGGAAAAGGTAATATCTGCCAAGCTCAATAAAGCAAAGGGCAGTAAAACAGGTATGCCTATACCATAAGCTGGGTGGCTTGTAAACAACAGAAATTTAATTCTCACAGTTTTTGAGACTAGAAGTCTGATATCAGGGTCTCGGCATGGCCCAGCTCCTGGTGAGAGTTGCCTTCTGGATGGCAGACTGCCTACTTCTTCTTGTGTCATCACATGGTAAATGAGATGAATTATCCATCTGGAATCTCTTTTATAAGGGCTCTAATACAAATATTGAGGCTCCGCCCTCATGATCTAATCTCTTCCTAAACGCTCCACTTTCTAATACTATCACCTTGGGGGACAGGATTTCAATGTATGAATTTGGTATTGGGGGAGGTGGGCAGGACACAAACATTCAGCTCAAAGAATGGTGGGATGAGGGCTGGAATCTCCTACTGCACCATTTTGTTGATGTCACTCCCTGAAATATTTATTACCAAATTGCTGTTAAACATTCAGGAAGTGGCTACTCTCCCCATATATGAAATACAAAAATATTATCAAGCAGAACAACTTTGGGATTCAGATGAGGGAAAGAGCAGTTTATGACTTGGAGTGTCTGGGAAAGAAGGTTCTGTGAAAGATCAACTGGATTCAAGACTATCTTTAAAATATGCTGTTGGGACCTGAATATGAGCTCTTTGACCTTCAAACAAATTCAGAACCAGCACCACTCAGATGAACAAACAGTGAGAAGAGATGCCTGAATAGAAAGTTTCAGAGCACTTTGGGAGGCCGAGGCAGGTGAATCACCTGAGGTCAGGAGTTCGAAACCAGCCTGGCCAACATGATGAAAACCCGTCTCTATTAAAAATACAAAAATTAGCTGGGTGCGGTGGTCAGTGCCTGTAATCCCAGCCATTCGAGAGGCTGAGACAGGAGAATCACTTGAATCCGGGAGGCGGAGGTTGCAGTGAGCCGAGATCATGCCATTGCACTCCAGCCTGGGCAACAGAGTGAGACTCCATCTCAAAAAACAAACAAACAAAAACAAACAAACAAACAAAAAAACCCAAATACCTAAAAATAGGCAATAGTTCACCTCCAACTAACCAGTTTTGTAGAAAACACTCACGTTGGGGTTACTTTGCATATTTGCATTTCTTAACAGGTAGGCATATTTCCCGGGTTCCAACAACAGTCAGAAGGGATAGAAGGGCGGTAAATTCTGACCTTCAGCTACTCCACATGATGAGAATGGCAGAACCTTGCAACATGTGCAGTATTAGTATTCTGGTAAAGACTTTGGGAAATTGGAGGTGCCATGGCATTAACTGGGACTTTACTGTGTTGCCTCCTGCTTTAAGAATCTATCTCCAAGAGAAAACTTTTAATATCATTTGCCACTAAATAGATCTCTAACTGTTGTGTTGTGTTCTTCTGTTAATTAGCGCTATGATGTGTTGTCCACATAAATTGGATATGATTAGAATCCACTACATTGCACAAATAAGCTTTCTAGGCAGAAGAGACTGTATGCACAAATGCATGAAGGCAGGAAGGTAGAAACATTGAAGGAAAGGTATTAGAAATGTAGTGCCCAGGTGTGATGGCTCACACCTGTAATCCCAGCACTTTGGGAGGTTGAGGTGGATGGATTGCCTGAGGTCGGGAGTTCGAGAACAGCCTGACCAACAGGGCAAAATCCCGTCTCTACCAAAAATACAAAAATCCAGGTGTGGTGGTGCACGCCTCTAATCCCAGCTACTCGGGAGGCTGAGGCATGAGAACTGCTTGAACCCAGGAAGTGTAGGTAGGTTACAGTGAACCAAGATCGTAGCACTGCACTAGAGGCTGGGCAACAGAGTGGGGACTCTGTCTGAAAAAAAAAAAAAAGTAGTATTCAAAAGGAAGTAAAGGAAGATAAATTAAAAAAGAAAACTTGGAAGTAGATCAGGAAGGGTCCTAAATCACCGTCCAAGGAGGTTTAACAGAGTCATTAAAGACTTTTAAGCAAATAACTATCAAAAATTACTTACATTTATCAAGGTTGGGGCAGTATAATAGACCAATTAATAACTCATTCTTTGAAGTTAAACTATCTGGATTCAAATTGCAGCTCTACTATTTTCTTGCTGTAAGATTTGGGCAATGCACTTATATTTTCCATGCCTCAGCTTTTCCATCCATAAAATGGAAATAATTGTAGTACCTATTTCATAGGGTTCTTGTTGGGATCAAATGAAGTAATAGATGTAAAGTGCTCAGAGTGAGTCCTTAAAAATATTAGCTATGGTAAAGGGGAATTTTCATTCTCTTAGCAAGAAGCAACAAGTCATTTTTTAGCAAGAGAGCTCTTTTGTTGAGGAAAATGCTTTGATATTTGCCTTGAAGCTGAGTATCCAGAACCTCTACAATTGTGGGTACTGAGGATTCCTAGAGAGAAGGTGTCCGTACTATAAAATAAAAGAAGAAAAAGAAAGATTTAGGGAGAGAGTGGATGCATTCAGCTTTGAATTTGTTGAGCTTGTGTTGTCTCTATGAAGACTGTGTGCACATTTTTAGTAAGCATATAGGAACATGCATCTAGTATTTAAGAGTGAGTTGGGGGTCAAAACTACATATATAAAAAGTTTCTTCAAAATAATCATATTTGATGTTTTATGCATTTTACCTAGTTTGGGTCACTTAATTTATAACAGAAATCATTGATGTTTTTTCTTTTATGCTAGGTATTTTAAGAGTTGTACATGCACCTTATCTCATTTAATCCTCAAATCAATTACTTGAAGTTGCATTTTTCTTACTAAACACATGTAAAAATTGAGACATAAAAGATTAAGTGTATTTATATCACAAACCACTTTACAGTACTTATGGCATGGCAGATACCCTATTAATCCCTTTACAAATATTAAGCTATTTAATCTTCATAAAATCTCTGTGAGGTAGGTACTGCTAATTGTCTTTGAGTTATGGGCGAAGAAACTGTGTCCAGCATCCCACTGTTAAGTGGCTGAGCTGAGATTTTATCCCACCTAGACTGAACCTTGAGTCCATGCTCTTAACCTCTGTTATGCTGTCTTTCTGAAGAACTTGCCTGAGTCCCAAAACTTTAAGTGGATGATGCAGGAGTCCACGCTGAGTCTGCCTCATTGCAAGATCATTGAATATACTCATTTTCTCCCCCAAATTAGTCACCACTCTGGCCAAGAGGGACAGGGGCTGAATAAAAACAATTTCTTATGGAATGAGCTAGCATTTTTAGGTTTAGGTCCTCAACTGTCTGGTTCTAGCTACTTCACATCTCATTCTGCTACCTCTCAAATTCTTCTAAGGCAAACCACTGGCTCTATTTTCTGTTTATGTTCTTGTCAATTTCCTTCATTTTGTCATGTAAATTTGGTTTCTCATAACCTTCATTGTCAGAACTACATTGAACTATAGCTTTCCTCCTCCATTTTTGACACAGAGAGTCTATGAATGACTTCTGAGTGACATGCCTCGCAGCTTGACCTGGCTGCAAGAATCTCTATTTCATGAGGACAGTCTCCTTCCAAGATAATTTAGCCTGTCAGGCAGATCTAGGCAGCAGGAGCTAATAAGATTCCTGAGAGACAATAATGCCCTTAAAGTGGAAGAGAGGTCAGTGGAAGAACTGTCTTTTATTGGCCACTTAATTTGTGCATGCACTATGCTACCTTATTCACATATATTTCATTATTTATAGCATCCTTATATAGTAGGTATTATTGAGATTCACAGAAACAAATTCCCAATGTCACTGTGGCTAGAACTGTGGGGAGTTAAGAGTCAAGCCCAGGTCTGGTCACTCAAAAGCCCATGCTTTCAATTGCACCAAAATGTCTATTGCAAAATGGGGCAAAATAAGATGAGACCGGGTATTGTAACTTGGGGAAACAGCCAAAGGAGGCAAAGAACAATTAGAGATAAAAGAGAAAAACTTGCAGTTCTGTGTGGAAGTCAAAGGGGAGAGTTTCAAGAGAGAGAATTGTCAATAGGACCAAATGTTATAAGTCTAAGTAGCTATGGCCTGAGAAAAGGCCAGTGGGTTTGGTGACTATGAAGATACCAGTTTCAGTGAAGGTTGGAGGTAGAAGCCAAGAGCTGAGGAGTAGAGTGATGGGAGAGAATGCAAACTACTTTTCAAAAGTTGCTGTGGGTAAAGGAAGGAAAGGAAAGACATCTTAAAGGAGAGATTTGAGGGAATTGCAGGTCAAGGAGAAGGAATGAGGACAGAAGTAGACAGACAAAGCTAGAAGAACGAGGGATGGATGCAAGGACATGAGAAATGTGGGACAATGTAAAGAGTGGAAAAATGATGTTTTTAAGGAATAGATGAAGAGGGGAAGATAGAGAAAAATGATGAGACATTTTGAAGTGAAAGTAGAAAAATGGGAAGACTATACATTGGATGACCTTGATCTCAGAAATGCTGGAAGCATCTCAAGAGAATAGAGTTGATAGTGGATTGAGGTTTTGAGAGCACAGCAACTGGAAGATCTTCAAAAGGGGATAAGGAAGTGTTAGCCAGAAATAAGTAAAAACATGCTGTGGCAGCAGTGACTTCCAGCTAAATTTGGCTAGGGTAGAATTTTCTATTGAGATTTCACCTTAAAAATATGCCTTGGAGTTTGTTGTTGTCCCTAAGCCCAAGAATCAGATCACTGTAGGCATGAGGGATAGAATCAGTCTGCAAGAGACAAAGAGATGTCCTAAGTTAAAAAAATTTAAAACAAGATGAAAGGACCTATCACTGCTCTCAAGGAATTTGGCTTAGAATGGAGCATAGTCACGTAAATCAATAGTACAATGCCGTTTGGTAAGCTCTAGAGTAGAGAGATACGGTTGATCCTCAATATTGTGGATTCTGTATTTCTGATTTCATCTACCTGCTAAAATTTATTTGTAATTAGAAAAATCAATACTCATGGCACTGTTACGGTCATTCATGAATGTGCACAGAGGAGTAACAAAATTTGAGTCACACAACGTGCTTGTTTCCAGCAAAGGTAGAAAAAATTCCTGCTCTGTCTTTTTGTTGCAGCTCTTATAATGTGTCCTTTTTCAGTTCTGCTTAGTGATACATGGGTGGGGTTTATTTATTTATTTTTTTGAATTTTTGTACTTTTTGTGATATGGCCCTCAAGCACAGAGCTAAAGTGTGCCGGTGTTTCTTAGTACCAAAAGGCTGTGATGCATCTTACGGAGAAAATATGTGTGTTAGAGAAGCTTCAGTCAAGCATAAGTTACAGTGCTGTTGGCCATGAGTACAGTGTTAATGAATCAACAAGTATTAGATTTTTTAAACAGAAACACACGTAAAACAAGATTATGTTAACAGTCAGTTGACAAAAACATAGCCAGAGATTTGCAGGAACATAACCCTTTCTTTCCGGCAAAAGCTATGCTAATTCAGCATTCACAGTGACTGTATAGAAAATAATTACTGTAAATGAGAATCAACTGTAAATACAAGAATACAAATTGCAATGAAAATAAAGAGAAGAAATTGATCAATTCTTTTTGGAAAGGTTAAATGTCACAAAGGAGATACATTTTCTAAAAGGTATCAAAAGTTTATGAGAGGCCAGGCACAGTGGCTCATGCCTGTAATCCCAGCACTTTGGGAGGCCGAGGCAGGCGGATCACTTGAGGTCAGGAGTTCGAGACCAGCCTGGACAACATGCTGAATGAAACCTGGTCTCTACTAAAAGTACAAAAATTAGCCGGGCATGATGGTGCATGCCTGTAGTCTCAGCTACTTGGGAGGCTGAGGCAAGAGAATGACTTGAACGTGGGAGGCGGAAGTTGCAGTGTGCTGAGATTGCGCCATTGCACTCCAGCCTGGGTGACAGAGTGAGACTGTTTCCAAAAAAAAAAAAAAAAAAGTTTATAAGAAAAACTATGTCCAATCTGCTAACAGCAGTAGAAGAAAGAGAAGTGACTAATATTTTAATATTCCATTTTTAAATCCAGCTCTTTGTCACACAAAATTTTTAAATTACAGCACAAAGTTGCATGACATTGAAAACACATGTGTTACTCAACTGCATGCATGATGTTAGCGTTTTAGAGAGCTGTTGAGGTGCTATGGGCTTGGAATATCTATTCCTGTCCTGCTGACAGCTCAATGCCTGAGGGAGACTCTCATCTCAGCCTCGCAATCAGCCTTTCCAACACCACTTGCCTTTAACCCTATTGGATCTGAATCATTGAACCTCCACAAAGTTTCTCTGAATTACTAAGATACCATCTCTAATGTGGCACTCCCCAGTAATTTTCACCTAGATTTCATAGGAAGCTATGGTCTTATGAATGAGAGAAGAATGCCACCTTTATTAATACTAATGACTTTGTATAGTGTTTGATGCTTTCCAAAACAGTTTACATCATAGCTACCATGAAGACAGTAAGAATACTAATACTTACACATGATTATCTGAGGCGCAGTATGTTAAATGGCTTTCTCAGTGCACACAGCTCATAGATAGGGTGGCTGAGACTCAAATTCAGGCCTTGTGACTCCAAAGCTTATGTTATTCCTGATACTCCAGTGATTTTCTAGTTGGGTTCCAGGATGCTCCTGATTTGCGCTGAGATGACTCCGCCTCTGTGGAGATAGTTGCTGTAGTCAGAAGTATTTGCCTGTACATTCTCAATGGCCACTGTAACAAAATCAGCTGTTTTTATTAATTTTTAATTTATTAATCTATACATTTTACAAGATTATACACTTCCTTTGAATGAAATGTGTAACACTTCATTTTAGGAAATGATTTTATCTGCTTTCTGGAGTTTAAAACTCAGGAACTCACAGCACTGAAAACATGGAAGGAGAATTAATACGAACTAAAAAATAAATAAATCATAGAATCACAAGCTTTTTCATCTGGGAGAGCTTTCTTGGTCTTTTAGTTCAACCTCTTGATTTTGCTGATATGAAAACTGAAAGCAGTAGAGGGGAGTTTCCCAAACTGCGCTGTGAAAAGAAAAATTGTAATTCAAATAACTCAAGGAAGGGACATTTGCTTTTTAAGGTGGCGGTCTAGCATAGAGGATAGGCCACAGTCTTGGAAGCTAAAAGAGCTTGGGTTCAATTCCACCTTTGTGACCCATATCTCTGTAGCCCTGGGCAAGTTACTCAACTTCGCTGACCTTCAGATTCTTCATATATTAAAATGGGAATGGAAATATTAGTTGTTCTGGCTTAAGGGGGCCATTAAATCATGCACTTGTCATCCCAAATATGTCTGGAACCCCTTGAAAGATAGCTAAAAGCATCACACAGATGGAGATCAAAACTTCAGCTTTATTATTCTTAAGGCTGAATTGAAGAAACATGGTGTGAAACTTTAACCACCTGGGCCCCTAAAATAGTCTCACTGAATTCAATTTCTTTGCTAGTCCCAGGTAAAGCCTAAGAACAACTTGCCTCCCAGGAAGTGGCAAAGGGTTTCCTTGTAAACTTACCCAATTGAGGATCAGGGAGATCTGTGTCCACTTATAAGAGCTATTGCAAGAAGCTATTGCTGAGGGCAAGAAGCTACTACTAAATTCTTCCTCTCAACACCAGCCATTAGTGAAATCTGTCTTCCCTCTTTGGGAAAGAGGACAAGACACTATTCCCCTTTATGGATCTTTATATGAGGTGCTATATGTGAAGTCCTTGGTTGATACCCACTGCAATGTATGTTCTAGATATGAAGATAATACACAGTGTTGGCAGAAGCAAGGCTGTGAACTCAGACTTTTAGTCCATTACTCTTTCCTTTATGACGAAACAAATGGATATATTACACAGGGTTGGTCAGTTTTCAGTAGAGCTACATTTCCAGCCACACTACATTTTCTGTAGCATAAAACCTGGCAGCAACTCAAGGTCCAAGGTAGCTAACATGTACACAGTGCTTCCTTAACTAGTCTGCCAAATATGACCTGGAAATTCAGCAGTAGTGTGTGTGTGTGTGCACACATGTATGTGTATGTGGGTGTGTGTGTGTGTGTGAGAGAGAGAGAGAGAGAGAAAATCTATTGAGAAACAGTATAGCCCAGTAAAATAAGCATAAGAATATGTAGGAGCAATTTTTTAAGCCTCTGTTGTATACAGGGCACTGTGCTGAGAATATTACATACAGTATCTTTAGTCTTCATAATAACACTGCACTATGAGTCTTATCCTTATTTTGCCAATGAAGAAACATTCAGAAATGAGATTTTAAAATTAGATCTCACTTGTTTCAAGGGCTTGCCCCTTTTACCATTGCATGTAATATCTGTAATATCTGCTGCTGTAATATCTCATCTTTTTCTTCTTTGAAGGGGACTGTGTGGAGACAGAATGACTATTCTTTAGGTTTAATAGAAAAACAGCAGCAAACTTAATAGAATGCTCAGGAGGGCAGAGATAGACCCCGGCTGCCAAAAACAACTTTCAGAAAGAGGGGATTCTGGATGGAATAACAGGCAACCCAGAGTTCCCACCGTAGGATGACTTCTGTCGTTTAGATAAAGAGAATCTAGTGCCCTAGACCACAAAGCATCTCCCTACTTAATGACTTAGTGAGGAAAAATAGGGCCAATTAGGAAATTACCTAGAACCAAGTTTTCAAAGGAAAAGACACCAAAACTGCCACTACTGTCAGATTGGCATGGCTCTGCCCAGCAGCAACCAGAGCCCATCTCTGTCTCCATGCTCTCTGATATGGTTTGGCTGTATCTACACCCAAATCTCATTTTGAATTGTAATCTCCATAATCCCCACGTGTCTAGGGAGAGACCTGGTGGGAGGGGATTGGATCACGGGGGCGATATCCTCCATGTTATTCTCATGATAGTGAGTGAGTTCTCAGGAGACCTGATGATTTTATAAGGTGCTCTTTCCACTTTGCTCCTTCCTCTCTTTCTTGCCGCCATGTGAGAAGGTTCAGGCTTTCTTCCCCTTCACCTTCTGCCATGATTGTAAGTTTCCTAAGGCTTCCCCAGCCATGAGGAACTGTGAGTCCATTAAACTTCTTTTGTTAATAGATTTCCCAGTCTCTGGGTAAGCCATCCACTAAGCCATCAGAGCCATGCCAATCTGTCAGGAGTGGCAGTTTTAGTGTCTTTTCTTTTGAAGACTTAGTTCTAGGTAATTTCCTAATTGGCCTTATTTTTCCTCACTAAGTCATTAAATAGGGAGATGCTTTGTGGTCTAGGGCACTAGATTCCCTTTATCTAAATGACAGAAGTCATCCTACAGTGGGAACTCTGTATTTCTTTACAGCAGTGTGAAAATGGACTAATACTCTATCACTGTTTGGCTTTGATGTGGGATTCTTTCTATTGTCAGTGCATTTTCATCTAAGTTTTGTAGTGACTTGCTTTCAAACTAAGCCATCTTAAATAGGGTGCAGACCTTTTCTCCCTTCCAAGCCCCTTTTCCATTCATCCTGGTATAGGCTAGAATTAGACTGTCAGAGCCGTCAGACAGGGAGAGCGTGTCATGGCAGACACAGAGAAAGGGTTTAAGTCTGTGTCCAAATTGAGTCACCAAACATCAAGCAACCTTCTCCTCCTGGCAAGACACATTTCAAACTTCTTTCTTTTAAAAGCAGACTTTTAATAAGCCCTATTAAGAAAGTAACATCTCAGCAGGGCGCTGTGGCTCACACCTGTAATCCCATCACTTTGGGAGGTCAAGGCGGGTGGATCGCAAGGTCAGGAGATCGAGGCCATCCCGGCCAACATGGTGAAACCCTGTCTCTACTAAAAATACAAAAAAAAAAAAAAAAAAAAAAAAAAAAGTAGCTGGGTGTGGTGGCGTGTGCCTGTAATGCCAGCTACTCGAGTGGCTGAGGCAGGAGAATAGCTTGAACCCGGGAGGCATTTGCAGTTTCAGTGAGCCGAGATTGCGCCACTGCACTCCAGCCTGGCGACATAGTAAGACTCCATCTCAAAAAAAAAAAAAAAAAAAAAAAAAAGTAACATCTCCATGCCATGTTGACAAATAGAAGAAGCACTGATACAGCCCAGTTCCTGGGTACCCATAGGTATGAGTGGTCAGTAGGTGTATATACTTTTAAATATATTTCCTAAGAGCCATTAAATGTAAAACCCAAATGACGGCTGCAGCCTCTTCACTCATGAGTGATGCCAAACCACATTCCACAGTCTCTCAGCACCCCTGAAGGGAACAGTGTAAACTCTAGACATCTGGCCAGATGGCTTTCTGTCTTCCATTCCAACTGCCAGTTATTTCCTTTTTTGTCCCAAGACGGCTATGCCCCTGACACACAAGGAAAACAGTTTTATCTAGAACTAGGAGGAGGGATTCCTTTGCCTATTGCTAATTAGGGGCCTATTGGGAACAAATTCAAGTTTTGGGGGGAGGAAAGAGGTTTGAGAAGAAACCACTTTTCCAGCTGTTGTGTGAGGCAGGCCAGGCCATGATATCATCGACAGCATTCTGCTTTTCTGTCTTGTTCTTCCTCTGCACTCCCTCCTCCTGTTCATCATCCCTTTCTTCAGATAATGAGTTACAGGGATAAACAATAACCTTTCAGATATTATATAAAACAAAAAAGTTCTTACTTTATTTTCTTTTAGAGATATGATAGTTCTACTGTTATTTTTTGTTTCTTATGGTCCTCTTCTTCCTCTTATCTTCCAACTTCTTCTTATTGAATATGGCTTATTGAATATGGTTTATTAAATGTCGACTCACCCAAGCTCCAAATCCAAATACAATCCCATTTTCTTGCCTCCATGATAGAAACTGTCAGAGTGAAATAATTGATTTCTCAGCCTTCCTAGTAGCTAGAAAAATAATTTGACACAATTCTGGTCAATGATAAATGAGTTGAAATTTGCTGAATCTACCCTGTCCCCTTCCCTTTTTTTCTACCTTGAATGAAGTTCTGATGTATAGGCCTGAAACCACCATCTTGTCACCATGAGGTGACAGCCATAAGGATAAGACCAAGAAAATCTCAGAAAGTCTAGTTCTAATATCATATCAGATTTAACATTTTTGTTTCTTTTGATGTATAGGCCTGAAACCACCATCTTGTCACCATGAGGTGACAGCCATAAGGATAAGACCAAGAAAATCTCAGAAAGTCTAGTTCTAATATCATATCAGATTTAACATTTTTGTTTCTTTTTTATTTACCTAGCAGTTCATTTATGCACCAAGATTCTTGTCCCCAAGGTTGTAACTTAGCAGATGGAGACAGACATTAAGCAACAGACATGATAAACAACATAATTATACAGAAAAAAATAGATGCAGTAAAAAAAAAAAAAGGTAAAACAAGGTAAAGGGCATGGGAGTGTAAAGGTAGGGGTTAGTTGCAATTGTAAAAAGCATGATCAGGATAGAATATAAGCTATACATGATAGGTACACAGGAGACAGACAGTGGGTGCTCAATAAATACTTGTTGGGTGAATGATGAATAAGTGAATCAACAGCTCAGTCAACTTATAGACTTCTTGTTAGAGAAGAAAAATAGCCTACCTGTGTAATTTACTGTTGGTTAGATTTTCCAAAATTGTAGCAAAAGTACTGCTAACTGATGCACTGAGTTGCATCCTTTTGTAAGTTTTTCAGCAAGTGTCTCGATCTGAGAGTATCTCAATGCCACTCCTACTCCTGAATAAAAGCTAGATTGGTGGAGTTTTTCTTACTCTTCAGCACTTTGGAAAAGGTTGGATCTTTTCTATTATCTGTCGTTTCTGAGGAGATGCCAGTTTCTCCATATGATGCTTGAAGGTCATTCAACTTTCCTGTCTCGTGATTCCAGGATTTTCCTTTTATCCTCAACTATGTAATTTCAATATTACATGATTAGTTGCAAGTTATTTACATTCATCCTACTTAGGAGTATGCTTTTCTGTTTAAATATGAAGATTCTTTTTTTTGAATTTTGGGAAATATCCCAATATTTCTCTCACTGTTGCTCTCCTTAATGTCTCACTTCTCAACATCCGTTACTCCCGTTAGATATCTGTTCATCCTGTCCTTCTCGCCTTTGTATCTCTTAACTTCACATTTCTATTTTCCATCTCCTTATATCTTTTTGTGCTACTGGATATAACTTTCCCATATTTATTCCACAGTTTTGAAATTTTCTTTTTAATTGTCTAGTCTATCGTCTAATGGGTTTTTAATTCACATACCATAATTCTTCAGTTCTAGATTTGTTTGGTTCATTGTCAAATCTACTTGCTTTTTTTAATTAAAAAAAGTAATGTTTTTATCTTATTCTCTTCTTTATCCATTTGGATATTTCCAACATGCTTTACTTATACTAATGTTCTTTTCAGATTACCCTATGACCATGAGTAGTTTCGATATAAATTATCCTATTTACTGAATTTAATGGCTCTTTCTTTTAACAGTTGCTATCTTTGCGTGCTTTGTAAATTTTTTAAACATGAATTCATTATTAATGGGCGTTGTCTTCCATAGGAGTCTTGCTTGTACCCTGGAGTGGAGGAATCTTTAATGGGATGTTTTGATTTGTTCCTCTTCATGGGCATACAAGAAGACACAAATACATAAATCAATTTTTATAACTAAATCTAAATGAAACACCACTCTGGTGTAAATGTATATTAGCACACTCGGAAGAATACAGTGTGTTCTTTTAAGAGTAACTGAAGCAATTGTTAGTAACAACTGCCTTGAGGAATCTGGACCAGAGCGCTGATGAGGAACTGTGCTCTATAGACTAGACATTCTGCCATCAGTGCATCTTGAGAGTGGAGTTTTTGTTATTACTGTTTATGGACAAACATTTTTTAAGAATGTTTGCAAAGCTGTCAAAGAATCTTGTGGATTTGGTAGAAGAACTACAACAAATGTGGGAACTGAGGCTTATGAAAATGTAATCATTAATCATGTCAGCATTTGGATCACTCTAATATAGAAAACTTTCAGAAACTGGGAAACCAGGGGACTCTAATGAGATTTCCAAGGTTGGCTTTTAAAAACTATTTTGTAACCCAATGAATGTGACATATTGACTAATACCCTTATTGCTATTAACAGCCTATATCTGATTAATCAAAAAATTAAAAAAATACATTAACATCAATATTCCTGCTCTTAATACTAATTCTATGACATATAAATAAATAATTTATGTATTTACATAGCACTTGTTTTCAAATGTGCTACACTAAGATTTACATGTCAGCTACATTACATGCTTCATTCATTACTTTAATACTAGCTGTATTTCCTTTGCCAAATTACTCATCTAAGCTGTAACTGGGTTCTCTCATTTGTAAAGCAAGGATATTAATTGTAGCTCTCATTAGGGCAGTTGGAAGATTAAATGAGATAATGTTTATGGAGGCCTAGCACAGCAACCAGACCCCAGAGAGAATAGCTTTTATTATTGTCATTTTCAACATTCCAAGCTGGCTTAATTGTCCAAGGTTTTGCTTCCATATAAATTTCACATCAAACACACAGTCCAAACTTTCAGCAAGCGCCAAGAAAGGAATTTATTTTCTGCAAGAGCCACACCAAAACAAAAAACAAAAAACACATCTTGTTCACTAGGTTATCTCTTGTATCTTTATAAACAGAGATCTAAGGTTTTAATTCTGTTATGGCATGGTGCATGTTCCTAAGTACAGAGAAAACTTCATAAAAAGAGAACCAAAGGGGGAGTTGAAGTTTCCTTGCTCCAGGCCTATACCTGAGAGCACATATCCTCTAAGCATTTAAAAACCTTCTGAAGAATGTGGAAATAGGCAGAGGGGAGATTATTTTTAAGCTTGCTGGTATCTGGGAATGGAGAGTAGCTGTTGCTAATGGCCAATGGGGAGAAATGATGAAAAGATAGAAATGCTAGAACCTTATATTGCCTGCAGTTAGACACTGCATGGATATAGTGGGGGATTTTGAAGAAGGCTCTAGAACACACAGTCTCTACAGAGGAGTGCAGTACAAAGGGCTCTAAGTTTGGACTCAGATGTCCTGGATCTGAAGCTCAGTATCCACTCTGGGTAATCTCTTGTCATGACCAGTTAATAGAAACTCTGAGAATATCAAGTTGTGATCAGCAAAATGGAAACATAGTAACTGTCTAAAAGAGCCATTCTGGGAACAGATTCACTGGGTTAACTTCATTCATTCACTAATTTGTTTATGTATTAACATTACTAACTGCCAATGTATGTAAGGCACTGTGCTAAGTTCTAGGAAAATAGAAAGGAGTCATCTGACTCCATTGCAAATTGGACTTTAAAATTCTAAAAGTGTTATGCTCTTTTAAAAAAATAGTTTCTATTTGTAATTGTAGGATATGAAATATTAAATGGACAATTATTCTGGTTAATGTGATGTTGGTAGATCTGGAGTCCAACCCAACTGGCTTCCTCTTGATTCCAAAGGATGTTCCTGAGTCACTTCCCAGGGATCCTCTGAGTGACATGGAATTGCTCTGAAACCACTGCATCCCAATGCAAGCCACCTTGCTGTATCACTCTATCAAATAGCCCATGTTCTGTACTCCTAAGCAGGATTGTCTTTCACAGAGGTTAAAGAAAGAGAGGGCAAATCCTAGTGGCCTTGGAGTAATGCACATTTTTTTCAGGAGGTTGATGAGAGTATCAGTGAGCAGCTACCCCAGAAAAATCTATTTTGTAGCCTGGCATAGAAAACTGGCCTTGATTTTTAATCTTAGCACAGCACCTGGCATAGAGATGCTCCATACATGATTTGCTGAATAAATGAATAGACTCCCCCATGACAACCTTTCCATCTGGCATGAAGTGGCCTACCATGGTGGCCATGAGCATTGCCTCCAGACCCCCCACCACAGACAGCAGAGTCAGCTGCTGGGCTTTGAAATCCACTGTGGTGTTTGTACCAAGGCTGTGTCTCCCATGGGTAGCTCCTGGCAAGGAAGAGCCTGGTGCAGACACTAAGTAGACTAAGGGATCCCTCTGGGTGAGCAGCTTTTTCTCAAGGACTCCGCGATGGCTTTGCTGAACCCTCTTTTGACTGCATGACAGGCAGTCTGTGATGTTTCCCCTACCCCCAACCTCCTCTCCCTCTCTCCTTCGCTTGAGTCAGATTCTTATCATGTTCTGATGACCTCCTAACCTTCCCAGCTCCCATCATTTTCTCTCTTACACAGGCATTTCTCCAATACAGTCCTTACATGTTTAACCCTGTCTTGTTACCTGTCCCTGGGAGGACCTGGACTGTCACATTTGCCAATCACTTTGTAGGATTAAATTATCTGGCCGTTGATTATGGATTTTAAGAACCAGCCCAGGCAGATAAGCATCTGTGAGGGTGGCCTGGAGTGGGAGGGCCTTGGGGATGAGTCAGCAAGGGAGGGGGTTTCACCCAGGACAGTTGGAGGGGAGTCAGAGTTGAACCTGGAAGAGTAGAAGAAGCACCACATCTCTAAAGAGAAAGAAGCACAAGAACTGATGAATGACCCGGTCAGGCTAGTAGCAAGGAGGGGGAAGCAGACTGCAATCAGATGGGATAAATGAAGTGGGGAGGGCAGTTCAACATGAAGCAGTTCAACATGTGCATAGAAAGGCTTACTTTTTAAGGTTTATGATCAGGGGGCTTTAAAACCTATTTGGCACATAGATTTGGGTACATGGTGGTGGTTGAGGTAAGGGAAACCAAAGGAGCTGGTGGGAGTTTTAAACAAAGAACCAGACTAGGGATCGGCAGCACATGACTCCCTGCCAACCTTGACCTTATCCCTTGACCAGACACATTGACTGAAATGTGGCAAGGACCCAATAGGCTTTTGGACAGGATGATTACCTGGGGATTCTGGCAGATGAGATTCTAGGGATTCTGGCAGATGAGAGGCAACATGCCAAAACAAAAACTCATGACTGGCCACATGTGCTGATATAGTTTGGATGTTTGTCCCTTCCAAATCTCATGTTGAAATTTGATCCCCAGTGTTGGAGGTGCGCCCTTTGCGGGAGGTGTTTGAGTCATGGGGCAGACACTCATGAATAGCTTAGTGACTTTCTCACAGTAATGAGGGAGTTCTTACTCTATTAGTTCACTGATTGTTAAAAACAAGCCTGGCACCCCCTCCCTTCTCTCTTGCTTCCTCTCTTGCCATGTGACACACCTGCTCCCCTTGCCTTCTGCTATAAGTAAAAGCTTCCTGAGGCTGTCACTGGAAACCAAGCAAGTTCTGGAGGCTCTCACTGGAAACCAACCAAGTTCTGGAGCCATGCTTCTTGTACAGCCTGCAGAAACGTGAGGCTAATAAACCTCTTTTTAAAATAAATTACCCAGTATCAGGTATTTATTTACTTATTTTTATTTTATTATCTTTTTTTTTTTGAGACAGTCTTGCTCTGTCACCCAGGCTGTGGAATATAGTGGCGTGATCTCGGCTCACTCCAACCTCCGCCTCCCAGGTTCAAGTGATTCTCCTGCCTCAGCCTCCCACGTAGCTAGGATTACAGGTGCCCGCCACCACGCCTGGCTAATTTTTGTATTTTTAGTAGAGATGGGGTTTCACCATGTTGTCCGGGCGGGTCTCAAACTCCTGACCTTAAGTGATCCACCCACCTCGGCCTCCCAAAGTGCTGGGACTACAGGCAAGAGCCACCGTGGCCAGCCCAGGTATTTCTTTATAGCAACACAAAACAGATCAGCACACCTACATTCACATGCCAGCCTTGACAGTTACTAGCTGGGATGTTTCGGGCTTATTTCTTAATCCTGCTTTACTTTAGTTTCCGCATTAACAACTTAAGGATAGGAATCCCAGACTTGGAGGTTGTGGTGAAGTTACAGAGAATGTAAACACAGTGCCTGCCACAATGCCTGGTGCCTAATGGGTGCCTGAATTATGGCCCCTGCTGTTAAAGCCAGAAACCCGGTGATGTGTGGGAGCAGAGATATGTCAAACCAGGGAGCAAATGTGTAGCCCCAGAATTTTGATCACGGGAAAAATGTGTTATTTTGAGTCTTAAGAAGTTTTTTTATCCTTTATGTTCATGTGGAATCCATTCCTAGAATAAGACTGATTCTGTTATTCAGGAGTATTTATTTGCAAGCTTTTTATTTCACCTTTCTAAGTCAACTCACATGACGTTCATCAAAAAAAAGTGAACTTATGGCCGGGCGCGGTGGCTCACGCCTGTAATCCCAGCACTTTGGGAGGCCGAGGCGGGTGGATCATGAGGTCAGGAGATCGAGACCATCCTGGCTAACAAGGTGAAACCCCGTCTCTACTAAAAATGCAAAAAATTAGCCGGGCGCGGTGGCGGGCGCCTGTAGTCCCAGCTACTCGGGAGGCTGAGGCAGGAGAATGGCGTGAACCCGGGAAGCGGAGCTTGCAGTGAGCCGAGATTGCGCCACTGCAGTCCGCAGTCCGGCTTGGGCGACAGAGCAAGACTCCGTCTCAAAAAAGAAAAAAAAAAAAGTGAACTTATTGTGTCTGACAACTGGCACGTTCATGGGCACCTGGCTTGGTGGGTGGCTGGACTGAAATGATGGACTCATATGCTCAAGTGATGTCGTGAGGCCTGTGTCTCTTTTCTTTAATGTTGCTTCACTCTGAGTAGTCTCTCTTCATGAGGTACAAGATAGTTCAGGGCAGCTCTGGGCCTGTCACATCTTCCCAGACCATGCTGTCAGAGAAAACAGTGGATCTCTTTTTAGATAATTTCAGCAAAAGACCTGAGAAACCGTAGATTGGCCTGATCTGGTTCCAATGTCTATCCCTAAGTCTGTCACTGTGGCCAGAAAGCTGAAGCATCTGGGATTGGCGGCCTGACCAGCTGCTCATCTCTAGAGCTAGGGAGAAGAATGGGTGAGGAAGGTGTCTAGAAATTGTTGTGTAGCCAAAGTCATGTGCCCAATACATCTGCCCATAAGAGGGATTCTTTTCTTTCAACCTTTCTTTTTCATTACTGAGAAGTCCCTAGAGGGCCACACCCCTTTCTAGAGCTAGAAATGTTCTTACAATGAACAATTGGTCCTATTTGGTCTCACAGATTGGGGGACCACCTGGAGATACCTGAGGAAAATTTAGACAGAAGAATTCAGACCCTAAACTTAGAATGGGATGTTGGTGTGCAAGCTTTAGTCATGGTTTAATCTCAGATAAAGAAGTTGGAAAGGAAATCTCTCTTCTAGTTTAAGGAACAGAAATGTATTCTCAAACATTCTGGGACTTAAGTGGATGAGGCAACTGTACACTCATGCTAGTTCATAGCTCCTATGACTCCAAAACACCCCAAAGATTTTGAGGGCAGTTTTTTTTCTCCCATGACCTCACCCCTTCTTGCTACCCTTTCAGTGAAGTGCATAACATATAATATGTGTTCTTGGGAGTCAACTACTCCTGGTGGTAATGAGATTCCTTCCAGCAAGAAGGAAACCAGGGCGCATCTGTGCTGTGTCAGGGCTACCACACATTGGCATGAAAGAAATGTTCTTGATGCAGCAGGTGTTTCTGGCTTTAGAGCTCTACTACTTGTGGCATAATTTCTTTCTTAAAAAAAGATTATGCAACATTCATTTATTTATAGTCATTAATATGAATTTTTAAAAGCAAGAAAAAATATAAATAAAAGGAAGAAAATACAAGCCAATTATAATCTTACTCCCCCGAAAAGAATCTTGTAAATTTTATAATTTTGGTGTGTATCATTCCAAATTTTATCTGTGTAATTCTATTTGATTTGAGAGATGGACTCCCAAAATGAGCTCATCTAATTTAAAAAACAGCAAACTCTAAAGCAGATTCTTTCATAGGAATTAAAATATAAAGTAGCCAGGAATGTATTTTTGGAGCACATGAACTGCCAACCCTTAAGTCAAAAGACTCCTTTGCAACATGCGTCCTGTAGCCGACTCATGAGAATTTTTTCCTTGATTTCTTTTTAATTACCTTTTCCTGATTCTATAATGACTCCAGCAAGCCATTTCCTCATTTCATCTATTTCTCACTCCAAAATTCACAGTTCAGCCTATCACTTCAGGTAATTTTATGGCCTTCTTTATAATATTCAATTGCATCTAACATTTAATTCCAAAGTTGTTGATTTTGAGAAAGGTTTTTCCGTTGTAGTACCACTGCCCAGCAAAAGTTTGGTTGCCATTGTTTGAGGATACAAAAATGATTTAAAAATATAAAAGTGAATCTTAAACTAACAGTATAATCACTCCTGAGATTCTGCACACAAGGCCCAGTGTACATAGCTATGTAGATCCCAAGACGGTGAGCATTTCTGATTAGGAGCCAAGGGGGCTTCAGCAACGGCATCAACATAGATGAACATTGACTTAGACCTCTAGATTTAAGGTTCTTTGACTCCTGTCAGTTTTTTTAGAAGTGCAGATGGATAGATATTATCTTGATTTTATGATGAGATTCTAAATGTTTCTATATTCCACTACTATATATCCCTCCACACTGTGACCTTCCTTCCTCTCTGTTGTACATCATTGTGTGGATAGTCCTTTCCTCCCAGAAATAGGGTTGCATGGTGTAACTTGCTCTTTTGGCTTATCAGTATATCGTGGTTTACAATGTTTGAGACATAGACAATAACTCTGACTCAGCCAGAACAGAGACTGCTTTTCATCACACTGTGTAAACTGTTCTCACCAACTGGAGACAGACACCTGAAGTGTGTCCCCAACCCACACACTCAAGTCTTCTTCATCCTGCCCTGGACCTGGGAAACTGACCTTCGTTGACCATATCCATAGATTCCTGTGACCTCTGGCTTCCGGTTAGGTTCTGCCAACAACCTATGTCTCTGATAGGTTATGTCTACACATCTCTATAGTTAGTTGTTACTAATTTATTCCTCTAGTTTGTGAATTCTAAAATTATTAGCAATACCCAGGTCTCAAAATCCTTTATTCAGGATGGAATTATCCAAACACTCATCACTGCTCCAGGTGCTGGGAATAGTGAGGCAGGCACAGGGGTTGCTCTCCCTGAGCAGTAAGTCTTTTTGGGGGAACAGGACATAAAGCCAAAAGCACGAGTGATGGCTGTGGAGTCTGAGGGACAAGAAGGAATCTGTCTTCACATAGAAAGTGAGGGGCGGCTGCTCCACAGAAGAGACATTTCAGTGAGACTGGAAGAATCACTCTGAGAGAAACAGAAGAGTCTTCCAGAATGACAGAATGGAGCGTCCAATGATGGGGAGGGAAGAGGGAATATGGCAGTTAGTTTCTGAGGGGCTTTGAGTTCTATGGGACCCAAAGCAGAATGATGGGGAAACTGAGAGAACATCTTGGAGACAGATTTCAAATTGGTAGATGGGAACATTCAATGAAGACAATGACCAGTGACATCATGGGCCTGCTCAGTGTTTGTCCCGGGGAGTGTTTAAGCAGGCTAGGGGGGCTGTAAGGGAAATTCAGCTTTGGTAGGGTGCCAGAGAGATGACTCAGACAGTCTCCAATCCTATGAAACTCTCCATTCCTAAAATTCAAAGCCAATCACCCGAGCCTCTTTCCTTAATTTTATGACTTTGTGTTTTTCCTTTGGCCAAATACCAAGGAATATTATCTAATCCCTGTAGAGTTGTACATGGAGTTCAGCCTCGGCTCATTGCAGATCTCATTCAACTGCCATTCATCTGAAGACTTGAAGAAAATGTAACTGGCTCTTGGGCGTTCACTTAGCAGAAATAGAACTTTGGGAAGTGTCAAAAAGCATCTTTAAAAAGATAAATAAAGTCTGTGACCAACACTAGATTTCAGATCTGAAAGCAACTTCAGAAGCCAACAAGCCAACATCTTCATTTTATAGATAAAGCATGACAGGAGAGACCCAGGGACTTGGGCAACGCCTCTCGCCAATGAGGGCCAGAGCAGGGCTGGTGGATCAGGCCTCCTGACTCTGCCCTTGCCATTCAATCTGGGCCCTTTCGGGGGCAACCCATAGGAAATAACCGATGTATATTTCAGACAAATTCAAATCAAGTTCAAACAATCAAATATCTGAAGAGCTGCCCTGTCCCAAGGGTCTTTGACCACACTCTTCTTCTGTCTGGGATGCTCCTCTTCCCCTGGTTCACCTGGCTGGCTCCTTCTCGTCCGACAGATCTCAGCATAAATGCTGCATCCACGGAAAGACCTTTGAACGTCCAGTCTAAAATTGATCCCCTATTATTACCTCTCATAGAGTCCAGTCTTTCCTTCATACATTTAGCAGAGTTTTTTAGTAAGTGTACTTGTCTATTTCCTCTCTCAACCAATGCCCTTTACAGTCTATGCAATCAAGGACCAAGTCTGTTTTCTTAACTCCTCTGTTAAGTGCCTGGCATGTGTGAGGGCTGGGTGTTCTCCATTTGTCCCCCAACCCAAACACTCCAGTCTTCGTCCTGCCCTGGACGTGGGAAGCTGACCTGCATTGACTGCATCCATAGATTCCTATGACCTCTGGCTTCTGGTTAGGTTCTGCCAACAAGAGGTGCAGGTGGGAGATGAAAGGGCAGAAGAGGGAGGTCTGTTTTCATCCTTTTGCTCCGTCCCATGCAGGTTAGCAGGCTGCAGTGTGTAAGGTGGAATCCTTCTATCCCAAGCCACAGATTCTGTCTGGGCTGTCTCCTAGAGTTAACTTCTCCTTCTTCCTGCCCCTTTGGAGTGGTAGAGGTGGTAATGGCTCCCCTCCGTGGCTAGCCGTAGTTAATGCACCAAATCATTGTTTTATTTTAACCTCACCCAAACCTTTGGAAATATGTGTATCATTTATTAAATGTTTCTCAGGGACTTCATCCTAATATGCTTTCTTTGTCTTGCTGAGTCTCTAACAGATGCAATAGATGTTTAATAAGTTTTCGTTACATGTATTAAAATGGAAGAAGGATCAGATGAATTTCATAAGAGCTCCAGGGTGGAGAACTGAGATCACTGGGTAGAAATCAGTGAAACAGGCTAGTGGCATGTTTGAAGGAGAAGACATCAGAGAAATGTGAAGGCAATTGTCAAGGAAGGTGAATGGCTCTTGTATTGAGATTGCAATAGATGCTTGCTGAATGAAATAGTTTTAGCCATTACCATGCTGCATAGATCTTGTTAAAGTTTGCTTTTTAGGTGGCATCTAAAAGGGTGTGTTTGGGGATATAGTTTCCTGAAGCACGTAGAAGCGGTGTTTGGATTCAAACTCCATGAATGGCACTATCAAGGCCAGTTCTGGAGAAGGCAGAGCTGCCATTGGCTCCAAATGGTAGTTGTCCTGTTCTGACAGCCTGCCTGATCTTGGTGTCCAAGTGAGTCTTTGGGGCTCATCTACATACAATACAGGTCAGTTTTTCCTTCTCCCCTGATGAAAAACAAAAAGGCTGGACTAAGTAATTTGCACAACCTCTTTCAATTCTAAAATTCCCCAGTTCAGTGTTTCCATGATGTGAACTGGGTATGGTGTGACTTGGGAATTCTTACAAAGGAAGACAAGAGTATCAGGAGTGTATTTTGCCTTGAGTGGGTGGAGGCATCTTAGTGGCTGCTAAAGCTGACATTTGTCAGAACTCTGCTTCACCCTTTAACCGTAGACTCTTAGGTCAGTCAAGCCTACCCACACACCACGTGGCCAGTGTCCACCCACAAGCATTTCCAACTTGCAGGCAGGGATGGAGTTTCCCTCATCATTGTACTCTCCAACATGGAAACTGGCATGCTGAAGGTGCTCAATGAAATGAACATTCAGAGAATAGAGGAAATTAATGTTCATGGCAGAATTCCCTGGCTTCTCCTGGTCACTGCCTTTAAGACTATTTTGATTCTGAATTTTCCTGGCTCCTAAGCCCTTTTGACTAAATGTTCTGTTCCTGGCCCCATATTTTCTGCTTGGAGCCAGTGGCAGCTCTGCCTTCTCCAGAACTGGCTTGGTAGTGCCATTCGTGGAGTTTGAATCCAAACACCGTTTCTACGTGCGTCAGGAAACTATATCCCCAAACACACCCTTTTAGATGCCATCTATAAAGCAAACTTTAACAAGATCTTCAAGTAATGAGCAAAATGGGTCTCCCTCTTTCCATCTCACCTAATTCCTGATCTTTGCTTGATCACTAACTTACATTTTCTTAACCCCTACGTGAAAGAACAATGGTTTTCTGAGTAATAAACTGTTTAGAATATCAACACATTCTCAGGAACAAAAAACCCAAAATTAACTTGTTCTAAGAAAATGTCACAGACCCCTCCTGTGGCAGTAGTTGTTCAATACATTTAGTAGTAAAAATATGCCATGTGTCCATCAATTTCAATTTCCTTTCATCTTTTGGTCACTGAGCTATTTTTATCACAACACTTTCATTCCAAAGATGTATTTTTTCCCCTTATATCTACCAATTCTCCAATTCTCCAGACACCAGCTGGGTCCCCTACATTTCAATTCAATTTTTTTGCCAACTACCAAGAGTTAGCATACACCTCTTAGTTAGAGCTCAGTCCCATAAGACAGCTCCCACTTCAGACACTAGTCACAAGTCCTGAGCTCTCTATACTTCTAATAGGCTATACATCGGGGGTTCCCATGACCCCCTTCTCAGGTTTAATAATTTGCAGAACAGCTCACAAAACCCAGGGAAACATTTCGTTTATGTTTTCTCGATTTTTTTTTTTTTGAGACGGAGTCTCGCTCTGTCGCCCAGGCTGGAGTGCAGTGTCACGATCTCTGCTCACTGCAACCTCCACCTCCTGGGTTCAAGTGATTCTCCTGCCTCACCCTCCTGAGTAGCTGGGATTACAGGTGCACGCCACGATGCCCAGCTAATTTTTGTATTTTTAGTAGAGACGGGGTTTCACCATATTGGCAAGGCTGGTCTTGAACTCCTGACCTCGTGATCCGCCCGCCTCGGCCTCCCAAAGTGCTGGGATTACGGGTGTGAGCCACCGCACCTGGCCTCTGGCTTATGATAAAGGCTACAAACTCAGAAACAGCCAATGGAAGAGGTGCATGGGGCAAAGTATGGGGAGGCACACATCTGAGTGCACCACCCTCCCAGTACCTCTATGCGTTCACCAACCTCGAAGCTCTCTGGGCCCCGTCATTTAGCAGTTTTCACGGAAGTTCCATTTTATGGGCATGACTGATTCAATCATTGGCCATTGGCAACTGAATTTATTCTCCAGCCCCTTTCCCCTTCTCACGGGTCTGAGGGTGGTACTGAAAGTTCCAGCTTTCTACTTATGCCTTGGTCTTTCCTGAGGCTAGGCAGGGGCCTCCAGCCTCCAGCCACCAGCCATCTTATTAGCACACAAAAAGACACCTTATCACTCTGCACATTGCAAGGGTTTTAGGAGCTACATGCCAGGAACTGGGGACAAAGACCAAATATGTATTTCTTATTATGGCACAGGCACATAGCCAGACTGCATTTCTCAGCCTCACTGGCAGCTAGGTGGCCATGTGAATGAGTTCTGGCCAATGGAATGTGTACACGAAAGATGTCTGTCGCCAACAGGCCTGCTCTCTAAAATTCTCCATAGCTAACCCCAGTGCCCTCTCTTCCTTTGTTTGCTGTTTGGAGGCAGAGTGTCCAGTGATGGACTCAGAGGCCCTTAAGAAGATCAGAGCTAGTGGATGAAGGATCCTGAAGCCCTAAATGATAGCAGAGTCAGCAGATGAAACAGCCTGTGTCCTTGACTAAAACAGAGCACCCCCACCTGCCTACCTTCGTTGCAATGTGGCATTAACAAGAAGTAAGCCTTTATTGTGTCAAGCCACAAAGGGGGCTGTTTGTTACAGCAGTTGGCCTCCACTGACTAATACAATACACCTGCGTGCCCCAGACTTTGAGGCTCCAAACCAGTTTCCTTGACTCTCTAGGCTGGTGCTTCTTCTGGAGAAAATCTGACCGATTTTAAAACAAATTCTGCCAAGAAGTATGTATTTAAACAGAAGCATTCCCCTTAAGTTTCTTTTCAATGGGGTGTGTGTGTGTGTGTGTGTGTGTGTGTGTGTGTGTGTGTGTGTTTAGGGTCGAAGGAGTTTCTTTCAGATTGGCTTTGATGTCTAATAATCCTATCCATTGCTGTTACAAGTAAAATGAACCAAATAGAAAAATAGCTTCTTAGGGAGGGGAAAAAGGAAGCTGTCCCCATCATTTCTGGTGGCCAAGGATTACCGTGGCAGAACTATTGTCTTTTCTCTCGGCCTGTGCTGTCTTTGGCAGAGGCTCCAACTTATGACCTATCTAAATTAAAGTTTTCCCCTGGAGATGGATTTTATGAGGGGAACTTAGCAATTAGGAAAGAATGGCTAGGTTTCTGCCCTGTAGAGTGGGCCAGAAATGTCACATCCAAACCCTGAGATACAAAACACTTCCCCTGATTATCCAACAACCAAGTGCATTTTAGTAATTTGGTTCTCTTCAACCCATCAGTGGCTGCCCAGGGAATGTGAAATGAGGGAAATATCAAGTTGTTTCTTAGTTGTTTTTGGTCATTTCCCTAACAGACATT
Organism: Homo sapiens; assembly: GCF_000001405.40. Lineage (NCBI taxonomy): Eukaryota > Metazoa > Chordata > Mammalia > Primates > Hominidae > Homo > Homo sapiens. Next base: position 15,235,093 of record NC_000004.12, on the reverse strand, counting down.
ATCAAAAATATAACAGGAGAAAAGCCAAGGCAAGAAGGACTTCATTTTGTCTTCAGTGATTTTTTGCTCAGTGATGACTGTGTTTTCTTCTGCACTATGCGATGAGCTGGCTGATGTGGCTACAGCTGGGATAATCAGCTGCAACATGGAAAACCCAAAACCACAGCATCTGGGGAGCTTTCCAAAGGCTAATTGGAATTGTTTACCGTGGGCTTTCTTCTTAAATGATTCATTACTCTACAAAACCAGTATGACTAAATTAAATTGTAAATGTGTCCATCATAAAAGGCTAGGAAATACCTCTTTTATTTGCTTCCCATTTCAGCATTACAGTGGAGTTGGAAAAGTGCTTCGCTGTTATCAGCAGCAATATTTGCTGTGAGTTTTTCATAGACCATGGGTGCCTGACCTGTCTATAGAAAAATAAATTTCATTTTACCAAAGTCTTGAGATCATCTAGAGCAGAAGTGGTTGGGAAATAGGCAGATGGGTATAAGCATGGATTTTGCCTCTTTCAGTTACTGTGACTTTGGGAAGGTTGTGGAAACCTCCCCAGGTTCTATTTCCTCTTTTGTAAACTACAGACGACAGTATCCAATCAAGGGTTACTGAGGGGTTTAAGTGGGAGAATAAATAATGAGCACCTGGCACTTAGTAGCTGTTCAGTAAATCCTGTCTTTCTCCCAGAGATTGGCAGCAAAGAGCCTGGGATCCCTGTATTATCCTCCTCCCTCATGAACTCTAGAAGACAGTGAGAGAGAGAGAGAGAGAGAGAGTGAGCGAGCGTGTGTACGGGAGGAAGTGATCATCTAGTGGGAGAGTCACTGCAGATTAGTCAGAGACCTTAAAGATGGGAATATTTCAATCTCCTCGCTTCCAGTCAGAGGTCAAATTCAAGGTTGCAGGAAGGGAGATGACATGTCAGAAGCCCGCTAGCCAGCAGGAGATGGAGCCAGGACTCAGACCTGCTCCTTTGCCATAGTTTAGGCCATGAAAGTTTTCTCCCGAATGATAATAGGCATTATTTATTGAGCACATACTAGGTGCCAGACATTTACAACAACCTTGTGAGAAAGGCTTTATAACTTGCATTTCATTGATGAGGACACTGAGGCTCAGAGAGGCAAAGTTACCTGGCAGAGTCATATAGTCACCCAGGGTATGTTGTGAAGCACCCCCTGGTATACCAGACTTCAAAGCCTTTGTTCATCACACTGTTTGACACTGCTGGAAAGAGGCTCTGAGATTTACCAGCATGCTTCAGTTTCAGAGGTCAGAACATGTGCAGATGAACTAACGGCAGAGGATTCGTAAGCCGAGCCTTTTCTGTTCATTTGTTCCGTACCACATGTAAAAGTTCAATCAGCAAAATCACCTCCGGCCAGCAAAAGAACCACTTCCTGCCCATCTTTTTAGATTGTGTTCTCCTGATGATTTTCAAGGGGGCTCAGAGCCCAGATTAATTCAACAGAATAACAGAGCAAACCAGCTTCATTCCCACAAACATCACGTCCAAGTTGCTATGAGGTGACTTCAGTTCATTATCCGGTTGAGCCTGGAATGGGCAAGCTTCAGGGTGTCCCCACACCCACGGCAGACCCAGGCTCTTGGTGCCCAGATGGAAGGGTGGAAACAGAAGGTCCAGCCCATCTGTCTAATGGTTGTCCCTTGGCCAGCTAGTGGGATCTCCTCAAGAGCTTTGTGTGGCAGCTGCCTCAGCCTGGAAAGAGCTTGGCAAATTAGAAAGGAAAACAAACCCAAAGAGGAAACGCTGCTTGCAGCCCAGGCAGCTTTTGCATTATCACTTTCTCCTCTTTTGTGCTGAGTTTCAGATCTGTGACTTTCAAACAAAAGGGTTTTCTGGCCCAAACCTCCAGCTCGTTGTGAAAAAACCATGCACAAAAGTGGATTCAGCTGGCACAGCCCGTGTGACCTTGTGCCCGTGACTCCACAGCTCCTCTGTTTTCAGTGGGGAAGGAGAGCACAGTAATGAAACACAGGGTGGCTTTGCCATTTCCCAGCGATATGGCCTTGGACAAACATCTTGCCTTCTTTTGACTTCAATATCCATGTCTACAGTAGAAAACAGTAACAGCACTCACTTCAAAGGCTGTCAGGGAATTAAATGAGCTCACAAGTATGGAATCCTTAGAACAATCCTGAGTTCCTGCTGCATGCCCTGTGGGTTCAATGTACACTGTTATTATATTTTCTCATCAGTAAAACGAGAATAGTAATAGCACTTGCGTAGGATTGTTGTGAGGTTCAAATGACCACATGTTTCTGAAGAACTTAGTACACAGTGGGTGCTAGGAACTAAATACCAGATCTCATGCAGAGAGGCTGAGCAGAGATGCCTTTAAGAGGGTTGATTTGGAGACCTTGAATGCAGACAGCCAAGTCTGGTCTCTGCCAATTACCAAATAAGAATTAGACAGATCAGGTCATTAACTTATGCAGTTGATAGTTCCAGGAGGTGATATTTGAGGAAAATGAAAAAGTCAGGCAGGCAGCAGGGTGTGTGGTGAAAACACAGTGGGCTGGGGTCAGAAGTCCTGGCTTGGAATCCTGACGCGACCGTCTGGATGTAGGTAGCCTTGGGCAAATCTCTTCTTCACTTTGGCTTCAATTTCTTCTTCTGTAAAAGGAGAATTTGGTGATGTCCCAAATTCCTTCTAATGCTAATACCAGATAATTTAATGTTATTTTCGGGCATCACTCCCATTCACTGCTAGTGGGAATGATAAAACAATAAATTTATTCAAGTGAATAATTTAGCGTAATCTAGTTCATATGAAGATATGCACGTCCACCTCCATTATGGTGTGTCTCAATAATTTTATACCTGTTCATTCAAAAAATATTTATTGAACCCTAATTATGTCCCAGGTGCTGTTCTAGTAGCTAGGGATACTCCAGTGAACAAAACAGATAAAAATCCCAGCTGTCAAGGAGTTTATGTTCCAACAAGGTAGACAAATCACTCACAAGAAAAAAATTTAAAAAATAAGTGCTTAAGGGAAACTGAAAAAGTAGGGAAGGTTGTGGTTTTGGATGGGGTGTGTCTGTTTCCCCACTGGATGGGAGCATGGCCTCATCCAGGGCGGTACCTGGCACGCAGTAGTTTCTGATTAAAGGTTAGGTGAACAAATGCCCAAATGAGCAGACCCTGAGTCCTGAAAAGACTGATTTGATGCACATGTGTGTAGTCTGCGTATTTTTATCTGAAATGAATTAGCACCAGCAGTTTCCAGAGCAGAGCTGAAATGATTACATTACCATTATTTTAAATCTGAGAAGCACTAGGGAATGAGAACCACATCCTCCTCCCAAACCAGGCCAAACAGAGGAGGCCACAGAGCGGCCTTATTTGCACATTGCTGCCCCCTGGTGCTGGTATAAAAATATGGCCACATTTGCTTACCTCTAGGGTAAAATGAATTAGGCTGGTGCAAAAGTAATTGCGGGCTTGGCCATTGAAAGTAATGACAAAAACTGCAAATACTTTTACACCAACCTAATATCAGTGAGCACACAGCACCATCACTGAAGTATTGGGATTAAATTGTCAGTGTGGTGATGACCACGTTTGTCAAATCCAAAAGTCTGTACAGTATGGCCTTAAGGGGGCAGTGGCTAGAATATTAAGGACTATTTCAGATAAGTCAGTGCAATGATTTTATTTTCACGATGACACATGATGTCTGCTCAGATATCACTTTTTGGGAGTTTATAACTATCCAAATGGATCAGAGCTCATAGAAACCTAAGCTATTTCCTAGTCATAGGACTCCGGGAATGTTTCTTAAGGAGTTCATGTGTAGACTTCAGGGACCATCTGACCTTCTGTTTGAGAACAATGTTCCCCAAATGTGTAAGGAAGTGTTAGATCTAAATAACTGAGGAGTGCTGGGCCAGTTGCCCAAGGTGAGTCCTCCACGAAATGAGACACTTGTGTTCACTTAGCACAGTGGTTCCAGTTTGAATTCTATTTCGTTTATACACACATTCCCCATTTTACCTCATATCAAGGTGGCTGGTAATCAGGTAGTTTCCTAACCACCCTAAGTCCTTGTTTTCTCATCTAAAAACAGGAGAAAAATAATACTTACTAAATAAGGTTTAATCAAAAAGAAAATAGTCATGTGAAAGAAAGTAATAAAATATCAGGCACCCATTAGATGCTTAATAAATGCTTTTAAAAGCAAGCTTGGGAAACACTGACATTGATGGAAACTTACAAAGCATTTCAAGATTCGTCAGTGACAGGAAGACTTCTCTGATGAATTATTCCTGGCACTAAGGTCATTGTAAGATAATGAACACTATCAAACAGTGAAAAATCCTAATAAACTTTGTTTTATTCCAGGTGTGTTTCTATCAGAGTACTTTGAAAACCATTACATTGAAAATGTTGCTATCTTTTGTGTTTGAAGATAACACTATTTGCCCAATTTCTTTTTTTCTTTGGTTCTGATTGAAAATAGTATTATATTATAAAAACTAATGTTTCCTACATTGGGCACCCACAAAAACTGCCTTGGGGCCTGCATCTTAGGGTTCTGCTATGGGATAAATGTTTGTATCTTCCTAAAATTCATGTGTTGAAACCTAACCACCAATGTGATGGTAGTAGGAGGTAGAAATACCGTAAGGTGAGAATGTTTAGTGTCTTATAAAACAGACCGCAGAGAACTGCGCTGCCTCTTCCGCCATGTGTGGACAGAGCAAGAAGGCACCACCTATGAACCAGAAAACAGTCCCCCACCAGAGAGTGGATCTGCAGTGCCCTGATCTTAGACTTCCTCCAGAATTGTGAGCAATAAATTTCTGCTGTTTATTAGCTATCTAGTTTTTGGTATATTTTATGGAAGCCCAAGTGAACTAAGATGGGTTTCTATTTGTAGAATCAACTGCTTTTCCTCTTAAAAAAATTGTAGGTTTTTTTTTATTACTACAAAAGTGATATGTGATTATTGTAAAAAAAAAAATTGAAACATTACAGAAACACATGGTCTGTAAAGGAAACATTTTCCGTAATCCCAACTTTCTTTTAAAGGTTTGGCATATGATTGTGTTCATTTTGTTTCATGAATACACCAACTTATATGCGAGTGCTTTAACAAGAATGGGATCATACTAACATGTTCTTCTGCAATTTGAGTTTTTTTAACGTTCGGCATCCTGGATAAGTTCCACATCTTTCTGCCACTTCTCTCTCTCTCTCTCTCTCTCTCCCTCTGTCTTCTTTTTCTCTCTGTAATTGATGTATAGTGTTCCATGGTGAGGTGTACCTATTGTAACTCTGCAGTTTCCTTTCTAGGTAGTCTGCTGCCTTTATTCAGCAGAAGATCAAAGATCCCACCCATGCATGGTATCTCAAGGACTGGAGGGGGAAAAAAAGACAGCAAGTGGGAGTGCCCTCATTTGAGACTATATTTGAGTGAGCATTAAGTAGTGAGTAGCTGAACCTGTAGAGGCTGAAGGGCCTAGAGGCATTGTGGACAAGGCTCCTTGGCAGCTGAAAGATGAGCGGTGTGCTATGAATCCCACCTTACCTATAAGAATGGTACACTTTAATTGGAGGGTTCTTATGGTTTCTATTTTAAGCTTCATTCATATATCATTTATTCAGTCAACAAACATTTTTGAGTGTCTACTCTGAGGCAACCAGGAATGCAGAAATAAATTTTCTTAATAGATACAAACTGATAAGTATCCACAGAGCAATTGCATTCTATGGGACACAATTCATTTGCATTGATCTGGTCACAAATATTTGCATGACTCAGCTTTCTACAATTTACAGAGTAGTAGAAGGATTCAAAGACAATGAGGCTGGGCGTGGTGGCTCACATGGTGGCTCAATCCCAGCACTTTGGGAGGCCAAGGCGGGCAGATCACTTGAGGTCAGGAGTTCGTGACCAGCCTGGCCAACATCGTGAAACCCTGTCTCCGCTAAACATACAAAAATTAGCTGAGCATGGTGGCACACGCCTGTAATCCCAGCCACTTGGGAGGCGGAGGCAGGAGAATCGCTTGAACCTGGGAGGAGGAGGTTGCAGTGAGCTGAGATGGTGCCACTGCACTGCAGCCTGGGTGACAGAGCAAGACTCTGGCTCAAAAGAAAAAAAAAAAATTAAAAGACAATGAAAGGCAGAGATCACCCAGAAAGGTATATTAGGCTGAACATCCGGGAAGTTTTTTCTTCCTCTCATTTTAAAGACTTTCAGAATTTTAATGGACAAATATCACATTAACATACAACCGAAAAAAATGTGGCACGTAAATGCCAAGACCATGGAGATAAAGGCAGTTTAAAAACAGCAGAATTAATTTATCTGTAAGATGACTTTGGTAGGAGGAAAGTACACCAATCTTTCTACAAAACAGCAAGGAAGTACGGGGGCTGATGTATTTAGCACACATTGTTACTTGATATTGGAGGGCCCGCATAGGAACACTTGATGTTTATTAGTGGGTGATGGGGATTTCATCATAGATTGCAGCTATTTCCTTTAACCTGAACTTCAGGTCAGCTGGAACCTCCCAGACATCAGCAAATGTAAGCCCAAGCCTCTTCCTCTCCAGGTGCTCTGATTACCCAGGTGCTTCTTGTTCAGTTCCAGCTCCTGCTTCGTTTCTTGCCTGAGGGTTGTATCTCTTTTTTGATCCCAGCTTCGCTGGCTTTGACCCTAAGTTTTTCCAAGAAAATAGGACTTCACTTTCTTCCTTTCATCCCTGTGATATTGTTCTGATTATAAGATTGCGATGGTTAATATTAAGTGTCAACTTGATTGGATTGAAGGATGCAAAGTATTGTTTCTGGATGTATCTGGGTGTTTCTGGGTATGGCCAGAAGAGATTAACATTTAAATCCGTAGACTGGGAGATGAACACCCACGAACAATGTGGGTGGACACCATCCCATCGGCTGCCCACGTAGCTAGGAAAAGCAGGCAGAAGAAGGTGGAAGAAGCCGATTTGCTGAGTCTTCAGGCCTCCATCTTTCTCCCGTGCTGGATGCTTCCTGCACTCCAACATCAGACTCCAAGTTCTTTGGCTTTTGGACTCTTGGACTTACACCAGGGGTTTGCCAGGGGCTCTTGGGCCTTCGGCCACAGACTGAAGGCTGCACTGTCAGCTTGTCCACTTTTGAGGTGTTGGCACTTGGACTGATCCACCACTGGCTTCCTCGCTCCCCAGCTTGCAGACGGCCTATTGTGGGACTTCACCTTGTGATCAGGTGAGTCAATTCTCCTTCATAAACTCCCTTTCATATATACAAATATCCTATTAGTTCTGTCCGTCTAGAGAAACCTGACTGACACAAGGGGTCATATCCAATCATTGAGACTTTTGGAGTATCCTGGATAGAGGCCATCCTGTGTCTCCCACCAGCTGAGCTCAGAAAATAGAGAAAAACTGCAAGCTTTTGGAGAACCTTCAAACATCATGTTTAAAGAAAATTTAATTTACTTTCTTTTGGCTGAGCTCTTGTTTTGAACCCATACATCAGCTGAAGTGGGTTGTCTTTTGAAATTCAAGTGAAAAGACTTAAATCTAATTCTGTATACTGCAAGGGTTATTTATCTTTTCCCATCTCTGAAGGGATTTGAAGGGTGGGGCAGGATGGGATAGTTTAAGCCTTTTCCAATCATCTCTAAATCTCCCGCTGCCCATATATTCATTGGGTAATTGGTTGTGACAGTTTTGTCACAATGCTCAGCAAAGTGTATCCTTGTTCTGTTTCAAATTGAACCTCTTCCTTCACTGATTTCCACCAAAAATATCTACCCACACAAGACCCACGTGAGTGCTTGTTTGGCTTAATGGGGATGAGGGTTAGGTAGCAATGCACAAATCACTCCTAACTGCATGCTAGCAACCAAATTCCTTTTCTTCAGTGTTCCTTTAAGCCATTCATGCTCCTTGGCTATGTTCTCTTTTTTCCCATTTCTATTTCTTCTCTTCTCTTTCCTCCTCTTTCTCAGGAGGAAAAAGGCGAAGTTTTTATCTCTTTTTGCGGAGTAATCCAACTTACTCTCAGCCTCTGTTGTCTCTCCCAAGTTCAAATCCAGACCATCTTTTGTATGGACCCATGTATCCAAGACTGTTCTTAGTTGCAAGCAACAAAAATGAGTTCTAGATGAATTAAGCAGAATAATTTATTGAAGGAAAATTAAAAGAGTTCAAGAATTGACAGGGTTGCTGGAGAATCAGGCGCAGGAAATGAACAGGCAAAAATGGGAGAGTGGGTTCCAAGACCAGTGTGAAATGGTGCAGAGACACATGGTGGAGCCACTGCTAGGTTGCTACATGTCCTGGCTGGCACCACCACCAACGCTGTGGTCTGCTGCAGCCCCCCTGCCCCTGCAGACTGGTGTTGCCTCCCACCAAGCCCCATAGACATAAGAAGAGGCTCAAGATCCTGGAGACTTAAGTAAAATGACAACTGTCCACCACAACTTAGGCTTTGGTGAATGAAGAACTATCTGTTCTGCATTTCTCTTTACTCTTCCATCTCTCTTTCTACTTCCCTATATAGAGACATTTGCCACTGATGACCTAAATTGTGTCCTCTGTTTCCCCAGTCCTTGGCCTCAGCGCCTGCTCCTTAGATACAGAATTGGCTACAATCTTTTTTTTTTTTTTAAGCTACAATCGTTCTTGTTTTTAATCATTTTGTTCCCTATGACTATACTTTTGCCCACATCAATCTTCATGACAATTCTATAAAACAGATATGATTATTCCTCATTTTACAGACAAAAAATCTAAGTCATGGAAATGTTATGTGTCTCAGTCAAGGCCACACAGCTAGAAAATAGTGGAAACAGATTTCAAACTCGGGGCTGTCTGATTCCAAAATTCATGTTCTCATTCTAAAGTTTTTTAATTTTTGTTTTTATCAAAACTATGTATGCTAAATTACTATTGATATTTTGTATTTACCTCTATGGCTGTAAATAAACTGCTTCTGTTGCCATTTCTTGATCTGCTTTGACTATCGTTCTCTTACTTGTAAGTACTGAATATAGGTATTAATATTTAACTCTCTTTCCAGCCCCCTGCTCTGCTATCATCACATTTTCCCCAACCCACCATTACAATTCTATCATAATTTTGCTTAGAACTACTATCAATATTCAATAGATATATTACTATGACTAGGTAAACTCTGTTGACAGCTATGCCGTGGAATACACTATGACGCTATTGTAAATAGTATCTTCAGTTGGATTTCATTTTCTGTTTGTTTTTGGTAATTAAAAATGTCATTATTTTCTTTTATATTGGCCATGTATCCAGCAATCTTGCTATATTAGCTTATTAATTCCAACAGCTTATTTGTAGTGTTTTTTTGCCTCTTTACGTTCATAATCATATCTTTGTATAATTGCATTTTTCCCCTTCTTAATTTTCATTCCTTTTTTGTTGAAGTAATCTTCATTGAGGTATATAATTCATACACAATTAAATGAATACATTTTAAGTGTACAATCTAATGACTTTGGACACATGTGTGTACCCAGGTCAGTATCACTACAAACAAGATAAAGAACCTTTCCCTCGTGTCCCTGGCCAGGCAATAGCACACCACATTCTCAGCTCCAGGCAACTGCTGATCTTATTACACATTGTTTCTTTTCTAGAGCTTTTTCTTTTTTTTCTTGAGGCAGAGTCTCACTCTGTCACCCAGGCTGGAGTGCAATGGCATGATCTCAGCTCACTGCAATCTCCACCTCTTGGCTTCAAGCAATTCTTCTGCCTCAGCCTCCCGAGTAGCTGGGATTACAGGCGTGCACCACCACACCCTGCTGATTTTTGTATTTTTAGTAGAGATGGGGTTTCACCATGTTGGCCAGATTGGTTTCGAACTCCTGACCTTGTGATTTGCCCTCCTTGGCCTCCCAAAGTGCTGGGATTACAGGCGTGAGCCACCGCACCCGGTTGCATGTGTCTTTTTGGTAGAACAATTTATTTTCCTTTGGATATATACCTGTTAATGGGATTACTGGGTTGAATGGTAGTTCCAAGTTTTTTGAGAAATCTCCAAGCTGCTTTCCACAGTGACTGAACTAATTTACATTCCCAGTAACAGTGTGTAATAAGCATTCCCTTTTCTCAGTAGCCTTGCCAGCATCTGTCAATTTTTGTCTTTTTAGTAATAGCTATTCTAACTGGTGTGAGGTGGTATCTCATTGTGGCTTTGATTTGCATTTCTCTGTTGATTAGCAATGTTGAGCATTTTTCCATGTTTGTTGACCACTTGTATGTCTTCTTTAGAGTAGTGTCTGTCTGTTCATGTCCTTTGCCCACTTTTTAATGGGGTTATTTGTTTTTTGCTTGTTGAATTATTTAAATTCCTTATAGATTCTGTATATTAGGCCTTTGTTAGATGCATAGTTTGTCAATATTTTCTCATTCTGTAGGTCATCTATTTACTCTGTTGATAATTTCTTTTGCTGTGAAAAAGCCCTTTAGTAGTTTAATTAGGTCTTATTTATCAATTTTTGTTTTTGTTGCAATTGCTTTTTAGGACTTAATCATAAATTCTGGACAAAGCCCACATCCGGAATGATGTTTTCTAGGTTTTCTTCTAGGATTCATATCGTTTGAGGCCTTACATTTAATTCTTTAATGCATCTTGGGTAGATTTTTGCATATGGTGAAAGATAGGGGTCTAGTTTCATTCTGCATATTGCTAGCTATCCCAGCACCATTATAGAATCAGGATCCCTTTCCCCACTGCTTATCTTTGTTGACTTTGCCAAAGATCAGATGGCTGTAGGTGTGCAGCTTTATTTATGGGTTCTCTATTCTGTTCTTTTCGTCTATGTGTCTGTTTTTGTATCAGTACCATGCTGTTTTGATTACTGTGGCCGTACAGCATAGTTTGAAGTCAGGTAATGTGATGACTCTGGCTTTGCTCTTTCCTCTTAGGATTGTTTTGACTATTTGAGCTTTTTTTTTTTTTTTTTTTTTTTTTTTGGTTACACATGAATTTTAGAATAGTTTTTTTCTCCTAAGATTATTGATTTTCAATTTCTTATCTTTTTCTAATAGACTCAAAATTTCCCTGTAAACACAGATATCTACATTCTAAAAATTTTAATATATGGCATTTTTCTTACCACTTACTTCAGAATATTTTAAAATTTCCACTGATTTATTCTTTGACTCATGAGTTTTTTGAAATTATGTTTATTTATTTTCAAATATGAATATTTTCTAGTTATCTTTTTGTTAGCAATTTCCAGTTTAATTCTACACTGGTCAGAATACATTCTGTATGATTGTAATATTTGCAAATTATTTAGACTTGCTTTTCAAAAAATATCGTTAAGTGTCCCACGTGTACACATGATAGTTTGTAAATTACGTGCTTCTTGTGTGCAGAGTTCAAAATAAGTAAAATAATCTTAACTGTGTTATCAAATCTTTTATATCTGTACTAATTTTTTACTTGTTCTATTACTTACTGAGAGAGCTGTATTAATCTCCACCATTGTGTTTATAAATTTGCTTATTTTTCTGTTTAGCTCCATTAATCATTATTGCTTTAGATGTCTTGAGGCCATATTATTAGGTACATACACATTTATAAATATGATATCTTCATTATGAAGTAAATATTTTATCTCATTACAAAATGACCCTCTAGTAATGCTTCTTGCCTTGAAGTCTGCTGGATCATACCAACGATTTTTTTAATCCAATTTATTGATATACAATTTCATGTAATATAACTCACCCTTTGTATGTGTACCCTTTACCAAGTTTTGACGAATTTGTGTAACCATGGAAGCACCACTATGAGCAAGATAAATACTATTTCCATCACTTTATAATATTCCTTTTTGCCTCTCAGAGGCAATACCATCTTACTATTTGTCTCAGCATGTTACTTTTTTACTTATTTGCCACTTAAAAAATTTATTTCAATCTTCCCCTTTACTAGCTTGTTATAAACTACTTATTGTGTTGTAGTTTATGGTATTATTCATATCATAATTGGTATGCAAAACATACATAATAAGTTTTACAAAAAATATAAATTAATGACATTTGATTGGTTACCTTAGAGTTTACAGTATGCTTTCCTGACTTATTAAATGTTTTTAAATGTTCCAGTTCATGCAAAGATAATAGAATGCTTTAACTCCATTTATCTACTCCTGACATATCTGTTATTGTCATTGGTTATTTCAATTATCTTTATATTTCAAATCCTATGAGAATTTTTATTTAACATTGGCAATACTCATTTAGATTTACATATGTTAATTATTTTACCTTTCATATATCTTTGAGCTTCCATCTGGGACCATTTTCCTTCTCTCATGTATTCCTTTTTGTCTGTTGTTACAAATTAGCTCCATTTTTGTCTCTAAGTGTCCATATTTTGCCTTTATTTTTGAAGAATATTTTCCCTGGGCGTAGGGGTCTAAGTCAGCAGTAATTTTCTCTAGCATTTTTAAGATATCACTCTGGGCTGGGCGCGGTGGCTCATGCCTGTAATCCCAGCATTTTGGGAGGCCAAGGCAGGTGAATCATGAGGTCATTAGTTCAAGACCAGCCTGGCCAGGATGGTGAAACCCCGTCTCTACTAAAAATACAAAAATTAGCCAGGCACAGTGGCGGGCGCCTGTAATCCCAGCTACTTGGGAGGCTGAGGCAGGAGAATCGCTTGAACCCAGAAAGTGGAGGTTGCAGTGAGCCAAGACCATGCCATTGCACTCCAGCCTGGGTGACAGAGCAAGACTCCGTCTCAAAAAAAAAAAAAAAAAAAAAAAAAAAAGGAAAGAAAAGATATCACACTCTGAATTTTTGGCTTCCATTGTTTCCGGCAAGAGTCAGCTAATAGTAATATGTATTTTTAATCCATTCTCTTGTTTATTTTCTCTTTTTACTTATTTTTCATCCATTTTATTATGATGTTATGATTAAGATTTGTAGTGCTTCTTGAATCTGTGGCAAAGTATCTTTCCATAGTTTTAAAAATGTGTTTTCAGTCATTAGGTTTTCAAATATTACTTGTATCTCTTTTATAAAAAGTTTCTATATCTAGGACCTCAGTGACTGGTGTACGGACCTTTCCATTACGTTCATATGCCTTATACATTATTTTCTGTAATTTTCCACCCATTTGTGTCTCAGTTCATATTTCCTTCTGACCTATCTTCTGGTTCACCAATTTTCTCTTTAGTTGTGTACCATCTGTAGTAAGTTTATTCACCAATTTCTTCATTTTAGTTACCATATGTATTTAGTTCTAGAATGTTTAGTTGTTTTCTACAGTTTATAGTTTGCCCAAAATTTTAATCTCATCTTTTAATTCTCTGAAGATACTAATCATACCTCTTTTAAAATTTGCATCTGCTAATTCCATTATTTCTATCCCCTATTGGTCTTTGATTGCTTTTTCTCTTTCTCTTTTTATTTTTTGTCATGTATTATCTTCTTATATGGTTCACTATTTTCAAATAATCTGAATACTTTGATTTTTTATTTTGAAGTAATTTTAGATTTACAGGTGAGTTGTAAAATAGCATAAACAGTTCCCATATACCCTTCCCCTGATGTTAACATCTTACACTATTATGCTGCACTTATCAAAACTAAACATTTAACAATGATACAATACTATTGGCTAAAACTATAACATGGTACTCAGGTTTCACCAGTTTTTCCACTAGTGCTTTTCTCCTCCGTAATTTAATATAGGATACCATGTTGCCTCCTCCAATCTGTGACAGATTCTCAGTCTTTTCTTGTTTTTTTATTACTTTGATATTTTGAAGCATACTGGCTATATATTACAGAATTCCCTTCTATTTGGATTTATCTGAAGTTTTCTCATGATTACATGGGGTTTTGGGATTTTGGCAAGAATATTACAGAATTGACATGCCCATCTTATATCTTCTTATCAGTGGGTATCAACATGACTTCTTACTGATGATATTAACTTCAGTAGAAGTTACGGTTAAGGTGGTATGTTCCAGATATCTCTACTCAAAAGCTATAATTTTTCCCCTTTCTTACTGGATTCATTAGAAGTGGATCGCTAAGTCCAGTCTACACTCAAGGGTTGGGGAATGTGTAGGTACATGTTAAAACCATCACAATATTTAAATATTACAAATAAGAAATCTTGAGGCTATTTAAATATCTTATTGCTCTTTAAAGTTTCTCCTACTATTTTAGCATTTATCAGTAGATCGTGACAGTAGCAATTATTCCTGTGGTATGCTCATGGTTATTTTTTATTTATCACATTGCTTCATATTTATAATCTGAAATGTTTCTCTTGTAAAGATTTGTCAATTCCTCCTCATTTGTTTGTTTATTTGATTATTTAATTATACTAGCATGGACTCATGGATCTTTATTTTATTCTTTGGGTTACAATCCAAGACTATTGTTGCCTATTTTGTGCTCAAATTATTACAGCTTTTGCTATTAAAAGCTCCTTTAGGTTTTTTTTTTTTTTGACATGTTCTCATTATAATTTAAAAAATTAGTGATTCTAACTGATATACGGATATAGTGGTATCTCATTGTGGTCTTAATTTGTGTTTTTCTGATGACAAATAATAGAGTGCATTTATTACATGCTTGTTTGCCTTCTGAATATCTTTTTCTTGGTAAAGCATCTTTTCATATCTTATTTGGTCTACTTTTAAATTGGGTTGTTTGTTTTATTCTTATTGAGGTGTAAGATTTCTGGATACAAATCCATGATCGGATATGTGATTAGTATGATTAGCAAATGTTTTCTCTCAGTTGGTGATTTGTCTTTACTTTCACTTAATAGTGTCTGTTGAAGAGCAAATATTTTTAATTTTGATGTCAACTTATCATTTTTTAATTTTATGGATTATGTTTTTGGTATTATATTTAAAAACTTATCAAAAGCTAAATCATGCAAATTTTCTTCTATGTAGTCTTTCAGAAGTTTTAACATTTTACATTTTACCTTTAGGTCTATGATTCATTTTGTGTTAATTGTTGTATAAGGGATAAGGTGTGTGTTGAGATTTATTACTTTATATGAATATTCAGTTGTTCCAGCACTATTTGTTGAAAAGACTATCCTTTCTTCATTGATTTATTTTTATCACTTTGCCAGAATTCAGTTCACTACATTTGTGTGGGTTTATTTTTGGGCTCTCTATTCTGCTTTGTTGATCTATATGGTTATGTTTTCACTAACACCTCACTGTCTTTATTATGATAGCTTTGTAGTAAGTGTTAAAACTGAGTAATATGAGTCCTCCAACTCAGTTCTTTTTGCAAATTGTTTTGGCTAATCTATTTCTTTGTCTTTCTGTATAAATTTTCGAACTAGCTTAAATTTTTTAGATTCATCTTTTAAAAAAATCTCTTGGGACTTTTATTGTGATTGCATTCAATTTATAGATCAAATTTGGAAGAATTACCTCTTAACAATATTGAGTCTTCAAATCTATGAAAACCAGATAGCTTTCCATTTATTTATATCTTCTTTGATTTCTTTTATTAGTGCTTTGTAGTTTTCAGCATACAAATCCTGCACATATTTGGTTAGATTTATATCTAAGTACTTTATATTTTTCATGCTGTTTTATATGGTATTTATTATTTTACTTCAAATTCCAATTGCCAGTTGCTGGTAGATAGTAATAGATTTGATTTTGCACATTGGCCTTATTTTGTGAAACATTCCTAAACTAGGAGTTTTTTTGTAGGTTTGGGGAAAATATTCTACATAGCCAATCATTCAGCTGCAAATAGGTATTGTTTTGTTTCTTCTTTTTGATATGTATTAAATATTTTGTTCTTTGACATGCCTGATTGTACTGGCTGGTACTTCCAATATGATATTGAACTGTGAGCAGAGAGAAAGAATATCCATTTTTTGTTTCTGATGTTATAGGCAAAGTATTCAGTTTCTCACTATTCCACAATCTCTCTCTCCAAATATATTTACAGGAACATGCTTTATTAGGTGTGCTTTATTAGGTTAAGAAAATTACCTTCTATTTCTACTTTGCTGAGATTTGAATTTTGTTAAATGATTATTCTGCATTGAGATGACTAACTTTTCTCATTTAGTCTGTTAATGTGGCATGTAACATAGAATAATTTTCAAATGGTAAAACACCCTTGCATTTTTGGAATGCACTGCAGTTGGTCATAAGGTATTATCCATTCTATTTACTGTTGAATTCAATTTGTTAATATTTTGCTGAAAATTTTTGTGTCTGTGTGTCTGAGGATATTAATGTGTAGTTTCCTTTCCTTTTAATGTTTTTATTGATATTATTTTTTTCTTCTTGTATCATCTCTATTTCCTTCAAGTTTTTCCCTCCCTGATTGTTTGCTTGGATGTACCATTCATATTGGATAATTTTCTAAATATCTGATGATTCCTAGTTGTCTGCAGACATTTTAAGATTTGGGGACTAAAAATCTGTGTGCTTGTAGGGCTTGTTTCCTGTGGACTTCACTAAAGGGCTATCTGGCTAAGCATTTTCCCTGAAGAATTTCAAATTTCTGTCTCTTTTTGTGTCTCTCTATTTTGAGCTGATCAAATTCCTTTGAAAAAATATTTCAATCTTTTAGTCTGGAAAATGCAAGCTTGGCTGAGGATCTCAATATTTGGTGTAAACACTTTTATTTAATGCCCCAGCTTTTAATGTGGTATTGTGTTTTTCTGGTATCACAGATTCTCCATTTTACCTCCTTCAGAGACTCCTCCACCAGTTGTATGCCCGTGAGATGACAAAGAAAGGGATGTGGGAGTTCTTTAAACAAATCTTCAATTAGTCCTGTTTTCAGCCCACGTTTCCCTTGCTGTGAGAAGGACATGGCAATGTAAATTCCTGAGGCTTTATGGTAATTCACATTTTCCATAATGTAAACCTGGTTGACTCACCTTTTCTTTCTTTGCCTTCTTAGGACTCGATATTAGAGTCTTTTAAGCCAGTCACCCAATCTTTCTTCTTTCTATCTTCCAAAATATTATTGAGATGCCTCCTCTTTCCTCTTTCGTTCTCTTTGTCCTTGTGGGCTTATGTGCTCCAAAAATGCAGTTATTTTCATTTTATTAGGGTTCAAAGGGGAACACAGGCTAACACAGGTTTGAGTGCATTAAGCCAACCATTTTTTAATCAGAGAATTCTATTACATTGTACTGTTTCCCTCTAGTCACACTTGGGTAAGGGTTTTAGTCTCCACATTTAAGTCAGGCATAAATATCATGAGAACACTGGCAGGTAGAAAAAATAACATTATTCATTTCAAAAGAAAGGGGAAAATGTATCGTTTTCTTTTAATATTTTTGTTGATACGTGTTTTTTCTTCTCCTGTATAATGTCTATTTCCTCCAAGTTTTTCCCTCCCTGACTGTTTGCTTGGGTGTGCCTTTCATATTGGATGAAATGAAATGGTCCTTATTTGTGCCCTAAGAGAGGACTGAAAGCCTTCGATAGAGATACATTTGCTTGTTTCTTTATTAACAGTCTAATTCTACATCTTTCAGCCCCCATTTAAAGTTTTCTTGACATGAAGATCCTAGAGGCATTTTCTTCAGAACTGAACCAGGGGTAATCAGTCTCTGTAGGGGATCACAGCAAACTGCTTCAAGAAAAGCTTCAGGAGTCGCCTGTGTCTTCCCACAACACCTGCTGTCACAGGACTGATATTTCTTAACAAGCCCTGCCTCTCCACCCCTGCCTCCAAGACCAGGACTCCGCCCCATCAGCTGGCCCCTGTGACATGCTCCCCCAACCCCAATTAATTCTTCCTACTGCACTCAAAAAGACATCGCCACAAGGAAAGGAGACATTTATATAATTATTTTTCCTGTACTGTTGGTGCGAAGCCAGTTACCAGGCACTGTGCAGGTAACCCATGAATATCTCTTGAATTTGCTGAATCATAAACTGTCATCAAAGAGACACAAACCAACTTAGCTCAGCCCACTGATGGTCTCGATTGAGTGATCCTATAAAAATATCATTATTTCCTCACTTTTGAGTTGTCCACATGAGAAAATGTGGTTAGAGGAAAGCCTTTTTATTCAACATGATCAGGATGGATAGCTGGTTGTTTAAGCAAATAAAATCTGTTAATGTAAGAACTCACAAATACAAAAATGTATTTCTCCCTTATTCATTTAACCTAACGTATATAAATATATGTCCATTTACCAATCTTTTTAGGTAGGGCTAACACCTTTTCTTTGAACATGGCAAAGTCTACAAAGGAGTAGACTTTGCCTTTCTTTTATCAATGTGATGGTTAATTGCATGTGTCAACTTGCCTGCAACACATGGTGCCCAGATTAAATATTATTTCTGGGTGTATCTATAAGGGTTTTTCCAGATGAGATTAGCATTTGAATCAGTAGATCCAGTAAAGTAGATTACCCTTCCCAGTGTAGGTGGACATCATCCAGTGCTTTGAGGTCCTGAATAGAACAAAAAATGAAGGAAGAGGGAATTTGCCCTTTTTGCTTCCTCCCTGCCTGCTGGAGCTGGACATTTCATCTCTTCTTCTCTGGCCCTCCAATGGGAATTTACACCACTGGCTTCCCTGGTTCACAGGCTTTCAGACTCTGACTGAATTATATCACTGGTTTTGTGGTTTTCCTGGGTTTTTACCTTGTAGACTAGCAAGTTGAAGGATTTCTCAGCTTCCCTAATTTTATGAGCTTGTAACCTTGTAACCTTGTCATAAACTATACATATACATATACATACACACATATATACATAATACATCTATATACTAATACATATGTATATACATATATGTGTGTGTATATTACATATATGTATTATTCAGTTCTTGCACTGCTATAAGGAAATAACAGAGACTGGTAATTTTTAAAGAGAAAAGGTTTAATTGGTTCACAGTTCCACAGACTATACAGGAAGTGTGGTGTTGGCATCTGCTCAGCTTCTGGGAAGGCATCAGGAAACTTACAAGCATGGCAGAAGATGAAGGGAAAGCAGGCACATCTTACACAGCCAGACCAGGAGCAAGAGAGGGAGCAGGGAGGTGTTACACACTTTTAAACAACCAGATCTCACAATAACTCACTCATTCACTATCACAAGAACAGCACCAAGGAGATGGCAGTAAACCATTCATGAAGAACCACCTCCACGATCCAATCACCTCCCACCAGGCCCCACCTCCAACACTTGGGATTACAATTTGACATGAGGTTTGGGCAGGGATACAAATCCAAACCATATCAATGTGTGTATGTGTGTGTGTGTGTGTGTGTGTGTGTGTGTGTGTGTCCCGCTCCTATTGGAATATATGGATCTATCTATCTATATGTGTGTGTGTGTGTGTGTATATATATATACATATATATCTTATTGGTTCAACTTCTCTCAAGAGCTCTGGAAAATACAATAAATCATATCCATAATGTACCATAAGTGACATTCAGTTTTGTTTCTTTAGACTCTGATGCTGGTAAAATAATTTTAGTGAAGACATGTTAGTTTTTATATTCTTTCCACCATTAATTTAAAATGAATCTTGCCATGCCTAACATAGCAGCGGATATTTAGTTTAATTTCACTTGTTATCAACTTTTTCCAAACATTCCACTTACTTCTTATGAAAAAAAAAATCCTATTTGAGTTCTCTATTGTTGCAATAACAAATTACCACGAATTTAGTGGCTTAAAACAACACACAGTTATTATGTTACAAATCTGTGGGTTAAAAGTCCAACACAATTCTCACTGGACTCAAATGAAGGTTGGACTAGGTTACTTTCTGGAAGCTCTAGGGGAAAATACATTTCCTTGCCGTCAGCTTTCTTTGGCTTAAGTCTCGCTTCCTCCATCTTTAGAGCCGGCAAAGTCAGGCTGATTCCTTCTCATGCTGCCGTCCCTCTAGTTCTTTAGCTACCTTTTTCCAGGCTCTTCCACTTTTAAGGGTGCTTGCGATTGCATTGGCTCACCTAAATAATTCAGGATAATCTTCCTATCCTAAAAGCAAAGAATTAGCAACCTTAATTCTATCTGCAAACTTAATTTCCCTTTATCATGTAATCTAACATATTCGCTGTTACCAAGGATGAAGATGGGAGCATCTTTGGGAGACTATTACTCTGCCTACCAGAGAGCCCATACTTGTTTTACCTTGATGCACATTCTGTTGAGCAAATTGCATAACTGCCAGTGTAAATCAGGTTCGGAAGCTGCTGTAAGTGAATGTTTGTGTTCCACTCAAAATTCATGTGTTGGAATCCTAATTCCCAGAGTGGCTGCATTTGGAGATGGAGCCTCCAGTGAATTAATCAATGTTAAATTAAAGGTAGGACACAAATCCAATAGGGGTTAGTGTCCTTATAAGAAAAGACATCAGAGTCTGCTCTCTCTGTCTCTCTCTCTGCGAGTACACACACACACCAAGGAAAAGCCATGTGAGGACATAGTGAGAGGGCGGCTGTCTAAGTCCAGGAAGAGGGGCCACACCAGAAACCAAATTGGCCAGAACATTGGTCTTACAATTCTTGCCTCCAGAACTGTGAGAAAATAACTTTCTGTTGTTTAAGCCAGACAGCTTATGGTATTTTGTGTGGAAGCCCAAGCAGACTAAGACAGGAGCAAACACCACTGACCACTGGTCAGTGTAAACCTCAAATGATAGGAGTAGAAGTATATATAGGGAGAAGCTTATGAAGAGGGAACAATCAGTATATCTTGGCACCTGTTGGTATTTTCTTTTTTTAAGGAAATGAAGAATGCTAGTTAAGCCGTTGAGTTGGTAAAGAAGAGGTTGGTTAAGAAAGCTTCTTTTGTGAATTCATTCTTTACTCTTCCATGAAATTTTCATTGAACTCTTAATTTAAATGTTTGAAACCTAGAGTGCACTTATAGAATTAAATGGTTAGCAAATGCATTGGCAGTGGGGTGTTTATGTAAATATGCATTTTTTTCTGGTGAAAAGTCTATAACTTTCATCTCATCTGAAAAAGTTTTTACCTAGAAAAGTTGAATTCTTACCATAGCCTGCCCTCTGTGTTGTTTTTTTACTTGGGTACAATCCATTTCCACTATTAAATTGTACATCCTCGAGACTTTCATAGCAGGAACTATACCTGATATATTTTTCAGCCAACCCATAGAGCTTACCACTATGCCTGGCACAGAGTTTATACTCAGGAAATGTTAACTTATTTTGAAGTTGGACCATTGCACTTGTGAGTTGAACAGTTGTAGAGTTAATGACCTAACCAGATTGTTCCAGTTTCAGTCACTTTACTCCAAAAAAAGCGAAATATGTTTATAATTATATACGGCTCATACAGCTTCTTGCGAAGTGGTGACATTTCATGTTTTAAGAGGAAAAAACTCTGATTCATTTTTTTAAAACTTGTTTTGGAATTTTTAAGAGGTGTTCCAATGCTCTGTGGTCAGATTGTACTCATGTCTCCAGTTGTATTGCTGTACTCCAGACCCAAAGTTGGCACCAGTGCCTTGTTGAAAATATTATCAGTGGTAAGAGACCTACTACTGAGGATTTTATTAGCACAAATGAGGCAAACGAGGGTTCCTAAGAGGAACTGAGGGTAAGAAATGTACTGATTACAAGGCTGCTCTGTCCAGAAATTTAAATATGCTGGCCATTTACATTCATTAGATTTGTGATTTAAACCACTGGAATGCTTCCCTGTTAACAGCAGTGGAAGAGTTTTTGGATTTCGTTTCTCCGTTGACTTTTCATTGGAGCTGTTGAACACTGTTCATCAGCTTGAAATGTGTTTGCAATTACTAAATGGCTGGGGGACATGGGTCTTCGATGTGCGTTTCAGCAATTCTGAGCTTGGTCTTGGAAGAGGCCAACAATTTTTCTTCCTCGCAATGCTAAGAATTCCAGCATCCTCAACCAAGAATTGGGTGAAAATATAGGGGTTATTATAGCCAACTTTCCCACCCACTGAATGCAGAAATTTGTTCTACCACAGTGTGCTTCAATGATTCCTAAACTGCAAATCATAGTAAAAAATACATTTTACACCACAACCAAGAACATGTCTTGCATGTGCAGCCTTACACACAAACAAATTTGTGAAAAAAGTTCAAAATGCCCTTACTATATACAATGTATACCAATAGCTTTACTTTTATTCTGTCTACTGATAACTGATTATTATTCATTTTATTATAATTTCTTCCATTTTACTGTATTCTGATCATATAGGTAGGTATGTGATATATATATATGATATGTGTTATATCATATATATAATATATATATATGATATGTGTTATATCATATATATAATATATATATATATGATATGTGTTATATCATATATATAATATATATATATATATGATATGTATTAATGCTGTTAGGTACATCCTAAAT
This sequence comes from Homo sapiens, assembly GCF_000001405.40. Classification (NCBI taxonomy): domain Eukaryota; kingdom Metazoa; phylum Chordata; class Mammalia; order Primates; family Hominidae; genus Homo; species Homo sapiens. The sequence goes on along the minus strand of NC_000004.12, from coordinate 15,212,695 downwards.
TGATTTCATGTCTCACTAGTGTATTGCAAGCTGCAGTTTAAAAACATTGGACTACAGAATTGCTGTCAGATATTTGGTCATTTCGTTTTCATTTGCACAATTACAGCATGGAGGAGTTTTATACTTTACGATCAGTATTCATATATGTAATACTTAAAAAATTTTTTAAGTATTCAGTTAACAACTAAAGATTGACTATATTCAAGGTATACAACAAATTGGTTAGGTACACATATAATGGTGCATAATGATTTCCACAATCAAATTAGGGCTAACACGTTGATCACCACTCATGATACACATTAGCTTTCCAGAACTTGTTCATCTTTTAAATGAAAGTTTGTCCTCTTTGATCAGTACCTCTCCATTTCCTTCACCTTTAACCCCTGGTAACCACTGTTGTACTCTCTGCTTCTGTGAGTTTGAATTTTTTAGATCCTATACTTAAATGAGACCATGCAGTATTTTATCTTTATGTGTATGGCTATTTCACTTAGCATAATGTCCTCTATGTTGTCGCAAGTTTTCAAGAAGGAAAACTGGCAATTTGTGTAACAGGTTTTGAAGAACTGTGTTTTAATAGTGCCTACTTATGTCATGCACTACTCTACACTATGGAATGAAGCATTTTCTACCTTTAAGAAATGTTCTCTCTAGCTCAGGCTTGAACCTGGGCAAGGCCCAAATCTCAAGATGTAGAAAATAGTGTGGCCAATAGGACTAGCAGGAGTCTGCAGGACAATGAAGTCTCCCTAGTTTTCTACATAACTTCAGGATTTTAAGGTGTTACTACTCTCAGCTGAAATTCCTTTTATCTAGTACAAAAATCTTCTAAAAATTTGTGGTCAATCTGATTAAATACACTTTAGGGGTATTGAAGACATGGCCTGAAGTCTACTTATAATGTTCACATTATTAATTTAGTTACATATTTTAAATACTATATTAATATACGTGATAGAGTATAATATGAACAATATTATATAAAATGATATGTTAGTTTAAAAATATTTTTTCCTATGTCACATTTCATGAAAGAACTGTATTCAATTCCACAAAGTAACTCTTTGCTGTTACTTTTTTGGTCATTGCTAGATCTGCTTTGTGAGTCATCTAAGTGAGATGTCTAGAGCAAATCAGCTTTATTCCCATTTAAGTTATTTGGGATCCAAAGCCTTTTGGATCCATGATGCTGTCACTGTACTTTTTTTTTTTTTTTTTTTTTGAGATGGAGTCTTGCTCTGTCACCCAGGCTGGAGTGCAGTAGCACAATTTCAGCTCACTGCAAGCTCCACCTCCCGGGTTCACGCCATTCTCCTGCCTCAGCCTCCCGAGTAGCTGAGACTACAGGCGCCCGTCACCACGCCCGGCTAATTTTTTGTATTTTTAGTAGAGACGGGGTTTCACCGTGTTAGCCAGAATGGTCTTGATCTCCTGACCTCGTGATCCGCCCGCCTCGGCCTCCCAAAGTGCTGGGATTACAGGCGTGAGCCCCTGCGCCCGGCCCGCTGTACATTTTATTCCAAGCTATAGATACCTGTTGTCATAGTTTTCTTTCATTCTTTCTGTGTAATATTTACACAGCAACTAGTTACTAAATTGGTTTTTGTAGTAACTTGATTGAGATATAATTCACATGCCATACAATTTCAGTGTGTACAAGTCAGTGGTTTTAGTATATTCACAGAGCTATGCAGCCATGATCACGCTCAACTTTAGCACATATTGTCACCTTCCAAGTCCACATCTGTTAGTGGTCGCTGTATAATTACTCCCAATCCCTCAGCCCTCATCAAGCACTGATCTGCTTTTTATCTCCATGAATTTGCCTGTTCTGAACATTTGATATAAACATAATTGTACAATATGTTTCCTTGTGACTGGTGCTTTCACTTAGCATTATGTTTTCAAGGTTCATCTATGTTATAGCGTGTATCAGTATTTCATGTATTTTTATTTAAATTGGTATTTAAAATCATTTTTGAAAGGCTTGTTTAAAACGATAAGCAGTGCTTCTATCTGGAAATCATACTCTTTAACCCCAGAAATAATTACTAAATCTGTGTTAAATTCATTTTCTTCCTTTTAAAAACCCAGTGCTGTCAAGCAGTAACCTCTATCACTTTGAAAATCAACATTGAGTACATTTCAGGCAAATATATCTTGACAAATAGTTCATTGGTCCAGATAATTAGAAAAACTCTTTTTATATGAGATCTATTGTAAACTCATGAAAATAAGGCAGCTTCCTTTGTTCTGAAAAATAATTTTAGGGAAAACCCTCATATCGTTAGGAATATGTATTTAGTGGAAATCAAAGGGGTTGTGATGCAATCTTTCAGTCAACAAGGGGACAGGAAGTATTATTTCTTGAAAACTTACCAAAAGCCAGATACTGTGCTTGGCAGTCTATATATTTTATCTTATTCAATCTTCACAATACCCCATGGAGAAGGAAATATTATCTTGATTTTATAAATAAGGAAACTGAGTGTTCAGGTTGAGAAGTGGATAGGGGATCCCTCCAGTCCCACTTGCTTGACCTTTTTCTGTACATGATGCCTGACCTCCCCCTTTCTATCTGTCTGATTTCACGTAGTATGCATCTCATTTACTGCTGTGAGCTGAATGTGTCTCCCAAAATTCATATGTTGAACTTAGTGGCCGATGTATACTATTAAGAGGTGGGGTCTTTTAGGAGGTGATTAAGTCATGAGGGTGCAGTCCTCATGGGTGGGATGAGGGCCCTTATAAAAGGGCTTGAGGGCTGGGCACAGTGGCTCACGCCTGTAATCCCAGCATTTTGGGAGGCCAAGGCAGGCAGATCACCTGAGGTCAGGAGTTCGAAACCAGCCTGCCCAACGTGGCGAAACCCTGTGTCTACTAAAAATACAAAAAATTAGACAGGCGTGGTGGTGGGCACCTGTAATCCCAGCTACTCGGGAAGCTGAGGCAGGAGAATTGCTTGAACCCAGGAGGGAGAGGTTGCAGTGAGCCAAGATCACGCCACTGCACTCCAGCCTGGGCGACAAGAGTGAAACTCCATCTCAATAAATAGATAAATAAATAAAAATGTAAAAAAAAAGGGCTTGAGGGAGTGGGTTCACTCTCTTCTGTCTTCTGCCATGTAGGGACACAGACTTTGTCCTCTTTTTTCCTTTTCATCTTTTGCCATGTGAAATGCAGGAAGAGGGCCTTCACCTGACACAGTGAACCTACCAGCACCTTGATCTTGGACTTCTCAGCCTTCAGGACTGTGAGAAAATAGATTTCTGTTCTTTATCAATTACGGAGTCTCAGGCATTTTGTGATAGCAGCATAGGAATGAAGCGAGGCATTCACCATGAAGTTCAGTCAAGAGTTCCTTGTCTCCAGACATACTATTGCATGGTGTTCAAGTGTTGTGGCAGAGACCCTAAGGCTTGCTAAATATCCCACACGCCCTCCTACGTTTCTCAGTTTTCCTTGTGGTTAGCACAGATCCATATTCCTTGTTCTGGCCAAATGGCTATAAATGGAAGTGCAACTTCCAGTTGGAAATAATAAAGGATGATGTAAACTTACAAATGTTTCTCTCTTGCTGGGAGTACCTTGTAGTCATGTGCTGAAATGACATAATGACAAGATGGTGGTACATCCATATATTAGGTCTTTATTATGGGGATCATGTCTGGGACATGTAGTATGAGCAAGAAACAAATGTCTATAAGTCATGAAATATCAATGTTAATATATTCCACAGCATAAGCTATCTACTGTGATTCATAAATATATTAGACTTAGTTTTCTTTTAGTTCAATTGACTTTAATTGAGAACTTACTATGTGGGATAATATTTCAGGCTTCATAAGGGTTGGGACCTTCAAGTGGGGACCCAATAAAAAGCCCTCATCTTCCCCCAGCTGAATTTTGAACCAAATGAAAAGTAAAAGAGTCAGTAGGCAGGGCCAATATATCATTTTTTAAAACCCTGATAATACTGATATTGCAAAAACAGAAAAGTGGGATTTTTAATGCAATCCCCAGAATTAGAAAGACTGACACACCCAGCCACAGGGGCATTTTTGGCATGGAGAAGCAACTGCTCATTGCAGACAATACTCTCCTATGAGAAAGCAATGAAGATGGTGCTGAACTACGTGTGCTTAACTTCGTCTTCTGCATCTTCCAATCAGAAAAGTAATTCCATTTGACCTGGGGAGGAGGAGAGAGGATAAAAGCACTACACCATGGACAGAAGCATGGAGAAAGAGAAGGTGCTTTCTCCCTAACATTAGGGTTTCTCTAAACACTTGGTACAATGCCTGGTACAGAGTAATCTCAATAAATCTTAAATGTTGATCCTGACAATGCTGGTGTGGTCTGCAAGACACTATGGCAGGTGCTGGGACTATATGGCTGAATGACACAGACTGCACTCTTGAGATGCTCACATGCTGGTGAGGGAAAGAATAGGTAATGATAAACCAAGATATAAGTACTTGACAGGTGGCTAAGGCACCAGGTGGGTAGAAGAAGGGACATTTAAGTCTGATCAGATATAGGGTCTGAGTAGTGTACATAGGAATTTGTGGGACATTAACAAAGATAGAGAGAAAGCACATTCTATGAAAAAGGAAACACATGAGCACAATGTGTAGAGAAAACAACACTGGTCACATGGCATAGAGTGAGTATTAAGCATAAGCAGGGTCAAAATATATTGAGAGATGAGGCTTGAAGAGTGAGTCAGGGGCCAGATCCAAGAAATTTGATGGATTTTAAATGAGGGTATGACATGGTCAAACTTTTTCTTTGGTTTACTAAGAACAAGATAAATCTAAGATGATATATTCATCTGTTCTCATGCTGCTATGAAGAAATACCTGAGACTGGGTAATTTATTTAAAAAAAAGAGGTTTAATTGACTCACAGTTCTGCATGGCTGGAGAGGCCTTGGGAAACTTACAATCATAGTGGAAGCACCTCCTCACAGGGCAGCAGGAGAGAGAATGAGTCCAAGCACAGGAAAAACCAGATACTTATAAAACCATCAGATCTTTTAAGACACACTCACTGACACAAGAAGAGCATGGGTAAACTGTCCCCATGATTCAATTACCTCCACCTGGTCCTGCCCTTGACGTGGGGATTACAAGTCAAGGTGACATTTGGTGGGGACACAGAGCCAAACCATGTCATTTTGCTTCTGGTCCCCCCCAAATCTCATGTCCTTACTTTTCAAAACATAATCATGCCCTTCCAACAGTCCCCCAAAATCTTAACTCATTCCAGCATTAACTCAAAGTCCAAGTCCAAAGTCTCATCTGAGACAAGGCAAGTACCTTCCACCTATGAGCCTGTAAAATCAAAAGCAAGTTACTTTTTAGATACAATGGGGGTACAGGCATTGGGTAAATATACCCATTCCAAATGGGAGAAATTGGTCAAAACAAATGGGTTACAGTCTGCATGCAAGTCCAAAATCCAACAGGGCGGTCATTAAACCTTAAAGTTCCAAAAGGAACTTTCATGCTCTGCTTCCTTTTGAATGCTTTGCTGCTTAGAAATTTCTTCTGCCAGATACCTTACATCATCTCTCTCAAGTTCAAAGTTCCATGGACCTCTAGGCAGGCACAAAATGCCACCAGTCTCTTTGCTAACACATAGCAGGAGTCCCCTTTGCTTCATTCCCCAAGAAGTTCCTCATCTCCATCTGAGACAGCCTGAACCTGGACATCATTGTCCATATTGTGATCAGCACTTTGGTCAAAACTATTCAACAAGTGTCTAGGAAGTTCCAAACTTTCCCACATCATCCTGTCTTCTGAGCCCTCTAAGTCTCTAGGAAGTTCCAAACTTTCCCATATTTTCCTGTCTTCTTCTGGGCCCTCCAAACTGTTCCATCCTCTGCCTGTTATCCAGTTCCAAAGTTGTTTCCACATTTTCAGCACCCCATTTTCAGCTATACTTTTATAGCAGCACCCCACTCCTGGTACTAATTTACTATATTCATCTGTTCTCATGCTGCTATGAACACATATCCGAGACTGGGTAATTTGTAAATAAAAGAGGTTTAATTGACTCACCATTCTGCATGGCTGGGGAGGCCTCAGGAAACTTACAATCATGGTAGAAGACACCTTTTCACAGGGCGGCAGGAAAGAGAATGAGTGCGAGCAGGGGAAATGCCAGAGGTGTATAAAACCACCAGATCTTGTGAGACACACTCATTATCACAAGAATAGCATGGGGGAACTGCTCCCATGATTCAATTACCTCCCCCGGTCCTGCCCTTAACACATCGGGATTATGGGGATTACAATTCCAGGTGAGATTTGGGTGGAGACACAGAGCCAAACCATATCAGATGACATTTAGTAGGAGTTAATATATAAGTCAGAAAAAGATTAAAATCTTGAGATAAAATTTGGGCTTCAAAGTTGTATATATGACATTTAAAGCCGTTAGACTGGATGAGATCACCTAAGGAGAGTAGAGGTTGAGAAGGGAAAGGGGGCCTGGGAAATGCTCTAGGCACTTCAAGCCATTGGGAAGAAATTAACAACAACAACAATAACAAAACTGCAAAACTGGTTAGATGGAAGTCTGAAGAAAGTGAGGACATGGACACCAGAAGAAGCTGGTGAAAATATAGTATCTCTAAAGATGGTAGAGAATAACAACAATAGAACAAGGGAGGGTGTACTTGGCTGAATGCTGCTGTGAAGTCAAGTGCCAGAAGGATAGAGAAATGGTCAGTGAATTTGGCAACTCAAGTCACTGCTGGCTTTGACAAGGGTGGTCTCAATAGTGTTGGGGAAGGAAGCTTGCATTGAAAGGAGAAGTTTGGGGGATCAACAGGAGATACCAATTGCATCTACCTCTTTGGGAGCTTTGCTTGAAGAGAAGCAGATTAATGAGCAGTGCTTGAAAGGAGATAGGTAGTCATGGAGTGTTATTTTATCTTTAAAATTGGTGGATAGTCAAGATATTTGTGTGTTGATAGGGATGATTCATAGTAACTTTTCTAAAATATTTGTTGCATGATTGGATTATAATAGAGTTTTCAAAATAAAATGGAGAGGAGACACACACATACACACACAAAGCAAAACTTCTTGAGATGAACTAGCAGAAGGGAAGAAGCCTATTAAAGTCCATTTGGTTTCACTTTCTCAAATTCACCCTTTGCAGTGGTCCCAAAACATGATTGTGGAATCCCAAAGCTCTGACCTTGAATTGGGAAAACACTCTGTTAAAAAAAAAAAAGTGATATCTCTAGAGATGGTAGAAAGTAATGACAACTATAAAGAAAGTGGCCAGGCACGGTGGCTCATGCCTGTAATCCAAGCACTTTGGGAGGCAGAGGTGGGTGGATCACCTGAGGTTAGGAGTTCGAGACCAGCCTGGCCAACAAGGTAAAATCCTGTCTCTATTAAAAATACAAACTTGGCCTGTGTTGTGGCGTGCACCTGTAGTCCCAGCTACTTAGGAGGCTGAGACAAGAGAATCGCTTGAACTCAGGAGGTGGAAGAGCCAAGATTGTGCCACTACACTCCAGCCTGGGTGATAAAGTGAGAAGCTATCGAAGAAGAAGAAAAAGAAGAGGAAGAGGAAGAGAAAGAGAATGATGGTGATGATAATAGCAACTAACATTTATGGAGCACTTAACAAAATGCCACCATTTTAGTCTAAGCATGTAGCATGTCTTATTTCAGTCAATCTTCATAATAAGACTTGGGAGAGAGGTACTATTATTACTCTTATTTACAAGTTCCTTTATTGGGGCTTGGGTATGGAAACAACTTGCTCAAGAACTCATAGCTAATAACTGGCAGAGCTTGGGTTCAAGCCCCAATTTATCTAATTCCAGATCCTCTTACTTCTTCTTCATGGGAAAGAAGTGGTGACAAGGAATGGACCAAAGAGTGCCTTCCTAAAAGTATTCATTTTTCACAAGAGTGATAAAAAGGAGACCCCACAAAGAAAGCAAGCCGAGCCTTGAAAAGCAGCTTTGGAAAATTAACTTCCATCTTCCCAGGCAAGCAACATCCTTCATCTATTTATTTTTTTTTTCCCATAGAACAGAAGAATGTATACCACTCATCATTACTCTTCCTGACAGCAGAAGATTACATGCTGGCTTGACTGAGTTTCTGTCAAGGAGAATTTATTGCAATTTCATTTTTTTTTTTAATTTAAGTTTTAGGGTACATGTGCACATTGTGCAGGTTAGTTACATATGTATACATGTGCCATGCTGGTGCGCTGCACCCACTAACTCGTCATCTAGCATTAGGTATATCTCCCAATGCTATCACTCCCCCCTCCCCACCACAGTCCCCAGAGTGTGATATTCCCCTTCCTGTGTCCATGTGATCTCATTGTTCAATTCCCACCTATGAGTGAGAATATGCGGTGTTTGGTTTTTTGTTCTTGCGATAGTTTACTGAGAATGATGATTTCCAATTTCATCCATGTCCCTACAAAGGACATGAACTCATCATTTTTTATGGCTGCATAGTATTCCATGGTGTATATGTGCCACATTTTCGTAATCCAGTCTATCATTGTTGGACATTTGGGTTGGTTCCAAGTCTTTGCTATTGTGAATAATGCCGCAATAAACATAAGTGTGCATGTGTCTTTATAGCAGCATGATTTATAGTCATTTGGGTATATACCCAGTAATGGGATGGCTGGGTCAAATGGTATTTCTAGTTCTAGATCCCTGACAAAGATGGTTATTAAAAGGCATGGCTATTTTGCATTTTATATGCAAGTCCTAAAAATATGTCAGGTTTGATCTTCTTCTACAAAACCACCTTGTATAAACTTCCTGCTTCTCTTTCTCTTCTCCCAGCTCTCAAGTTCTCCTGTCCTTTGCACGTCACTGCTGTTGCCAGATCTCTCCCTGGGCAGCCCAGCTTGCAATGGCCTTGTCCCACATTTTGTCTTGCCCTGCTTTTTGTCTGCAAAGTCGAATCTTTATTGTATTTTAAGCAGAACTTAGAATGCTTCCTCTCCACAAATCCTTGTCAAGTGCCTGACTGGAGACCACCAAATAGCTCTAAAGCCATCGTGACCTGTCGATCAGCCACTCTGAGGAAATGAAAGCCAAGATTCCCAGAACATGATAATATAACTACTGAAATAAAAAAAGGTCCTGTATGTGGAGTAATTATTGCTTGTTAAAAGCTGGCAGATGGGCTAAGTGCTTTGTGTATGTTGCCTGTGACTGCAAAACAATGCCTCATTTACCTTTATGCCCAAATTAGAACAGTTTGAGTCCTACTAACATGATTTCTGGGAAGTAGCCCTTTGCAAGGCATCTGGCTGTATCTCAGAGGTCCGAGGTGCTCAGGGACATGAACTTTGAGTTCCTCCACCCATAGTTCTTATTATGCTCCCATGCTACTTCCTCTACTGCTGATGGCTGGTGGGATGGCCACTCTTCTGTGAAGAGGGGTAGCTAGTAGTTATTCTTTCTACCAATTTTGCATCGGGGGATTGTGGCATTGTTCTTCCTCTTGCTACTCCATCTGCAGCACAAGATATTACCACATATAATACCTAAAAAAAAAAAACTGGATTTGGGGTGTGGAACAGGAGTGCATTGAAGCTTCAGGGATAATGGAAGGGCTGTGCACTGTGGGTAATAACGTATCATTCCTCCCAGCTGGCTCAATCTCATCCCAGGGGCTTTTCTCAGACCCCCTCCCTTCGTATCTGATGGTGTGTTCTCCATGTGCTGGGCCTTTCAGCCAGCTTCCCACCACCACAAACTCTCCAGGCATCTTCATACTTTGGGTTCTGGGCTAAACTGATTCTCACCTAGTGTGGGACTCATGCAGGTCCTTGTTTCCCTTCTCAGCATCAGCATCTTCCAGGATGAGTGATAGCAAGGACCTTAGTTCTCTGTAAGGAAAACCACTATCCACAGAGCCATAGCCTGGCCCAGTGACTCAGAGGAGACAATCCCACAATTGTCTAACATTGGTACATCACCAAAAGATAGAGTTCTTCCAAGGAAAATAAACTCACAGTGTTGAGGAGGGAGCTCCTTTCCCCACCTTCATGCCTTCATGCTTCCATGTGGAGAGAGCTCCACTGAGTGACACTCTTGGCTCTCACCTTGTTCCCTCTCCAGGGAAGGAGTAATGACTTGTCTGATAAGTGTGTTTACTAGGCTCATTCGTCTCCTCCGTCACTGCATATTTGCTGAAGTGAACATTCAGGAACAAGTCTTCATAGAACCTGAGGTCATTCAGCCCTGCCAATGTCTGTGGGGTGGTACATTTGTTTACTTCAGGGGTGAAGTTTTAATAAGAAATATTTTCATTTCTATTTACTTGATTCCTAAGGTTTTCTACTACTTGATTTCTAAACTCAAAAAATGGGAAAGGGGAGTGTCACTTTAGCTCTCTAAACCAAAATCTCAGTGTTGAAGAACAAAGCCCAAGGTTGGTAGAGCTGTGCCCACCTCAGTTCACTTCCTGTTCCCTCTCCTGGGGTCTGATTATATCCATGGACATGTACATTATGTTTGTGGTTCCTTGCAGGTATGGAGAAGGACTCAGTATAGTCCTGTGCTCAGAAAACACAGTACTTGACTCAAGTAGGCCCCCATAATGCTTCTTTATTACTTAAGCAAAATAAGCCATCTCCATTCCACAGAATGCACTGAGACTATGTTGGGTGACTTTCCTCTCACATACACCTAGTCATCTCTGCCCTTTACTTAGAGCCTCTCCGTGGCTCATTATCTTCCAGATCAAGGGTATGTTAGGCTGTTTTCCTACTGCTATAAATAAATACCTGAGACTGGGTAATTTTTAAAGAAAAGAGGCTTAATTGACTCACAGTTCTGCAGGCTGTACAGGAAGCATGGTGCTGGCATCTACTCTGCTTCTGGGAAGGCCCCAGGAAACTTAAAATCATGGCAGAAGGTGAAGGGGGAGCGGGCACCCCATGTGACAAGATCAGGAGCAAGAGAAGAAGGGAGGAGATGCCACACACTTTTAAAAGATCAGATCTCACAAGAACTCATTCACTATTGCAAGGACAGTATCAAGGGGATGGTACTAAGCCATTCATGAAAAAGCTACCACCATATCCAGTCACCTCCCACAAGGCCCCACCTCCAACACTGGGGATTACAGTCCAACATGAGATTTGGGTGGGGACACAGATTCAAACCAAAACAAGGAGTTGTCAAAGTTTGGGCCACACGGTCTCAGGAGCAACTGCTCAACTCTGCAGTTGCTGTGTAGCAGTCAAATAATCCCTAAATGAATGGGTGTGGCTGTGTTCCAATAAACCTTCATTTACAAAACAGGTCGCTGGATTTGGCTGCCATTCTAGTTTGCCTACCCCTGTTCCATATCATAAGACCCAAGCTCATCAGCTTAGGATTCAGGGCTCCTCAATACCTGGCCCCCCATCTACTTCTATATCTCCACATACTGTCCTTGCCCACTTTATGCCTTCCCAGCCTCTCTATCTAGAAGCCAGAGATACCCAACTGGTTATAATAACCCTGCCTTACACAAATATGGATACAGACACACATACACTGGTACACACAGACACTCTGCTGTTTCATGATTCTGTGATTTTACACTTGCTGTCTCATCTACCTGAACAGATTTTCCACTCTCTTCACTTGGCCAAATTCTGTGTTTTTTTTTTTTGTTTTTTTTTTTTGTTTTTTAAGGTGGAGTTTTGCCCTTGTCGCCCAAGCTGGAGTGCAATGGTGTGATCTTGGCTCACTGCAACCTCTGCCTCCCGGGTACAATTCTCCCGCCTTAGCCCCCCAAGTAGCTGGGATTACAGGCATCCGCCACCACACCCAACTAATTTTTGTATTTTTATTACAGATGGGGTTTCACCATGTTGGCCAGGCTGGTCTTGAAGTCCTGACTTCAGGTGACCCACCCGCCTCGGCTCCCAAAGTGCTGGGATTACAGGCGTGAGCCACTGCACCCAGCCCTATTCGTCCTTTAGGTGATTCTAAGGTGACTCCTTCATCTGGAAGCCTTCTCTGAGCCACCCATGACTGGGTTGGGTAATTGTTCTCTTTCTTTCTATCTACTTAATGCATTGATGAGACATTTTGCATTGAGGAGGCTGTCTTTCCTGGCCATCCAAGGAACTCCTGGGACCAGGGACTTGCTGTTATTACCTATACCTCCCTGCAGCATAGCATAGTATTTAGCTTGGTCAGCTGCTAAGTTTACAGAACTAAACCATAAAGCTACAGTTATCAAGAGAAAAAAGGCAGGTTATTCTGCAGATGTTATAAGTGGGAAGTTTAGGGATAGAAAAAACTGGCAGGTTTATAAATCCATGGCACAAGTATAGAAAAAGCCAGGACTGAGGGCTGTGTAATAGCACATGGGAATATGGGTGCACTAAATAATGGAAACCAGAGGGACAAATAGGAAGGTTTTACATTTTTTGCTTTCCGGAGTCCAGTAGTAAAAGGCATAGCTACCAGGCTCTAGAACTCACAATGCAGTTGACAGGGTAAGATTTTAGCAAATGAAACAATCAGAGAACCATAAAAAGATAGCCGGTTATCAAATTCTGGGTTATGTGATACAGAGCAAGCTTGGAAAAAAAAAAGATCAACGGACGTTAGAATGGTTTAAAAAAAGCCTCTGGGGTGGCGTTAAGAAAACAATACCAAAAATATCACAGAATTCATATTTTTCTATTTTTTCAAGTAAAAACATTTTTATTGTTGTATAAAATATGCTCCCAAAATTATATATATCATAAATATACAGCTCAATGAATTTTTACAAAGTAAGCACATCTCCATAACTAAGACCTGGCTCAGGAAATGGAACATTGCTAGCATCTCAGGAGCCCCTTTCTATTCCCTTTCAGTCACTACATAACCCCAAGAAAACTACTGCCCTGACATGTAATAGCAGAGGTGAGTTTTTCCTTTAAATGAAATTATGTAATATGCCCTTTTATGTCTGGTTTATTCTGCTGAAAATTATATTTTGAAATTCATTCAAGTTGTGCTTGGTGGTAGTCTACTCACATTGCTGTTTAGAATTCATTGTGCAAATATACCCATTTATTTATTTGTCCTTCTGTTGATGGAAATTTGGGTGGTTTCCAGTTTTTAGCTGCTTACAAATAATGCTGCTTTCTTGTACAAGTCTTTTAAGAGATGAGTATATGCATTTCTGTTGAGTATATACCTAATGAGTAAAACTACTGGGTCATAAATTATAAATATGTTCAGCTTTCATAGATAATATTACACCATTTTCCAAAATGGTTGTACCATTTTTTTTTATCCCACCTGAGGTATAAGCAGGTCCCTGGTGCTCTGCATCCTCATTAGTGCTTGGCTTCATCACTAGCCATTCTGGTGTATGTGGAGGGGCATCTCTTTGTAGTTTTAATTTGTATTCCTTGATAACTAATGAGTATCTTTCTAAACTTTATCCACTGTTTGTGTATCCTTTTTAATTAAACTATTTTGCCCTTTTTCTGTTGCGTTGTCTGCCTTTTTGCTCATTGATATGTAGGAGTTCTTTATATATGTTGGGAATATGCCCATTGTCAGATATATGCATTGCCATCTTACGGGCCTTTTCCTTCTCTCATTAGTGTTCTTGATAAACAAAATAATCTCCCACAACTTCTAATTTTCTCTTGGACCCTTGGACTCTTAGATCCTCATTACTTCCTAGTTCATAGACTCACTGAAAGAGGAGAGAAAGGATTTCCATTAGGTATACAGAGAGCTTGAAAACTGTACTAGAAAAAAGCTTAGAGATCATCTCTCTCAGTTCCCTGGGTTTTTCTTTTAGGAAACTACAAGCCAGAGAGGATGGGTAACTTGCTCCTGGTCACAGAGCTGGTAGCAAAGTTGAGATTAAATCATGGGCTCTCATCTCCTAGCCCATCGTTCTTTGCACAGGCACATTCACTATTTCATTAACTTGGAGTAATGGGAAAAGAGTCTCCATGGGGAGTGACAGGACAATTGATAATCTGTGTCTGCATCAATAAGAGTTTCAACAACTCCAGGACCAGAAGACGAAAAGAGCAGGCCCTTCTGGGCCCAGCCTCCTCTACCCTCTTAACAGGAGCAGCAGGACATTTAGAAAGCTTTCATATGCATCACGAAGCCTTGCTAGGCCGTGCACAGCTTGATAGCTACATCTCCATTCCAAAAATAGCTAGGAGTTATTTATGTTGGCAAAAAGCTTGGGACAATAAAGAGAGATGGTGGATTTAACCCTACCACGGTTTTACTCTAATAAGTCATTGTGCTCTAGCAGAAACCCTGATTACCCAAAGTGGTTGGGAAATTATAAAGTCAAAGCTACAATTTATCTCATCTCTAAGGAGCCGATGAAATCGCCTGTCAAGGCTGTATCCCTCGCTGCCAGGGCCAAGTGTATCTGCTGAGGCAGCAGTCTGCCCTTAACAGGCAGAGGGTGCTGCTACAGGAAGGGTTGTATAGACACTGAACAGAACACCCAGGGTCTCCCTCGAGCACGGTGGATGTTAACAATGCCCTTCTCCTGTCCGCAGGCTCTGCCCATTACCCTGGCATCTTCTGGGGGACATTTTGACTGCTCCTTGATCACCTGGCAGTCCGACTGGATTTTTAGAAAACCTGATCTGATCAGGATTGCACTCCTACTTCATATTAGCATGACTTATTTACAGATAGACAAGATATCAGAAGCTTACACCCAAATGTGTAGCTCTGGATGGCGGTACTATGCATAATTTCTATTTTTATTATGAATTTTCCAATTCTTCTATTACATTAAACCATATGAAAATTTGCTGGTTTTGTAAGTGGCTGAATATTAGCAAGTTCAAGTGTTTTGACCTCATACAACAAGCAAGGATTATTGTGAATTTTAAATGTACTAAAGGCTTTTAAAATACTATTCCTATGTTAGAATCAAAATAATGCTAATATCTGCCACTTATTAAGTTTGTTTTATTGCTAGACTCTCCACTAAGCACCTGATATACTATTTAATACTCATAAGGTGGGGACTATTATTACGCCTATTTTACAGGTGAGTAAACTGAGACTCAGGGAGCTCAAGTTCCAGTAAATCATTCCCTCCATTAATAAGGGCAGAGCTGGAGCCCAGAGGCCAAAGCTCTTGTTCTTAACCATTATCCAGAGTCCCCATATTTCAACTATAACTCCAAGTCTGGAAGTGAAGGCAAACTTTTTGATGATGAGGCCAGGGTTTGTGAGTAGGGCTGGATCTCATTCATTCATCTCATTGTCATGAAGCCTCCTAATAACAGATACTCATTTGCTCAGCAAATACAGTATTTGGGGAATAATAAACAAAGGGTTAGACATCCTCCCTGTCCTTAGCTTTCCCAGTATGCGCGATGGCTTAGAACTAACCATGACCTCCCCAGCTGCCCATCTCCCACCTCTGGCCCCATTTTCTTCTCCCCAGGGTACATGGACACTCACCACAATCAAAACAAAGAATGTATGTTAACCTCAGGCCAGCAGAGGGAGAACCAACACACTAGCCTCTTTCCAGGTTTAAAGCAAACCTCTTCTCTTTAGAAAATGGTCCCATCTGTTTGAAACTGCCCAGCCCTTTTTTTTGAACGTTTCCCAGGACTGTGTAATGTTTCCGGAGAAGGTAATGTTACATTAATGATAAAAACAGCTCTTATTTATTGAATACTTACTGTGTGCCAGCATTATTGGTAGCTATTTTACATACAACCAGTATGTAAAACTAGATCTAGCTGACATCAGAGAGCAAATGTTTTACCAAGGAGCTTCAGTTATAGGTTTCGGAGGGCTGTGAGTACCTACAAAATTGTACTTAATTTATATGTATGCTGGGGAGTGGTGAGGGCTTGGGGGCTGTGGGTCTCTGTGTGTATACAGGCTTATGTTTTTATTTTTTATTTTTCCCAAGGAGAGGAGCCTTGCCTTTCATAAGAGTCTCAAAGAGGTGAATGACCCAATAAGATTTTAGAAACCTCCTTAGGAAGAGAGAATTAAGAAAAAGCTGCCTAACTGACATGAGAAAGTTCTGAAACCATTCATTGTTCTTAAGCCTCTGGCTTTACAACTGAATGGACCGTGTTCAGGCAAGCATGAAACAGTCAAGAACATTGATCAAGGAAGGATGAATTACAGATTCTTATCTATATTATCTAAGCTATACTGGAATAGAATGAAACATTTTGTGCTGTTGAGATTGTGAAACTGGTTTTGGAACCAGAGGAGGAACCAGAGGAGAACTCCTATAACATTGTGGGGTCAGGGATAGGAGAAGGCCAGAGTGGCCAGTGTATGCGTTTGTTTCCGAAGTAGAGCAGAGCAGGGAAGGAGAAAGTTCAAGCTTATCTAAGAAGGATAATCCATTCCACTTGGAAGGCACTTAACAGTTTATTACAAAGCTGTTTCATAAGCGTGCACTCTGAAGGTCTTCAAAATAATCCTGTAAAGTCAGCAAGACAGACTGTTACCTGCTTTTGATCCATAAAGAAATTAAGGCACAGAGAGGTTAAGTCATCTACCCAAGGTCACACAGTGAGTAAGAGGCCATGGTCTTCTATCAGCTAGCTGGATAGATTGACAACTTTACTAGTATAAAATATTTTAGCAATTTTTTTTCGAGATGGAGTTTCGCTCTTGTTGCCCAGGCTGGAGTGCAATGGCGCGATCTCTGCTCACCGCAACCTCCGCCTCCTGGATTCAAGCAATTCTCCTGCCTCAGCCTCCCAAGTAGCTGGGATTATAGGCATGCGCCACTATGCCCGGCTAATTTTGTATTTTTAGTAGAGACAGGATTTCTCCATGTTGGTCAGGCTGGTCTCGAACTTCCAACCTCAGGTGATCCTCCCGCCTCGGCCTCCCAAAGTGCTGGGATTACAGGCGTGAGCCACCGCGCCCAGCTGTATAAAATATTTTAGTAAGAAAGATGTTTATTGCCAAATTTTCCTTAATTGGGGACAAAAAAAAAGTAGCTGATAGATGCTATGTTAGTTTTAAATTCAAACTTTCAAATGTAATAAATTTGAAGGGCATGGCTTAGTGGTTAAGAATTTAGGCTCTGGAGTCAGACTTCCTGGCCCAGTACCAGGGTCACCCCTGACAAGGTGATGTAGCAAGCCAGGGAGTGCAAGCCAGTTAATGCCCGGGAGTGACCCTCACTCATGGAGGGACAGGAGTTGTGAATAAACACTCCAGGTTTCTTGCTGCTTAGGGGTAGAATTCTGAGGCGAGTTCCATGCAGTTTCTCAGAAGGTTCTGGGGAGGTCTGAACCTCGAGTTGCCCACAGAGGTAGCCTTGTCAACATTCTCTGTGGCCTCTCTCTTCTTCCCTGCCTCTTTTCCCCACTCCCTCACTGTGCTTTTGGGATGGCATGTTGTATTAGTTTGGGTCTTCTGAGAAGAAATGCCAAAGAACATCAAATGTGTAAGGAACCCATTGGGGGAATACGTGTATTGGGTAAACGGGAGGGTGAGGGGTAGGCAGGGAGTCTTCAGACGGTGATGCTGATCTGGCCCTTGTGAGGAGGTGGGAAGGCAGGAGGATTGGGCTGGAAGAGTCATGGATTGCATTGCAGTCCTAAGAAAGTTCTGACCAGGCTGATCAGACTCTTGAACTTAAGTCACTCACCTGAGGAGTCCTGTGTCCCATAGGAAAGGGCCTATATGGGTGCCCGCTGTCTTCAACCGCTGGCCTACAAGCAGCCTGTCCTCACCATTGATGTGGAGGTGGGTCTGGAAGGGCAGAAGCTGGGTCATCAATAGACCATGCATCCCTCCATGGGAGTTCTCTGATCATTTTCATACACACTCTGATCTCTGCATCTGATGCTGGATACTCCAAACTAAGACATAGCTCAGTAAGTAATTGTTACATGAATAAACACAAAAAGAATTTAGAGGTCAACACACACAGAAAATGAATAGCTCCTATGCAGGACCTCTTCTGGTAGCTGTGAACTTAATTTCCTTAGAAGATTCTGAGTCATATTTTTACAAAAAGCCCAGGCTCTCACCCTTATCATTAGGTAGTCTTGCAGAAAAGACCAAGATGAGAGAGAACGTAGCAGAAAATGCTGTGGGGGACTGTGCTCCCAGTTACCATGAAGACGAAGTGAAAATCTGTGGAAAGCATTTTACACTGCAATGAAGTGGGTTTCATTTGAAGATCACAGACCAAGCACATGATACTGCCTTCCCCTTTCTTCCCCAAATCCCTGGAAATGCTTTAACAGACATATTTTGAAAAGTAATAAGCCTAATAAATTATTTTTCCAACAAATATTCAGAGTTCTGTGATTACTATAATGCCCCATGTTGTCTAAACATCCCTTTTTATGGGTTTCCCAATAGGAACTCGAGCCTGAGAGATAGTAAGTCCTAGGGGAAGCAGCTGCTTGGTAAAGAAGAGGCTGTGATTTTTTTTTTTTAATGTCATGGATAGAAGAGGCAAGGGAAGGGGAAGTCATTGGGAAGAATACACCAGCCAAACAGCCCGACCTGGATATTAGCTGCCTCCTGCAAGCCAGGAGCAAAGTTGAACCCAGGGAATAATGTGTGCTGGCCAGCTGGGGAGGTAGCCAGCTGGAACATGGACAATGCATTAAATGACAACCCATCCATGCCTTACAGGTTTCTATCTGATCAAGGAACAATTGATCTGGCTCATGTTTCAGAAAGTGGAGGAAATATAAAAACACCTTAACTCTGTGCTTTCGAGATGTGATCTTGCCCCATATGCATTAGGAGTAAACTGTTAGAAAATTGAAAGTCACGACTACTTACTGAGTGTCTCCTGTGGACTAATGGGCTATCAGACCATTTCACAGCTGATGAAATTAAGGATCAGAGAAGTTAAGTGACCTAAATATAGGGTTGCCAGCTTTAGCAAATAAATTAAGGAAAGCCTAGTTAATTTGAGTGTTGGATATACAATGATAGCTTTAAGTATCCTATGCAGTTTTTAAAAATGATGGATAACTTTTAGTATATGCAGGTCCCATGCAATAAACTAAAAGCTAAAAAATTAAAAATACTAACAATATTTTGTTGTCAAAATATCTGGAATATAAATTCAATTGAAAGTTCTATGTTTCTTTTTTCTGGCACTCTTACTTAAATAAGAATGTGCAGCTGGTTAGTGTCCACATCTAGGCCCAAGATGCTCTCATTGTAGTAAAGTTTTCGGCTCTACTGCACTGATTCCCAAATACAAAAATTGAATCTGGGCTAGACTATTTTATTTGTTGTAACATATATTGTATTTTTTCATATCATACATTATTAAGCCCTTCTAAAATAAGCCACTTTTATACTAACCCTTATCTCAGAGCCTGCTTCTGGGTAAGGCACCCTAGGACAGCAAATGACCTAGGCTCCTTCATTCAGAACTGTCCCTTGACTTTGGATGAGAAACTAGTGGTCCCTCGAGGCAGGGACGATACTCACTCTTACCTGGCCATAGGCAGAGACAGAGAAAGTAACACCTGCTTGCAGAGGTGACACAGAAGTGTTTCTGGTAGCAGCATCCGGAGTCCAGCTTTGTGTCCACCCAGAGGAAGTGGCAGCCTGGAACCACTTCTGTGGCTTACATTTTTCTTAGTTATATGGCTCCCGAGTCTGGTTCTCTGTCTTCTCTAGAAAACCTGTCTTATCCGGTATGCTTCTGGACAATCTGTTTCCTATGTAGATTCCTCAGAATTATCTTCTCAACTGAAGAACCCGGATTTGTCAATACCAGAAGTGGTGTGGTTATAGCAGCAGACCCTCAGGACACTGGAAAAATTGGCATTGGTTGTCTGGTTTACTTAGGGCTATGAATAGTGAAAATCCAGTTCTTGTTGAGGAATGGGACTCTGGCAACCTAAGACAGAGACTGGCAAAAACAATTAATCCAATTATCATGCATGGTCAACTGTAATAAAACCCCCAGTGAAGATGAGGTATGGAGACCACATGGTCCCTTGCCGTAGAACTTGCTATAAGAAATTCTAAGATGTGTGAATGGGTGGTGGCTTCTAGAGAAAGAAAATACTAAGTACACAGTCCTAAATTCCTGGCTCAGTGTAAAGACCCGAAATTAAAGACTTTCATTGGCTG
Source organism: Homo sapiens (assembly GCF_000001405.40). Lineage (NCBI taxonomy): Eukaryota > Metazoa > Chordata > Mammalia > Primates > Hominidae > Homo > Homo sapiens. The sequence continues at coordinate 15,192,579 of NC_000004.12, read as the reverse complement.
GGCTAAAGACTGACTCATTTTGTGCAGCTGCAAAGCTGAAGCAGACAAAACTAAACCCATACCTGATCTTCTTGCTTAATGGCTTATGTCAGGCCTCTCTTCTGCTGACCTAGAGATTTTTCATCACATTTCAAGAAGTATTTCAGTGGGCTGCCCACTGATGTCCACTCTAGGATCCCCATAAGTAAGTAGTCAAAGATCTGCACAGTCAAGACCATTTTGATTGGCATAATGGTGCTGACAGTCAGAGCAGCTTGGTAACTTACCTAAGTTCACACATTACCAAGAAGAGAAGGAGGATGTCTGTCCCATACCACTGCCTGTCTTTCCCAACATTCCACCCATTGGCATCCAAGGATTTGGATCCTTTGCCACATGAAGAAAGTTGATGACCCCAGTGAAGTGGATCAATGTGAGATATGCTTCCTGCCGAGATTTATGCGGAAACAGAAATCTGTTTCCTATGCATTTTTTTTTTTGAGCTGGAGTTTCTCTCTTGTCACCCAGGCTTCAGTGCAATGGTGCGATCTCAGTTCACTGCAACCTCTGCCTCCTAGATTCAAGCAATTCTCCTGTCTCAGCCTCCCAAGTAGCTGGAATTACAGGCACCTGCCACCACTCCCGGCTAATTTTTGTAATTTTTGGTAGAGATGGGGTTTTACCATGTTGGTCAGGCTGGTCTTGAACTCCTGACCTCAGGTAATCCACCCACCTCGACTTCCCAAAGTGCTGGGATTACAGGCATGAGCCACCGCGCCCGGCCTCCTATGCATATTTTTAAAAATATAGAGCACAGAAATATCACATTCAAAGAAGTATTGTTCTTGCAAAGAAATAAAAGTAACTTCAATACTGTATCCCTCAAATAATAGTAAATATGTAATTTATTAATATATGCCACTGCAGCATTAAAAAAAATTTTCGTCTATTCCCCCTGCACTCAGCTGGGTCACCAACCTGTTTTGAAGCCTTTTCTTTCTCCCTCATTTCCTTCTCCTTCTCTATCATATTCACATGTTTCCTCCACAGCTTCTTCTCTTTGTTTCCTTTCATTCCCATTCCTCCTCATTGGTCAATAAATATGGGCTCTTTTTGGGTGAGATAACTCTTGTCTACTTTTCTTCTTCTCACCACAGCTGCTTAGTCCCACCAAACTACAAAAGAAGGCTGAAGAGTAGGAAGGAGAGGAGGTTGGAGGAAGGGAAAAATTTCCTGTGGGCATTGCCAGATAGTCCTATATGGGGAATGGGATGAGAGGAAGGAAATGCTCATTGTGGCGACTTCTACACATAGCATTAACACATGGTTTAACAAGGGCAAATTTTGTCACGATACTTAGCCTCACTGAATCTCATTTGTCTCATCATTAAAGTGTTGATGTCCAAACTTCTGTTGGTGTTGGTTTGAATAATAAATTAGATAATATATGTATGTGATATATCCAGCCTAATACTTAGCCCATGGTCAACAGATAGAAACTATCATGAAAAGCTGAAAATCCAATAAGCCTTTCTACCTCCTTCTAAGCCATACTTCATGCAAGTGTTGGTTGGATATATATTCTATTTTTTTTCAACATGTTACCTGAAATTTATTCAAACATTCAGAAAAATTATAAAAAAGGTACAGCAAATTCTCAATGTACCAACCACCTAGATTCTATAATTATCATTTTATTATACTTGTTTGATCATGTATGTATCCATCCCTCTGTCAATTAATTCACCTGTTTCTGATACATTTCAAAGTAAGTTGAAAACAGAAATACATTTCTCTCCAAACACTTCACCATGCATGCTGTTATATTTTTGAAGGATCTCTTGGAAGGAAATTGCAAAATAACCTTTTATATATGATAGGACTGCTGGTAGGTCTCCTTTTCTTCAAAAACGTAGGCCGGCCTCTCTCTCACTTTCCCTAACTTCAAAACAGCATTTCTCAAAGTGTATTTCATGGAACCCTGATCCAAAGCTATATGGGGGAAAAAATGGTATCTGCTGTCCAAATGCTTGAAGGCCTCTGGATTAAACAAAGTTTTGCAACTTTCTTTATTATAGACTTCTCAGAGGCTTGGTTATGCTAGCATGTATACCATCAAAGGGGATACATTCTACTTACTTGACCATAAGACCCCACTCTTCTTCTGAGAACATGTAGCAGAATGGGTTCTACAGAATACACTTTGGGCAAGGATGCCTGTGCCTAAGTCCTGACCTCTTTTCTCTCTACCCTGTGGCTCACACATATTTTATGGTTCCCAGTTCTTCATTGTATTCATTGTTTTCTGCAGAGTTCCTCCAGTCTTTCAGATCATTTCTGTCTCTGATTACTATGTTTCTGTCAGTTGGGTATGTCCCTGAAAGACATTTTTGTTAATAGTGATATCACAATTAACTATGGAGAACTGCTTACATTTAGAAAACTTAGTATAGATGAAACAAAAATTAAAACCATATTAGTGAAGATAGATAGTAATTATAAAACTCCTTTCTCCATGGCATAAATGAACTGAAAATTTACATAGCTTTTTTAAAAACAAGTAATTATAAAGGACTCTGCAAGAAGAGTAGAATGTTCTGGGAATATTCCTAAATTTTAAGTTTGGAAATATGGAGGCAAGCTAACATCTATGAAATCATCTTTGGTATAAAAGACAAAAGGATATGTTGTACGTTGGTCAATATCTCATACCTCCTATTTGAAATTCTTTTTAACCTTGAGGTCTGGTTGGGAGCACTTGGTCCTCCAAGTTATCCTCCAGGTTGATGGCACAAATTCCTCATCAGCTGTTCAGAGGAGATCATAGGTGAAAGAATTCTGAAAATTATGTGAGTCACAAATAAAAAGTGCTATTTTTATTATCGTTATCACCAGAGAAGCAGAATAATAGGATCTGAAATGACCTTGACAATGTATTCAGCCTTAATTCTTGTCTTCCAGCAGGACTATGCAATGAGGCATTGACCTGGTTTTCTAATTTGTCTAGAGAAGAATTTGTTTTCAATTTCCCTAAGCAACTGGCTACAGTGTCTCACATTCAGCATCTCATAACCCACAAAAGTCACAAAGTACATTCTAAATACTGGCTTTCATTTAGTGCTTGATGAAATATCTTTATTATGACAGACTTAAGAGAATGGAAGTGTAACCCACCTTCACAGGCAAGTCTGTTTTTGGAGAGGAACAAGAAAACCTCCCTTGCAAAACCACAACAAGGAACTGAGTAAATAAAGGTCTGAATCTCTGATAATGACCTCTGTCAGAAGGAACCCAAACCGTGGTGAATAGAAAGCACTTTTAAATAGAAAGCAAAATTTAAGTATGTATTATAACAGCATAGGTGCCATTCTCCAAAACCTAGAGAAAAGAAGGGGAGTTCCAACATGTCTAGTGGACCCTATGGTGTTCAAACCTCACCCTCACTGGTCTGCCCTCTATTTACCTATCCACTCTCTAGTAAATTAGACAAAACCCCACACATTCTCTCACTTCTCTGAGCCTTGAAACACACTTTTGCCTTGACCTGCAATACCTTACCTAGCCGTACACCTAATGATATGGTTAGGCTTTGTGTCTTCACCCAAATCTCATCTTGAATTGTGATCCCCAGGTGTTGAGGGAGGGACCTCTTGGGAGGTAATTGGATCATGGGGGAGGTTTCCCTCATGCTGTTCTCATGATAGTGAATGAGTTCTCATGAGATCTGATGGTTTTATAAGGGGCTCTTCCCCCTTCACCCTCTCTCTTCTGCCACCCTATGAAGAAGGTGCCTGCTTCCCCTTCCAACATGATTGTAAGTTTCCTGTGGCCTCCTCAGCCATGTGGAACTGTGAGTCAATTAAACCTCTTTCCTTTATAAATAACCCAGTCTTGGGTATTTCTTCATAGCAGTATGAAAACAGACTAATACAGTAAATTGATGCTGGGACTGCGACACTGCTGTAAAGATACTTGAAAAGGTGGAAGTGACTTTGGAACTGGGTAACAGAGGTTGAAACAGTTTGCAGGGCTCAGAAGAAGACAGAAGATGTGGGAAAGTTTGGAACTTTCTAGAGACTTATTGAATGGTTTTGATCAAAATGCTCATAGTGGTATGGACAATGAAGTCCAGGCTGAGGTGGCCTCAGATGAAGATGAGGAACTTCTTGGGAATGGGAGCAAAGGTCACTCTTGCTATTCTTCAGCAAAGAGACTGGTGGCATTTTGTCCATGCTCTTGATCTCTGTGGAACTTTGAATTTGAGAAAAGTGATCTGAAATTGGAACTTACGTTTAAAAGGGAAGCAAAGCAGAAAAGTTTGGAAAATTTGCAGCCTGATGATATGATATAAAAGATAAAAAACCCATTTTCTAAGGAGAAATTCAAGCCTGCTGCATAAATTTGCATAATAAGGAGGAGCCAAATGTTAATTATCAAGACAATGGAAAAAATGTCTCCAGGGCATGTCAGACATCTTCAAGGCAGCCCTTCTCATCACAGGCTCAGAGACCTAGGAGGGAAAAATGGTCTCAAGAGCTGCCTACCTCTGGACTTCTTGCTGCATAGCACTTGCTACATTATTTTATGACTGTATATTTATTTGTTTTCTTCTTACTGTGAGACTATATTGGCCCCTCTTTCTTCTTCTCAGTCCTAGACCTAGGATTATTGGCTTGATGAATTTTGAACTCCTTGTATAGAGATTTTGACAACAAAATCTCTTGAGAACAAAGCATGAACCTCTCAATCCTCAAATCAGTGGGATATCATAAGTGTCTGGTAAATTTGTGTATGTATGAATGATTTCATGAATCTGTCAAGAATCATGTTTAATTAGAATTATTAGGCTCTAAAAGCAATGAATTATAAAGAGGACCTTTTGAAATAAGTGCATTAAGAAAAGAGCATCATAGTAGAGTTCACAGCAGAATATTATAATATTCTGTATTGTAATACTTATATTGTAATGATGTTTACAAATTAATAGTGTCCAAAATGAGCAGTTTTTAATCTCCTAAAAATCTCACCTTTTTCCAGATACATTCTTGAGATAATCTCAACTGATTACATTCTTTTCATTCAATATTTATGAGTGAGATTAATACCATGTTATTTAGTACTTGCATATATATGGCCTATTTTATCCTCTTATGCCATTTCATGAAATCTCTACTATTTGATTGCATATTTGGTTATAAGCAACTTATTAACATGAATTCTCAAGCCAGGATAAACTTGTTTTTATCTCTGTCCTTTACCGTTATATGATCTTGAATAAGTCCCTTAAGTTAACTAAACTTTGATTTCTATTCTGTAAAGGTTGGGAAAAGGGATTCCTGTATTATATGGTTGTTTTGATAATTAAATAATAATGTAAGCAAGTGATAGGTAGAAGGTGAAAAATAAATACTGGCTTTATTTTTATTCCTTTCTCTTTCCCTCTACAGAAACATGATGTAATGTTGTAGTGTCAGTGACTATTCCTTAAAACAATAGGCACATTGGATTGAAATCCCTGTAGGGAAATTTGACATGAATTGGGGTAGAATGAGAAGTATTTTCCCTTACCAAGAAGGATCTCATACCAAACTGATTCATCTTTAAAATGACATGAGAATTCAGAGTTGTCATCATCTCTTTCTGCTTGACCTTTCTGTACATTTGGGATATCTTGTAGTATGAGAATTATAGTGTTCAGAAGAGACCAGATTTGGCACTAACAGACTGAACAGCTGGGTGGCTTTTTTACTTCTAGCTACAGTGATAAAAAGGATCTTAAAACTTGAGATCAATGTGTGCACTGTAAAAATAAAAGAGATTCAAACAAACTTTACCAAGATAGAGACTCAGAAGTGCCTTTCCTAGTTTTTAAGTTAGAAAGAGAACCCAGTAAGTAAGGCTGTGAAAAGTCCCTAAATTGATAGCTTCATTTAAGCTTTGACTTTTCTGGATTTATTTTTTTCTAAGTGACCTGATTTCAAAGCACACTATTTCCCCAGTGTGGCTTTCTCTGTCACACCATCAAACACCAACCTTGCCATTTCCATATGTACTTCTGGAAAAAAAATTCCCTCAACATACGTCCCCTGAGCAAGGCTGAAATGGAACAGGATTGAAAAGCTCATCAAATCATTTTCCTCCCAACCTTGTTCAGAGCCTGGAAACTTGCCAGTGTGGGCCAATTCTGAATGCTCTTTCTCCACACTCCCAGCCCCACCTCTGCTCTCTATCTACCGCAGACTAGGGAGTCAGCTCTCAGAAATGAAAACTCCCTGTTTTCTGAGCTCCAATGGTTGTCATCACACTCTGAGGGCATGGCATGCCATTCATTTTCAAGATTTCTCAGCCAGCAGGCGTTGGTGACAAGCATTAGCCAAACTTGTAAACAATACTCAAAGTTATTAACTTGGCATTAGCATCTTTCGTGATGGAGCTTTATCCTACCGTTCCATTTGTTTGTGTATCCCATTTCCATCCCAATAAACAGCTCACTGTACCAGGCTTTTTCTTGTTTCCTATGAGTTCTGACTGTGCATGCTACCCATCCTCCCAGTCCAAAATTCCCACCCTTCTTCCAAAAAATCACTCCTCTTTACACAACAGCACGACTTATTTCTTCTCTGGATTCCTAGGTTCTTTCATATTTATCTTTCTTTAGACTTTTCTTTTTCCATTTCTATTTCATTTTATGCTATGTCTGTCCATATCTCAGAACCCAGCTGTGCTTAATGCTTCTTAAGGACCCAAAATATTGGAAGTCATCTTCCTATCTTTTATCACAAACATAATGCCTTGCCCATAGTAAGTATCTGTAGTTCTGCCGTTAGCAAGCTATGCATTAAGGACATACTTGCTGCTTCAGCACATAAATCCCCAAGTTTACAAGGGACCAAATATGAAAGAAGTTTATTTCTCATTACAGACAGTCCACAACAAGTAGTATTGACCAGGAGGTGGCCATCCTCCTCTGGCAATGATTCAAGAACTCAGGCTCTATTTATCTGGTGCTTGCAGAATCTTTATTCATGGCTTCCAGGTTCACCCTGGGGTTCATCTCCATTCTAGCCAACTGTAAAGGGAGCGAGCATGGAGGAACACATGTGGGAACTGGCGTGGATGCCTTCTGCTTACACTCCACTGGTGAGAACTCAGTTATACGGCCAGACCCAACTGGGAAATGGAATCTTACTGTGAGCCCAGAGAGACAGGTAACTGGGCCTGTGCCACTGTCTGTATTATGAGTTCTATGATCCAGAGGAGGTCATTCAATTGTTAGGAGTTTTAGTTCTCTCATCTACATCATGGAGGAAATAAAATTTTAAAAAGATCATTGTAAAGATTACATTGTATGACAATTATAAAATCTTTTTGTTTTCATCTGAAAAATGAACAAGATGGACTAAGTGATCCCTAGGTTCCTTTCACTGCTAACTAAAGACACACTTGAGTTTGTTCACAAGACTGTCCTAACAAGGCAGGAAAAGGGAACTGCTGTATATTAGGGGGAAAATATATATAAAGAATATATTCTCTGTTAATTTACTGGATCAGAAAGTTTAATTGGCTGTAGCACCTCATTTCTCATGCGATTTGATTAACAGAGGTTCCATCAAGCCTTGTGGGTGAGACTGGGGCCGTTTAGTTAAGCTGCTAGAACCCTTAAAGCTTGAGAGAGAAAGAAAAAAAACATGCATGTGGACATCTGTGATGCACTAACATTTGGGCCTCAGTTTCCTCCTCCGTAGATGTAAAATGGTAGGTTGGATCTGATGTCCTCCAAAGCCCCTGGCTGCTCTAGTATCTTATGAATTAAAGTGACAGAGTAAAATCACTCACTCTGCATAACAATGTACACACCAAGAAGAAACAGCTGCACTCTGGGCCAGGCCCACTCGTCAAATGACTGTTTTTTGGTTTGTTTGTTTGTAATTAAATAAACTGTAAATCCAAGATAAGAAGACAGAATTAGTTGAGGTCCAAAGTATGTAAAATCTTTTATGTGATAAACTTTAGATTCAGCTTTTGATTATTCTTAGAGAAAATAAAAACATAAAATGAGGTGGCCATAGTCACACTAGTATCCAATAGCGATAGATGAAAATGCTTATGGTCAAGATGAGTACTTGATTTATTTGTGTCTAAACCAGTGAGAAGCTGAACTTCTTCTTATATTTATGACACCGATATTAGTGACAATAATTATTATTTATCAAGGACGTCCCATTTTATTTACTTAATACACATTATTTCATGTAATCTTATTATTATTATTATTTTAATTCTTTTTACTTTAAGTTCCGGGATACAAGTGCAGAACATGCAGGTTTGTTAGATAGGTATATGTCCGCCACGGTGTTGGCTGCACCTATCAACCCATCTTCTAGGTTTTAAGCCCCACATGCATTAGCTATTTGTCCTAATGCTCTCCCTCCCCTCATCCCCCACTCCCTGAATTTAATCTTTATAATAACCAATAACATTGGAAGATAGGTATTTTTTGCTCTATTTTACAGATAGGGGAACGGAGGCTTGGGGTCCACAAGGTCATTCAGTTGGTAAAGAGCAAATCTAGAGTTAAGCCTCGTAGCCCTGGCTCCAGAGGCAGAATCTTGGCCATTACAGGAGCCTTTGCCTTGTGTGTGGTTGAGGGCACCATGTAAGTTCTGCCTAGCCTTCAAAACTCACCCTCCCTCCAAACTCTGATCACCTATGCCTTGTCTGTGCATGCCACTCACTTGGAATTTATCATATAATACTCTGAATTGCACTGATGGCACTGTTTTATAGAAGGCATTCCATAAATATTAGTTGACTGACACAAATCTTGCCCTAGCTATATATTAATCAGTTTAGGTTATTTGCTGTTACAAACAATCTGTAAATCTCAGTGGCACAAAACAATAAAGTTTCATTGCTGGCTTATGTCCTAGTTCAATGTAGGTCAGTGGTACGTTGAGGAGGTGAAATCAGGTTGAGGGTGCTTTACTCTACACAGTCATTTGGAAATCAGTGTTCTTCCAGTATAGACTTTGCCTTCTCCAAGAGTCCCAGCATCTTCCACTGGATCACCCAGTTCAGCCAAGTGATTAAGGAAAAGCAAGAGTGTAGAGAAGGCTCACCCACTTTTAACCACCTTGGGCTGGAGGTGACAGTCACTGTTACTTACATTCCATTGATGAGCACTCACCATGTGACCCCCATGTGAGTGGCCTGGGAAATGGAGGAAGGAAAAGGAGAACATGAATATTGATAAACAAAGCACTTGATATTTCTGATGTTCATTTTCCTCATCTATAAAATGGAAATGATAGAGCAGCTGTGAAAACAGCACACACAGGAGGTGCTTAATAAATGTTGATTCTGATTCTCAGTTTATCATTTGCAGTGGGAAACCTTCATTAGTGTCAAATCACATTGAAAGGACTCATCAAAGGCTCTTTAGGAGGATCAAAATTTGATTGGAAGGAAGGGTAAAAAAAAAAAAAAGGAAGAAGAGGTAAAATGAAACCAAAAGGGGAGAAGATATAGCTATCAAACAGTGTTGATGGCACCAGCCATTTCCACCGTGTCTCCCTTAATGCCTAACTTTAGGTAAGGTTTCAGAATGACAAGGACCTGTTACTCACAATTCCCATGATGAATCACAAAAAAAGATGGAGGCAGAAATCATGTTGGTCCTTGTGTCTTCTGCAGGTAATTAAACTAGCGACCAAGCTGGAAACATACATCATACCTACAGGAGGACTATTATTATTAGTCCTGTTATTCTTTTTTTCCATAAGGACAGTAACACGTAGGTTGCTATTAATCATGGCATTCACCAGAAGCAGCTCTGACCTAGTTTCCCACATGAATCACTTCCTTTGAAGGCAGACCCAGCCCACTGCAGAAATTTAGAACCTGCTCCCTGTGCCCCCCACCCTGGGTTTCCTCTTTCACCATACTTTATCTCTCTAGCATAATGGCCTATTTTGATTCCCTGCAAAGGCCAGATCCCTCTGCCTCTGTGGAGTTGCCTATGCTGACCCCTGTGCTTATAAAGTTCTTCAGTATCTTCTGTGTCTCCTGCTTTTTCAGCAAAAAGGTCCTCTGTTTCAGGGAGCCATCCTAGTCAGTGAGAATGTGCACCATTTGTGTTCTCCTGGAGGCTTGTTTTTAGCTCTCTTATTCTACTCTTCACAATGCTCTGGCTACTTCCCTTGTATATAATGAATTTCCTTAGGATAGGAAATGCACCTTTATTTCTATATCTCTGTTGTAGAGCACGCGGACATGTTCAACACGTTTTCCAAATAACAGTTGTCATTTATGTAGCTTCTAAATGCATAACCTTATTTAGTATCTGCAATAACCCACAATGTAGAAACTATAACTATATTTGTATATAACCTGCTATACTAGCAAACTTATAAAATATATTTTTATAAAATATTTATGAAATATGTATCATATATTCGTATATATTTATATATAATTTTAACTATAGTGAAAATGAGGAAACTGAGAGAATTTGACAGCTGTCCACTTAGAAGTATAAAAGTTGAGATTTGAAGCTATATGTGTTTAATTTGAGACCCAGCTCGTAACCCTGACATATACAAGATACATGAATATCAAGAACAATTTAATTACAGTTCCCTCAAAGAGAGATATATTGTACAATGATTCCTTAATACAATCCATATCATTAGTATGAAGAAGGACACTGTAATGGAACATAGTTCTGAGGAAAGCTGTTTCCTGTCTGGGCTCCAGGCTCCAAGTTTCCAACACTTCCTGCTTGGGTCACCATGGTCAGGTTGGTGACTGCGAGGCTACTGAGGGTGGGGTACAACTTTCTTGAAGCCAATGAAGGAACATCAAAAAGCCTGGAACTAAACTCACAGGGATAAAGATCTCTGATGAAATGGGACGACCCTCTTTATCTTCATCACATCCTCTCTGTTAGGAGCTGAATTGTGTCCCCTGAAGTTTGTATGCGAAAGGAGTTGTCATCTCCTTGATGGATGGTCTCAGCTGTGGAGAGCTGCCTTGCCCAAGGTCATGTTCTTTCTGGAGTAGCCCATACCCAGTGGTCAATGAGGGCATATGAAGACCAGGCATCTTAGCTCAACAGTGATGGCTCTGAAGAGCTGCTGTCTCTCAGGAGCTTCTAGAGGCATCAGCCAGAGCTGTTGCTGGCCCTTTCTGGAAGCTCCAAGTGTTTCTCTGCCTGCTCCTGCTTCCACTCCCCTCCTTCCACAGTGTCAATTCCAATACTCCTTAACAAACATCTTGCAGTTGACCCTTTCTCATATAGCTCCTGTAAAAGCTCCAAAGCTCTGGGCTGCTCCAGCTGAAATAAACTTTTCCTCTTGTCTTACCCCTTCTTCGTGCCTTAATGTATACCTCTGGGGTTCCAGCAGCCATCCCGTAACCATAAGGCCACTGCAAGCATGGAAGCATGCTAAGGTTGTGGTACAGAAAAGGAAAGACCCAGGATCTCTGATGACAGCTATAAGCCACTATATTAATTATCTCTGCCCTGCCTACCTCTGGACTTCTTGTTGCATAATAAAAACAAAACTTCTGATATACTTAAACCACTGGTTTTTGGTTGTGGGTTTCTGTTACCTGCAGCCAAACACAATGGCCATTGATACAAAACATTAAACAAATACTCATATAAATGATACCTTTATTTTAATTGAAAAATCTGTCATCAAGTAGATTTAATTATTACTGGAGAATGTAGAATCAGTGGGGTGAGGCAAAATTTTCCATGGGGTAGAAATATCCCTTGATGCTGGAAGGGGGTTGAGTACTTTCTAGTTTCTGACTTACTCTCACTCAAATAAATCATTCTTGACTACGTAGAGCAAAGAGGTGGGAAGCAGGTGGATGAGGTATAGATATAGGCAGATTGGCAGATTGTTGAGAGGTGGATGTCTTTAGCTTGCCTCCAGATTCACTCTCCAGCCTTCCTCACCCTGTTCTCTGGCCTGAGAAGCCAATCTGCATGAATTACACCAATAGGGAAAGCTGGCATGAGATGGGGTGGAAAGAGGAGAAGGTTGTTGGGGTATTTGTTCCTCCCTGTGGTGTGGTCTTTGTGCTGGCTCTGTCCCTCCAAGTAACCTCTTTACATGACTCTTTTCTTCTGTTTTCCAATAGCCAAGAAGTTGTTAATCTGAGATCTGTAAAGTTTAGGAGGTTTGTGAACTTCAATGGGGAAACTAAAAATATATCTTTACAATCACTAATCTCCAACCAAAATTGACCATTTCCTTCAATCACCAAGCTAGGCAACACATCCTAATGGTATTAGCAATACCTGTGACTGCTGTCATGAGTATTTTCGTGTAACATCACAGAGGGTGCAGGCATGTCAAAGTGTCTTTTATGCTCACCCCTACTTTGAAGTTGCAGTCATTATTAGACCCACCATCAGGCCTTGTTAGATAGTGTGTTAAAAAAGAAACCCTTATGTTAATATATTACACACTTATTAGCATATTTTATTCATTGGATTTTAATATCATTGTATTCTTTTGTAATTAGTATTTTATTTTATTTTATTATTTTATTTTTTTACAATTTATTTTATTTTTTTATTATTATTATACTTTAAGTTTGAGGGTACATGTGCACATTGTGCAGGTTAGTTACATATGTATACATGTGCCATGCTGGTGCGCTGCACCCACTAACTCGTCATCTAGCATTAGGTATATCTCCCAATGCTATCCCTCCCCTCTCCCCCCACCCCACAACAGTCCCTAGAGTGTGATGTTCCCCTTCCTGTGTCCATGTGATCTCATTGTTCAATTCCCACCTATGAGTGAGAATATGCGGTGTTTGGTTTTTTGTTCTTGCGATAGTTTACTGAGAATGATGATTTCCAATTTCATCCATGTCCCTACAAAGGACATGAACTCATCATTTTTTATAGCTGCATAGTATTCCATGGTGTATATGTGCCACATTTTCTTAATCCAGTCTATCATTGTTGGACATTTGGGTTGGTTCCAAGTCTTTGCTATTGTGAATAATGCCACCATAAACATATGTGTACATGTGTCTTTATATCAGCATGATTTATAGTCCTTTGGGTATATACCCAGTAATGGGATGGCTGGGTCAAATGGTATTTCTAGTTCTAGATCCCTGAGGAATGCCCACACTGACTTCCACAATGGTTGAACTAGTTTACAGTCCCACCAACAGTGTAAAAGTGTTCCTATTTTTCCAGCACCTGTTGTTTCCTGACTTTTTAATGATTGCCATTCTAACTGGTGTGAGATGGTATCTCATTGTGGTTTTGATTTGCATTTCTCTGATGGCCAGTGATGATGAGCATTTTTTCATGTGTTTTTTGGCTGCATAAATGTCTTCTTTTGAGAAGTGTCTGTTCATGTCCTTCGCCCACTTTTTGATGGGGTTGTTTGTTTTTTTCTTGTAAATTTGTTTGAGTTCATTGTAGATTCTGGATATTAGCCCTTTGTCAGATGAGTAGGTTGCAAAAATTTTCTCCCATTTTGTAGGTTGCCTGTTCACTCTGATGGTAGTTTCTTTTGCTGTGCAGAAGCTCTTTAGTTTAATTAGATCCCATTTGTCAATTGTGGCTTTTGTTGCCATTGCTTTTGGTGTTTTAGCCATGAAGTCCTTGCCCATGCCTATGTCCTGAATGGTAATGCCTAGGTTTTCTTCTAGGGTTTTTATGGTTTTAGGTCTAACGTTTAAGTCTTTAATCCGTCTTGAATTTATTTTTGTATAAGGTGTAAGGAAGGGATCCAGTTTCAGCTTTCTACATATGGCTAGCCAGTTTTCCCAGCACCATTTATTAAATAGGGAATCCTTTCCCCATTGCTTGCTTTTCTCAGGTTTGTCAAAGATCAGATAGTTGTAGATATGCGGCGTTATTTCTGAGGGCTCTGTTCTGTTCCATTGATCTATATCTCTGTTTTGGTACCAGTACCATGCTGTTTTGGTTACTGTAGCCTTGTAGTATAGTTTCAAGTCAGGTAGTATGATGCCTCCAGCTTTGTTCTTTTGGCTTAGGATTGACTTGGCGATGCGGGCTCTTTTTTGGTTCCATATGAACTTTAAAGTAGTTTTTTCCAATTCTGTGAAGAAAGTCATTGGTAGCTTGATGGGGATGGCATTGAATCTGTAAATTACCTTACAGATTTACCATATTGATTCTTCCTACCCATGAGCATGGAATGTTCTTCCATTTGTTTGTATCCTCTTTTATATCCTTGAGCAGTAGTTTGTAGTTCTCCTTGAAGAGGTCCTTCACATCCCTTGTAAGTTGGATTCCTAGGTATTTTATTCTCTTTGAAGCAATTGTGAATGGGAGTTCACTCATGATTTGGCTCTCTGTTTGTCTGTTATTGGTGTATAAGAATGCTTGTGATTTTTGTACATTGATTTTGTATCCTGAGACTTTGCTGAAGTTGCTTATCAGCTTAAGGAGATTTTGGGCTGAGACAATGGGGTTTTCTAGATATACAATCATGTCATCTGCAAACAGGGACAATGTGACTTCCTCTTTTCCTAATTGAATACCCTTTATTTCCTTCTCCTGCCTAATTGCCCTGGCCAGAACTTCCAACACTATGTTGAATAGGAGTGGTGAGAGAGGGCATCCGTGTCTTGTGCCAGTTTTCAAAGGGAATGCTTCCAGTTTTTGCCCATTCAGTATGATATTGGCTGTGGGTTTGTCATAGATAGCTCTTATTATTTTGAAATACATCCCATCAATACCTAATTTATTGAGAGTTTTTAGCATGAAGGGTTGCTGAATTTTGTCAAAGGCTTTTTCTGCATCTATTGAGATAATCCTGTGGTTTTTGTCTTTGGCTCTGTTTATATGCTGGATTACATTTATTGATTTGCGTATATTGAACCAGCCTTGCATCCCAGAGATGAAGCCCACTTGATCATGGTGGATAAGCTTTTTGATGTGCTGCTGGATTCGTTTTGCCAGTATTTTATTGAGGATTTTTGCATCAATATTCATCAAGGATATTGGTCTAAAATTCTCTTTTTTGGTTGTGCCTCTGCCCGGCTTTGGTATCAGAATGATGCTGGCCTCATAAAATGAGTTAGGGAGGATTCCCTCTTTTTCTATTGATTGGAATAGTTTCAGAAGGAATGGTACCAGCTCCTCCTTGTACCTCTGGTAGAATTCGGCTGTGAATCCATCTGGTCCTGGACTCTTTTTGGTTGGTAAGCTATTGATTATTGCCACAATTTCAGATCCTGTTATTGGTCTATTCAGAGATTCAACTTCTTCCTGGTTTAGTCTTGGGAGAGTGTACGTGTCCAGGAATTTATCCATTTCTTCTAGATTTTCTAGTTTATTTGCGTAGAGGTGTTTGTAGTATTCTCTGATGGTAGTTTGTATTTCTGTGGGATCGGTGGTGATATCCCCTTTATCATTTTTTATTGCATCTATTTGATTCTTCTCTCTTTTTTTTCTTTATTAGTCTTGCTAGCAGTCTACCAATTTTGTTGATCCTTTCAAAAAACCAGCTCCTAGATTCATTAATTTTTTGAAGGGTTTTTTGTGTCTCTATTTCCTTCAGTTCTGCTCTGATTTTAGTTATTTCTTGCCTTCTGCTAGCTTTTGAATGTGTTTGCTCTTGCTTTTCTAGTTCTTTTAATTGTGATGTTAGGGTGTCAATTTTGGATCTTTCCTGCTTTCTCTTGTGGGCATTTAGTGCTATAAATTTCCCTCTACACACTGCTTTGAATGCGTCCCAGAGATTCTGGTATGTTGTGTCTTTGTTATCGTTGGTTTCAAAGAACATCTTTATTTCTGCCTTCATTTCGTTATGTACCCAGTAGTCATTCAGGAGCAGGTTGTTCAGTTTCCATGTATTTGAGAGGTTTTGAGTGAGATTCTTAATCCTGAGTTCTAGTTTGATTGCACTGTGGTCTGAGAGATAGTTTGTTAAAATCTCTGTTGTTTTACATTTGCTGAGGAGAGCTTTACTTCCAAGTATGTGGTCAATTTTGGAACAGGTGTGGTGTGGTGCTGAAAACAATGTATATTCTGTTGATTTGGGGTGGAGAGTTCTGTAGATGTCTATTAGGTCCGCTTGGTGCAGAGCTGAGTTCAATTCCTGGGTATCCTTGTTGACTTTCTGTCTCGTTGATCTGTCTAATGTTGACAGTGGGGTATTAAAGTCTGCCATTATTAATGTGTGGGAGTCTAAGTCTCTGTGTAGGTCACTCAGGACTTGCTTTATGAATCTGGGTGCTCCTGTATTGGGTGCATATATATTTAGGATAGTTAGCTCTTCTTGTTGAATTGATCCCTTTACCATTATGTAATGGCCTTCTTTGTCTCTTTTGATCTTTGTTGGTTTAAAGTCTGTTTTATCAGAGACTAGGATTGCAGCCCCTGCCTTTTTTTGTTTTCCATTGGCTTGGTAGATCTTCCTCCATCCTTTTATTTTGAGCCTATGTGTGTCTCTGCACGTGAGATGGGTTTCCTGAATACAGCACACTGATGGGTCTTGACTCTTTATCCAATTTGCCAGTCTGTGTCTTTTAATTGGAGCATTGAGTCCATTTACATTTAAAGTTAATATTGTTATGTGTGAATTTGATCCTGTGATTATGATGGTAGCTGGTTATTTTGCTTGTTAGTTGATGCAGTTTCTTCCTAGTCTCAATGGTCTTTACATTTTGGCATGATTTTGCAGCGGCTGGTACCGGTTGTTCCTTTCCATGTTTAGCGCTTCCTTCAGGAGCTCTTTTAGGGCAGGACTGGTGGTGACAAAATCTCTCAGCATTTGCTTGTCTGTAAAGTATTTTATTTCTCCTTCACGTATGAAGCTTAGTTTGGCTTGATATGAAATTCTGGGTTGAAAACTCTTCTCTTTAAGAATGTTGTATATTGGCCCCCACTCTCTTCTGGCTTGTAGGGTTTCTGCCTAGAGATCCGCTGTTAGTCTGATGGGCTTCCCTTTGAGGGTAACCCGACCTTTCTCTCTGGCTGCCCTTAACATTTTTTCCTTCCTTTCAACTTTGGTGAATCTGCCAATTATGTGTCTTGGAGTTGCTCTTCTCGAGGAGTATCTTTGTGGTGTTCTCTGTATTTCCTGAATCTGAACGTTGGCCTGCCTTGCTAGATTGGGGAAGTTCTCCTGGATAATATCCTGCAGAGTGTTTTCCAGCTTGGTTCCATTCTCCCCATCACTTTCAGGTACACCAATCAGATGTAGATTTGGCCTTTTCACATAGTCCCATATTTCTTGGAGGCTTTGCTGATTTCTTTTTATTCTTTTTTCTCTAAACTTCCCTTCTCGCTTCATTTCATTCATTTCATCTTCCATCGCTGATACCCTTTCTTCCAGTTGATCGCATCGGCTCCTGAG
The DNA here is from genome assembly GCF_000001405.40 of Homo sapiens. NCBI lineage: Eukaryota > Metazoa > Chordata > Mammalia > Primates > Hominidae > Homo > Homo sapiens. The sequence goes on along the minus strand of NC_000004.12, from coordinate 15,175,228 downwards.
GCTTCTGCATTCTTCACATAGTTCTTGAGCCTTGGTTTTCAGCTCCATCAGCTCCTTTAAGCACTTCTCTGTATTGGTTATTCTAGTTATACATTCTTCTAAATTTTTTTCAAAGTTTTCAACTTCTTTGCCTTTGGTTTGAATGTCCTCCCGTAGCTCAGAGTAATTTGATCGTCTGAAGCCTTCTTCTCTCAGATCGTCAAAGTCATTCTCCATCCAGCTTTGTTCCGTTGCTGGTGAGGAACTGCGTTCCTTTGGAGGAGGAGAGGCGCTCTGCTTTTTAGAGTTTCCAGTTTTTCTGTTCTGTTTTTTCCCCATCTTTGTGGTTTTATCTACTTTTGGTCTTTGATGATGGTGATGTACAGATGGATTTTTGGTGTGGGTGTCCTTTCTGTTTGTTAGTTTTCCTTCTAACAGACAGGACCCTCAGCTGCAGGTCTGCTGGAATACCCTGCCGTGTGAGGTGTCAGTGTGCCCCAGCTGGGGGGTGCCTCCCAATTAGGCTGCTCGGGTGTCAGGGGTCAGGGACCCACTTGAGGAGGCAGTCTGCCCGTTCTCAGATCTCCAGCTGCATGCTGGGAGAACCACTGCTCTCTTCAAAGCTGTCAGACAGGGACATTTAAGTCTGCAGAGGTTACTGCTGTCTTTTTGTTTGTCTGTGCCCTGCCCCCAGAGGTGGAGCCTACAGAGGCAGGCAGGCCTCCTTGAGCTGTGGTGGGCTCCACCCAGTTGGAGCTTCCCGGCTGCTTTGTTTACCTAAGCAAGCCTGGGCAATGGCGGGCGCCCCTCCCCCAGCCTCGCTGCCGCCTTGCAGTTTGATCTCAGACTGCTGTGCTAGCAATCAGCGAGACTCCGTGGGTGTAGGACCCTCCAAGCCAGGTGCCGGATATAATCTCGTGGTGTGCCGTTTTTTAAGCCGGTCAGAAAAGTGCAGTATTTGGGTGGGAGTGACCCAATTTTCCAGGTGCGTCCGTCACCCCTTTCTTTGACTAGGAAAGGGAACTCCCTGACCCCTTGCGCTTCCCGAGTGAGGCAATGCCTCACCCTGCTTCCGCTCACACACGGTGCCCGCACCCACTGACCTGCGCCCACTGTCTGGCACTCCCTAGTGAGATGAACCTGGTACCTCAGATGGAAATGCAGAAATCACCCGTCTTCTGCATCGCTCACGCTGGGAGCTGTAGACCGGAGCTGTTCCTATTCGGCCATCTTGGCTCCTCCCCCTGTAATTAGTATTTTATTAAATTCATTTAAAGACATTCCCTTGAGATAGGGTCTTTGGAGTTCATCAGAGTGACAAAAGGTTAGGAGCCCGCAGAGTAATCATTTCTGCCCTTATTTCATCAGCCTATTGGTGGCAACTGCTCCACTCTCACCAGTCTTAAGAAGGACAGGAATTTTACCTTGTGGTTCGTCTACACTCTCCACACCATTTTAAGTAGTCCCTCCTGACATTATCCTAATTTCAGTACGCTGTCTGTGTCCTGCTAGGGCACTGACTGATAAACCCTGTAAAGGATTTTGACTTCATAGTCAAGAGTGACAGTGGGACCTTGGCCAGGTCACTTGGTTAGTCTGAGTGTCTGTTTTTCTCTTTTGTAAAATGAAGATAATACCCAACGCACTGATATCAAAGCATCCACATTATTGTCAGTCAGAACAAATCAATGTAATACATTTGAATACTGGCACAATAAAAATATTGCATAAGCCATGTCATCTGCACCTCGGCTTTCTCTTCCTTCCTTCCATCTGTTGGGGTTGGTCAGCAGGTTGGCAGAACCAAAGTGGACTGTGTTGGCCTGAAGAGAGAGGCCGTTCCAGGGGACAGTCAGCACATGTGTTGTTTCTACAGTGAAGGCTTCATGGCTGAGGCAGGAGGTATTTCTTTTCATCTCTTTATCTGTAATTCTTGAGTCAAGTCTCAATAAAGTGCGTTTTCATTTAAGAACCCAGAACAATATTTCTGAAACAGGAATAATATATAGACACTCTTTTAAAGAAATTATTTTTTAAAATATGGTGTTTTCCTAGTGTTCAATTATTTTAATTATAATATTACTTAAATGTGTACAAATACATTGGATATATACTCTTATGCTTATAGCTTTTGTACAGCTATGTATTAAAAACAAATTTGAAATTAAATAAAGGAGATGGTATTAAGATGATAAACTGAGCACATGCTAAAATTTCCTTTTCTTGCCCCAAATATATAAAATAAACTATCCATAACAATGTTGAAAAATAAGAACTACTCTACATAGACCAGAAATTATAAAGAATGCCTGAGAGGCTTGAGGCAGATGGTATATGTATAATTGATGAAGCCTTAGTCCTAAACACACCCAGGGGGTGCCTGCTCGCAGTTGGGAGTGGCTTCAAATACTCTGTGTAACTGCTAAGGATTGGATACTGGGGCAGGAGGGAGCTCTAGGGAGCTCTTGATAGTCAAGGTGACTTCTACAAAACCACAGCAGGATAAACCAGATGGCTTGCTTCTCTCTCCTCCCTGCCATTAGCACCCACTTTTAAGGGCAGTAGCAGAAGGGTCCTCCCTAGGCAGGAGCACTAAGTGGAGGCATTGGGCCTGAGAGGCAGAATAACCCCATGAGTGGCAGATGATAGTCAAGGGAAACAGGGAGCCTCCATGACCAGAAGCCTAGCAACTGACCCTCCCAGTACGCAGAACATCTCACCTTCGTTTTATCATTGCAGGCAACAGGCAGTATAGTCTAGTTCTGAAAAAGACAAACAGAGATTCAGAAATACAAAGATCAGCACAAAACATTAGAAACATCAGACATTTAAGAAAGTCAATCTAATAAAGGAAGACAGCAAACTCAACAAACCCAAGTTCTGAGAACTAAGGAAATCAAATTAATACAGCAATTATGGAGTGATGAGAGAGGACATTGCATCCAAATAAAAATAATTGACATAGGATATTTTGTTGAAATAAAAGGAAAAATCAGTAGTTGTACTGAGTGTAGAAATCAGAAGTCCTATGAGGGGTTCTAGAGGAAAAGAACACAGAGCATAGAAAGAAATAGTAAAAAAAGGAGAAACATATTCAACTTGAAGAAGACATGAATTTCAGATTTAAAAAGACTATTAGGTGCTGGACAGAAAGAATGTGAAATATTCCAGATTTAAACATATTTAAAAATTTTTAAACCACTTAAAAAAAAAAGGAGGAAATCCCAAACTTTTCAGACAAGGAAAAAGAAAGTTCCCTATAAGAGAGAATAAATTATATTGGCATAAATCTTTCATTTACAACACTGGATGCAAGAGGAAAATATAACAGTATAACTGGATTTCTATACCCAGCCAAACTATTGTTCACTTCAAATGGAAATACAAAATAGGCACTTATCACTAACTTGGATAGTTTATCATCTTTAATCTGTAACTGAAAAAATCACTAGAAATTGTACTTGAAAAAAAACAAACAAACAAAAAACAAACCCAAGAGGAAGATGTGAGGTAAAAGGAGAAGAGAGAAAACAAAACCAGTAAAATATGCTACTAACAATAACAACATTTTAATTATTAGAATATGTAATAACTTTAATAAATCTCAGATTATCTCACATGGTAGCTGAAGGCAAATGAAAGAAAAAGGAAAACTTAAAGTGTGGTTAGGTCTTGTTCTATTTGGGAGTAACTATAGATAGCAGTGAACTCTAGATATAGACTAAAACAAAAAGAAATGCTAAGCATAAATGCATGTGTTGTGAACCATGCACAAAGGACTTGCTTGAACACTGTGCAAAGAGACTTGAACACACTTCAGCCAGCCTTCCATATGCACTAGGTTGTGTCCCTAAAGCTGACCTCTGGCTTCCACTAGGTTATCTCCCCAAAGGTGACCTCAGCCCCAGCTAAGTCTTTGCTCAAGAAAAGACAATGCTGATTGGGCGCAGTGGCTCACACTTGCAATCCTAGCAATTTGGGAGGCTGAGGTGGGTGGATTACTTGAGGTCAGGAGTTTGAGACCAGCCTGGCCAATATGGTGAAACCCCCGTCTCTACTAAAAAAAAAAAAAAAAAAAAAAAATACAGAAATTAGCCAGACATGGTGGCATATGCCTGTAGTCCCAGCTACTCAGGAGACTGAGGCAGGAGAATTGAACCAGCGAGGCAGAGGTTTCAGTGAGCTGAGATCATGCCACTGTACTCCAGCCTGGGAGACAGAGCAAGGCTGTCTCAAGAAAAAAAAAAGAAAGAAAAGAAAAGAAAAGATAATGCTGCCAGACCTCAGAAAGTACATTGTTCCAGCCCACACCACCAAACCATTTTAGTAATTAATTCTCTATTTACCTCTTTCTGTAATTTTTCTTGTGCAATTTCTCTGTAGCCCCCTACTTTCTTTTGGTTCCTGCTTTCATACTTCCTGACAGCTCCCTCTTTGCTCTCCCTTTGCAGCCTTATTTCCCTTGTCTTGCTTAGAATTGAGCTCAGTTTATACTGGTCACTCTCCTACTGCAGGAGCCTGAATAAAAATATTTAGATAAGAATTGGAGTAATCAAGTAAAACGATAACTTCTTAGCCTGAGGACATCAAGTTTAGATAGTGTAGTCATAAAGAAGGTCCCTTTGAGGAAGAGACATTTAAATCAAAAGCTGAAGGGCAAAAATGAGGCAGACCTCCCCCAAAGCTGGGGAAAGAGTATCCTAGGTAGAGATTACACCAAGTGTAGAAGCCCCGGGCAGGAAAAGACCTCAGCAATTTGAACAACAAAGAGAAGACAAATGTGAAAAAGGTGAAAAGTAAGCAAGACAGAAAGTGGTTTTAGGTGAGGTTTGGGAGGCAGGCAGGGACACTTGGAGATCTCTAGGCTGCCTGATTTTTTGGCTACCCATATTTCTGCTTAGAGCATTATAATAATTCCGAATGATTTATAACTCATATGTGTCCTTGTCTAGCTTTCTCCCTAGGCAAGGAGCTTAAAGAAGGCAAGCACTGTATCTCATCACTGGTATTTCCCCAGCATCACACACACAGCCAGCTCTTAGTAACTGCTCAGTAAATGAAGAGTTGTTAATTCCTGTGCATTTTTTTGGGTCTCTTGCCACAAACTCTACAATTCTGCCAGATTTGAGATTGAATAGGAAAGAGAAGCAGGTATCTTCTTATGTTTCTTCAAAGAGCTGTTAGGCTGTTTAGAAAGAAAGGTTGTAGCTGCAGGCACATCCCTCAAACAAGGGCCAGGCTTCCAGGGTGAAGGCATTTTCCCCAACACTGAATTTGAACTACTCTCCCCGCTCACTGTCCACCTACCCCAGCATACAGGAAGCTTAGACCTGAGAAGCTGAAAACCGGGCTCCTGAGTTGAAAATACGAACACACGTGAGCCACAGATCTTCCGGGTAAATGTGCCTGCACATGGCCCCTCATTCCATGGGCGCCATCCCTGTCAGATTTGAAGATTGGCTCATGGAGTTCTACAGCTTCTCACCAGGACACAGTTGGGTGCCATGGGGCGTGGGGGTAGATAATCAGCAGATGCGGGCCTGCCCTTCCACCCAAGAGAGGTTCTCAAAGGACTCCCTGTTCCCTTTGATCAAACAAAGTGGAGTGAACTAACAACCAGCTCAGTGGAGTTACATTTTCTTGGAAAGAAAAAGCACTAGGAGAGATGACTTGCTAGTTTACTTCAGAAGCGAGCACTCAGGTGGTATTGTTGACTGGAATCGCCCGACAGGGCTGGAGAAACAGCCCCATCCCCATCATGGAGGACAGGAACCTATTCTTTGGAAACTGAGGTCTTTCCATCTGGTACCCTGGAAACACTCAGAGGGACTGTGACCAACATAGCTCTGCATTCCACGGGAGAGTCTTCTCATCATTGTTGCAGAGAAAAGTCTTCTGTTCCTGGAGGAAACCTAGAGCAGGAGACCAGGAGGTCCTTTAGTCTAATTCTCTCCACATTAAGGACCAAAATCGTATAAACCTCTTTATATAAGTGAATGCCCCGGTCCCAGTTCACACTGAGGGTGATGCAAGATTATGAGTAGAGAGGCCTCTTGCTTGGGTATTTTGAAAACAAAAAGTTCCCTGGATGATTCCAGTACACTCTTATAGTAAAAAATATAATATATATATTTAAAAACAGAATGCATCCACTTTTTCTTGAGTTTGGTGTCTGTGTGTGTGTGTGTGTGTGTGTGTTTAGGAGTGAAAGTGTGGAGGTGAGTTCTAACTTGTGCTGCTCATTGTTCTGGGGAAGCAGCTGGGAGAGATGCTGAATCCTGGAATAAGCTGATCTGACAAATTTCCTTACTCATTCTTTTAAGACCTGGTTTAGACATATCCTTTCTGAAGGCTTTTCTGATTCACCCAAGCAGACTTGATCCTTTTCCTCTTTTGACCCCACTCTACCACTAGCAACTTATTAAGGGGCTTCCAATCTTGTAATTAAATGCTTATCTGTCTCCTCCAGTCCATAGTCTTCCTTCATGGGCTGGCTTCATACTTTTCTCTTTAACCCCCATCTTCTGTAAATGTTTGCTGATTAAATGAGGTGGAATGGGCACGGGAATAGTTCCCAACCTAGGGACTGCTGATCCTCCAGACATTCACCATAGCAATAACTAGGATGCATAAGCCATTATTAATCTTAAACATTTTTAATGAATATTGCACATCTACTCTCAAGAGCTTAGCTCCAGCTGTGTGAAATGCCCCTTTACTTGGTGGTTAGTTTATCAACTCTGTGCTAATACAGCTGTCAGATAAGATATCATTGGCTACACGTAGATCAATAATGAAATTATTACTTAGTCAATAGGATGTTCTTTCTAAGTAGACAAAATCATTGGTAACCTGATGTCTTTGTAGGGAAAATAAAAACAATAAAAAGAAAAAGATAACTGGAGCTTTGGGGGACATTGTCTCACAAAACCTGTCACTGAATAAGGGTTAGAGTTGATAGGAATAGTTGGCTTTGCTGACTGTCTAAAACAAAGCCAGGCAGAGGACATTTCTGGATTCAGAGAACAATGGAGGTTCCTTGATTTCAAAACTTACCACACCCTCCCAAAAGGAAAACAAAGAATAACAAGGAGAAAAAGCAGACAAAACGACACATGACCATGTCTTTTGTTAGTAGGAGACAGAAGCATCACAACCTCTAACTTACCTGTAAGTAGAGAAAAAGGTGAATTCCAATAGAGCCCCTGCCTGTGGGTGAGAGATTAGAAAAGGGGAGGCTTGAGAGTCTTCATAAAATGTGCAAACAAAATAAACCCAGAAACGAAAGTCCAACATTAAAATCCAAAGTACAGAATGTATCCTGTGACCTGAAATTGTCAGTACTGGACACAGGGCAGAGAGAGAAGAGAGGGAAGAGAGGGAAGAGCTGCAGAGAGAGAAGAGCTGGTGCCCCTGGGAGACAAACCAATGAAGAACATCAGCAGGGGAGATAAATTACTCTCCAAGAGAAATATACCCTCCTTCACCCCATCCCACCCCAACTTAGGGCCCAAATCATCCATAAAAGAAACTACCTAGAAGAGGGAAGAACGCGAAGAAAGGGAAGCTCTTAAATTAGGAAGCCTGTTCATGAAACGAATAAGAATCAAGAAAATCAAGCATATATATATATATTTATATATATATATATATATATATATATATGTATATATATAAAATAATATATATAATAATATATATCTCATATAATATTTATATGAGATTGTTATAAAAAATTAGAAAATGAGAATCAAAGCATTTCTGTTAACAGAAATTCTCCCCAGGAAATTTAGCCAAAAATCAGAAGAAAACTCTAAAACAAGTGTAAAGGAACACTCCAAAGTGAATCAATTTACAGATATGAAAAAACACATTGAATCAGAAATATGAAAACTAGGAACAGAAATAGACCCCCAAAAAAGCACACACAACAACTACCCAGAAAGAACCCCAAAGAGTAGGTTTTCAAAATAATTTTTAATAAAGATAGGGTCTTGCTATGTTGCTTAGGCTGAACTCAGAGTCCTGGGCTCAAGTGATTCTGCTGCTCATCCTCCTAAGTAGCTGGGACTGCAGGTGGGTGCCACCCAGCTTCCCTGATCTGATCACTATACTTTATGTGTATCAAAATATCACTGTGCATCCCATGAATATGTGCAATAACTGTGTTGATTTTTAAAAAATTAAAAGAATGCAAACAATTTTTTAAAACCCAGAAAATAATAAAATGAGTGAAAATGAATTGGGAAGGGACTTGGGAAAGAAATAGGGCAAAAGATAAAAGTTCATCAGTAATGAAGACTGAAGAGGAGGATAGAATCAAATAAAATGGAAAGAATGTTGACAAAAATAGATCACCAATCAAAATAATGATGACATGAAGAACAAAGTAAAAAAGGTCAGAGGGAAACTGGTTGAAATGACATAAAATTGGAAAAGGGTGTCTAACATACCTATGATTGGCATCCCCAAATAAGAAAATAAATAGAACTAATATTTTAAAAAGTGAAATTCCAGAAAAGTTCCAGAACTAAAAGGAAAACTGAATTTACACATAGACAGGGCCTAAAGGGAACTAGGAAAAAATGGAGTAATTGATTCTGGGACATGGTCTAGTAAAATCAATAGACATTAAAGGAAAAGAAAAAATCCTCAAGTCCTCCAGGCACAAAGATAGAATAACTTAGAAAGGCAAGATAATTAGTTTGTCATCAGACTTCTTTAAAACAACATGAAAAGCAAGGCAATAGCAGAGTTGCATTCTCTGTTAGGGAATGAGCTTCAATCAACCAAAAGATGTCTGGGAAAGCTTTGCCAAAAGTACTAATAAAAAATAATATGTAGACATTACATGTTCTCACAAATAAGAACGAACACAACTTTAAAAATGAGAGGAGACTTCAACTTCTACAAAAGTGAAGAGGACACATTTTCCTATATTTCTACCACTGTGTGAAGCTAAAAATCTGAACATTACATGTAAAATGAACATAAGAAGGCTTGGAAAGGTGAAGAGAAGAAAATAGACTTCTAGAGACTGACAAAAGGCCCTGAATTGGAAAGGTGCACCGAAACATGCCAGCACTAGAGATAAATCAAAACAGAATTCTAAAAAAAGTTCAAGTAACCTACAGGAAGGCAGAAAAAGCAAAGCTGGAAAACAGAAGAAATAAGCAGAGAACAAAAAACAATATGGCAGACTTCAGCTTTATTACATCAATAATTGAAGGCAACACCTTCAAAATGGCAAACTATAGATGGAGGACAAATTACTGATGGCCAGTGTTTTGGGATTTAGGGAGGGATGGGAGTAGAGGTGGCAATACAGAAGTAGCCCAAGGGAGATCTCTGTGGTAATGGAATGTCTGTGTTTTGATCACAGTGGTGGTTACACAAATCTGCCATTGTGATAAGACAACATAGAATTATATAAACATGTTATACCAATGTCAATTTCTGGTTTGATACTATACTATACAATTTTGTCATCTGTAACTATTGTGGGAAACTGAAGTGTACATAGGACCACTCTGTCCCATCTTTGCAACCTCTGTGAATCTAGAATTATCTTTAAATAAAAAATTATAAAATAAGTAACAATATTAAAATAGGAGGAGAAGACAGAGAAATAGTAAAAAGCAGAATAAATCATTTAGGTGTAAGTAGAAGAATTTTTTTGAACTGAAAAGATAATAAAGAAGGGTAAGTAGGAAAATAGAGAATTAGTAGAATATAAAAAGTATTGATACCAATAAAAACACTATGCTAAAAAGAAAATTTTTGTGAAAACCAAAAGTAAAAAAAGGAGAACACATCAAATAGAGAAGAAACACAGTAAATGTAATGAAATGTACACATGTATCAAAACATAAAATAGTCAAAATTGAGACCAAACCAGTCAGTCCTATCAATAAACATGAAGGGATTTAGCATATCTATTTTTTAAGTATGCAGCATTTCAAATTGGTTTATAAAGCAAAACCCAACTCAATACCATATATGAGAGACACTCTTTAAATGAATGAATCAAAAGAACTATAAATGAAGGGATGGACAAAAACTTACCAAGGAAATGGAAATAATCAAAGTCAGGCATCTATGCTGTGTGAATTATTTAAGAACAAGGCTCTGTAGTAGGATGCCTGGGTTTGAATCCCTGCCCATTCCCATCTCCTAATATTTCTCCTTCATTTATTCTGTTCTAGTCAATCTGTCCCTCTTGCTGGTCCTCAGAAATTCCGAACACCCTCCATGTCCATGCTCTCTTCCTGGATCAGTCCTTCTCCAGGTACCCATGGAATTGCTTCACCACGTTCTTTGTCTTTCTTCCCTTAAAACTCCTTATCAGAGAGGAGATACCTAGCCCGTATATAAAACAGTAATCCCTAGCATTGAAATACAAAATAGCAAACTGCACAGCACTTATCATCACTTGACATATGACATGCATTAGTCAGCTTGGACTGTCATAACAAAATACCACAAACAGTGATTTAAACAACAGACATTTATTTCTCACAGTTCTGGAGGTTGGAAATTCCAGATCAAGATCCAGTAGAGTTTGACTCCTGGTGAGAGCTGTCTTTCTGACTTGTACATGGCCACCTTCTCGCAGCAGTCCTCACATAACATTTCCTCTGAGTGCATGTTCTGAGTTCCTCTTCTCATAAAGACCTTAGTTCTATCAAATGAGGGTTCCACCCTTGTGATTTCATTTACCTTAATTGCCTCCTAAAGGCCTTATCCAAATACAGTCACTCTGAGGGTTATAGCTTCCACATAAGAATTTTGGGGGAAGATAATTTAGTCCATAGCATGACATATTTGTTTATCATCTGCTGATGCAGACTCCATGAAGGCAAGAACCTACCTGTTCTGTTCACTGCTGTGTCCTACTGTCTCAAATATGGCCTGACGTAATTAGAGCTCAAGAAAAACTGTGATGAACTGTGAATTAATGAATAAGTGAAAAAAAGCTAGAATGTCTTTGGTGTGTCCTTGCCCTCACGAATCTTCCCTTTTCTCATCCATAAAAAGGGAATAATAAAAATACCTCTCACTGTTCTGTTTTAAAAATTCAAGGAGGCAATTCATGCCAAGTGTTCCCTATTGCACGTAGCATATAGTAAGAGCACAGTTTAGATTAGTTATTGCTGTATTATTGTTGTCATATGATTATGTTGAGGCTAATGTACTACTGTGTTCCTCATTACAAAGCTGATCAAGATGGAGGAGACAGGAGAGAGCTGGCCCAGCACGGTCTAGAGGGATGGTGGTCGTTGTTTCAGCAGATGTCATAGATAGGTGCTCTTGTTTTTAATTTATACTTTGACATGAAATTGGAGATGTTTACCTGGCTTGAGAACAAACAAGCCCATGCCCTATGTTTTATGGTCTATATAGGTAGTTAATAACCTGTTCTACCATCCTGTTTCAAGTTTTATGATATCACTATGATCTGACCTCTACACATGTCACCATTTCCATGGGATGTTGGGAAGCCTCATTCGCAATTGTGGGAGAGGGAACATGCTTTTTTGCATAGCCCCTAGTCCAAATCTACCCCAGCTGGGAAGGCTTTGGAAATTCTGGGTTCATCACACTACAGGGTCTACAGTCAGGCAACCTCGGTGGACACTGATCCCTCGGAGGAAGATAACTAAGCAGATGAGCTTATCCAAACCTTAGACTCAGCCAGCTGATTATCTCTTTTAGCTTTATCTGAGGAAACAATGCATTACCATGCCTTCCTCTCACCCCAGTCTGTCCTCTAATCCTTAACAACCCACACAAACAACCACAGAATTCATGGTCAAAATTGAGCCCTGAGTGAATCTTGACTCTTTGAGCTTTTGTCTTGGGGAACAATTAATCATTGCTGAGAAGCAGATAAGATGTGGCTTGTGCACATCATCCATCATTCTTGCCGAACTCGAGGAACTGTCCAGTTATTCTGGAGTTGTAGGGTGGAGGTTGTCACCAGCATCAGCTGGCAAAATACCTTTATAGAACATTCAGGCCCATGGAGTCTGTTTCAGTCAGCAAATCCAAAGGGTATTGTCTACTTCTCTGTACAGAAGGCAACTGCCCATGCACAGACTCCCACACCAATGCCTGACCTGTCCACAGCCAGACCTGTGATGGGCTTGGTGTTAGATCCCAAAGCTTTTTTGACCCTCACCCAACTGGTTTCTGCCTTTGGGAATAGAAATGCTGATAAGGAAATAGTTGTCTTCAGATGGCAATCACCTTAAGGAAGTACAAACCTTGAAGAGCACCTTAAAATATAAAACCAAACAAAACAGACTGTATCTGAAAGATCAGATTGCTACCGCTATTGCTTCAGACTGCCAGAAGATGGGGCCCCATCTATTTTTTTTTAATATTCTTTTGCAAACTCCAGATATTGTGGGAGAAAACCTGGGTCGGTGAGTTTATACCACAGCAAATGATTTCACTTCAGCTTTATTTTTGCAGCTTTCTTTCTTTCTTTTTCTTTCTTTCTTTCTTTCTCTTTCTTCTCTCTTTCTTTCTTTCTCTCTCTTTCTTTCCTTCTTTCCTTTCTTTCTTCTTTCTTTCTCCCTTTCCTTTCCTTTCTTTTCCTTTCCTTCCCTTTCCCTTTCTCCTTCCTTCCTTCCTTCCTTCTCCTTCCTTCTGTCATCTTTTCCTTCTTTCTCTCTTTCTGTCTCTTTCTTTCTTTCATCACTGTGTATTCTTTGGAGACTATTTGAGAACTCTTTTCTCCTCTTTTTATTTTTAAATATACATAATGACAACTCCTCAAGCTTGGCTTTCAAAATGAGTAAAATAGAAGCCATGGCTCTTTCACTAGTTGCCACTTACTTCAGTTTTTTACCCAGAAAAATAGAAGTTTAATAACATCTGCCATACCTATTTGGTGGAGCCTTATTTTAAGCCTTTGAAAGCCTCAGAAGAAAGGTGGAATGCCCGCTAACAAAGAGTGATTATCTATCCTCAAGGACTCAGCTTGGGAGACCCCATTATCACACCACTCCCACATCAGGAGGTAACATAACAAAAGGTAATAAAGGAGGCCTTTTGTGAGTGTGTTGGGGAAGAAAGATGACTCTTGAAGAATAAGCAGGAGGAGGTGGGAAATGAAAAAAGACAGGAGAGAAATGCTATTTCTCTTTTTTGAGCAGTATAATTTACTGTATGCATCCTCTGAAATGCTCTATTGTATGTATGTGTGTTTTCCCTTTAGTAAAGGCCTAATTTCCCCCCTTAACTCAATTCCTCTGTCCCAGTTTAAAAACAAAACCAAACAACAAACCCTCCTTCCCCCACCCCCTGCCACACACACAATTCACTGGACTTAAGTGCAGTTATAATTTCTGTGACAATATGAAGAATTTCAAAACCACGCTTGCAACTTCTTAGTGAAATTATACTGTGGCTCCCGGAAAAAATCAGCTTTACAGAGCAGCTTATGCTGAATCCTAGCCTGGTTCCCAGTCAAGCTATACACAGAGAACCCCTGTCAGCAGAGGGGAAAAATCTTCTGATGGGTTGATTGGGTGGTTGGACCAGCCCCTCTCAGACATCTTGGTGGCACCAGATACAAGGAATTTACAGATTTTATGGTATGATTCAGTTCCTGATTAAGGTTCACAGGCAAATGGTCTGGCTGTGGCTAAATCTTGCTTGTCTTGGAACCACTCTCAGGCAATACCCTGCTCTCTCTGAATTGAAATTGGCAGTTCCCTTGACTCATTTTTTTTTTCTTTAATTTAAGAGACTGTGTTGTGTCTTTGTGTCAGTGAAGTCTTAAGATTTTTGTAGTTATATATAAGATATTCACTAGCTTGAGACACCTGCCTTGTGTATCTGGACTTGTAGGCTACCTTAGAGAAGGTGCTTTTGGGCTGAATTCAACACCCTGAGTTCTGAGCCATGTTGTGTCTTGCTGAAGAGGTCAGCAATATTGTCAAAAATGTGAACCTCTTGGAAGATCAGGTCTAGTTAAATCCCTGCTAGTCCAGTTTTCTTCCAGATTTCAAGCAATACTGTCAAAGATAAGAGCATTCACCAGTCATGGATACTACAGCTATTCAAGCTATTCATTTCTATAGATGAGATTAAGGTTGACCATGTGGCTGACCCACCTTCATCAAACACTTCTGCAAGTGCAAATGTCCTGCTTTGTCATTTGCACCATCTTCTCCTCACAAAGCAGGCAAAGGGGACTATGTTCCAGCTCCTAACCTTTCTCCATAGACAACTAAAAATGGCAGGCAGTATAGTAGTTAAGCCCCATCAACTTCAACTCACATCTCAACCTTATTAATCACTAACTGATCTTATGTCTTTACTGTAAGCCCTTGTCCTTATATATAAAATGGGGATTATCAGAGTGGCTGCACTCTGCACAGTGTTTGGCACACAGTGAGGACTCAGTACATGTTAGCCCTCATTCTCCTCCATCCTCAGCAACAGATAAAAAAAAAATAGAAAAACTGCAATAGACTTTAGAAATCATCCATTCCAGCAACTTTGAAATCTTTTAAAGCCATGGAGAATGTTCCGTAGAAATGAAACTGTCGGCAGAAACATAAACTTGTGAATTAGATCCATGAAAAGTGTTTCTGAAGAAGGTAGGAAGAGCTGGAAGATGAGGGATCCTACCTGCCTGGCCCTCCTCCTTCCTTTCCCTGTCCCCAGAACACTCCTGAAGATCACGTCTCTAGCACATTAGAATTCCCAGGTTTAGACTCAGACAACCACTCATCTAACCCTGATCCACCATGTTAAAAAAACAAGCTGACAGATGAAATGAGTCTCAGGTATGGCCATGTAGCTACAGAAAGACCTAGTCAGACTTGAAAAGCCTTTCTTTTTTTTTTTTTTTTTTTTTTTTTTTGAGACAGAGTCTTGCTCTGTTGCCCAGGCTGAAGTGCAGTGGCAGGATCTCGGCTCACTGCAAACTCCGCCTCCTGGGTTCAAGCGATTCTCCTGCCTCAGCCTCCTGAGTAGCTGGGACTACAGGCACCCGCCACCACACCTAGCTAATTTCTGTATTTTTAGTAGAGATGGGGTTTCACCATGTTGACCAGGATGGTCTCGATCTCCTGACCTCGTGATCCACCGGCCTCGGCCCCCCAAAGTGCTGGTATTATAGGCATGAGCCACAGTGCCCGGCCCGAAAAGTCTTTATTACATACCCTTGAACTAGGCACTGGAGAAAAGTTCTATTAGTCTTCATCTACTTTATGTTCTGAAGCTAAAATCAGGGTTTATGCTCTTGCCAACAAGCAAAATATTTAGAATTCAGACTTGTCTAGAACATTAGAGATGTCTGGGCATAGTTGATCCTAAGATCCACTGAATGTATAAGCTAGTAGCTGAGACTAGATTTCTTCATAAAAAGATGAGTAGGGCATCCCCGGCTTAGAATCAAATGTGTGGTCCAGATGGCAGTATAGGATCAGAAAGTGGTAATAATCTGGAAACACTGGGGCCCATAGGGGATGCTTCATGAAGGGTTTTGTACATAAGGGAGCCCTTGATGGGAAGTTAGAACCTCAGCAGGGGAGAGAGGGTTAAACATTCACTAGAGAGGGAACTCTGAGCAAAGGTGTGCAAAACAGCATACATGTGGGAAGATACCATGGAGAGATGGTGGACGGGAGGCAGGACTAGATTCCAGCTCTGGACAGAGCAGCATGCGGAGGCTTACACTGTGAATTTTAGCTGCAGATCCACTGCAAGAACAAACTAGCAATCCCAAGAGGACCCACAGACTCTCTGAAGAAAGTGAGTTGCCCCTGCAGGACCTAGGAGACACCCCAAATACTGTGAGTTCCCCAACTGTGGAAGTGGGAAAGGGAGACCCCCCTCTCCTGAACACACCCACCACTGGAGAAGCTGAAGGTCTGTTTGCGGGAGAAGTTTCTAAGTTTATCTGGAGCTGAGTCAAGTTAGAGAGCTAAGCAAAATACAGGGGTAGAGGAAGCAGCAGAAAGGCCCTGGGAGCTCACTGGACCCCCAAGCAGCCCATTCCTGCCTGACACCACAGGGATCCATCAGGAGGGTGGCCAGAGGAGCAGGGGGTAAAACTCCACAGGGAGAAGGAATTCTCTAGCTGAACTCTGTAACAATTTGAACAGGGCTTGAAGCCTCCTGGCCAGAACTCAGGGGAGGGCGTGAATCAGGTGTGCAGACTTCACAGGGAGGGGGAGAATAAAGCCCTTTTCTCTAGCTGCTGGGAGGCAGATAGCCTCCGGCAAGTTTTCAAGCCCCTTTCACACTCCACCAGGAAACAGACTTGGGGCTGTTGCGGGGGACACGGTGGAGCGAGGCCCTTCAGTTTGCATGGGAGCTTGGTGAGGCCTGTGACTACCGGCTTTTCCCGTTTGCTGACAACCTGCATGACTCAGCAGAGGCAGCCATAATCCTCTTAGGTGCACAACTCCAGTGACCTGAGAATCTCACTCCCATCCCCAACAGCAACTGCAGCAAGACTTGCCCAAGGAGAGTCTGAGCTCAGACATGCCTAGCCCCACCCCCACCTGATGGTCCTTCCCTATCCACCCTGGTAGTGGAAGCCAAAGGACATATAATCTTGGGAGTTTTAGGGCCCCGCCCACCACTGGTCCCTCTCCACACTACTATAGCTGATGCTTTCTGGAAAGCGCCACCTCCTAGCAGGAGGCCAATCAGCACAAAAATAGAGCAAGAGACTCCCTAACACATGAGGACTCACATAAAGTTAAAGGGTGGAAAAAGGCATTAAATGCAAATGGACACCAAAAGTCAGCAGGGGTAGTTATTGTCATGTCAGACAAAACAAACTTTAAAGCAATAGTGGAGAAAAGAGACAAAGAGAAACAGTGTATAATGGTAAAAGGCCTTGTCCAATAGGAAAATATCATAGTCCTAAACATATATGACCTAACACTGTAGTTCCCAGATTACTAACAGACCTAAGAAATGAGATAGACAGCAACACAATAATAGTGGAGGACTTCAATACTCCACTGACAGCACTAGACAGGTCATCAAGACAGAACGTCAACAAAGAAACAATGGATTTAAACTATACCTTGGAACAAATGGACTTAACAGATATATACAGAACATTCCATCCAACAACCACAGAATACACATTCTATTCAACAGGGCATGGAACTTTCTCCAAGACAGACGATGTGATAGGCCATAAAATGAGCCTCGATAAATTTAAGAAAATTGAAATGATATCAAACACTGTCTCAGACCACAGTGGAATAAAACTGGAAATCAACTCCGAAAGGAACCTTGAAAACCATGCAAATACATGGAAATTAAATAACCTGCTCCTGAATGAGTGCTGGGTCAAAAACAAAATGAAGATGGAAATTAAAAAATTATTTGAACTGAATGACAATAATGATACAACCTATCACAACCTCTGGGATAGAGCAAAGGTGGTGATAAGAGGAAAGTGCATAGCCCTAAACACCTACATCAAAAAGTCTGAAAGAGCACAAACAGACAATCTAAGGTCACACCTCAAGGAACTAGAGAAACAAGAACAAACCAAACCCAAACCCAGCAGAAGAAGGAAAATAACCAAGATCAGAGCAAAACTAAATGAAATCGAAACAAGAAAAAATACAAAAAATAAGTGAAACAAAAAGCTGGTTCTTTGAAAAAAAATAAATAAAATTGATAGACCATTAGCAAGATTAACCAAGAAGAGAGAAAATCCAAATAACCTCACTAAGAAACAAAACAGGTGATACTGCAACTGACACCGCTGCAATACAAAAGATCATTCAAGGCTACTATGAACACCTTTATGCACATAAACTAGAAAACCTAGAAGAGATGGATAAATTCCTGGGAAAATACAACCCTCCTAGCTTAAATCAGGAAGAATTAGATACCCTGAACAGACCAATAACAAGCAGCGAGATTGAAATGGTAATTAAAAAATTACCAACAAAAGAAGTCCAGGACCAGACGGATTCACAGCAGAATTCTACCAGACATTCAAAGAAGATTTGGTACCAATACTTTCGACACTATTCCAAAACACAGAGAAAGAAGGAACCCTCTCTAATTCATTCTATGAAGCCACCATCACCCTAATACCAAAACCAGGAAAGGACATAACCAAAAAAGAAAACTAGAGACCTATATTCTTGATGAACTTAGATGCTAAAATCCTTAACAAAATACTAGCTAACCGAATCCAACAACATATCAAAAAGATAGTCCACCTTGATCAAGTTGGCTTCATACCACGGATGCAGGGATTGTTAACATATGCAAGTCAATAAATGTGATACACTGAATAAACAGAATTAAAAACAAAAATCACATGATCATCTCAATAGATGCAGAAAAAGCATTCGACAAAATCCAGCATCCCTTTATGATTAAAACTCTCAGCAAAATCAGCATACGAGGGACCTACCTTAACCTAATAAAAGACATCTATGACAAACCCACAGCCAACATAATGCTGAATGGGGAAAAATTGAAAGCATTCACTCTGAGAACTGGAACAGAGGATGAACCAAGGGTGCCCACTCCCATCACTCCTCTTCAACATAGTACTGGAAGTCCTAGCCAGAGCAATCAGACAAGAGAAAGAAATAAAGGGCATCCAAATTGGTAAAGAGGAAGTCAAAGTGTCACTGTTTGCTGACTATGTGATCGTTTACTTTGAAAACCCAACGGACTCCTCTAGAAAGCTCCTAGAACTGATAAAAGAATTCAGCAGTTTCTGGATACAAGATTAACGTACACAACTCAGTAGCTCTTCTGTACATCAACAGTAACC
Organism: Homo sapiens; assembly: GCF_000001405.40. NCBI lineage: Eukaryota > Metazoa > Chordata > Mammalia > Primates > Hominidae > Homo > Homo sapiens. Next base: position 15,156,459 of record NC_000004.12, on the reverse strand, counting down.
AAGCAGAGAATCGAATCAAGAACTCAACTCCTAGGAATATATCTAACAAAGAAGTCGAAAGACCTCTGCAAGGAAAACTACAAAACACTGCTGAAAGAAATCATAGATGACACAAACAAATGGAAACATATCCTATGCTCATGGATGGGTAGAATCAATATTGTGAAAATGACCATACTGCCAAAAGCAATCTACAAATTCAATGCAATCCCCATCAGAATACCACCATCATTCTTCACAGAATTAGAAAAAACAATTCTAAAATGTATATGGAGACAAAAAAGAGCCTGCATAGCCAAAGCAAGACTAAGCAAAAAGAACAAATGTGAAGACATCACACTACCTGATTTCAAAGTATCCTATAAGGCCATAGTCACCAAAATGGCATGATACTGGTACAAAAATAGGCACATAGACCAATGGGATGGAATGGAGAACCTAGAGATAAACCCAAATACTTACAGCCAACTGATCTTCAACAAAGCAAACAAAAACATAAAGTGGGGAAAGGGTACCCTTTTCAACAAACGATGCTGGGATAATTGGCCAGCCACATGTAGGAGAATGAAACTGGATCCTCATCTCTCACCTTATACAAAAATCAGCTCAAGATGGATTAAGGACTTAAACCTAAGACCTGAAACTATAGAAATCCTAGTAGATAACATTGAAAAACCCCTTCTAGACATTGGCTTAGGCAAGGATTTCATGACCAAGAACCCAAAAGCAAATGCTATAAAGACAAAGATGAATTACTGGGACCTAATTAAACTAAAGAGCTTTTGCACAGCGAAAGCAACAGTCATCAGAGTAAACAGGCAACCCACAGAGTGGGAGAAAATCTTCACAATCTATACATCTGACAAAGGACTAATATCCAGAATCTACAATGAACTCAAACAGATCAGTAAGAAAAAAACAAACAATCCTATCAAAAAGTGGGCTAAGGATGTGAATAGACAATTCTCAAAAGAAGATATACAAATGGCCAACAAACATATGAAAAAATGCTCAAAGTCACTAATGATCAGGGAAAGCAAATCAAAACCACAATGTGATATCACCTTACTCCTGCAAGAGTGGCCATAATCAAAAAAATAAAAAAAAACAGTCGATGTTGGCGTGGATGCAGTCAACAGGGTACACTTCTCCACTGCTGGTGAGAATGCAAACTAGTACAGCCACTATGGAAAACAGTGTGGAGATTCCTTAAAGAACTAAAAGTAGAACTACCATTTGATCCAGCAATCCCACTACTGCATATCTACCCAGAGGAAAAGAAGTCATTTTTCGAAAAAGATACTTGCACACGCATGTTTATAGCAGCACAATTCACAATTGCAAAATCATGGAACCAATCCAAATGCCCATCAGTCAACGAGTGGATAAAGAAACTGTGGTATACATATATATATATAACGGAATACTACACAGCTATAAAAAGGAATGAATTAACAGCATTTACAGTGACCTGGATGAGATTGAAGACTATTATTATAAGTGATGTAATGGAAAACCAAACATCATATGTTCTCACTGTTATGTGGGAGCTAATCTATGAGGATGCAAAGACATAAGAATGGTACAATGGACTTTGGGGACTTGGGGGGAAGAGTGGGAGTGGGGCAAGGGATAAAAGACTACAAATATGGTGCAGTGTATACTGCTGGGGTTATGGTTGCACCAAAATCTCACAAATCACTGCTAAAGAACTTACTCATGTAACCAAATACCACCTGTACCCCAATAACTTATGGAAAAATAAAATAAAATACAAGATAATGGCTCTGGGATTTGTCTCTCTCTATGTATATTATATGTGCGTATATGTATATCTTATTGAACCGGAAGTTCAAAGTTACACTGAGGTAAAAAACAAACAAACAACCAAAACAAAACAAAACAAAACACCAGAATACATGTGGGTAGTTGAAGAAACAATGGCTTCTTAACAAGTATGGTAGGTGATGAGAATTCTACCAGAGAAGGCTGGGGAAAGCGATGGACTTTATCAAATGTGGCACTCCTGGAGATTCTAAGCATGGAGAAGCTGATGTGCAGAGAGTGATGCTCCAGGGAGATTCATCAAGTTCTAAGTTTAGGATGAAGGGAGTATATTAGTCCTCTCTAGCATTGCTACAAAGAAATACTTGAGACTGGGTAATTTAAAAAGAAAAGAGGTTTAATTGGCTCATGCTTCCACAGGCTGTACAGGAAGCATGGCTGGGAGGCCCCAGGAAACTTACAATCATGGCAGAAGGCAAAGGGGAAGCAGGTACATCTTACATGGCCAGAGCAGCAGTGAGAGAGAAGGGGAACGTGCTACACACTTTTAAAGAACCAGATGTCATAATAACTCACTCACTCAGTATCACCCAGAATAGCACCAAGGCAATAGTGCTAAACCATTTATGAAGGACCAAATACCACATGTACTGCAAAAACATAGATCCAATCACCTCCCACCAGGCCCCACCTCCAACACTGGGGATTAATTACATTTTGACATGATATTTCAGTGGGGACACAGATCTAAACCATATCAGGGTGGAATCAGGGAAATCAATCAGGAGGCAGTTACATTAGTTCAGACATGACATCAGGAAGAACTAAACTTGAGGGGTGGCAGTGAAATGAGAAAGAAAGGGAAGGGTGAAGAACTCCACAAGGGAAGAAACAACAAGCTTCAGTGACTCAGCGGATGGTGGGGGAGAGGAGAAAGAAGAGATAAGGATGAAGGCAATATGTGAAGCCTGGGTGGCCAGTCTGCATGACGAAAAGTGGATTTTATAAAGGAAAGCACTTAGGAGGACCCAGCTGGAGTTTGGGCTGGTTGAGTTTGTAGATGGTGGGATATTAGGTTGACCTAGAAGGTGTATAAAGTGTGGTGGTAAGACCATGGGCCCTCGAGGCAGACTCCAGGGTTCTATCAATTCCACCACCCCTAGCTGTGTGACTTTAGAGAAGTTATTTAATCATCTGATGGCTTTAAAGGTGAACTAAGATGAAGCATCTAAAGTGCATAGCAGTGGGTGATGCTCAGTAAGTGCATGCTCCCTATCTATCTCTATTTCTATCTCTGTTTATTAATATTGGAAGCAAGAATTGAATCATTCAAATTCAACTGGGAATAAAGATAAAGACATTGAAGTCATTTCAGAGGTGATAATTGAAGATGTTAGTTATTTTTGAAAAGTAAATAGAGTGATCATGAGGATGACAGATCTCTAAATTGCAACCAGCTGTTTACTGTTGCCATTGGTCACACAGGGAAGTTGACAGAGACAATGCTCTGGACCAGTCTACATGGTTTATTACTGAGGCACTTGGGTTACAAATTTCAATGGGGAATCCCGGCACACAAGAACTGGGGAGTCTGGTCCATCCTACCTCAGGTGCAAGGTGAGGTCAGCAGTTACATCAATCCTCTTTTGTTGAGCTCATTCTCTGATCCTGAGCCTCTCTTTGAGGTCTTATCATTAAAATAGTAATAAAAGTCAAGGTAGAACAAACTCAATAGGAGAACTGGCCACAAGCACCCAACCCTACAATGAAAGCCAATGCCCATTTTATTACAACTGCATTTTGGAATTAGAGAGAGAAAGGAAAGGAGAGGAAAGGGAGTGGGAGGGACAAACAGAGAGAGAGAGAAAAGGAGTGAAGGGAGAATGGTGTCATTTTATTAAGTCAAGACTCTAAAACAAAAGTTTTGTTTTACAAGAACTCTCCTGTACCCCATTGCCATTGCCAAATGATGTCCTGGGTGTGAGCAATTCAGAAGCACCATCCTGGCAGGGTGACTTGGTGATGGTGGAAGAAGTCAGCTTCTCCTAGTAGATCACGTCACCAATAGAATTCAGAGGAGAGGAAGCCTGCAGTCTGAAGATATTGAGGAGCAAGTCTAATGTACAACAGAATCATAGGGACAATAGGAGAAAGTGGAGACACCTGGCAAGCTCAGCGAGGAGAAGGTGAAAGAGGACTACAGAACACCCTGAAGCCAAAGGGAAAACAGGAACAAAAAAAATTTGCTGAAGAAGGACCATCGTTCCAAAGTGTCCCCTCATCTCTGACTCTTACATGAATTGGGCCTCATTTAAGATCAAAGATACCTTTCTAAAGTCCTTTGGGCCCCAGATGGTGCTCTTAGGACCACCACCTTGAATCTATATGCAGTTGACCTCAAAAAACATCTGATTATTTGGGCATGAGTGATGTACACCAAGGTGGCTGGAGAACAGACTGGAATTCCCAAACATTTTCTCAAGTTACCACCAACTGCCCTCTGGTTCAGGCTCCAACAGGGCCACTGATCATCTATCACCACAACCAAATGGCAGTTATTAATTTCGTGATACCATTTCTATAGTATCTGAATATTTATTTGCTATAAAAATGACAAGAATTATGATAAAAAGAACAGTAAAATATGACTCTTACCATTTATGAATGCTTTAGAATCAAAAGACTAAGTCCTTTATAAATGATTCAGCATTTGATTTTTTTTCCTTAGATTGGCTCAAATTTTACTTTACAGGTCATAAAATTTTAAAGCCCTGTGCATTTGGAGGTCTGGTTCAGGATGAAGACTCTTAGGCTTGGAGTCAGAAAACCCAGCTCTGATCCAACTTTTCTTGCTGTGTGACCTTGGGCAGGTAACATCTTCTCTGAGACACAGTTTTCTCCAAATGGAGTGGACAATGTATGCCCTGAGTCTTGTTCAGGCTTGTGGTGAGGAGCAAAAGGATAAAAGGGCTGAGCGTGCTTGGTAGATGAATGTACTGATTGGAAACACAAAGAACATCCGTGACCATTTATTTATTTCTAAATCACTCATTAATCTTTGCTAGTTCTTGTTGTGTTTACTATTATGAATGAATGTTAGGTGTTGCATCCCACCTTCTATTTGAAAGACCATTCTTGGCAAATGTTCAAAACAACATTTATGAGTTAATAACAGATTCGAGTTATTCCCTTCAGGATTAGATAAGTTATGCTAAAAAATAAATTCAGGGGCTTCAAAACAACAAAGGTTTACCTCCTGGTCACATTATATATTCATTGCAAAGTTTCCTTCTTGCAATCACTTGGGGCCTCAGGTTGATGGAGCAGCCACCATCTCCCATGTTGGGTCACCATAAGGGAGGAAATGCTGCTCTGGGCATCTCACCCCTGTAATTGAATGCTCAACTGAAGTGACATCACTCACTTCCGCTCACATCTTATTGGCCAGAGCTGACCACATGGCCCTCTCCCAACCTCACAGAACAAGGGAGGGCCATTCTACTGTGGGCCTGGAAGGCAGAGAACTAGAAGTTTTTAGAGAGCAGCATTTTCAATAACCACATGCACCCTCCATGGATTTGCAGTGGTAGAGCATGTTGACTGGTAGTACTGATGGAGACCACCTTTATTTGCATTATGTAACAGACTTTTATGGAGCACATCCTAGATGTCAGGGATGATGCCCAGCATGGGAGATGCAAAGTCATAGATAAGTTCTCGGTCCTAAAATGCCACACAAGAAATATGCACTGGATGTTCTGTGAGCTTCAACCAGCCACTTCATCCAGCCTGAGGAAAGGGAAATAGATTCCTGGAGGTGGTGAGTCCTACAGGAGCAGTCGAGCATGCAGAGGCTGGAAAAGAAAGGTGTTCTGGGCAATCAGGACAGCATGAGCCAGCCAAGGCATGGGTGATGCCAGCTCTGCATGTGTAGGGCCCTCCAAGCAGTATTTGCTGCTGGAGCATCAAATGGGAGATGAGATGGTCAAGAAGAGTGAACCTGGGTGGAAGGAGAACTGGTTAGAAGGTAGTGATGGCATCCAGGGAAGAGAGGGTGAGTCCTGTAATTGGGCAGTGAAGGGGATGGAGGAAGGGAGCCAGGCTCCAGAAACCATGAAATGCTGCCTTCGGCTCTGAGCTCCCGAGAAGCAGCAGAGCAGAGGGAGGGAATAACATGCAGCCAGAAGGACAGACCTGGATGCTGTGTGCACCTGCTTGGAAGCCACAACTCTTTGGTGTAAGCCCTGCTTCCCCACTTCATGGCTGTGTTACCCTGGACAAGTTATTTGCCTTCTCTGTGCTTTAGTGTCCCCATCTCAAAAGTAGGGATAATAATAGAAAACGCATAAGTCTGAGGTTATGTATATTAATACGTACAGAGGACAGGGACTGTGGTATCTGGCTGGGCTAAAGAAGTGTGGACTATCTTTTGTAGCCTCTGCAGGGGTTCCTGCCTCTCCCAGCCAGGCCAAGCCTGCTCTGCCAGCTGAAATGTCAACATGGGCGGTTCCTGTCTGAAGTCCCCACAGACAAAGGATGCTTTGCACCCAGGGGACCTGAGCAGTGTCCTTTTCTGTTTGTCTCACAGAGGCCTTCCTTTTCTGGCCGCAGCTGACCCGAGGGTGGGCGGACCCCGCAGCAGGCTCTTTTCTGCTGAGTCATCCTGCCTGGCCTGCCTGGCTGGAGTGACATAGCAGGAGGAGCTGGCTCCCCTGCAGGCTGAATCTGTCCTGGGGGTGGGGTGGGGAGGGTGGTAACATTTTATTTAGGGGGATCAAAAAGCCTCCAGATGAAACAATGGTGGTTTTTTTTTAATGGGTATGGTGGGCTGTTTGCCAAAGCTTGGCCTGCCAAATAGTGCTGGTAAAGGAGGGACTGTTGTCACTGGGTTTTTGGCCATGAATTTGCATCCTAGCAGGAGGCAGGAGGCAGCAGCCTAGGAAGGCCTGGTCTTATTTTTATCGTGTAAGAATGAGGTACCCTTTGGTAGAGTTTGTGAGAATCTGTTTCACTTCCAGAGCTACGCATGCTGAGTAATAATGATTGCTGACTTTTTTGAGCACTTGGTGTATGACAGCCTCTCTACCAAGCTTTCAAAGCATTCTTTCATTCAGTCCTTACCAGCTTGTGAACTAGGTTCTCTTCTTATTTCTGTTTAACCCACGAGGGAACTGACTTTCAGAGCGGTTAAGTCAGTTGTGTGAGGTCACGCAGCAGAAGGTGGCAGAGCAGGCAGTCTGATGCGGGGGCACAATCTCTCGATGGGTACACCTTGCAGAGGGCTGTAGGAGTTACTGGGGGCGTGTGCAGCAGGGAGTCTCACACGCAGTGGGTGTACAAGAAATAGCCTCCATCCCTTTTATCACTATTATTTATTCCTTCTAAACAAACAAACAGCAACCATTCAACATGGCGATGTGATTTTGAAGGGATGATTTTGGTCCTGCTTGAGGACATGTCTTGTGTCTTGACTCCACATCACTAGGACATGGGCAGTCTGCACACAGAGACCTCAGGAATGTGACACCCCGGCCCCCTACTTCTATTGCTTTCAGACTGTCTTGGGTTGACCTTCTTTAGTAGCAGGATGACCTTCACTCTCCATATCTTTATTTCATGGTTCAGGACTCAAATGTGTAGGTTGTAGAAATTTTACAAATTCCAGACAGGCTTACCACATTTAAAATACCACTGACAAGTGTGTAATGCCTACCTTTTTAACTCCATGTAGGTCAGCTACATAGTACTCTCAGGGAGTAAGAACTTTCCTAAAGCAACTCGGAACTGGGCCATTTTGCTTACTTGCTGGCGGCCTGATAATACCAGGGCTTCTCGGTGTTGCTAAGAGTTTCCAAGGAGAGAGATTTGCTTCTCTCCCATTTTCCCCTTCCAGGGCACCAGAATGAGCTCGCTGCTGGAGCCTAGGGCACGTTCTTCACTTGGTCACCATCAAAATAAAATTACCAAGCACGCAGGTACTGACGAAGCCTGTCACTACACAAAATTAATCATTTTAAAAAGTAAATGACCCAGTTTCCTGTGGTGTGTGTTTTTGGGGCCCAGGGAGTGCCCTTCCCCCCTCAAGTGAATTGGAGATGCCTCAGATGATGTCAGCTCACTCTGCAAGCGACAGAGAGATGGGTTGGCAAGATCTGCAGCATGAGCCTGGGATCCGGCTGCCATTTGGGCTGCTGTCGGCATCACTGTGGAGACCATTAATCTTCAACTTACGACGACTGAGCCTTCTCGGGGCATTGAGTTTTCTTGTTCTGTTTTGTTCAGCGTGGCATTCAAGATTCCTTCACAGAAATCTGTGTCGGGGCAGGAAAATGCTATGTGAATTATGTCCTTGTGAAGTCACCATCTGGCCAATATTCATCTTGCTTAGTGAAATATCAAGGACATCCTTCGGCACAGATGCTGCGGGGCAAGAACATAGCACACAAGTGACTGCAGTCATAAACCAACACGCAATCAAGTGTAATTAATGCACCTGGTGCCCACTTCAGAGTTCCAGTCCCACAGTCGCACACTGGTTGGCTTTTCCTTTTTCATATGTGGCTTTTTGTTGTTGTCAGGTTTTTTTTTTTTTCTTCCCTTTTGGGGTGGGGATAGATGTTTGCAGTTTGAATCGGCCCTGGGATCTTCAGCAGTAAATAAGTCACCATCATGGAGCTGGTGAAAATGGGAGTGTTTGTGTGCATTCAAGAAGCTGCATCACATGCAAACCGTACAATACTGAGCAGCATTCTGTGCCTTGAAAAGGCCATTGTCCCGTGCGTCTGGAATCCGTTCTCCTGTTGACACTCACTGGCTTTTGAAGGCCAGGTCCAGATACTGGCCTCCAAGTGCTTTTGTGCCAGATGGAAGAAGGGAAGGGATCCAAAACTTGGAAAAATAAAAGATAAAAACACAAAACAGTCCCCCATGACTTCTCTATCAGCAGGATTTCATAGCCTCCTTCCCCCTTTTCCACACTGGTCTTGACCTGGTGGTGTTTTAAAGTGGTGATGGGAGAGGAAGAGCAGCATTTTGCCTCACTGGAACTGAAATTCTGGAAGCTGTGAATCCTTTCTTTGGATGGAGACCTGGGGGTTAACTAGTGGGGCAAAGGTGGGGAGCAGAAGTTGCAGAAGAGAAACAGTGATATGAGGGCTCCTTATAACCCAAGAGCCATGTAAGTAAGGCATGGGGATATGGGAGGCAGGGGGGCCTTTACCTGGGGTTCAGGGACACATAAGGAAAGTGACCTGGGCTCACTTGCAGTGTTTCTGCTGTGCACAGAGGAGAGGAGGGATGCTCCTACAGTGACCTTGCTGTGGGCAGTGCAGCCTGGGTGCATATGGCGGCTGCGAGCTCATCCTCCTGTGTCACTTCTACACGGAAATAGCAAAATTGCCGTTAGCAATTAAAGGTTTCAAAGGCCCCTGAGTGTCATTAGGGGCTTGTCAATGGCTTTCTCTGAGCTGCAGGATGAATGGCTCCCAATTGTCTCCTATCAAATTAAAGCTCCTTATCATAGGCTGTAGCATCCTCTGCTAATTGGTGCCTGCTTCCCTAATTCATCTTTCATTCTGAAGCACCTTGTCCCATCATCTGAGAGCCATCTTCCAAGTCTTCTAATTGCCAGCTCTCTTCAAATCAATTCCATTCAACAGATGTGCACTGGATTTCAACTCAGAGCCAGGCCCTGATAGAAGGGGAGGCAGTTAGGTATATGAATCGGAGGGCATAGGCATTATACTATAGAAAGCCTTTTGTAGTGTCTGAAAGAGGAGGCAATAATTTGAGTCTTGGTCCAAACTTAGGAGCTGAATAATCTTGCTTAAACTCTCCAAGCCTCTGTTCAGGAAGCTTGGGGGTAAATGGGGATAATAATGCAGAGTTGCTGTAAGAATTGAATGAGATTTTATCTATCTATTTATATTTGGCATACATATTTCACAAATGTATATTTCAGATATATACCAATACTGTATATATGAAGCCCCAAAGAACCCATCATTATTTTTACTGGAATGCAGATACGGTCATGAGGGAGGAGTAGTCATCTCTGCCTACAAAGGTCTGCAAAGGTTTTGTGGAGGAGAAGAGACTTGCGGCAAGCTTTTCTTTTTCCTGTAGACATAAGCAGAAAGGGCAGTTCAAGCGCAGGTAACAACACAGGAAATCAGGGAGACAGGAAACAGCCAGGGATGTTTCAGAAAGGGCAAGTACACCGAGAGCCCTGGTTTCCACGGGGGCAGGGAGGGGTGCCAATGGTGCAAGATGGTCTGTATGCTGGAATTCCATTTTTTCTTTCATCAATTTAGGAAAACCCTACTCATGTCTTAAAATCAAAGGTTTCCTCTTATAAAAAGCCTCTCTGAATCAACATATGCCCAGCTAATCAACCCATACCTGTTACTGTCTACTATAATTGTGAGTTGTAGTAGGAGAAAGTTGATCTGATGAATGATGATACCAGGATGTCCCTGACATAACATGGGACAAAGGGAGGAGCATTTAACTCTCTGTCGCTGGTAACAGTCTTTAGGAACACGTCACAGATTGGCAGTATCTGAGCTGGATTTCGAAGGAAAAATTGGATGCATTAGGCCATTGTGACTTGGATTCCCAGCCATCACCAGGGAGAATGTCAATATTGAAGCCTGTTGAGTATGAAGAAGATAAAGTCTCCCAAATAAACCAGGATCGCCGTGTCTTTTGTTCCTCTAGGTTGGGCTGCCGGCCGCTGGTTAGGGCAATGAGCCAGGTGTCCCTTGGCACGTTGACATTTTAAGAGCTCTGGCACCAGTGGCAAGTGTGGGTTAATTTGATATTTACTAAGATTCACTTGCTTCACAAACATCGAGCTCCAGCCATTGGTGAGGGGACTATGCACTGTTGACAGCTGTCATCATTTTACTGACTCAGACACCTTTTGTTGCTGTCAGAAAACAAACACCAACCTTCTGACTGCCTTTAGGAGCCTGGGACTCTCATAAAACAGCACTATCTGGGATGTTTTTCTCTGGGAAACCAGAAGCAGGTTCCTTGAGTCCAGACCACACCAGCAAAGAGAACAAAAAAGCAATCACTGTCATTATCACCATCATTGTTGTGATCATCATCAATAACATCATCATCATCACGGCACTCTCTGTCTTCTAAGAGCCTCTATAAGATGGCTAAGAACCATCTTCCATTTGGTCCTATCTAACTTTAAACGTGCCAAGTAAGGACATCCTCCTTCTCAAGAAGACAGTTTTCTGCTCCTGCAATTTATATTTTAATCTTATTACAACCTATCTTTTTGTTTTTCATTGTTTTCACTTTTTACGTTTCCACCACATAGGCCTATTTAAACCCCTAAATCTTAATCTGAATGAACCCTTACTTTGTTGGGATTTATGTGTTTTGAATATGTGTAGTCTATAATTATGCCTTCTTCCCCCGAACACATTTTTAGGTCTTACTTTTCTTTGTTAAAGTCAACCCCTCTATTCTTTCATTTTATTTCCAGTGTTTCTGCTCCTTTTAGAACGTGAATTTTGTTAGAAGGGTTATTGCTTCCCTGCCGCTAAGGGTGGATTAGGCCATCTGTCATGACGATCCTTACCTGACGAAGAGAATGTTAACAACTACTACTTAGGATGGGCTTGGTACTAGCCTGGCACTGGGTACGATTTCGGACTCAAATTTATTGTTTCACTGATTATTACAATGGCCCTGAAGGTTTCGGGTTATTATTGTTCCCAACCTACAGGTATGGGGATTAGGCTCGGGGTGGTGGGGGGTGTTGAATAACATGTTGAAGGTCAGAGAGTTGGTGAATGACAGAATCTGCCTGCCTCTGATCCAAAGTCCAACGTCCCACACAATCTTTCACTTTGAGCTTCCATTGACGTTAGTTTTTATATCTCCTTCTTTAAAAATTACATTAAATATAGAAAATAAGATCTGGGAGTCAGAAAATACTGGACACCCTACAATTTTCCTCACCCTTTCTTTAGGGCTCCCAGCAGGGGTGAAATTCCATGTCCTTGGTTAAATCTGTTTGAATTCATTTTTAGGAGTTATAATTTGACAAGAAGCTCTAACAACACACTCCACTGGCAGTCAGGACTGCAGCAGCCTTGCCTGTCTGCTACGATCTTACTTTGTTCCTCTCCGTTTTCCTAGCATGGTTTGTCCTTTATAAACCAGCCTCATCTGGGAATAGTGTGCCTTTGTTAATTACCTTTGCAGAGCCAGCAGATGGTGCAGAAAGCACTGCATTGTCGGAGGACCTAAGCCAAAAAAGAGAAGAGGGAGAGAGGGTGGCATCTGTTTATTTGTTTAATTTCTTCAAGAGGAAATGGTGGGTATAAAAATAAAACTAGTCATCACTAAGCATCTCGAAGTGAGGAACACTTCTACCGTCATATAACAATGGTTTAAAAGAAAATTCTATTTCAGGCCCCAAAGCTTTGGACATTTGAAGAAGTATTTGAAACCTGGAACTGGCCATGCCGGCTCAGTGAGGGTCCACTGGCCAATCCTGAACATTGGCCAAGTTTACCTGTCAGATGCTGTGCCCCAGACCTAGGCGTGGAAAACCAGCCAGCAAAGCAGGTTCCCCGTAGAAGCCCCCACCATCACCTTCTTTCCCATTTAACCAAAGACCAGGTTAGCTTCTAATTAACAGGGTTTAATAGCCTCTCTTTCTACAGTTTTGGTGGTAGGTGTCCCGTGTGTAATCTATACCACTGTCCTTGGAATCAGAGCATATTCCAGATGAAAGGGCCCTTAAAACCATTGCAGTCAAACCCCCTCATTTCAGAGAGTGGGACATCGGTACCCAGAGCAGAGAAAGGCTTTACTCAAGTCACCAAGCCTATTAGTGGCAGAGCCAGAATTAGAAGTGAAGTTCCCCTATCTCTCAGCTTGCCACCTCTCCCCTACTCTGCCAGGTAAACAGAAGAGGGAGAGGCAGGGGGAGTTTGGGGAGATTCCAGATGGCTCCATGAGCAAAGTCTTAGAAAAACTACCTGCTGCAGAAAGGAACTAAATGATCAAACCACAGAGGTAGCAGGCACACGACTTGAGAAATAAGAAATAGTCCAGAGTAACTAGAATACTGGGTGTCAGAGACAGTGCAAGAAACGTTGTGGGGACTTGATTGTGAAGGGCCTTGTCATCAAGAAAATGCAGCACCAAAGATGTAAGTAGGAAACAATTATGTCTGGGCCTGTGCCCAAGATGGTGGTGATGTGAGGATGGGTTGATGAGGGAGATTAGGAGGGGGAGGTCACCCAGGAGTTAGATGAGAAGTGTCCAAGTCAATCTGGTGGTGGTGGAAATAGAGAGGTTTCATTTCCCTTCACTCCACAGGAATGTCTCTGTTCAAGGTCACTAATGACCTTGACCTTGCCAGATCCAATGGCCGCTTCTCTGACCTCACATTTCTTGATATAATCAACCACTATCTTCTCCAGATACTTCATAAGGCAGGCGGGGGTCGAGGTGGGGGTAGAGAGTTATGCTTAAAAATAAGAAATGGAAATCTCCTTGGAGGAAGGAAGACAACATCCTTCAGGATCCAGCCCCTCCCTAGCAAGGAGCTCCCACTGGGTCAAACTACATAGGGAGCAGCCCCAATCCAGGACAAGTAGGGCAAAAGAGAAGTCCTATATTTGGGTTCAAACACTGAATTGAAAATATAGCACTTAGAACATATGTGACCTGTTCTAGCTACAGGCATGCTTTTCATCATCAATAGGTAAAAGTCAAAATACCTTAGCAAGCAGATAAACCTCTATGACTTCTTTCTACTTTCCATTCTTAACTCCATCGTTATCTTTCTTCTGAATAAACTGAGTTTGCAACAAACCAATGATTTAGAAAGCTAACAAAATGTTATACAATCTCACAGAAGTTTAAGTTCCAGATCAAGGGAAGTGATAGGCCTGCATTCTTCTGCATTGATTTGATCATATCTGGAGTTCATTCTCTGCCCAGTTCTGGCCTTACATTTGCAAAGAGACAATTACAAGATGGAGAAATAACCCAGCATGGGAAGCGCATCAACAAATCTAAATGTGTGCCTGTGAGGCCTAGATACATTTTGCTCAGTGAAATCTTTATGCACCCTCAATAACTGTTTTCCAGTGTTTGAAGGACTATATGTTGACAATAAAGCAGGTTGATTTTAGAAGAAAAACTTCTAGTCAATAGGTAAATCATCCATGAAGTTGAATTTAGCTTCATGTAAATACTAATCTTCAAAGGGATTGACTGCTGAGAGGGACAGCTGCTTTCTGTACCTGGGAGTGTCCATGCATATGCCTCATGGCCACTTGCAGAGAAAAGAGAGCTGTGGGTCCTGTTAATGGAAGAGTCTAAATTATTTAAAATGTAGCCTTCTCTTAGTGACCATCAACAGATCCCAGAATTTCTTTTTTCTTTTTTTTTTTTTTTTTGAGACGGAGTCCTGCATGTTTCCCAGGCTGGAGTGCAGTGGTGTGATCTTGGCTCACTACAAGCTCCGCCTCCCGGGTTCACGCCATTCTCCTGCCTCAGCCTCCCGAGTAGCTGGGACTACAGGTGCCCGCCGCCACGCCCAGCTAATTTTTCGTATTTTTAGTAGACACAGTGTTTCACTGTGTCAGCCAGGATGGTCTCGATCTCCTGACCTCGTGATCTGCCTGCCTCGGCCTCCCAAAGAGCTGGGATTACAGGTTTGAGCCACCGGCCCCACAGGTCCCAGAATTTCTTAGAGATGTCCAGTAGGCTGAAAAGAACTGGGGTTGTCAGGAGTCGGGAAATGAGAGAGAGAACAGTAAGAGGAATATGAGTTTAACATGAGATAGAACTCTAGAATCTGTTAAAGTGGTTCCCCAGAACTTCAGTTTCCTCTTTCTTGCCCAATGATACACTCTTCCCACCCTTTATTTTCCGCACTTTCAAAATACTTCTTCAAGAAAGGATAATGTTAATTCATGCTAACACGTAAATGGCTTCTTAGAATCCACAATCTTCTCTTCCCAGAGTCATTTTGCCTACTTCTAAGGGATAAAATCTAAAGCTAATAAATAGACTGTATTAGGCAGTTGTATGGAGAAATGAAGAAATTCGCAGTTAGGATTTGGGTTACAGCTGCCAAGTATTGATTGCAAGTAACAGAAATTACTTCCAACTAACTTGAACACAAAATGAATCTGTTTGAAGAACACAGGTAACATGGTTTGGATCTTTGTCTCCTCAAAATCTCCTGTTGACGTGTTCCCCGTGTTGGAGGTGAGGTTTGGTGGGAGGAGACTGTACCCTGGGAACGAATCCCTCATGAATGGTTTAGCGCCATCCCCTTGGTGATAAGTGAGTACTCGCTCAGTTAGTTCTGGTTGTTTAAAACAGTCTTGGACCTCGCTCTTATCTCTCTTTTACTCCTGCTCTCACCATGTGACATGCCCACTGCGCCTTCAACTTCCACCATGATGGTAAGCTCCCTGAGCAGATGCCAGCACCGTGCATCTTGTAAAGCCTGCAGAACCAAGAGCCAAATAAACCTCTGTTCTTTATAAATTACGCAGCCTCAGATGTTTCTTTATAGCAATGCAAAAATGGCCAAACACAACAGGGGAATCCCACAGAAGTAAGGAATCAACAACTAAGATTCAGGAAAGACATGAGCCGTGTGGCTCTGGGGGCCTTGGCAGTAAGGATAGGTGAATCTTCTCTCCTGCAACTGCGACCACAGTACACAGCTCTACCGTCCATTTTGGCCACATCTGTGTGCCTCAATATTCAAATTCCCAAGAGACAAAAATGGCCAATCTTGGGTCATGTGATCCCTTAGAAGCTAGGAGAGAAGGATCTGTTGCCAGATGCAGACAGACAATCAGATATAGGAAAAGGCATAAATGCAGGACTGAGGACATCTGAGTAGCCTGAAATCACATCGCATAAATAGTCTTGAGTGACCTCACATCACCACCATGCTCACAGACACCTGGGTGGCTCCCAGTTGCTAACAGGTGAAGTCCAAGTTCTATAGCAAGGTATCTGCAGTCTATGTGCCCTTGCCCTGGACCACTTTGCTGATCTGGTGACTGCAGTGTGTCCCTCTGAGTGACACTCCAGCTGCTGTGGACCTGTCAGTGACCGTAGTGCTCTTGTTCTCTGTAGTATCATTCCCAACCTTGCTGATTTCCTGTTCACCCTCACAGACAATAGGGCCAAGGTAACTGGCCTCATCCACAAAGCCTCTGTCCTATCTCTAGTATTTTTACTGACTTCAATTTTTTTTGAGGTTTATAGTTTTATTGAGCTTGTTTCCTGTAAGCACGTCAAATCTTTGGTGGAATGAGGCAGGATATAAACAAGTCCCACTTTTTAGAGATGGGGCAGAAGTTACAGTGGATTTGAAGAACCGCGTTTCCTTTCTCTTCTCTCCATTTCCAGGTAGCCTTGCAATGCCTTGCACATAAGAGGTACACGGTGCGTATCTATTTGATAACCTACTGAGGATTGCAGACTTTTAGTCCACACAACCAGCAACCAAAGCCAGATCCAGCTTGTGAAGCCAGAGGCTTGTATAGCTTGGGAGGTTCTCTGGGATAAAAAGTACTAAGATATTGCACTTTTGCAATTTCTGCAAAAACAGATGACATGAGGAATATCTTTTAAGGGGACCATGCAAGAGAGTAGCCTGAGGCAGATGTTTCTTACCTTCAGCAAAAATCCTCTTCTGCACATGACCAGCTAGGCCTCCAGGTCAGTGGTATTCATATCATTTCACAGAAGAGAAATAGATGAAGAGAAGATTTAACCTTCACCTAGTCCTTACCATGTGCCATTTAATCCACACAACACTGTGAAGGAGGATGTATTAGTTCCTCATAGCTGCCATAACAAGTGATCACAGACATGCTGGCTTAAAGCTACAGAAATGTATTCTCTCACAATTCTGGAGATCAGGAATTCAAAATCAAGGTGTTGATGGGGACATTCGCCCTATGGGAGGCTCTAGGGAGAATCTGTTTACCCTCAGTCTCCTTTACTCATTTACTTGACTTGCCAGAACTGTCAAAGTAATGAAGTTTAGATCCTCTGCATAAACAGATGGTGGCAGAACTGAATTAAAGGTCTTGTACAACTTCAAGACCCCATCTAGGAAGTCTTTCTTGAAAGATTTACTTAGAAGTCTTACTTCTTGGAAGTCTCTCCAAGGCTCATGCCATTGTCTTCCTCTTCTGCACTTTTGTATCCCTTTATTATCCATGCCAGTATCTTTGACCTTGACCTTAAGCTATTTGTAATACTGATTATATTCTCATCATAAAGAACTAATGGCTTCTGGCTTTAGTGTTTACATTTTTCACTGTGGGTCAGGTTTCTGTAAACTGTGCTGGAGCTACAATGGCCTTCTTTTGGTGCCACACACACCAAATGAGCACCCACCTCAGGCCTTGCTGCTGGCTTCTCCTGGGGTTTTGGTGGCCTTTTCTTATGTCTTGTGCCTCCTCTTTCTTGCCATTTAGAATCTCAGTTTAAATTCTATATTCTTATGTGATTTGTTTAAGCCAACTTAAAAGAGATACTGTTGAGGAAAAAGGGAAAATTTGACTATAGTTTTGGTATTGAAAAGTATTAAAGACTACGTATTCGTTTTTAGAAAGCCAACTTTACTGTAGACGTGCCCTTTCACCTAATGGTGCTATGATTTGGGGTTAGATATGTAACTTCTGTGAGCCTCAGTTTACTCCACTATAAAATGAGAAAAACTGACAGGGTGGCATGCAATTTAACTGAGAAAATCATATAGAGTACTTAGCACAGTGACAAACACATAGTAAGTGATTAGAAACTCCATTTTTTAATGTATTATTATGTTTTCCCTGTTCTACCTTATTTTATAGTGGCAAGAAATGTCCTCTTATCACTTTATTCTGCTTTTAAAATAATTCCTGCAAGACTTTAGAAAGACTATGAAAAAATTCACATAACCAATAGACAACTTCAGATTTACATGTTTATCACCATGTGCCACTTTGTGCCAATTCACATGTGGAATCTTGTGGTAAGTCTAATTTACCACAGATATTTTAACTAACCATTATACTCTACCTGCTCCCTAAAGGAACATAAAGCACACATTTACAATATTGCAGAAGTTGTTTCCTGCTCAGGTTACCAGAACATACAGATATCATTCCATGTTTATAGAGCACTTCAGGGTTTTCAAACTATGGCTTTTATTTGCTCACCACACATTCCTGGGAGTTAAGATGTGTAGCATCATTCTACTGAGGATGAGAGAGATTCACAGTGATGAAGTGAGACCACCAAGTTAATGTCATAGACTGTGCGGAAGCAATGTAAGTGATGTGGCCACAGGGTAGATACTCAATAAGAACTGATGAAGTAATGGAATGGATGAAAGAAGTGAGCTGCTGTATTAGTCTGTTCTCGCATTGCTATAAAGCACTACCTGAGACTGGGTAATTTATAAAGAAAAGAGGTTTAGTTGGTTTATGGTTCCACAGGCTGTACAGGAAGCATGGCTGGGAGGCCTCAGGAAACTTATAATCATGGCAGAAGGTGAACACATCCTACATGGCTGGAGCAGGAGGAAGAGAGCAAAGGTGGAGGTGGTACACTCTTTTAAACAACCAGATCTCATGGGAACACATTCACTATCATGAGAACAGCAAGGGGGAATTCTGCCCCCATGATCTAATCACCCCATATCAGTCCCCTCTCCAACATGGGGGATTACAACTGGACATGTGATTTGGGTGGGGACACAAATCCAAACCATATCAGGGAGGCATCAGGGCTCAGAGAGAGGATACATCAAAAGTTAGAAGAGAGTAAGATTTATCTACAATGTCCTTCACAAAGTTGAAGGGCTGTATTTGCCAGGCTATTTCAGTTTTGACAGAATTACCACCTGGATTTGATTAAAGCAAAGTAAAATCTACTGACTCCTACAAATGGGAAGCCAGGGGACCAAGTTGCCTTTTGTCTAAGAGTTGATTCAGGGCTCAAGTGAGGCTGTTGGTTTTCTTTCTCTGGCTTGCTCTCTCTCTCTCTCTCTCTCTCTCTCTCTCTCACACACACACACACACACACACACACACACACACACATTCCCTACTTTGCCAGCCAAACTTTCCATGCTTAAAGGAGAAGACAGCACCAGTGCCCTGAGCTTCACATCCTTCCTGTTCTAAGGTCAAGATGATAAAAGGGGTGGGGAGGAAATGTACTGGGCTTCCAAGTCCAACAACTAAAACGAGGTCCTGGTAACTCCATATGAAAGAGATTTTAGTCATTTATGGAGTATCCAAGTGACCGTCTGTATTCTATCATGATATGGACTTCTGTTCTCCTAGTCTGGCCCTGAAACACCAGGAAATGAAAATAGTTCATTCCCATTGGGTACTTACCAAATGTCAGCCTCTGTTCTTTTATTTATGTATTATCTCACTAAGTTCTTTAAGTAACTACTTACTGTAGTTCTGATGTGGTTTGGCTGTGTCCCCACCCAAGTCTCATCTTGAATTGTAACTCCACAATTCCCATGTGTCATGGGAGGATCCTGATGGTAGGTAATTGAATCATCAGGGTAGGTCTTTCTCATGCTGTTCTTGTGATAGTGAATAAGTCTCACGAGATCTGATTGTTTTAAAAACAAGAGTTTCCCTGCACAAGTTCTCTCTTTGCCTGCCGCCATCCATGTAAGATGAGACTTGCTCCTCCTTGCCTTCCACCGTGATTGTGAGGCCTCCCCATCCATGTGGAACTGTAAGTCCATTAATATCTCTTTTTCTTCCCAGTGTCAGATATGTCTTTATCAGCAGCATGAAAACAGACTAATACAGTAAATTGGTACTGAGAGTGGGGTGCTGCTGAAAAGTTACCTGAAAATGTGGAAGCAACTTTAGAACTGTGTAACAGGCAGAGGTTGGAACAGTTTGGAGGGCTCAGAAGAAGCCAGGAAAATGTGGGAAAGTTGGGAACTTCCTAGAGAGTTGTTGAATGGCCTTGCCCAAAATGCTGATAGTGATATGGGCAATAAAGTCCAAGCTGAGGTGGTCTCAGATGCAGATGAGGAACTTGTTGGGAACTGGAGCAAAGGTGACTCTTGTTATGTTTTAGCAAAGAGACTGGCAGCATTTTGCCCCTGCCCTAGAGATTTGTGGAACTTTGAACTTGAGAGAGATGATTTACGGTATCTGGCGGAAGAAATCTCTAAGCAGCAAAGCATTCAAGAGGTGACTTGGGTGCTGTTAAAAGCATTCAGTTTTAAAAGGGAAACAGCATAAAAGTTCACAAATTTGCAGCCTGACAATGTGATAGAAAAGAAAATTCAATTTTCTGAGGAGAAATTTAAGCTGGTTGCAAAAATTTGCATAAGTAATGGAGATCCAAATGTTAATCCCTGAGACAATGGGGAAAATGTCTCCAGGGCATGTCAAAGGTCTTCACAGCAGCCCCTCCCATCACAGGCCTGGAGGCCTAGGAGGAAAAAGTGGTTTCATGGGCCGGGCTAGGGACCCTGTGCTGTGCATAGCCTAGGGACTTGGTGCCCTGCAACCCAGCTGCTCCGGCTGTGCTGAAATGGGCTAATGTAGAGCTCAAGCCGTGGCTTCAGAGGGTGCAAGCCCCAAGCTTCAGCAGCTTCCATATGGTGTTGAGCCTGCAAGTGCACAGAAGTCAAGAATTGAGGTTTGGGAGCCTTTGCCTAGATTTCAGAATATGTATGGAAATGCCTGGATGCCCAGGCAGAAGTTTGCTGTAAGGGTGGGGTCCTCATGAAGAGCCTCTGCTAGGGTAGTGCAGAAGGGAAATGTGGGGTCAGAGCCCCCACACAGAACTCCTACTGGGGCACTGCCTAGTGGAGCTGTGAGAAGAAGGCCACTGTCCTCCAGACCCCAGAATGACAGATCCACTTGCAGCTTGAACTTTGTGCCTGGAAAAGCCAGACACTCAAGACCACCCTTTGAAAGCAGCCAAGAGGCTGTACCTTGCAGAGCCACAGGGACAGAGGTGTCCAAGACCATGGGAACCCACCTCATGCATCAGTGTGAACTGGATGTGAGATATGGAGTCAAAGGAGATAAATTTGGAGCTTTAAGATTTGACTGCCTCTTTGGATTTTTGACTTGCATGCAGACTGTAGTCCCTTTGTTTTGGCCAATTTCTCCCATTTGGAATGGCTGTATTTACCCAATGCCTGTACCCCCATTGTATCTAGGAAGTAACTAACTTGCTTTCGATTTTACGGCTTATAGGTTTGCTTTTGATTTTACGGCTTATAGGTGGAAGGGACTTGCCTTGTTTCAGGTGAGACTTGGAACTGTGGACTTTTGAGTTAATGCTGAAATGAGTTGAGACTTTGGGGAACTGTTGGGAAGGCACGATTGGTTTTGAAATGTTAGTACATGAGATTTGGGAGGGGCCAGGGGCAAAATGATATGGTTTGGCTGTGTCCCTACCCAAATTTCATCTTGAATTGTAACTCCATGATTCCCACATGTCATGGAAGGAACCTGGTGAGAGATAATTGAAACATGAGGGTGGGTCTTTCCTGTGCTGTTTTCATGATAGTGAATAAGTCTCATGAGATCTGATGGTTTTAAAAACAGGAATTTCCCTGCACAAGCTCTCTCTTCCCTGCTGTCATCCACGTAAGATGTGACTTGCTCCTCCTTGCCTTCTGCCATGACTGTAAGGCCCCCCCCCCCACCATGTGGAACTGTAAGTCCAATAAAACCTCTTTTTCTTCCCAGTGTCAGGTATGTCTTTATCAGCAGCATGAAAACAGACTAATATGAGTTCTATCATTATTCTCATTTATAGATGAGGAAAGTGAGACAAGGACCACTTGAGTCACTTCTCCAGTGTCTTGTAGCTATTAAGTGATAGACCTAGATATGCAACTAGATTGCGGTAGAACTAGATCTTCATGTCTGGGTAGTCTTGCTGCTGAGAACATACTCATAATCACCACACACCTGCACCTCAGTTACCAACTCTGTGACTTCCACATTTTATAGGACCTAGTAAAAGCCTCAGTTCCTCATGAGTAATTTTACATATTGGTGGAAGGAATAGAGATAATGAATGTACTTACGATGCATTATACATACTAGGAATTCCATCAATGCTAGTTAATACACTAGCCCAAGAAGATTATTGGCTGTGGATCCTAGTATATCTCAGGAAGCTCATAGGGATAAACTGGGGCAACAAGGACCAGAACTATCAATGACTTTGAGATCTTTGTGTTAATAAGCACAGATCTTTCATACAAGGGTTGTATGTTAGACTGCCTCAATTTTGAGATAGTGAATAAAATCTGGGGATGCAAGAAACAGCAAACTAACTCAAGTTGGTTTAAGCCTAAAGAGAAATTTGTTCATTCTCATAAAAGAATTGTGCACGATAGAGCTAGTGTTCAAATAACCATTTCAGAAATATGTCTTTTTCTCTCAGTTTTACTTTCCTATATGTTGACATATTTATTTAGGGTGGCAAAGGTGGGCTCCATAGGACATCTCTCCACATTTATACCTGCATCACTTTCTGAAACTTCCATCAAAAGGCCTGTGGAATCTCTCATTGATCTGGTTTAAGTCACTTGTCCATCCCTGAGACAATGACTATGGCCATGGGGATACAGTGTTCTGATTGACTACACATAACCTTCCCAGCTCACCCTCAGTTCTGCAGAGGAATATCAGGGTGCTATTACCAAAATAAAGAGGAAAAAGATCCAAGGCAGGATAAAACGTGCCTTTCACTATAGAGCATTGTAAACAAAGCGAAAACTTTCAGTTTGTCCAGTTGAGACAATGTTCTTGAATTTCATTTGTAAGGGGCAATGCCTTACTTGAATTTGGGAAAGTCTAAATCTGGCCTCACTTACAATGTTATCAGACTCTGTGAAAAGAAGTGAGGATGCAAACAAACAAACAAAAACACATACACCTTCTGTAGCCCTTAGGCTAGTGATCATTGTTTGATACAGATGAGTTAAGAATTCCAAAAATTATCTTGTAGTTTTACACTCCTGATACAAAAACCACTTGAGGGTTGGATATATAATCAAATATTAAGTATAAAATTAGTAAGTCACTAAAATAAAATGTAGGAATGTATTTATATAATACATTGGAGGAAAAAAAATATGTTCACCAAAATCTTTTGGAAGACAGTATTATGTTTGTTTGGAAGACATATTTAATAAGCTGCTTGGGTTTCAGACCAAGACCTTCAAGGAATGCTTGCACATCAAAAAGCAGTTCATTAATTGCTCTGCGCAATTAAAAAAACAAACAAAAAAAAAACAAAAAAACCTTTTGGTTCTCACCAGAGACAGAAAAGTGGAAAGGAGAGCATGCCTGTGGTTCCAGCTATCCCGAAGGCTGAGGAGGGAGGATCACTTGAGCCCAGGAGATTGAGGCTGCAGTGAGCAATGATCATTCCACTGCACTCCAGCCTGGGGGACAGAGTGAGACCCTGTCTCAAAAAGAAAAAAAAAAAAAAAGAAAGAAAAAAAAAGAAAAGAGAAAAAAAGAAAATGATAATAGGAAGTATTGTACTAAACGGTGATGTTTCCTTCATCATAAAACCCTCTCTCTCTTTCTACCCTCCCCCAATCAGCACAAAACAATTGGTGTGAATGGATTTATTGTTGAAACTGGTGTGTGGATGGACTAAGCTTCCTGCACACAGATCCTGCGACGGCAGATGCCACAGCTGCAGCGACTGCTACTGCACTCACATCTGGTTTCCATTTACCTAATCACAGGGTGGTGATGGGCTCTGAAAGCATGACCCCAAATGCAGAAATCATGAAAGAAACTAGGGCTAAATATGGTTGCATCATGCTAAAGAGATTCTGAATGGTTAAAATATTGTAAACAAAGTTAAAATGTCAGACAAACTGAAATAGTTTTTTTGCAATATAAATGATCAAAGCTTATCTATATAAAAATATTTTCATATTGGTAAAAAACAAATCAAAGGTAAATACCCCAATAGAAAGACAGGCAGATAATATGAGCTGGTCATTTTCAAAAGAAAAAAATTAAGTGGTTATAAACCTATTAAAAAGTCTATTTTTATCAAGAATGAAAGAAAGACAATCTACAATAAAGACATCATGAAATATCATTGTTTTCCTATTACATTGGGAGAAAAAGGGAGAATAATTTCCAATGTTTGCTAGGTTGTGGGGAAATAGGCACCCTTAAGAGAAATAAACTTTCCTAAGAACAATCTGGTAATATATCCTAGATCCTTAATAGTGTATCAATCTTTAATGAAAAAGAATATTTCTGGGGGCATAATCCTAAAGAAATATTTAGAGTTTAAAAATGTATGAGTACTGCAGTATTTACTGTGGCTTATTTATAAAAGCCAAGAATTAGAAATGACCTAACATTCAAAGGCCGCAGATCGGCTGCAGAAACTGTGTTATGTGCATATAACATATAAATACCAGGAAACTACTAAATATTGCAATATGGATGGATATGTGTGGACATTGACATATAGTTCTAATATCTATATATTATGGAGTGAAAAAAACTGGCTAGAAAATGATGTGCATATTTTGAACCTAATTTGTCATACAGAAAAACACACAAACACAAACATAGAAAAAAAAAAAATGCCCAAAGAGCATCGGCCAGATGTTTGCAGAGGTTATTTTTGGGTGATTGGATTATAGGTGTGTCCTAGTTTGTTTGTTGCTGCTATAACATAATCCCAAAGACGAGGCAATTTATAAAGGACAGAAATGTATTTCTCACATTCCTGGAGTCTTGAAAGCCCAAGATCTAAGTACCTGTAGCTGCAATTGTCTGGCAAGGACCACTCCCTGCTCCCAGGAGGGTAACTTATTGCCACATCTCGGGGTGGAAAGGAATGCTGTGTCCTCACATGAGGGACGGCCAAATGGCAAGAGACCGGATGCCGCATGAAAGCTTTCCTAAGGCTCTCAATCACATTCACATTCACAGGGAGGAGCCGTTATTGCCTAATCACCTGTTGAAGGCCCACTTCTTAATACTGTCACATTGGCAACACCTGAATTTTGGAGGGGACACATTCGAACCACAGCACAGTCTTTTCTACTTTTGTTTTGTTTTTTGTTTTAATAATTCATCTCCATGTTCTGAATCTCCTGAAAAGAAAGTTAGATTCTGATATCATAAAACAATACACATAAAATCAGAGTGATAGGCACAGATTGTGCCATGGAAGGGGTAAGTATAGCACAGTCTAGGAGCACAGGGAAGAGCCTTACAACACCCCCTGGGGAACTCAGAAGTGGATTCTGAGCTATCTTCCTTTGTACCATCTCTCTTCCCAGCTCTCCTACCACAGCCTGGCATCTCTGAATAGGGGCATCTTTCCACTACAAATCAGACTCTCCTGAACATCACCAATGAGCTGGACTATCCTGGATTCTCAGGTGCCCATCAAAATTTACCCATCCTCTGGCACCAGCCCCAGAGTCCTGGTGTTTACCAGCGTGCCCCTGCTTCTGTGGCCTTTCCCCATATTGTTCTCACTGCCTGAAAAGTCGGCCACTCATTCTCTGCCCAGTGATCTCCTTAAAGATTGTTTAAATGCCAAATTCACTGAACTGATCTTTCCCCTTGTCTCTGGCCATACCTGCATCCTACTCTGTTGTTTGGATGCCGGGGTCCCCCAGTGACTTGGAGCTCCTTCCTTCATGCCAGCTTCCCAGCCTGCCCTTCTGGCTGGGATTTGGGCAGTGTGTCTCTGCTGCCCCATAAGACAAAACCTCAAATGACATAGCATTCACTGCTCACAAAAGTGAATGCTCACCTGAGCCTGGGAGGATCACACAGAATCCCTCCCTGCTTTTCTGCTGGGAATCAAATCCAACCCCTTCACCATGACTTAGGAGGCTCTGTTAGGTCTGACACTGCTTTGTGGACCAGCTCTCCTCCTCTGCTCCTGTCCTCCCACTTCTGGAATGTGGCCACCACAGTAGAAACTGGGTTGGTTGCCTGGGTGATGGGGAAGTCACTGGCTCCAAGTATGCTGATGAGAGCTGAATGAGCTAGCAAGTGCCCAGTGGTCGGGCACAGGGCTGGTGTCCAGGGACATGAAAACTGGCAGCTGCGTGAGGCCCATCCCTCCCCCATCATTCAGGGCTACAGTTCATTTTTAGTATTTACAACCTATCAAATTTGGTGGTCACAGGGTTTTTGCAAATAACACTCAGTGGCATTTCTCAGCCCATAATTGGGAAATTCCTCTGAGTTTTCTAAGATTGATCAAAAGGTATGTGCTGTGATGACATGATATACAGGAGTCATCTCAGAAAATATCTGATTGGATTTGTTTTTAAGGGGATTCCTTGGATTGAGCAGAAGTGAAGAGAACAGTCAGGAGACCCTGTCTCCAGCTGGTCTGGGAAGGGTGACAATAATGGAGATGGAGGCACGTAGCTCAAATGGGGTATATTTTGGAGGTAAAGTTGACAGGATTTGCTAATGCATGTGATAGAGAAGGGGAGATGGAAGTGGAAAAATTATGGGAATTTTTTGTTTTTAGACTGAGCAACTGCATGAATGGATGATGGTGTATTTACTGAGAGAGAAAGGAGGCAGGCAGAGTAGGTTACAACTGTGGAACAGTTTACGGTGTGTTGGAGTGGGGGAAGAGAGGGTGTTCTCTTCCCTTCACATTACATTTGAGATGCTTGAGACATCCAAGTGAAGATGGCAGTTATGCAGTTCTTTATGTAAACTTGGAGCACAAAGTCTGAGCTAGAGATAGAAATCCTGTAATCAGCTGGGCATGGTGGCTCACACCTGTAATCCCAGCACTTTGGGAGGCCTAGGCGGGTGGATCACAAGTTCAGGAGATCAAGACTATCCTGGCCAACACATGAAACTCCGTCACTACTCAAAAAAATACAAAAAATTAGCCAGGCATGGTGGCGGGCACCTGTAGTCCCAGCTACTCGGGAGGCTGAGGCAGGAGAATGGCATGAACCCGGCAGGCGGAGCTTGAAGTGAGCTGAGATCATGCCACTGCACTCCAGCCTGGGCGACAGAGCGAGACTCTGTCTCAAAAAAAAAAAAAAAAAAAAATCCTGGAATCATCAACATAGGGGTAGATTTTTAAATCAGCAAAATACATGAGCAAATGTACAGAGAAGGATTGTAGAGTACCCAAGATCAACCCATGAGAGAAGCTGGGTCATCTTTTATAACTTTTCTGTATTCCAGCTTTCTTATCTGTAATATGGAGCTTTAAAAATGTACAGCATGTAGTTAAACGATATAAATTCAGCTTTTACCATTAGCATTATTGAAGATCAGTAAAAGGAGAGGCTAACAATGAAGATACAAAAAAGGAGACAATTAGGCCTGAAGAAAATGTGGAGCATGTAGTTCCTTTTAGAGAGCATGTACATATGTGTGTGTCCATGTGTGCATACACGGTTATGTACATGTGCTGATGCATATATATGTCCATGTGCAGGTACATGACTAGACACCTGTGCATACCTGTGCATAGACACTGTGCACATTCCTGTGTGTATATGTGCACCTGCACATATGTATGCATACTTTCATGTATGTGTGTATGTATGCCTGTGTGTGCACATGTTTGTATATGCAGTTGTGGTAGGAATAGAGGGGACTCAAATACTCAAGAAAAAAAACCCTGCCTTTAAGAAAATCTTAAAAGACCAGACCCAATTCTGTTCTGTTTACAACCTGAATGCATCCAAAGATGACTTTTTAAGTCATTGTTGAACAACAATGACACAATCTAACACCAAAGTCTTAGTCTATTTTGGGCTATTATAACAAAATACCATAAACTGAGTAGCTTATAAACAACAGAAATTTATTTCTCACCTTCCTGGAGGCTGGGAAGTCCAAGATCAAGGTAGACTTGGTGTTTGATAAGCGTCCACTTTCTGGCTCATAGGTGGCACCTTCTCGTCATCTTATGTGGAGTGAGTGTCTCTCTGGGGTCCCTTTTAAAAAGAGCACTACTCTCATAAAGGCTCTGTCCCCATGACCTAATCACCTCTCAAGGGCCCCAAACCCAAATAACATCACATTGGGAGTTACAATTTCAACATGTGAATTTTGAGGGGACACAAAGATTCAGACCATAGTGATACAGTTTGACTATGTGTCCCCACCCAAATCTCACCCTGAATTGTGATAATCCTCATATGTCAAAGGTGAGACCAAGTTGAGGTAATTGGATTGTGTGGGTGGTTCCCCCCATGCTGTTCTCCTGATAATGAATGAGTCTCACAAGATCTGATGGTTTCAGAAGTATCTGGCATTTCCCCTGCTTGCACTCACTCCATCCTGCTGCCCTGTGAAGAAGGTGCCTGTTTCTCCTTTGCCTTCAGCCATGATTGTGAGTTTCCTGAGGCCTCTCCAGCCATGTGGAGCTGTGAGTCAATTAAACCTCTTTCCTTATTAAATTACCCAGTCTCGGGTATTTCTTCATAGCAGTGTGAGAATGAACTAATACACATAGCACCCAGGTTTACATATAATGTAGTTTTAGCAAGTCCAGCATGATTATATCTGTCCTAAGCCAGAAAGCTCCCTGTACATTCTAGTGTAATTTATTACAGTTGAGCATGGGCTGTTTTTAAATACTTACCTATGGGCTCTCTCATGAAATTCTGGGTATAAATACCCAGGGCATTATTTTAAGCAGAATGGGACAGAGAATGAAAGCAGGAGAAATCCCAGAAATATCATTTAAAGAATTGACTTAATGGAAAAGGGGTTGTGTCCTGTATCTCATTTTATTTACTAATGACATTTCAGTGAGTTCTTAGGCAATTTGGAGAATAGTCTCTTAAAATAATAACAATAAAATCCACAGTCCTTGAGGAATACTTTGAGATTTTCAAAGCATATTTGCATCAGCTCCTTTTCTCCTTAGCCTTGTGTGAAGGAGGACAGAGAAGCCATCAAGAGTCCTGGAACCAAATATGGGCCTGAATTCTGCCTCATTCTCTCCATTAGTTTCTTGTGGCTTGGCCGGGCATGGTGGCTCATGCCCGTAATCCCTGAATTTTGGGAGGCTGAGGCGGGCAGATCACTGGCAGTCAGGAGTTTAAGACCAGCCTGGCCAACATGGTAAAACCCGTCTCTACTAAACAAAAATTACCCAGACATGGTGGTGTACACCTGTAATCCCAGCTACTAGGGAGGCTGAGGCAGGAGAATCGCTTGAACCTGGAAGGCAGAGGTTGCAGTGAGCTGAGATTGTGCCACTGCACTCCAACCTGGGTGACAAAGCGAGACTCTGTCTCAAAAAACAACAACAAATAAAAAAGTTTCCTGTGGTGCTGTGAAAGGTTATCACTAACTGGGTGGCTTAAAACAATAAAAATTCATTGCCTCACAGTTCAGGAGGCCAGAAAATCTCAATCAAAGTATTGTTCTGATTGGTTCCTTCTGGAGGGAGAATCTGTTCCATGCCTTGTCTTAGTCCATTTAGGCTGCTATAACAGAATATTATAATCTGGGAGCTTATAAATAATAGAAATGTATTTCCCACAGTTCTAGAGGCTGAGAGGTCCAAGATCAAGGCACTGGCACAGTTGTGCCTTCTTCATGGTTCAGAGATGGCCATCTGCTATTTATAAACTCACATAGCAGAAGAGGGAAACTCTGGTGTCTTCAGCCCCTTATAAGAGCAATAATCCCTTATTATAATGATATGATATAATAATAATCCCTGATCATAATATTCATGAAGGTTCCACTCCCATGACCTAATTATCTTTCAAAACCCACCTCCTAATACCATCACATCAGGGATTAGCTTTGAACATATGAATTTGAGGGGGATGCAAACATTCAGTCCATAACATCTCTCTCCTAGCTTATGGCAGTGGCAGCAATCCCTGGTGTTCTTTTCTTTCCTTTCTTTTTTCTTCTTTCTTTCTTTCTTTTTCTCTCTCTCTCTCTCTTTCTTTTTTTTTTTTTTTGAGGTGGAGTCTCTCTGTGTTGCCCAGGCTGGAGTGTAATGGTGTGATCTCAGCCCACTGTGACCTCCGCCTCCCGTGTTGAAGTGATTCTCCTGCCTCAGCTTCCCGAGTAGCTGGGATCACAGGTGCCTGACATCATGCTTAGCTAATTTTTTGTATTTTTAGTAGAGATGGGGTTTCACCATGTTGGCCAGGTTGGTCTTGAACCCCTGACCTTAGGTGGTCTGCCCTCCTTGGCCTCCCAAAGTGCTGGGATTACAGGCGTGAACCACTGCACCCAGCCTATCCTTGGTTTTCTTAGCTTGCAGCTGCTTCACTTCAATATCCACCTGTACAATCACATGACCTTTTTTTTGTATGACCCTCTGTGTCTTCACATGGTTTTCTTATAAGAACACTAGTCATTGGATTTAGTGCCCACCCTAACCCACTATGACTGCATCTTAATTACATCTGCAAAGATCCTATTTACAAACAAGGTTACATTCTGAGGTTCTCAGTGAGAAGGAATTTTTAGATGGCACTATTCAACTTAATACAATCTCTTACCATTTGTATAAGTTTCTCAGAGAATATGTTCTTTCATTTAAAAATACGCAAGTGCTATACTATTGGGTTATTGTGTGAGTAAATCAAGAAAAACAGGAACCACACCTAGCACAATGCCTAGTATATTATAGACCATGAAAGCTGTGTTACTAAGTTTAGATCCTGGCTATGCTAGAAGATCATAGACCTCTATGAGTATTAATTTCCTATTTTCCTATTTCCGATTAATCCTCTTGAAGGAAAGGACAATGTTTTGCTGCATTTTTTCCGTTGTTGTGTTTCCAGAGCTTTCTAAAATGCATGGTCAATAGTGAATGCTTACCAAATTGTATTGGCATGAACAAATGCTAGCAAAGGTATATGTATCTTACAGAAATGATGGGAAGATGAAATGAGAAGAAATGTCTGCTTCTAAGAACTCAATAAAATGTCTATTCTCTTTTCTCTCCCTCTTTTATAGTACAGACTACAAATAGTGGATGTATTCAGAGAGATGACACTAGTCATCAGTTTAAGGCTCAGGAAGGAGTCAGGGGAGGGGGCTCTGACCTCAGCTTTAATGCTTGGGTAGAGTTTGGAGAATGAGGAAGAGCAAGCTATGCTAGCTTGCCGAACTACAGGACACCTTTTACTTAATCCACAAATAAAATTTTTACAGCCAGCTATGTGTCAGGCACTGTGCTTGTGGTTAGGATATTGAGGGGAGCCGCCCTTTCCTCTTTTGCTCTTCACTTTAATAAAGAAAATAGACCTAATCAGGTTAATGTAATATTATAGGACCCTGTAGAGACATTTTCCAGGGTAAGAATTTTCTGTGAAATATTGCAGACATGCACAAGCATGTAAAAAAAAAAATAATGAACATCACATACCCAGTTAAAGGAAGCATTGCTAATACAATAGGAGACCCCAATTGGTACCTCTCTCTGTGACAGTTGAGAATGTTGTTCATGAAGTAAAGAAGAGAAGAGAAATGACTGTTCCAAGGTGCCACATGGCAAAAAAAAATTCACCTTAGGGTTTCCTAACCTTCCATAATGCAAAAAAGGCATGTTGTCTGATGGTATTTATTTGTTGCTTTCATTTTTAGCAAGGTCATGTATCTTTTCAGTTTATAGGGTCTATGTGGCTCAATAAGAAAATTCAAAATTCCCCATCCCTTCTTTCATTCCACTATTCTTCCTACAGATAATAACTTACCAATCATTTAGCTAATTATTTTGATAATACCATAAGACCTCTAAATAATATGCTGAAATTACTTCATTTTTCATTTTTAGGCATCATGTATGGAATTCCTCCAGTGAAAACTGAGGCCTCATGTCTCTGTGGTACCTCTTCCTTATCTCACCCATGCACCTTCCCTGAGATCTCCATCCCCTAGATGGAAAACAGAGCTATGAAAACAGAGCCCTGAAAGAGACCAGCAAAGATGGAAACTTAATATTTAACAAACCTGGTTTTGTGGCTAGTACAGCAAGGATAAGCCATTCAATAAATTCCACAGAGATAATTGGTTATCTGTAAGTGAAAATAAAATAAAATTGGATCCCTACCTCACACTGCACACAAGAATCCATTCCAGAAGGGTTAGAGCATTAATGTGAGAAACAAAACTTTAAACTATTAGAAGAAAACATAGAAACATAGGAGAATGTGCCCAAAATTAAGGGTGACAAAAATACACTTGACTTCCAGAGAGAGAAGGCATCTCATCTGAAATACTACACATACCACAAAGTTGACTGTGCCCAGGACCCCCTCCTCTTCTTTGCTCTCCTACCCTTATTCTCACAGCTCAGGTTGTATGATGTTGTGGGGGTGGTGACAGTGAGAGTAATTTTGCTAACAGTTAGAAAATTTGGGGGCTGGCTGATTAGAATGTGGGCTAGGAGAGATCCTTTGTCCTCAGCTTTGGACCTTCATCACCAATTTCAAGTTCCAGGAACAGTTCCACTTCACATCCTGTTACATTGCCATTAAATGGGAAGATGACTCCCTTGGAAATGTGTCCAGGGAGTATGCAAAGGATCACTGTGCCATTCTCACACCTCAGGTCTTTAGAATAACTTGTTTCATTTGTTTGCTTCTATAAGGTTTTTATGTCTTTTGAGGGGCAACAGAGGATTAGATTATAGATTTTTGTACTACTGATTTAAATTTTTGAACCAATATAGATATAAATACATGTTTTCATTTTAACTGATTTTTAACTTATTTTACATTGTGGTCACAGCATGTAGTTTCTATGACACCAATTATTTGCCATTGTTTGAGACTTGCTAGATGGCTTAGCATGCAGTCAGTTTCATAAATATGCTATGTCTTCTTGAGCAAAAGTATATTCACTTAATGTTGGCACAGGGTTCATTATATATCTATTAAATCTGTTTAATTGCATTGCTCAAGAGTTCTAGTTTTTTATGATATTTTCTGGTTTGGTTTGTCAGCTACTGAGATAGATAAGTTTCAATCTCATTGTATGGGTGGTAGATTTGTCATTTCTCCTCACAGTTGTTTTTCTCATTTTTTGCTGTAGTATTATGAGCATAAATGTTTAGAATTATTATATCTTCCAAGTGATTACAACCTTTGACTATTAAATAATAACTCTTTTCATCTCTGGAAGATTTTTCCCCTCCTTGGTCTATTTCCTCTGATATTAATACAGCTAGGACAGTTTGTTTTTGAATTGTATTTACCTGGTAGGTTTTTCCATCCATTAACCCTCAAACTTTATGCTTTCTTTTCTTTTAACTATGTCTTCTGTAAGATACGATTTTAATCTTTACCCATTCTATCTATTTCTGGAAGATTTGTGTCTTATATATTGCGATTATGATCTCTCAGGGGTTGTTTCTTTCATACTATTTACAGCTTTACAGCCAGGCACAGGAAGACAAACATCGCATGTTCTCACTTATTTGTGGGATCTAGAAATCAGAACAATTCAACTCATGGACATAGAGAGTAGAAGGAGGGCCAGAGGCTGGGAAGGGTAGTAGGGGTTTTGGGAGTAGATGGGGATAGTTAATGGATACCAAAAAAGAGAATGAATAAGGCCTACTGTTTCATAGCACAATAGGGTGACTATAGTCAATAATAACTTAATTATATATTTTAAAATTAATACTGTAATTGGATTGTAACTCAAAGGATAAATGCTTGAGGAGATGGATACCCCATTCTCCATGATGTGCTTATTTCATTATTTCACCTTGCATACTTGCACCAAAATATCTCATGTACCCCACAAATACATACACCTACTATGTACCCACAAAAATTTAAAAATAAAAAATATAATAAGAAGAATTTTTCATTTCCTGTTTTTTTCTAATTATTTTCCTTTTTCTGTTTTAAATTGATTGAGTTTTAGATTCCATTTGCTTTTACATCCTGCTGGATTGAAAGTTATATGCTCTTTTTAAGTTCTTTTATTGGTTTCTCTTAAAGGTTGTACATATTCATGTGATAATATAATAAGGGCATGCTGACCTCTTTGAAAAAATTGGAAAAAGTGATAAAACAGGAAGGATGGACAAGAGCATCTAAGTGAAAATTAGAGAGAGTAATTGTTCCAAGTAAAGAAAACAGGCTATCATTCTAAAGGCCTGAGGGGTAAGAATGGCACAATAAGCTTTTTCTCATTCCCCTGGACACCATTTCCAAGGTAGTCATTATCCCATTTAATAACAATGTCACAGAATGTTGAGTGGGACTTTTCCTGAATTCTTCAATTGGAGGACAAATAGGCTCCAGTGGCTCCTATTCTAAACAAAACCTCCAACAGACACAAGGATGAAGCATCATGACCAAGGTTTCCTAAGAGGTGGGCCAATTAGCCCCACTACCAGCCACCATAGCCAGTACTGCCCAAGCTGTGAGAATGAGGGGAAGGGAGCACTGAAGAGGAGAGACTTGTAGCAACTGACAATGTTGTTTAAGATGAGACATCGCCCCTCGCTGGAAGCCAGGTGTGGGTGCTCTAAGGGCATCACTTTCAGAGGCTGGAAGCCTCTCACTTGCCAACTGGCTGTGGCCAAACTGAAGAACCTTTAGGCTTTCTTTGGTGCAGCTATTAGAGAGAGTGAAGCAAGGTGTGACAGGCAAAATTCTGAGATGGTCTCCAAGATTCCAGGGCCCTGGTATACACACACCTTCTCCCAGTTTACCAATCAAAACTAATCTAGGTATTCATGGGAAGGAATTTTTTAGATATGAGTAAGACCCCAAATCAGTTTGCCTTAAGATAGGGAGGTACCTCAGGCCTGACCTAAACACCTGAGACATTTACACCTGGATCTAAAGGTCAAATGGAGGGGGCTACCTGGCAAGGCACACAGGTAGCCTCTAGAAACCAAGAGCAAAACAAGTAGACAACAAGAAAATGAGGATCTCAGTCTCACAACTGCGGGAACTGAATTCTGCCAAGAATCTGAATTGACTTGAAAGTGGATATTCCCCAGAGCCTCCAAATGAGAGTTCATTCTGATCAACATGTTAAATTCAGTCTGGTGATAGCCTGAGGAAAGAACCCAGT
This sequence comes from Homo sapiens, assembly GCF_000001405.40. Lineage (NCBI taxonomy): Eukaryota > Metazoa > Chordata > Mammalia > Primates > Hominidae > Homo > Homo sapiens. Next base: position 15,121,579 of record NC_000004.12, on the reverse strand, counting down.
GAATGCTTCCTGGACAGGAGACCTACAGAATTGTGAGCTTATAAGTAGGTATTGTTTTAAGCTGCTACGTTTGGCAATTTTTTACACTTTTATTTTAAGTTTAGGGGTACAAGTGCAGGTTTGTTACATAGGTAAATGTGTGTCATGGGGGTTTATCGTATAGATGATTTTATCACCCAGGTGTTAAGCCTAGTACCCATTAGTTGTTTCCTGATACTCTCCCTCCTCTCACCTTCCACCCTCGAAAAGGCCCCAGTGTGTGTTTTTCCCATTGATGTGTCCATGTGTTCTCATCATTTAACTCCCAATTATAAGTGAGAACATGAGGTATTTGGTTTTCTGTTCCTGTGTTAGTTTGCTAAGGATAATGGCCTATAGCTCCATCCATGTCCTTGCAAAAAAATGATCTCATTCTTTTTATGGCTGCATAGTATTCCACGGTATATATATATGTGTTGTGGCAATTTTTTACATACCATAGAAAAGTAATAAATGTCATAAAGTATCGGGGAATCTGCCCCGATATTCACGTAGGTTCTTTTCTATTTTCCTTAAGTGTCGGCCAGCTTGAGAAATAAAGGGACAGAGTACAAAAGAGAGAAATTTTAAAGCTGGGCGTCCGGGGGAGACATCACATGTCGGTAGGTTCCATGATGCCCCACAAGCTGCAAAAACCAGCAAGTTTTTATTAGGGAGTTTCAAAAGGGGAGGGAGTGTGCGAATAGGTGTGGGTCACAGACATCAAGTACTTTACAAGGTAATATCACAAGGCAAGTGGAGGCAGGGCAAGATCACAGGACCACAGAACCGGGGCAAAATTAAAATTGCTAATGAAGTTTCAGGCACCATTGTCATTGATAACATCTTATCAGGAGACAGGGTTTTTGAGATCAACCGGTCTGACCAAAATTTATTAGGGGGGAATTTCCTCTTCCTAATAAGCCTAGGAGTGCTATGGGAGACTGGGGTCTATTTCACCCCTGCAGTCTTGACCATAAGAGACAGGTGCACTTGGGGGGGGGGGGGCTTTTTATAAGCCTATACCTCCAGGTGCATGTTCTCTTTCCCAGGGATCTTCCATGCTGAGAAAAAGAATTCAGTGATATTTCTCCCATTTGCTTTTGAAAGAAGAGAAATATGGCTCTGTTCCGCCCAGCTCACCACCGGTCAGAGTTTAAGGTTATCTCTCTTGTTTCCTAAACATTGCTGTTATCCTGTTCTTTTTTCAAGGTGCCCAAATTTCATATTGCTCAAACACACACGCTGTACAATTTGTGCAGTTAATGCAATTATTACAGGGTCCTGAGGCGATATACATCCTCCTCAGCTGACAGGATTAAGAGATTAAAGACAGGCATAGGAAATCACAAGGGTGTTAATTGGGGAAGTGATAAGTGTCCATGAAATCTTTACAATTTATGTTTAGAGACTGCAGTAAAGACAGGCATAAGAAATTATAAAAGTATTAATTTGGGGAAGTAATAAATGTCCATGAAATCTTCACAATCCACATTCTTCTGCCACGGCCTCAGCTGGTCCCTCCATTTGGGGTCCCTGACTTCCCCCAACAACAAAGAAGACGTTTAAGATCTAGGCATTTGCACTTGTAGTTCATGGTGCCTGTTCCCATCTGACTTTTTCTTAGTTTAGGAGGCTTGTGGATTCTGGGCAATGGTATAATGTGCTTAGGTAAAAATGGGGGGCATCTCTGATCTTATCCCCAGCTCTCTCCAATTCTCAGAGAAGGGGGAAGAATGTCTTGATGATTCCTGAGCTCTATGGAAGTAACATTAAAAATCAGAGGAGAAGACAAGTGAGGAGAAGCCCCAAATGGCAACCAAGTGAGGAGGGACCATGTCTGGTCAAGCGGTTGGGAACATGCACCTGGAGTGGAGGCTGAAGTGTTTTTAAGTGGGTACTCAGTGAATAAAGATGTGGATCACCACACTAAAGCCACATCCACTACTGACACAGAGCTACAGATGATGGGGGCAGACAGAATAAAACTGAACCAGAAATGACAAGGTTTTCCTCCCTGCTTTTCCAAGGGATCAATCTCATCCACCTTTTTGCCTTTTTTGTGGCAGACTGTAGTTTCCAAAAATTGCTGCTCCAATACCTCCTATCCTACAACCTCTTCTCCACTGTGATCTTGCCCTTATCTCATTAGGTAGTAAAATCTATTTCCCCTCCCTTTGAACCTAGCCTGGCCTTGCTTGACCAAGAGAATATGGTAGAAGTGATGTCCTAGAACTTCCATTACTAGGTTATAAGAAGTCTTGAAACTTCTTCCTGAACCTCTTGGAATGCTCTCTTTGGGGGTATTTTCTTTGAAAATCTGTTCACCATACAGTGAGATGCTCACACCACATGGAGAGACCACATGTTGGCTGTCAGGTCAACAGCCTCAACTGAGCTCCCAGATGACAACCCGCATCAAGTGCCATCCATATAAGTAATCCTTCTTGGACGTCCAGCCTAGTCATGTCTTCAGATGGCTGCATCTCTAGACACCCGATGCAAGAGCTGCCCAGCAGAGCCCAGTCAACCTGCAGAACCATAAAAGACCATAGTAAATTGTTGTTTTAAGCCACTAAGGTTTGGAGCGGTTTGTTGTGCTGTAAAGATATAAGTGTAACACCCTCTTTTCTCTCTGTCCCCTCTACCCTTCAAAGGAAATGAAACTCAGAAGTAAAGGGACTTATCCAAGGTCACATAACTAAGTAGCAGAACTAAGACTGGAACCCATTAAACACACATTACATTTCTAAGGAGGGTCTTCTGAGGTCAGTTATGCCACCACATACCATGAACTGGATGCTTTGGAAACATTGTGAATAAATGGAAATCTGGACTGAGGAGCAGGGGTAGGCAAGCCTCCTTGGGGCTGCCAGTTTTCATTCCATCTTGATGCCAGAGCTGCCTTGAACATTACAAGTCCCTGGTCATTAAGTCCTGATCAGCCTTTCAGGCCCTAGTCAGCAAACGTTGAGCCAAGGACATCTTCATCACCCTGGTAACAATTCAGGCTCTGCCATGGGGGCCACATTCCAGAGGCCAGGGAACAGACGTGGAGGTGGGGAGCTGGCACAGAAAGCAACCCTTCTCAGAAACCAGCCCAGAAGAAATTCACAAAAGCCACGTTTTCTTTGGTCTAATATTTACAGTTCAAGAATTTCCCCTTCTGCAAACAGCAGGGTTGAGCCTGTGGTCATGGACACAGCCCGAGCTGAATGCTGCTTCTTGCTCTTTATCACTTTTCCAAGAAACCTGCTGTGTTCTGCAGACATTACATGGTCTATCTTTTGAGACTTTCTCTCTCTCTCTCTTTTCCTCCTCCCTTTCTCCTTCTCCCTTTGTCCTTCTCCCACTCTCTTCCCCCACTTACACAAAAATCTTGAAATAAGACATTAGCAGATTAATACTTATGGAGCATTGACTGTTCAAAATACCATGTTGGATACACAATGCTATTTATTCAGCAATCCCATTATAACAGGCCTATTACACTCATTGAATAGTTAAGATCAGAGATGTTAAGTAGCATGCCTACAGTCACACAGCTCCTAAGATGTGCTGTGATTGGAACTCATGTCTCATTGTTCTCAAGGTTCCTGCTCTGCCCACTTTGCCTTCTTGGCAGAAAGCTGAAACACAGCAAAGGCAAATCCTATGGGTGGTGGGGTGCTGGGTTCCCTTTCCAGACTACAATCCAAGATGAAACCCTCTCTTCCTACTGCCTGCCTTGTACGCAACCCTGGAACCACAATGCGGGTCTGAAAGACAACTTGAAAGAAGATTGGGTGGGGACAACTTCTCACCTTTCATCATGCCTTCAGGCAAACATTTTCTGAGGTCCTAAGGATGCCCTGACACACAGGGAGGCTAAAAAAAAACCCCAATTTGATCATTTTTACAAAATGCAATGAAGCTCCAGTCATTATTTTTCTGCTGAAAATAAAAAGATAAACAAGACCATCTCTATCCTTAAGCAAATGATGGCATGACCATTAACAAGCATTTAAAATATTCTACTCTCTTCTTACTCACTTCTCACAATGATTCTATGAGGAAGCCATTCGTGTACCCATTGTATAGAAGTGGAAAGTATGAGTCACAGTGGTTGTCTGAGAACTTCCAGTCAATAAAGACATAGTCACAGCCCAAGGTTTCAGAAGTTGTGTGATCCCAGTGGGTACCAAGTGCATCTGAGCAGTGAGAGGGGACCATCCTGGATCAGGCAATAAAAGGGTCCCTTATCCAGAGATAATCTAACAATACTAAAACTGACTAAAAGTTGTCTGTTTTTTAATCTGACATTGCTATTCAATGTCAGTCGTGAAATATTCCTTTCTGAAAAAAATTTTGCTGGTCAAAATTATAAACAATTCTGCAGTTACTATTAAGTTTAAATATATATGAAAATTTTATATCATCACATTTTAATTTTTTATGCTTTAATAAATGCTACATTCTATATAAAAGTTAACTTAGAAGCTTCCCAGCTGTACAGTTGGTCTCTGAATCCCAGGGACTCAGCAACATGCCCTTGGTTAAATAGTAAATTTGTAATGGCTTGAAATTGTTCAAGCTTGCCTCAGGGGCAGTTCATGTCTCCAACTTACTAAACTTTAGCTATTAATAATTAGTTGAGCACCCCACTGGGTGCCAGGCACTGTGCTGGGCCGAGAATAAGATACGTGAGCTCCCATCTCTCACAGAGTGTCAGTCTTTTGCAAAGTGTGCTGATTAATTTTATGTGTCAACCTGACAAGGTTAATGAATACCCAAATAGCTGGAAAAAAATTATGCCTGTGAGGTTGTTTCCAAAAGAGATTAGCATTTGAATCAGTCAACTGAATAAAGGTGATCTGCCCAGATATGGCAAAAAGACAGTGGAAAGGTTAATTCCCTCTCTCTTCTTGATCTGGGACATTCATCTACTCCTGCCCTCAGAAATCAGAGCTCCTGGGTCTCAGGCTTTCAGACTCCAAGACAAATTAGCAGCCCTAGGAGCCCCTACCAGATTCTCAGGCCTTCAGTTTTGGACTGAACTATATCACCAGCTTTCCTGGTTCTCCAATTTGCAGACAGAATATTGTGGAACTTCTCAGCCTCTGTAATCTTGTGTGCCAACTCTCATAATAAATATCCTCTATCTATCTATCTATCTATCTATCTATCTATCTATCTATCTATCTATCTGACTGTCTTATCTCTCTCTTGCTCTCATTCTGTCCATCCATCCATCTATCCTATTGGTTCTTTTTCTCTGGAGAGCCCTGAGTAATGGAGAAGGAGATAGATCATGAAGAAGAAAACAAAGTGAAACACTTCGAAGTAATTTCAAAGTGTTTTAATTTCAGCTTTCTGCAGTAAAAAATGCTCTGAAGGAGAAAATAACAGAGTTCTTTGGGAGAGTTTATAGAATAAGAGGTATCTGGGGTATTCATTAGACTTGTCAAGTTGACACATAAAATTAACCAGCACACTTTTCAAAAGACGGACGCTCAGTAAGAGATGGGACCTCATGTATCTTATTCTCCTGTTTTTGATAAGATAGACAGGGACCTCTTTCTGCGATGGTGGCCTCTTAGCAGAGAAATGAAGAATAAATGGAGTCAGGCATGGTGGTACATGCCTTTGGTCCCAGCTACTCCAGAGCCAGAGGCTGAGGTGGGAAGGTCACTTGAGCTCAGGAGGTCGAGGCTGCAGTGAGCTATGATTGTACCACCGCACTTCAGCCTGGGAGACAGAGTGAGACCCTGTCTCTCTTTGAAAGAAAGAAGAGAGAAAGAAGAAAAGCAGGAAAGGAGGAAGGAAGGGAGGAAAGAAGGAAGGAAGGAGGGAGGGAAAGAAAAGAGAAAGAAAGAAAGGGAGGAGGAGGAGAAGGAAGGAAGGAAGGAAAGAAATGAGAGTTGACTAGATCTTCCCCTCGAGAGGCGGGAGAAGAGGGTCCTAACCACAGAAAGAACATGTGAATGAAAATTCTAGCATGCCTGAGGCCTTGGGGGAAAACCCTCACAGAGCCTCGTGAGAGGTTGGAAAATGGCAGGAGGAGAATTGAAGAAGAAAGCAGGAATCAACCATATCCAGAGAGGCTAGGAGTGTGGGGTAGGCATAGATTTTATTCTACTTGCCACCAACAGTTTTCAGAGGGCAAGAAACACATTCTGATTTTTATTTTCAAAAGATCTCTCTTGCTGCCATGTGGTGAAGACAGTGGTAGAAGTCAGGAAGGATAATGGCAATGTCCCTGGAAGTAAAACAGGTGAGTAGTAGATATATTTGGGGATATAGTCTTATTGAAAGGGCTTGTTGAGGTTAAGGCAAAGAGAGGAATCAAGAACAGCTCCTAGCTACCTGTTTTGTTTTGGGTAGGGGTGAAGCCATTTGTTGAAATAGAAAATTGGGGAGAAACATTTAGAGGGGAGTAGAGTATGTGTGTGTGTGTGTGTGTGTGTGTGCAATGTAACACATTTTTATTTAACAAAACTTGGAAAATAAGAAAAAAAGTCTTCCATTTGTTTGTATCCTCTTTTATTTCCTTGAGCAGTGGTTTGTAGCTCTCCTTGAAGAGTCCTTCACATCCCTTGTAAGTTGGATTCCTAGGTATTTTATTCTCTTTGAAGCAATTGTGAATGGGAGTTCACTCATGATTTGGCTCTCTGTTTGTCTGTTGTTGGTGTATAAGAATGCTTGTGATTTTTGTACATTGATTTTATATCCTGAGACTTTGATGAAGTTGCTTATCAGCTTAAGGAGATTTTGGGCTGAGACAATGGGGTTTTCTAGATATACAATCATGTCGTCTGCAAACAGGGACAATTTGACTTCCTCTTTTCCTAATTGAATACCATTTATTTCCTTCTCCTGCCTAATTGCCCTGGCCAGAACGTCCAACACTATGTTGAATAGGAGTGGTGAGAGAGGGCATCCGTGTCTTGTGCCAGTTTTCAAAGGGAATGCTTCCAGTTTTTGCCCATTCAGTATGATATTGGCTGTGGGTTTGTCATAGATAGCTCTTATTATTTTGAAATACGTCCCATCAATACCTAATTTATTGAGAGTTTTTAGCATGAAGGGTTGTTGAGTTTTGTCAAAGGCCTTTTCTGCATCTATTGAGATAATCATGTGGTTTTTGTCTTTGGTTCTGTTTATATGCTGGATTACATTTATTGATTTGCGTATATTGAACCAGCCTTGCATCCCAGGGATGAAGCCCACTTGATCATGGTGGATAAGCTTTTTGATGTGCTGCTGGATTCGTTTTGCCAGTATTTTATTGAGGATTTTTGCATGAATGTTCATCAAGGATATTGGTCTAAAATTCTCTTTTTTGGTTGTGTCTCTGCCCGGCTTTGGTATCAGGATGATGCTGGCCTCATAAAATGAATTAGGGAGGACAAATGGAAGAACATTCCATGCTCATGGGTAGGAAGAATCAATATCATGAAAATGGCCATACTGCCCAAGGTAATTTACAGATTCAATGCCATCCCCATCAAGCTACCAATGACTTTCTTCACAGAATTGGAAAAAACTACTTTAAAGTTCATATGGAACCAAAAAAGAGCCCGCATCGCCAAGTCAATCCTAAGCCAAAAGAACAAAGCTGGAGGCATCACACTACCTGACTTCAAACTATACTACAAGGCTACAGTAACCAAAACAGCATGGTACTGGTACCAAAACAGAGATATAGATCAATGGAACAGAACAGAGCCCTCAGAAATAACGCTGCTTATCTACAAATATCTGATCTTTGACAAACCTGAGAAAAGCAAGCAATGGGGAAAGGATTCCCTATTTAATAAATGGTGCTGGGAAAACTGGCTAGCCACATGTAGAAAGCTGAAACTGGATCCCTTCCTTACATCTTATACAAAAATCAATTCAAGATGGATTAAAGACTTAAACGTTAGACCTAAAACCATAAAAACCCTAGAAGAAAACCTAGGCATTACCATTCAGGACATAGGCATGGGCAAGGACTTCATGTCTAAAACACCAAAAGCAATGGCAACAAAAGCCAAAATTGATAAATGGGATCTAATTAAACTAAAGAGCTTCTGCACAGCAAAAGAAACTACCATGAGAGTGAACAGGCAACCTACAAAATGGGAGAAAATTTTCGCAACCTACTCATCTGACAAAGGGCTAATATCCAGAATCTACAATGAACTCAAACAAATTTACAAGAAAAAAAAAAACCCCATCAAAAAGTGGGCGAAGGACATGAACAGACACTTCTCAAAAGAAGACATTTATGCAGCCAAAAAACACATGAAAAAATGCTCACCATCACTAGCTATCAGAGAAATGCAAATCAAAACCACAATGAGATACCATCTCACACCAGTTAGAATGGCAATCATTAAAAAGTCAGGAAACAACAGGTGCTGGAAAAATAGGAACACTTTTACACTGTTGGTGGGACTGTAAACTAGTTCTACCATTGTGGAAGTCAGTGTGGCAATTCCTCAGGGATCTAGAACTAGAAATACCATTTGACCCAGCTATCCCATTACTGGGTATATACACAAAGGACTATAAATCATGCTGCTATAAAGACACATGCACACTTATGTTTATTGTGGCATTATTCACAATAGCAAAGACTTGGAACCAACCCAAATGTCCAACAATGATAGACTGGATTAAGAAAATGTGGCACATATACACCATGGAATACCATGCAGCCATAAAAAATGATGAGTTCATGTCCTTTGTAGGGACATGGGTGAAATTGGAAATCATCATTCTGTGTAAACTATCACAAGAACAAAAAACCAAACACTGCATATTCTCACTCATAGGTGGGAATTGAACAATGAGAACACATGGACACAGGAAGGGGAACATCACACTCTGGGGACTGTTGTGGGGTCGGGGGAGGGGGAAGGGATAGCATTGGGAGATATACCTAATGCTAGATGATGAGTTGGTGGGTGCAGCACACCAGCATGGCACATGTATACATGTGTGACTGGCCTGCACGTTGTGCACATGTACCCTAAAGCTTAAAGTAAAATAATAATAATAAATAAATAAATAAAAAGAAAAAAAGTCATCTCACTAATTAAAACCAAACACTGTTAATAGTTTAGCACATATCCTTCCAGTCCTTTTTCTTTACATTTATATTTTATTTAAATATACAGTATGCAGTTATATGCAGCATAAGTTAGTGTGTCATAGTAATTAGGAGTTAGATAAGCCAGAAATTTTTACCTTATCAGTTACCTTGCTGTGTGACCTTGGCATTGTACTTATCCTTTCCGAACTTCCTTTCTTCATCTGTAAAATCAAATGAATATAACACTAATCTTTAATTCAATCCATTTTTTGAAGTTAAAATAAATGATGCTGATAATGCACTTAGCACAATCTCTGGCAAATGATAAGCACAAGAATTGTTAATTATCATTATCTTTAGTATTTATATGATTATTTCCCTAGGAAAAAAATATTTAAAATGGAATTGCTACCCTAAAATGCTATACAAATAACAATAACAATAACAAACAAAACAGAATACATTCCCAAACTTCACAATAACTCTGATTTTTTTTTTCTGACTCAAAGGAATTTAGGGGAAAAAGGTAACAAAAAATTGACCATGGTAAAATCAATCTGACCCGAAGCCCTATTCACATATCTTTAGGAATATTAAATTAGCAGAGATTAAACATTGAATTTTTTCTCAATTATTTTTATGATGGTCCAATATTGCATTAGAGTTTTATTGGATGGAATTCTTGTCTTGCCACAAATCAATGTCACATTACTATTCCAAGAAGGAACATTCCTCCTGAGCAGATGAACCGATGGATGTCTCACATTGGCTTGGATGCTTTCTAGGGCTAGCAAACATGTGTGATGACAAGGTAGCCCTGAGACACTTCAGAGGCAAATTTCACTGGGAGCGGCTGTCACTGGTTTGCTTTCACCATCCGCAAATCTGCCCTTTCCCAGTGGTTTTTCTCATCTACAATCCCATGTCTCAAAGTTGCTTCTGTTCATACCAAAGTTTCTTAAAGAACCAAAGAGGCCCAGCCCATAGAAAGAGCTGGTGGTTATGCTGGGGGCTAGGCTTGAATCCAGTAATACCTCCAGCCCAGCACAGGAGTAACCCCACCATGAACTTGAATGAGGCCTTAAGGCTAGTGATGGAGCCTGTCCCATTGACCCTAAGTAGCCTGAAAAGCCCCAACAACAGCAGCATGTGGAAAAGTGAATGCAAGCCAAGGAAACATAAAGGCGCAAGGAATAATTTAGAAGCCTAGTTAGAACTGATTAATTTCCTTGTCAAATTAAATTCATTAGCCCGGAAGCCAATTGAGTTGGAACATTTGTGTATTAATAAAAATAGTGCCTAACAAGGACCCCCTTTGCGGACATTGGAAATGATTTGGCTACAGAAATGGCATCACAGAAGGGGCTGGAGGTAAAAAAAGAAAGTGCTTCTAATCTAGTTATATTGGCATCATAAAGTCTTATTTCACAGAACCTGAGCTATACTATTATGACTGCAAAGTGAAATAAAGTGTGTGAAATATGTTGTAGCCCTTAAAATGCTCTAAAATGTATAACAGTATTACCTAGGTCAAGCCCACAAAGATGATAGATGGAAGCCCAGAGAGGTTACATAACCAGATCAAGCTAGCTAACTTGCTGGTTATCTAAGTAGGGTTATCTTACTGGTTAGATAACCAGTAAGTTAGTGCCTTACTTGGTTATCTTATTGGTTAACCTTACTTAGATAACCTTACTTGATTATCTTACTGGTTGTCGAACCAGTAAGTTAGTGGCTCACTCGAGGACTTCAAGCTGTATCTTTCAACTTCCAATTCATTGTTCCCTTTTCATAGCATGATACCTCTATGACCATCATGCTAATACTTTGGCAATGTACTTCTTATCCTTTCCATTTATTTAACATCAGGCATCTTGCACATTTATCTCACTAAATTCTCACAAGAACTCGGCACAGTCACATGGTGGAAGGAGAGGTTGAGAAACTCACTTGTGTCACAGAGGTGAGGAAGAGGGAACTGGAGTATATCTGGTTCTGAAGTCCACATTCTCAACCACTGCAATACATTGCCTCCCTCCCAAGGGTTACCTCAATCTAAAACTCTCTCTCAACTGTGTCAGCAATTTTGCAGGAAAGAATCAACCCTTGGGAAACATTTGCTGTGTTGCAGAAAACAGACTAGCTACTTCACAAGCCTTAACTCACATTATTCTGGTAATCTTTTAATTAGTTGTTCTTAGTCCTAGTTTATAAAAATAGATAAGCCAGCTAATAGGAAGCAAGGAACTTGTCACAGGTCAAAGTGCCAGTGTGAGTGTACTTTTGCCTGGATCCAAAGGAATTCCCTTTGTACCTTGTGGCCTCCCACACAATTGCCATAAAAACATCACAGGTAAGTTAATAACCTTTGTTATGAATGAAAGCTGACTGTAGCAACAGCCAGTCAGTCACGGACTCACTTCATCCTTACTATTCAGCCTAGCAAATTCAAACTATGAGCAAGTTCATAGCCAAACCATATTACAAATAATCTTTGAGTCAGATAAAGCAGGACCAAAGGAAAGGAGAGGCAAAATGCAGAAATAGAGAATTCTACAGCAGTGATAGGAAAATAAATAACACCTTACAGCAAGCATTTATTATTTTTTCCATTTATTTGACATCAGGCATCTTGCACATTTATCTCACTAAATTCTCACAAGAACTCAGCACAGTCACATGGTGGGAGGAGAGGTTGAGAAACTCACTTGTGTCACAGAGGTGAGGAAGAGGGAGCTGGAATTATCTGGTTCTAAAGTCCACATTATCCACCACTAAATTCTAGAGTAGAATCCACTAAATTCTAGAGTGCTGAGAAATATTAGTAGTTCTTCAATGGAAAATAGATTTGGAAGTATAAAAAAGTATGTAAAATAATGTTATAAAACCAAATTGCTGTATATGTGTGAGCTTATATATGCATACAATTGACCTTTAAACAACATGAGTTTGCACTATATATGAGGATTTTCTTCTGCTTCTGCCACCCCTGAGATAGCAAAACAACCCTTCCTTTTCCTCCTCTTCCTCCTCTGCCTACTCAACATGAACACTGTGCGGATGATCTTCATGATGATCTACTTCTGCTTCATGAATAGCAAATACTTTTTATCTTCTTTATGATTTTCTTAGTTACACTTTCTTTTCCCCAGCTTATTTTATTGTAAGAATACAGTGTGTAATACATACACAAAATATGTGTTAATTGTTTATGTTATTGGTAAGGTTTCCAGGCAACAGTAGGCTATTAGTAGTCAAGTTTTGGGGGAATCAAGTTACATGTGGATTTTTGATTACATGGTGGGGGTCAACACCCCTCTCCTCAGCATTGTTCAAGGGCCAACTGTGTGTGTGAGGGTGTATGTGTATTTCTGTAGGATTCCAGAATTTTTTTTTTACTTGTTAGAGTAAAATTTAAATGTTCATGAAGGGATATACTACTTCTTGAATTTACTTAACAGTGGAATGCCTTCCTAACATTTTTTTTTCCCCTCAGAATACTGGTTAGTATCTAGAACAGAGGTAGGCACACTTTTCTGTAAGGGCCAAATGGTAAATATTTTAGGCCATGTGGGCCATACGTTTCTGTTGCAATGACTACATTCTGCCATATAGCATGAAAACAGCCATCAATGATACATAAATAAATGGGCATGGCTGTGTTCCAATAAAATTGTATTTACAAAAAGACAGCAGTGCATGGAAGTGGGAGGTAGGGTGGACAGGGGTGGATCTGGCCTATGGACCTCTGTTTTCTAACCCCTGATTTGGTAGAACAGTTGTTCCCCAAAGGGCAGCTTACATTGTTGTCCATATTCACTGATGTTTACAAAGTACTAAAGTAGAACACGTAGCTACCTGGCTTTCTCTAATTCAAGTATCAGAATCTTGAGTCCAATAATTAGGTAAGGTCCATGCAATAAAACTATCTGGAGGGATTCTTTAACTGAGACTTAATAAGGGTGATAACATTAGCTTTTTCAGATGATTCTAGAATTCTAGAATTAGAACTTGAGGCATACTTTTATATTAAAAAAAAACCTGCAAAGGGATTCTGTTATTAGTCTCTTAAAATAAATCATATTAAAAAAATTAATGGTGTTTAAATGGTCATATATAAAATTTAACATCCATTAATAATAAAAATGCTAAACTTGAAGTCTACGTCCTTAGTATGACAAAGTATATTCCAAAACAGCCAATATTGTATCATGGTTAACAATAAAACACCAGGAATGTCTCCATTGAAATCAAGAACTAAACAGAGCTTCTGGCATCATCGTAATTATTTAAGTGTATTCTGAATATCCTGGACATTCTCATAATGCCTGAAACAAAAATAGGTGTTATAAGTGTGAAAGGAAAATAAATATTGGGACCCCAAACTCACTAAGCCAAAGGGAAAAGTTAAGCTGGGAACTGAGTTAGGCAAACCTGCCTCCCTTTTTTTTTTTTTAGACGGAGTTTTGCTCTTATTACCCAGACTGGAGTGCAATGGCACGATCTCGGCTCACTGCAACCTCTGCCTCCTGGGTTCAAATGATTCTCCTGCCTCAGCCTTCCAAGTAGCTGGGATTACAGGCATGCACCACCACGCCCAGCTAATTTTGTATTTTTAGTAGAGATGGGGTTTCTCCATTTTGGTCAGGCTGGTCTCGAACTCCTGACCTCAGGTGATCTGCCTGCTTCGGCCTCCCAAAGTGCTGGGATTACAGGTGTGAGCCACCGCACCTGGCCTCTCATTTTGGTTTTTTAAATAAGATGGCTACAAAGATGAAGAGCTACATACCTTACTTACATTTTGCCTGCCCACCTGAGACAAACGCATATCTGATTGTTTCTTGTGCCCTACTGTCTACATTATCTTACGTAAAAGTGCAGATTCAGCGAGCCAGACAAAGGCACGAATATTTCCCCTTCCCCCATCTCACATGAAAATTGTGTATTTCTCAATATCCCGCCCTTTCCCCTTTAAATATTGAAGCCCTCAAAATCATCTTCGGAAAAAGGCATAGACCTGTCTCCCAGGCGCGAGTCTTGACTTTGGCAAATAAACCTCCTAAAATGATTGAGCCATGCCTTGGTCATTTTCCTTGATTGACATCAGTATAAGAAAGGGTATCATTATGTGAAGATGACATGGTTTACTATTTACAAAAATCCAAATCAACCAAAATGGTATTAGAATTAATAAGAGTTATGAGTAAAAGAGATCAGAGAGATAAATATATAAAAATCAGTAGCATTCCTCCAAGTCAGCAACTACTATTTTGAAAACATAAGAAAAATATAAACCAAGTATATGCCAGCAGGTAATTATAAAATGTTAGACGATAAATTTGACCAAAAGAAGTATGTGTGGGTATTTATGTTTACATATTTTATTAAAACATGCATATGATTTGAATAAAAATCTCCCTGTTCCCACCCAGGAATAGAAAGTGGATTGAAGACAGGAATCAACCCAAGGGGGACGTTGTGGAAGTCTCTCTTCCTATCGCATATGAACATTAACAAAAGAACAGCATCAGAAACTGGGTCTTAGTCGCAGGTAGCAGCCCCACTAGTGATAAAGGAAGAACATGCTAGGAATGTTAATAGTCATACGATGCTGCTGCATAATAGAGAATTTGTCTGACCTTTGCCCAGGGTTTCTGGCACAGAGCTTTTAAAACCCTTATAATTTCCCAAGTGATAAAAAGTGTTTTTGTTATCCATGAGACCCTTAGACCACACTTGAGTTTATGTTAATAACTCACGATCAGCTCCTAGATAGCTTCAGGATGAGAGCTGCTCACCAGAAAGACCAGCTGCATCATTCGAGGGCTGGGACTTTGAACCAGGCTGACCTCCAGAAAGGTGACAGGAGGCTGGAGAGTGAGTTCAATGACGTGGCCAATGATGTAATCAGTCATGCCTACATAATGAAAGTCCAATAAAAATACTAGACACTGAAGCCTGTGGGAGCTTCCTGGCTGGTGAACATATCAATGTCCTGGGAAGAGGATGTGTCCTGACTCCACGGGGACAGGGCATAGAAGCTCTGCGTCCAGGAGCCTCCCAGGGCTTTCCCTGTGTATCTCTTTCTTTGGCTATTCCTGAGTTGCATCCTTTATAGTAAAACCATGAGTATAGCACATTCTGAGTTCTCCAAGTCATTCTAGCAAATTATTGAACTAGAAGTGGTCACGGGAACCCCTGAATTGTAGTCGGTGTGTCCTACGTGCAGGTGGCCTAGGGGCCCCGTTTTTAGCTGGTGTCTGAAGTGAAAACAGTGTTGCTTGGAACCATGCCCTTTGACTTACGGAGTCTGCACTAATTCTGGGTGCTTAGTGCCAGAACTGAATTGAAGTACATCCGTTGGTGTTAGAATAGATGGAAAACATCTTTCCCTGCGCAGATAATTATGATTATTTGCCCGCTAAATAGTTTTAAATACTATATCTTTTAGCTTTTAATAATAGTTCACACTCTCTTATCTGAAATCCTTGGGGCCTAGTTTTTTTTTTTTTTTTTTTTTTTTAGAATTTAAAATTTTTAGAGAGTTGTGTCCTAAGACTCCTGAAAGTCTTGGCAGCATCTTACAATGAATGACTAATATTTCTACAGTGATATACATAATTGATAACAAAATCAGTAAGGACCCATAAGTAGCTTCATTTCAGTTCATGTTACATGTTTCCACCATGTAAAGCACTGGCTTCAGAGCTTTGTGAATTTCAGAATTGTTGATAAGGAATTGAGGATCTCTATATGAATGTATCCTGTTAGTCTTCTGAATGGGGACCTGGCATGCACTTCAAACTTATTTTACCAGAGAACATTATTTTATTTTTTCCAGAGGACAGACAATGGTAAAAGAAAGGAAACAAAGTTTGAAATATGGAGAACCAGAGATATCTTTGGAAAATTTTTTCAATCTTGTCATGTGAAATTGCCAGCAATCTGGCACTCATCAATGCCTAGTCAAAAACAAGTTTTTCTGCTAGGATATATAATAATGTAGCATATACAATTATAATCCTGAAGAGAATCACACTAGTATCAGAATCCCTACATCTGTAAGGCACAAACCTATAATAGTGCCTCTGCTAGGCAGAATTAACAAATGGCCCTCCAAGATTCCTGGCCCTAGTGTGCACACACATTTCTCTAGTTATTCAATCCAATTCTAATCTGAGTACTACTATAAAGGGATTTTGCAGATGTAATTAACCTCTCAACTCAGTTAACTTTAAAATATGTAGACTAGGAGGAGTAGGGGCAATCCTAATCATATGAATCCTTTTAAAGCTGAGAGATTGGCTGGTAGCAGAAGAAAAAGACATAGAGACATACCCCTAGCTGGTTTGCAGTGGGGAAAAAAAGCAAACATTAATATTGTAAACTTCCTACTGGGGTCACATGGTACGTAAGCCTCTAGATGCTGCCAGTTGTCTCAGGCTAGTGGCTAGGAGGAAAATGGAGACCTCAGTCCTACAGCTGCAAGGAAATGAATCATGTCAACAACCAGTGAAACCAGAGAGCTTATAGGAGGACCCTGAACCCCAAATGAGAACTGTAACCCTGACTGACACATTGATTTCTGCTTGAGACCCTGAGCAGAGAATCCAGCTATGCTGTGCCTAGACTTCAGACCTGTATAAATTGTGAGGCAATAAATTTGTGTGTTTTTAGCCACCCAGTCTGTGGTGATTTGTTACACAGCAATAGAAAGCTACAACAGTACCAAACAGTAAATACATCTGCATGAGAAGTCACAGGCCGTATGCAGCATGCACAGATCTGACATGTCTTGCCCTGACAAAGTGGACATTTTGGATACAACGGCATTCAGAATTGCCATTAATGAAGTGAAGCATTCTAAACTCACAAGTGTTACAGTGACAAAAGTCCTAGACATGTTCATCAGTAAGTCCGTGTATGTAACACAACAGTAATTTGATTATATATAATTATGTAAATCAATAATGTGCCTTGAATTACTTTTGTATATGCCCTAATTTTGTCTATTCTTCAGAATTATCGGTTATAAAAATATAGGTGAGCAGGGCAGATAAATATTATGTTCTTTTTCTAGAGTTTGCGGTATTTGTGGTAATTTGCTAGACTCTAAAAATACATAATTTGCTGTATTTTTCTCCTTTTAGATGAATGCTCCCCCGCATAATTTTGTATGAGATATTTCCTATTCTTTTTTTAAAAAAAGAGTGTCCCCAAATAGCATAAGATTCAGTACCACAAATAGTTAGACACCCAGAGCAAGGATTAACTCTATAATTTGTGTTTCCCAAAATGCAATTTGAGAAAATCCTGGTGTGGTAGCCATTGTTACTCAGCTGCCAATACCTTCTGTCCTGCATCCCTCTTTCTCCGATTTTATTCTGATGCTTACCCTCTTCATGCTAAGGGAAGGAGGTCATGTCCAGCCCCATCATGTGACTGGATTTTCCAGAACCAATGGCAGTTCCTTCCCCACACCACTGATTGGAGAAGGCATAGTCAGATGATGCCAACCTGGCCAATGAAATCTATGAGAGGTCTGTGCGAGAACTTCCAGGAAGGGCCTTCCTCCTTAATCAAAAACAAAACAAAACAAAATCTTGAAAAAGAAACTCCCCTCTGTGACTTTGGAAACTGTGACTGGTTAACATGATGGCATGATCTGGGTCTGAAGTAGCTATCCCAGCCGACCAACTGAGGACGGACCAAATGGGAAAACGCAAAGCCTTGGAGACATTGTGCAGTTGCCAGGGCTAAACCTAGAAAAGTCTTGCCTCAGGGTTTTCTATTGGTGAGGGTATAAATCCTTCCTCATGATTTAGGCTATGTATTAGTGTGTTCTCATGCTGCTAATAAAGACATACCTGGGACTGGATAATTTATAAAGGAAAGAGGTTTAATGGACTCACAGTTCCACATGGCTGGGAAGGCCTCACAATTATGGTGGAAGGTGAAAGAGGAGCAAAGTCACATCTTACATGGCAGCAGGCAAGAGAGCATGTGCAGGGGAACTCCTCTTTATAAAACCATCAGATCTTGTGAGACTTATTCACTATCAGGACAACAGCATGGGAAAGACCCCCCCGCCCCCATGATTCAGCTACCTCCCATGGGGTTCCTCCCATAACGTGGGAATTATGGGAGCTACAATTCAAGATGAGATTTGGGTGGGGACACAGCCAAACCATATCAGGCTACTTCATTGTTGGGCCTTTTGTTGCTTAGGGCAGAAAGCCTCAGGATACAGCAGGGATGCTAGAAGTGGAGACTGTGGGGCTTCCTGAGGCTTCCTGAAGTGAGATGCTAATGCATGTGGTTGGGTGACTTCAAGGGTTTTCTGGGTGTAATTGGGAGGACCTGGTTTACTTAATACAGACCTCATCAAAATCCCAAAGGGAAGTTTTGTTAAGAAACTCGACAACATGATTCCAATCATTCCAAAATTCACCTAGAAACATGAGCAGAATAAACAAACATTTCTGAGGAAAAAATATATTGTTAGGACCAGCCCCACATATCATGAAGCTATGATAGGTAACTGATTGTGGTTCACGTGCTAGTGGGTATGACAGGTTAATGACAATGGAAAGTTGACAGTAGACCCCACTAGCAATGGAAGAAATGCCAATTAAAATAATTTATGCTATCTCTTTTAATCACAAAATTCAAAAAATAACCTAGACTCTTAATGCTGGTCAGCGCGTATGTGATGGATACTTTCATATTCTCCTGGGGGGATTTTCAAATTGGAAGGACCTTTCTAAAGAAAGTTTGTAGCAAGTTGCTTAAGTAAATTTGTGCACTTTGATGTAATTATTCTACTTTGATGATATATCCTAAGGAAATAATTTCAAATATGTAAAATGCTTTATGCAGGCAGATGTTTATTACTGTAATAATGAAAAATAGAAACCAATTAGATTTGCAACATGCACAGGATATTTAAACCAATTATATCACAAAGGCTCTCATGCTGGTATTAAAAATTATGGTGATGAAGACTAAACAATGAGAAATATTTACGATTTAATGTGAAAAACGATGATATAAAATTATATACAGTATAATTTAATATTTGAAAAACAGCAACAATGGTCCATGTAGGGAAATGCTGGAAAGGAATGAAACATAATTTGAACAATAGTTGGATTTGAATAGTGAGATCACCAATTTTTTTTAATCTTTTTAACTTCCAAAGTCTCTTTAAAATGCTACTTTTGTAGTGAATAATTTTAAAAATCAGAGTAATTGCTTTTAAAGATGTTGTATTAGTCAATGTTCTCTGAGAAACAGAACAAATGGGATCAACAACAAGCAAAAGGTTGTTGAAAAAAAATCATTTGCTTCTCTCCTAAATCCTATAAGTATTATTAGGTATGTTTAAAATATTTGGAAATGGGTACTCAGAAGGAGTAAGTGAATTTGCTGAGGACTAGCAAAGCATAATCATTAAATTCCTGACAGGACTGGGTCTCAAGTCTGACACTTACCACCAGCTTTGTGACCTTAGAAATGTTACTCCATCTCTTCGTGCCTCCATTTACAGACCTGTGAAATGAGGCTAAGAACAGCAGCTGTCTTGTGGAGTTGCTCTGCTCATATGCAATTATGTGATTATGAGCAGAGCTGATATTATTATTAGAGCTGAGGTTCAATCTCAGGTCTTCTGGCTCCAAGTCAGCATATTGTTCTTCATACTTATTTGACTTCTTATAAAATTTTGCCATTATACGAAATCAAATGAATACAATCATCTGACATTTGATAGGAGCCAATTTCTCACAACTCCCTTGCACATAAAAGAGTCTTCTCATGACTGAGAACAGCCAGGAGCTGCTCTTTCTTCTTCCAAAGGACCTTTGTTTGTTAGAGGCATCCTGGTGTGCACAGAGTAGCCCTGCCCGAGGAAAGAACACACCATCACTCTGTTTCTCCTCGATGGGCTGGTCCTTCTACTTCTTCCAAGTCCTGTTTCCCTGAGAGTGTCATATGTCTTCTCAAAATGGACCATTGCCGCCTAGGGAATGATGTGCCAAGTATTGAACAAAGGCTCTGTTTAGATTTTGCCACTGGAGAGCTGAAACCAAGGGTCAAATTCCGTTTTGCATTTCTCCTTGTTGCATCTCTGTTCATGTTAGCACAGAATTTTGGAGAATACAGTCTATACTCCTCTCCTCAACCCGCCCTTTGACACAAATACCTGCAGCTCTGCTCCAAAACCTCTATTCCTCTACTACTGCATGGTGGGGCTTCCTGTTGAGTGATATAACACTGTTCGTGGTGCCCTCAGTTAGGAAACACGTTCCTTCCAAAAAATTTGAGTGCATTCCAATAATGACTACTCACATCACCCCATGGAAAGAGAGTGTTTCTATTTCATTAGTAGACACTGATGCTCTGACTTAGAATTAGGAGAATTGTTAAAGAACATCTTGTGAATCTCCTTATCAATGCTTTACAGCACTGGATGATATTGCTGCCAAGTGGTGACCTTGTGCTGCCTTGACTCTATGCCATAACCTACATATTCCAAATTCAAACAACTTTTTTGTTTAAAACTCTTTCTACATAAATGAGTTGGGTGTATCACTTCCTTATAGCAGACTTTATATGTCAGTAAATGAGAAAATTGGTATGATTTATACAAGCATTTTGCCCAGAAGAGCATGCCATGCTGAGTAAATTTATTTATTTAGTCCCAAGGTTGAGGACATAATAAACTTTTGGAAAGTGTTTTAGTGTTTTCCATTTGTCCTTCAAGATTCACTCTTAACCTGCCTCTGCCCTACTTTTTGAGTGAAGAGGTTGACTACTACAGATTCCATCACTGGCCACTGTTGTCTTCTGACATTTTGTTGGTTTCAGTAAGGTCAGGATATTTTTCATCCTGGATTTCCTTGAAGGCAGAGTCCAAGAATAGGGTTCGTGTTCAGGTAGTTTTATAAGTGATAATAGGAAGCAGGAGTGAAGGACTGGGGTGAGTCAGATAAGGGAAGCAACAAAATCAATATAAGGATCTACTACCAAGTTGGCTACTGCAGTGAACATCAGGTATTAAATCTGAGCTGCTCAATGGTTCTAAGAAGAAAACAGACTATGCCTCAGCATTGTCCACCAGAAGGGTAAAATGGAGAAGCAATTCACTATTGTCTCCAGCCCCCAAGGGCTATTGATTGCCCACATTTATTTGTTACTAATGAATGAGTGCTGAGCAGAGTGCCACAGGCATCAGAGAAGACCTGGCAGAAAGAGGAAGGTGGAGTATAAAAGAGGGAAGAGCAGCAGACACGTGAGTTGAGGCACTGCCAGCCTGAAACAGGCCAAAACCTACATAGAATTGTTCAGTAAGGACAAGGGTACATGAGTTGGTGTACAACAGGTTGCATATACTGTGTATTTATTCCCTTGAGTCCCTCCTTGCAAGGCCACCGCAGGTATGATTTATATCACCCTACCTAAGGCTACAGCTCCTGTTGGGTGGCCCATGAACCTCGGATCTGAGCCAACCAACTTATCTCTCAGAAACTCCATCTCTGAATGCTCCGACAAGGAAGAGACCCATGGTACCAAAATGAAACCTGGTTCTGAATTGGAGAATCCAATGCTCTAGGGGATAGCAATGTAAATCTGCCAAACCCAAAAGGCTAAGCATCATGAGATTGGGAAGATAAACTGTAAGAAACATCTACTCAAGGTGAATCTAAAAAGAAAAATTACAAAGTATGTGGTCAAAATATTTATCAGAAAATATTTTGTACACAACTCAACAAACAGGAGAATTTATTACTGAGGAACTGTAAGTTTTAGAACCATATTTTAAAGTAGACTTTACACCATGTGGATAAAATCCCCAACAGAATATAAGAAAATGTAGTATCCATGAAGAAAGAACAAGAAATTATAAAATAAAAACAGGTGGATATGAGTCAAGAACAGAAAGATTTTTGGAGGGAGTTGTCTTTTTAAAACAAGCTTTTTTTTTTAGAAGAGTTTTAGATTTCTAGAAATATTGGAATAACAATACAAAGATTTCCCCTATATCCCAAACCCAGTTTTAAAAAATCATCGTCTTACCTTAGTATGGAACCTGTATTAGCCTGGTCTCACACTGTTAATAAAGACATAACTGAGACTGGGTAAAGAAAAAGAGGTATAATGGACTCACAGTTCCATGTAGCTGGGGAGGCCTCTCAATCACACTGGAAGGCAAAGGAAGAGCAAAGTCACATCTTACATGGTGGCAGGCAAGAGAGAGCTTGTGTAGGGGAACTCGCCTTTATAAAACGATCAGATCTCGTGGGACTTATTCACCATCACAAGAACAGCGGGGGAAAGACCCGCCCCCATAATTCAATTACCTCCCACTGGGTTCCTCCCATGACATGTGGGAATTAAGGGAGCTTCAATTCAAGATTTGAGTGGGAACACAGCCAAACCATATGAGCACCTTTGTTACAATTAATGAACCAACAGATTATCATTATTATCTAAAGACCATTATTCAGATTTCCTAAGTTTTCTCGAATGTTCTTTTTCTGTTTCAGAATCCTATCTTGTTATTTATGTTTTCCTAGTCTCCTCTTTGTGGTTTTTCAGACTTTCCATTGTTTTCCTGACCTTGACAGTTTTGAAGGATACTTATCAACTATGTTGTAGACCATCCCCCAGTTGGAATTTGTGTGATATTTTCGTGTGTAATTAGACCAAGGGGTAATATGTTTTGAGGAAGAAAACCACAGGGGTAAAGTGCCACTTTCATCACATTATATCAAGGATACCTGTTAGCAATATGACTTACAGAAGGATATTTTTTAATGGCCCAAAAGAAATTCTGAAAGAGAAAAAATATAATTAGCAAAAATTTCAAAGTATTAATAGAAGGAATAAATATAGGACCCAAAGATATAATTATAATATAATTATATAATATGGGTTTTAAGTCACTAAATTTGTTGTAGTTTGTTACGCAGCAATAGAAAATGAATATATCAAATATTTGAAGAAAACTATATGAAAGAAAGACACCAAACTCAACTAACATCCGAAGAAACACTTAATATAACAAGTAGAATGTTTTTCTTTAAAAAATACTATAATTTCTAAAGTAATTTTAAAAATTGTGGTAAGAACATTTAACATATCTATCTTCTTGACAAATCTTTGAGTGTACAATGCAATACTGTTCAATACAGTCATGATATTGCACAACAGATTTCTAGAACTTACTTATTCACCTTGAGTAAGTAAAACTTTATGCCCACTGCACAGCAACTCCCCATTTTCCCCTTTCCCCAAACCCTGGAGATTACCCTTCAAAGTAGGAAGGAATAAATACAGGACCCAAATATATAATTGGTGAATTAGAAGATAGTACTGAAAAACTCATACAGAATGCAGCAAGGGGACATCAAGAAATGGAAAGGATGAAATAAGAGACATAACTGATAAGCTCATACAGGTGTTATTGGAAATCCTAATAACAAAATAGAATAAATTGCCAAAAGACAATATTTGAAAAGACAATAGCTGAGTAATTGAAGAAAAGACATAAGCCTTTAGTTAAAAAGTACAAACTAATTCCGGTAATTTGCATCAACCCTTTTACTGAGAATAACTGAACAGACTGGGAATAACAAACAAAATATTTTTATTTAAAAATTTGCTTTTAATCCTTGGAGAGCTAATAAGCAATAAGTCATAAGGAATTATGAGAGGCTGGGCGCAGTGGCTCATGCCTGTAATCCCAGCACTTTGGGAGGCCAAAGAGGGTGGATCTCTTCAGTCCAGGAGTTCAAGATCAGCCTGGCCAACATGGCGAAACCCGTCAATACTAAAAATACAAAAATTAGCCAGGTATGGTGGTGCACGCCTGTAATCCCAGCTACTCAGCAGGCTTAGGCACGAGAATCGCTTGAGTCCAGGAGGCAGAGGTTGCAGTGAGCCAAGATCGTGCCACTGCACTCCAGCCTGGACAACAGAAGAAGACTCTATCAAAAAAAAAAAAAAAAAAAATTAAGAGGTCAAGATCTAGGAAATCCAAATAATTGGGCTGGCATTGAAGCCACTTTTTCTCCATGGTTGTCCGCTGATTTCAGAAGCTAAGCAACCCTTTTGATAGCTTAATGGGATGAAGAGGACAAACATTACAGTCTCAGGCATGCAAATGAGTGAAAGCCCTGGAAACTCACCCTCAGGTAAACCAGAAGTATACAGGTCTTGAAAGGGATAAAAGTCATTTAATTTAGACTAAAGTGGCCCAGATTGTTAGTGCCCTAGCTGCCTGCTGAACTAAACACAAACATTGTCTGGAAAAAGATAAAATTATCATAGGCCTCATATTATTTGTATAATTTTTATATACAATATCTTGTTTAGTCCCTTCATGCTATTATAACAGATTACCATAGATTAGGTGGCTTATAAACAACAAGGGTTTATTTCTTGCAATTTTGGAGGCTGTGAAGTCCAAGATCAAGATGCTCACAGATTTGGTGTCTGGTCAACACCCAATTCCTGCGTCACAGATGGCCACTAGGCAGCTCTCTGGGTCTCTTTTATAAGGGCACTAATCCCATTCATGAGGGTGGAGATCTCATTACCTAATCACCTCCCCAAATACCTTCTAATACCATCAGCTTGGGGTTTAGGTTTTCAACATATAAATGCTGGGGGCACACAAACTTTCAGTCCATAGCAATATCTGATCTTTAATAGAAAATAATCAGTCATATGAGGAAACAGAAAAACATAAAATAAAATTCCAAAATATCAAGAGAAGCAACAGAAAATGGATTCCCACAGGGGAGTCAGATAATGTAGTTATTAGACACAGATTTTCAAATAACTAAACATAATATGTTTAAGAAAAAAATACAAGATGGAGAATTTTGGCAGAAAACTGAAAACTATAAGATTAATCAAATAAAAATTCTAAAAGAAATAGTCAAAAATTAGTTACCATATGGAATATTTGAATGTCATGATTAACAAAGTTCATCTAACTGACAAATTTAAAATATTTATTCAACAATTGCAAAAAATACATTGTTTTCAAATAAACATGAAATATTTATATACTTGGACCAGGTGCTAAGCCATGGAAGTCTCAAGAAGTTTTAAAGAAAAGAAATACAAAATGTGTTCTCAGACTCCACTACAATTAAACTAGAAATCAATAAAAAAAATTAATGATTAAGGTTCCCATATAAGATTACGAATTTCACCTCTAAATAAAATATATTCAAAAAATAAAGAAAAAAGCACAGTGGAAATCAGAGGATGCTTCACCTGAATAACACTGAATATAATACAAATTAAAACTAAAGTAGACTACATTAAAGTCATGCTTAAAAAGGAAATTTATAGCCTTAAGTTCATGTAGTAGAAAAGACAGGAGACTCAAAATCAGTGAGCAAAGCATCCATCTCTAAAGTTTAGGTAAATAAAAGTGAAATAAATTGAGGAAATTTTAGGGAGAAAAAAATAAAGATGAAAGCAGAAATTTGTGATTTAGAAAACAAGGATATTATAGAGAGGCTTAAAGAAAAAAATTGCGTCTCTGAAAAAATAAATAAATTTAATACATTTCAGATTAGACTGATACAGAAAAACAGGAGTGTATTAATTTGCTCAGGCTCCCAAAATAAAATACCACAGACTGGGTCGTTTAAATGAAAGAAATTATTTTCTCACAGTTCTGGTGGCTGAAAGCCCAAGATCAAGGTGTAAGTAGGGTTGGTTCCTGAGAAGGCCTCTGTCCTTGGCTTCTCAATGATGCCTCCTCTCTGTCCTCACAAATTAATAAGGGAGTTTTGCAACGTTGCTGGATACTGGGTCAATAAACAAAATTCTATAAAACTTCTATATCAGATTAACAAAAGATTAGGAAATAAAATTTAAACAAAGATATCATTATAATACCATAAAATAGAATGAAATCCAGAATGTAATAAAATACATGCAGCCTTTTCTCTGTGCAAATGCAGGAAGAGAGAGAAAGAGAGCACTCTGGTGTCTCTTCCTCTTCTTATAAGGACACCAGTTTTAGGGCTGGGTGTGGTGGCTCACACTTGTAATCCCAGCACTTTGGGAGACCGAGGTGGGTGGATCACCTGAGGTTGGGAGTTTGAGACCAGCCTGACTAACATGGAGAAACCCTGTCTCTACTAAAAATATAAAATTAGCGGGCATGGTGGCACATGCCTGTAATCTCAGCTACTCGGGAGGCTGAGGCAGGAGAATTGCTTGAACCCTGGAGGTGGAGGTTGCGGTGAGCCAAGATCACGTCATTGCACTCCAGCATGGGAAACAACAGGGAAACTCCACCTCAAAAAGAAAAAAAAAAAAAAAAAAGACACCAGTTTTGTTGGATTAGAATCCCACCCTTATGCCGCATTTAACCTTAGTTACCTCCTTAAAGGCCCTAATCACCAAATACAGCCGCACTGGGGGTTAGGGCTTCATCATATACATTTTGTGGGAGGCACAGTTCAGTCCAAAACAAAGAGAAAGCAAAAAAACAGAAATAACCATAATCAGAAATCAAAAGGGGAACAAAACTTTATATCCTACCAACCTTTTAAAAAACTATTAAAAGACCATTTATTCCAGTAAATTTGAAAATTTCGATGAAGTAAATAAACTACTAAAAATATAACTAAAAAGTTGCATAATAAAGCTTAGAAAAAGTGGATTGTTGTATATTTATTAAAGTCAGGCCAGATGTGATGGCTCACACCTGTAGTCCCAAAGTGCTGGCACTTTGGGAGGCCGAGGTGGGTGGATTACTTGAGGTAAGGAGTTCGAGACCAGCCTGGCCAACCTGGTGAAACCTCATCTGTACCAAAAAATACAAAAATTAGGCAGGTGCAGTGGTGAGCACCTGTAGTCCCTCCTATTTGGGAGGCTAAAGTGGGAGAATCACTGAACCTGACAGGCAGAGCCTGCAGTGAGTGGAGATCGTGCCACTGCACTCTAGCCTGGGCAACAGAGTGAGACCCTGTCTCAAAAAAAAAAAAAAAAAAAGTAAATGAATCTGTAATTAAATGTCTCCTCACAAAGAAAAATCCAGATCCAGAAGTTTTAGCAAGTGAATTCCAAAAAGCATTTAAAGTTACGCCCATCTTACCTTTTCCTTCAGATAACGGTTAGTTTTTCAAAGGCCAGCATAATCTTGAGCAGAAATCATGACATAAATAAATTAGAAAAATAAGTCATTTAATATATAAAACAAATAACATATAACATCTATGTTGGGCTAATTCCAGCAATTTAAAATGGACTATCTAAAGTCAATCAATGTGATGCAACATATTAACAGAAAAAAGGGGGCAAATAATATAATCACTTCAGTGGGTATAGCAAAATCATTTGATAAAATTGGACATCGATTTAATAAAAATGCAGATGTGAGGGCGATCTGGCTGTGACATCTGTTGCCCCATTGGTTGCCAGGGTTGATTTGGCTGATCTGGCTGGCTAGGCGGGTGTCCCCGTCCTCCCTCACCGCTCCGTGTGCTTTCCTCCCAAAGCTGCACACTTGGTTGAAGAGGACAACCATCCCCGATAGAGGGGGACTAATCTTCGGTCAAGGGTGTACTAGTTAGCTGCGCTTCCCTCTAGAACCTCCAAACAAGCTCTCAAGGTCCATTTAGTTAAAATGCATGTAGTAAATTAGAAATGGAAGAGAACTATTACTTTAATTAGATAAAGAATATCTACAAATAATATATAGCAGTCATACATTTAATAATAAAAAAATATTGGCCAGGCGCAGTGGCCTATGCCTGTAATTCCAGCACTTTGGGAATCTGGGGAAGGTGGATCATGAGGTCAGGAGTTTGAGACCAGCCTGGCTAACATAGTGAAACCTTGTCTCTACTAAAAATACCAAAAATTAGCTGGGTGTGGTGGCACAACCCCAGGGAGGCTGAGGCAGGAGAACTGCTTGAACCAGGGAGGCAGAGGTTGCAGTGAGCCAAGATCGTGCCACTGCACTCCAGCCTAGGCGACAGAGTGAGACTCTGTCTCAAAAAAAAAAAAAAATGTTGAAAGCTTTTCCTCTCTGCTACAGTTTGAATGTGGTTTGTCCCTGACAAAACTCATGTTGAAATTTGATCCCCAATGTGGTGGTATTGAGAAGTGGGGCCTACTGGAAGGTATTTGAATCATGCAGGTGGATCCCTCATAAATAGGTTAATGCCCTCCCTTTGGGAGTGAGTGAGTTCTCACTCCTGTGGGACTGGATTCGTTACCTTGAGAGTGGATTGTTACAAAAGTGAGTTCAGCTTCCCAGACTCTTTTTTTGCTTCTTTTCTCACCATATGATCTCTTTGCACAGGCCTGTTCATTTTTCTGCCTCTCTACTATGTTTTGACCCAGCATGTGGCCTTCACTAAAAGCAGGCCAGATGCCGGCCTATACTCTTGAAATTCCCAGCCTGCAAAATCATGGGATAAATAAATAAACAAACAAACCTATTTTCTTCATAAATTACCCAGCCTCAGGTATTTTGTTATAGGAATGTAAAATAGACTAAGACACTCTGAGATCAGAAATGGGACAAGGATACCCACTTTCATCACTGCTGTTTACTATTTACAGGTAGTCTTAACTAATGCAATAAAGTAAGAAATAAAATTTTTTTAAGTTGCAAAAAAATAGTAAAATGTATTAGCACAGATGATATGATTTTATATAATCTGAATAATATACAGGTAAATTGTCAAAATTAATAAGTGAGTTTAGCAAAGTTGCTGGATACGATAAATCAATAAAAAAATTTCATAAAAATTCTATATTATATTAACAAAAGATTAGAAAATAAAATTTAAACAGAGATCTCATTATAATAGCATAAAATACAAAGAAATCTAGACTCTAATGAAAGATATGCAGGCTTCTATACAGAAAACTATAAAATATTATTGAGAGAAAGTAAAGAGTCATTGAATACTGGGATATATACTAACTTCATTGATTGGTGGACAATAATTCAAAGAAGTCAATTCTTCCCAAATCTATAGATTTAATTCAGTTCCCCCAGTATCTCAAGAAGATTACTGCCGAAATAAGCTGATTGCTTTTTATAGCAACATAAAAAAGAAGAAAGATGTTAAAAAAAAAACAAAACGCTTATTCTAAGGGATATCAAGACTTGCTATAAAGCTACAGTAATGGTATGTAGTATGGTACAAGATCATACAAACAGAGCAACGAAATGCATTCCAGTTCCCCAGAACTATCCCATGCACATATAGGCACTTGATGCATGACAAAGGTGACATCCAGAGTAGTGGGAAGTGGCTTTTTAAAATACACATGCTAATTCAGCTGAATATTCACTTAAAAAAAAAACTTTACTGCTACCTTGCACCATATAAAAAATGTTCAGGTGAATTGGTGAAATAAATGAAGTTAAAACAGTGAAGCTTTCAGAACACTATATAGGTTCATATCTTTGTGATTTTTGAAGAGTTAAAATTTTCCTAACTAGGTCATAAAAAGATACAACAATAAAAAAGTATGATAAATTGGAATACATTAAAATTAACTACTTTTATACACAAGAAATATTATGAAATGCCTAGCCACAGATGGGAGAAGATATTTGCAATTTATGTATACAAAAAAAGACTTGAGCTAGAAGACATAAAGAATTTCTACTCGACAATAAGAAAAAGACCAATAAACTTTTTTTAAAAAGGGCATCTACAAAAAAAGATATCAAAATGGCTAATAAACACAGAAAGGTGTTCATCATTAGGCATTAGGGAAATATAAAATTAAATCAAAATAAATTACCACCATATGCTTACCAGAAAGATAAAAATTTAGAAGACTGACATACTAAGTCTGGGTGGAATTGTAAAGCAATGGGAACTTCATACCCAGCTAGTAGGAATATTAATTGGTACAATGACTTTGGAAAATAGTGTAACAACTTAGGTTGCATATAAGCATCACCTGTTACCTGAAAACTCCTATTCCTAAGTATATTCTTGACAGAAATGTGTGTATATGTGTACCAGGAGACCTGTGTAAGAATGTTCATAGCAGCCTTATTCATCATAGCTCCAGACTGGATGCAACCCAAACGCCCATCAGCAAAATAGCAGATAAATATACGGTTTTTTTCTTACAATGAAATACTATTACAACAAAAATGAACAGACCACAGCTACATATGATATGTATGATTCTCACAAACAATATTGAAAGGAATCAGAAAGAAAACAAACATCCTATATTATTTCATTTGTATAATGTTAAAATTACACTTTTGCTTTTAGAGGTTAGGATAATAGGTATCTTTGAAAAGGAGGAGCATGGCGGGGGTGCCGGCAATATTTTATTTTGTGACCTGGGTGGAGATTACATTGGTGTTCACTATGACTGAATAGTGATAAAGGAGCAAAAAGAGTGAAAATCATGAACAAAAATATCAGAAATTATGGATAATAATAGGCTTGGAGCAGAGTACTTAAAGTCTATGTGACTTTGTAAGTGGAATTATCTAAACAATAATTGATGCTTAGGCAGATACCCGAGACAGTGCTGATAGGCAGCTCGGTGAGGTTGTAGGCTGACTCAGAGTAAAACAAAATTGCAGAAAAACAACAGACTGAAAAAATGCTGGCTACTGAGACACAAACAATGCAGATGGAAGGCAGGCTCTGAACCAGGTGGGCCCAGAAGAAGACATAACCTGCCACAAGCCAAGAGCCAGGAACCATGCAAGGGAGTCTTGAGTGTTGATACTTGTTTTTAATATCCTTAAAATAGAGCTGACAAGTGCAAGCAGGACATACACTAAGATAAGTCATATCCTGGGCCATAAAACAAACCTTAACAAATTGGAAAGACGAAATCTTACAGTGTGTTCTCCATTCACCATTGAATCAACCTGAAAATCAATAGCAGAAAAACAACAAGACAATCTTCAAACACTTGGAAACTAAGCAATCAAATGATCCATGGAACAAAGAAAAAGTCTGAAAGGAATTAAAAAACAAAACAAAACAAAAAACATTAAATCAAATGAAAACAATTTACAACATGTCAAAATTTCTGGAATGCAGCTAAAGCAGTGCTGAGAGGGAACTTTATAGCAATAAATTCATTCGTTAGAAAAGAGGAAAAGCCTCAGATCAATAATCTAAGCTCTCATCTCATGAACTGGGAGAAATAAACTCAAAGCAAGAATAACGGAGGAAATAAGTATTAGAGTAGAAATTAAATAGAAAACACAAAAACAATAGAGAAAAATCAATGGAGCAAAAAGCTAATTCTTTAAAAGAAACAATAAAATTGACAAATCTCTATCAAGGGTGACAAAGCAAAAAAGAAGGAAGAAATCACCAATATCAGAAATGAAAAAGGGGATGCCACTACATACCCTGAAAATGTCAAAAGGATAACAAGAAAACAGTATGACCAATTCTATCTGCGTAAATATGACAACCTAGACTAAAGGGACCACTTCCTCAAAATACAAATAACCACAACTTGCCCAAGATGAAATAAATAATTTGAATAGCCTTATAATTATTAAAGAAATTAAATTTGTAATTTAAAACTCTCCATGCCCAAAGAAATCTCCATGCCCAGAAAGTTTCCCTGGAGAATTTTACCAAATGTTTAAAGAAGTTACATCAATTCTACATAATCTCTTCCAGAAAATAGAAGAGGAGGGAACATTCTCAATTCAATTTCTGAAGCTACTATTACCATGATATTAAAACCAGACAAACACTGTGCAAAAAAGAAAACAGCTGACCAATATTCCTCAAGATTATAGATGTAAAAATCGTGAACAAAATACTACAGATAATTCAGTAATATATAAAAGAAATTATATACCATGACCAAGGAAGATTCCTTCCAGGAGCCCAGCGCGGTGGCTTATGCCTGTAATCCCAGAACTTTCGGAGGCCGAGGCAGATGGATAGCGAGGTCAGGAGATCGAGGCCATCCTGGCCAACATGGTGAAACCCCATCTCTACTAAAATACAAAAAATTAGCCGGGCGTGGTGGTGCGTGCCTGTAATCCCAGCTACTCGGAAGGCTGAGGCAGGAGAATTGCTTGAACCCCCGAGGCGGAGGTTGCAGTGAGCCAAGATGGCGCCACTGCACTCTAGCCTGGCGACAGAGCAAGACTCCGTCTCAAAAAAAAAGAAAAAAAAAAAAGATTCCTTCCAGAGATATAATGTTGCTTCAGTATTCAAAAATTAATCAAATAATCCCCATATTAACAGTCTACTGAGGAAAATCACAGGATCGTATAAATTGTTGCAGAAAAAGCACTTGATGAAGTTCCACACCCATTAATAATAAAAACTCCCAGAAAAAGGAATAGAGGAATAGAGGGAAACTTCGTCAACCTGATAAAGAGCACCTAGAAAAAAACCTAAAGTTATGTTTAATAGTTAAAAACAATAGTTTTCCTCTAGGATCAAGAACAAGGCAAGAATGTTCACACTCACCACTCATGCAGCATAATGCTATGTAAGTTTTAGTCAGTGCAATGAGGGAAGAAAATAAAAGGCATACAGATCAGAAAGAAAGAAATTAAACTGTCCCGTTTGCAGATGACATAACTGTCACGTAAAAAATTCCGAGGGAAGCTACAAAACAATCTCTAGAACTTTTAAGCAAGCTCAGCAAAATTGCAGGGTACAAAGGTAAACATACAAAGGTAACTTACAGGTAAAAATAGAGGTGAACACAGGTAAACATACAATGATCAACTTCATTTCTATATACTAGCAATTGACACATGGACACCAAAATAAAAAGTAAAATACTATTACAAACATTCATACAAAAAGATAAATATTTATGTTAAATTTAAGACATGTGCAGGACTTGTATACTAAAAGCTATTAGGTTGGTGCAAAAGTAATTGCGGTTTTTGCCATTTTTTTTTTTTAATGGCAAAATGTGATGAAGGAAATCAAATGCTGATGAAGGAATGCATGCTGATGAAGGAAATCAAAGATCTAAATATATGGGGAGGCATATATTGTGTTCATGGAGTGGATGACAGCACAGTAAAATGTCAGTTCTCCCCAAATTGATATACAAGTATAGCACAATTTCTCTCAAAATCCCTGCAAGATATTTTGTAGACACTGACAAGATTATTCTAAAATGTATTTGAAAAGACATGAACTAGAACAGCTGAAACAATTTTGAGAAAAGGAGGATAAAAAGATAGGAATCTGTATGTCCGGTTTCAAGGAGTTATATAGCTACCATAAACAGGATAGTGAGGTATTTGCAGAGGGATAAACAGATAAATGGAACAGAATAGAGAACCTAGAAATATCTACACACAAATATGCCCAATTGATTTTTATAATGGTGCAAAAGTAATTCTGTGGAAGAAGGATCATCTTTCAAAAAATGGTACAAGACCAGTTAGAAACTCACTGGAAGAAAGGAGAAGGAGAAAAGAAGGAAAAAGAGAAAGACCTCACCCTAAGTCTCAAACTTTGTACAAAAATTAATTCAAAAGAGATCACAGACTTAAATGTGAAATGTAAAACAATAAATCACTTATAAAAAACAAAAAACAGAAACAAAAACAAAACAAAACAAAAAAACAGGAAAAAAAAACTTCAGGATCTAGGGCTCCACCAAGAGTTTTTAGACTTGATACCAAAAGCACCATCCATAGAAAGGAAAATTTGATCAATTTTACTTCATTAAAATTAAAAACTTTTGCTCATTGAAAGACCCTGTTCAGAGGATGAAAAGGCAAGTTACAGAATTGAGGAAAATATTTGCAAACCATATATCCTATAAAGGTCTATTATGTAGAATATACATAAACAACTCTCAAAACTTAACAGTAAAGAAAAATAAGCAATCCAATGACAAAATGAACAAAAGACATGAAGAAACATTTCACCAAAAAAGATAAACAGATGGCAAAAAAATGTATAGAAAAATGTTCAACATCATTAGCCATCACAGAAATGTAAATTAAAACCAGAATGAGATATCTTTACATACCTACCAAAATAGCTAAAATAAAAAATAGTGATATGGTTTGGCTGTGTCCTCATCCAAATCTCAACTTGAATTTTATCTCCCAGAATTCCCATGTGTTGTGGGAGGGACCCATGGGGAGGTAATTGAATCATGGGGGTCAGTCTTTCCCTTGCTATTCTCGTGATAGTGAATAAGTCTCACAAGATCTGATGGGTTTATCAGGGATTTCTGTTTTTGCCTCTTCCTGATTTTCTCTTTCCACCACCATATAAAAAGTGCCTTTTGCCTATTGCCAAGATTCTGTGGGCTCCCCAGCCATGTATAGCTGTAAGTTCAATTAAACCTCTTTTTCTTCCTAGTCTTGGGTATGTCTTTATCAGCAGTGTGGAACAGACTAATATAATAAATTGGTACCAGTAGAGTGGGGAATTGCTGAAAAGATACCTGAAAATGTGGAAGCAACTGTGGAACTGGGTAACAGGCAGAGGTTGGAACAGTTTGGAGGGCTCAGAAGAAGACAGGAAAATGTGGAAAATTTGGAATCTCCTAGAGACTTGTTGAATGGCTTTGACAAAAACACTGATAAGGTCCAGGCTGAGGTGGTCTCAGATGGAGAAGAGAAACTTGTTGGGAACTGGAGCAAAGGTAACTCTTGTTATGTTTTAGCAAAAAGACTAGCAGCATTTTTCCCCTGCCCTGGAGATTCGTGGAACTTTGAACTTGAGAGAGATGATTTACGGTATCTAGTAGAAGAAATTTCTAAGCAGCAAAGCATTCAAAAGGTGACTTGGGGGCTGTTAAAAGCATGCCATTTTAAGAGGGAAACAGCATAAAAGTTTAGAAAATTTGCAGCCTGATGATGCAGTAGAAAAGAAACCCCACCCCCTGCTTTTTTTTTGAGGAGAAATTCAAGCTGGCTACAGAAATTTGCATAAGTAGCAAGGAGCCTAATGTTAATCCCCAAGACCATGGGGAAAATGTCTCCACTCCATATCAGAGACCTTCATGGCAGCGTCTCCCATCACAGGCCTGGAGGCCCAGGAGGAAAAAGTGATTTTGTGGGCTGGGCCCAGGGTCCCCATGTTGTGTGCAGCCTAGGGACTTGGTGCTTTGTGTTCCAGCCGCTCCAGTCATGGCTGAAAGAAGCCAACATAGAGCTTGGGCTGTGGTTTCAAGGCTTGGCAGCTTCCACAGGGTTTTGAGCCTGTGGGTACACAGAAGTCAAGAATTTAGGTTTGGGAACCTCCGCATGGATTTCAGAAGGTGTATAGAAACACCTGGATACCCAGGCAAAAGTTTGCTGTAGGGGTGGGGCCCTCATGGAGAACATTTGCTAGGGTAGTACAGAAGGGAAATGTGGGGTTGGAGCCCCCACACGGAACCCCTACTGGGGCAACACCTAGTGGAGCTGTGAGAAGAGGGCCACTGTCCTCCAGATGCCAGAATGGTAGATCCACCAGCAGCTTGCACCATGCACCTGGAAAAGCCTCAGACACTCAATGCCAGCCTGTGAAAGCAGTCAGGAGGGAGGCTGTACCCTGCAAAGCCACAAGGGCGAGTTGCCCAAGACTATGGGAGCTACCTCTTGCATCAACATGATCTGGATGTGAGACCTGGAGTCAAAGGAGATCATTTTAGAGCTTTAAAATTTTACTGCCCCACTGTATCTCGGACTTGCATGAGCCTTGTAACCCCTTTGTTTTGGCCAATATCTCACATTTTAAATGGCTGTATTTACCCAATACCTGTACCCCTATTGTATCTAGGAAGTAACTACCTTGCTTTTGATTTTACAGTCTCATAGGTGGAAGGGACTTGCCTTGTTTCAGATGAGACTTTTGGCTGTGGACTTTTGGGTTAATGCTGAGATTAGTTAAGACTTTGGGGGACTGTTGGGAAGGCATGATTGGTTTTGAAATGTGAGGACATGAGATTTGGAGGGGCCGGGGGAAGAATGATATGGTTTGGCTGTGTCCCCATGCAAATCTCAATCCAAGGGGAGGTAATTGAATTATGGGGGTCAGTCTTTCCCGTGCAATTCTCATGATAGTGAGTAAGTCTCATGCGATCTGATGGGTTTATCAGGGGTTTCCGCTTTTGCTTCTTTCTCATTTTCTCTTGCCGCCGCCATGTAAAAATTGCCTTTTGCCTCCCACCATGAATCTGAGGCCTCTTCAGCCATGTGGAACCGTAAGTCCAATTAATCTCTTTTTCTTCCTAGTCTCGGGCATACCTTTATCTGCAGCACAAAACAGACTAATACAGTTAGTGATGAAGATATAAATAAACTGGATCATTCATATGTTACTGGTGGAAATGTAAAATGGTATAGCAACTCTGGAAAACAGTTTGACAATTTTAAAAAAACACTAAACATGCAACTATCATATGACCAAGGAATTACAATCCTAGGTATTTATTTCAGAGAAAGGATGACTTATGGTCATACAAAATCCTGTTCAGACATGTAAATAGCTTCTTTATGTGTAACAGCCAAAAACTGGAAATACCCAGATATATCCTTCCACGGGTGAATGGTTAAACAAATTGTGCTATATCTATATTATGCAATATTACTAAGCAATATAATATGAACATACTAATGATACAAGCAACAACCTAGATCAATCTTCAGAGAATTATGCTGAGTGAATAAGAGCTAATTCCAAAAAGTTACATACCTTACAATCTTATTTATATAAAATTTTTGAAATGACACAATTATAGAAATGGAGAACAGACTAGTGATTTCCAGGGATTAAGAAGGAGATGGGAATGGGAGGAAATGGTTTGGACTATAAAACGGTGCCATAAAGGATCCGTGTGGTGATGAAATTGTCCTGGATCTTGACTACATCAATGTCAATGTCCTGATTGTAACGTTACATTCTAGTTTTGCAAGATGTTGCTAATGGAGGAAATTGAGTAAAGGATGCATAGACTCTCTGTATTGTTTTTTTCACAACTGCATGTATATTTATAATTATCTCAAAATCAAAAGTTCAATTAAAAAAATACAATAGAACTGAAAGTGCTTTCTGCCTATGCAGAATCTAGCTAATGGGTTTTGGCCTGTTGAGGGGTAGAATTCTATTCTTTCTTTTATTCCAGTTTCTGTTGCCTTGGAGAAATGACATATGAACCAATACAAATGATATTATATAGCCATCATTTCCCTATTTATAGTTGTGTGTATCAACATGATATCTAATTCAATGTGAGTTTTCAGTCATAGAATACCTGTGAAAGCACCAGTCAGTGTCTGGCACACCAAAGGAGGCCTGTGATCTTTTGTTGAATTAATGTATTAATCAAGTGTTGAAGGAAGCTACTATCAACCATTAAGATCTATGGTGAATTTGTGTATTAAGTCAGCTCCTTGGCAAAATGAGCTCTAATATTTCCTAGCTAGATCTTGTACAAGTTACTTAAACTCTTTATTCTTTTCTTTTCTTTCTTTCTTTCCTTTTTTTTTGAAACAGAGCTTTACTGTTGTCACTCAGGCTGGAGTGCAATGGCCCGATCTCGGCTCACTGCAACCTCCACCTCCTGGGCTCAAATGATTCCC
The DNA here is from genome assembly GCF_000001405.40 of Homo sapiens. NCBI lineage: Eukaryota > Metazoa > Chordata > Mammalia > Primates > Hominidae > Homo > Homo sapiens. The sequence goes on along the minus strand of NC_000004.12, from coordinate 15,083,933 downwards.
CTGCCTCAGCCTCCCGAGTAGCTGGGATTACAGGTGCACACCACCATGCCCAGCTAATTTTTTTGTATTTTTAGTAGAGACAGTGTTTCACCATGTTAGCCAGGCTGGTCTCGAACTCCTAACCTCAGGTAATCCACCCACCTCGGCCTCTCAAAGTGCTGGGATTACAGGTGTGAGCCACCACATCCGACCACTCTTTATTCTCTAATCTCCTCATGGATGAATGAAGATTTTTTTGTTTGTTTTGGGAATGAAAATAAAGAGCTTAGCAAAGTACCTGTCATAGAGTAAGCATTTCAGTAAAATGCAAGCTATTTTGAAATATCCTCATCATCATCACGGTTACAAGCAACTCCAGGAGGGATACGTTTGAAAGGAAGGTGGGAGAAGGGTGGACGTCTAGAGCATGCTAGTGGGGTATGTGGCATGAGGGGTTTGGACAGAACGAGTTTGGACATGACTGGAAGAAAGCCACAGTGAGGACTGGGATGGTAAGAAAAAGAGCCAGAAGTTGTTGATGAGAATTTCATTATTGTTCTATGTCTGTTGGACGGCGGCTTATTTTATATTTCAAACCCAGGTATTTGAAGGGTGATTCCTTCTCCCTTGCAGTCAATTGTAAGAGAAAAATTGCCTGTTTTGATTCTTCCTTTGCTTAATTCAATTCATTCACTAAATATGAAGTTAGTCTCTGTGTTTGGCACCGTTATGGGTACTTTTATTATTTGAAATGTAGTGCTTCCCATTTCAATTTTCACCCTCAATATCAATGATCCCATTTGTGATACAGGATTTGAAGGCTAATGCAATGAAGTGGAGGCTAGATAAACACTGTTGCTTTGAACAGGGACTTAAACTCCCTATGCATTAATGTCTTCATCCATAAAATGGGTGGAAGAATTACCTGCCCCAAAAAGTTGTGAAGGTTAACTCAGCTAATCCTATAAAATGCTTTGTGTTTCTGACACATATTATATCCCCAATAAATGTTGCTGCTCCTATAACTGACAAATCCTGGACCAGATCCAGCCTTGCATATGTGCCTGTGAACATGTTCCTCTTCCTCATGATTTGGGAAAAGATCATGTATTTAACATCAGATTTGGATTCAGTTATCATTTCTATGCAATCTGAGCTTTGTGATCTGGGGCAGAGGATTTTACATCTCTGAGGTTCAGTTTCCTCATCAGGGGAGTATAGTACCATGCAGTGCTTAGAAGCATGGTCCCCGGAGTCAGACAGATCTGGACTAAAAACTCCCAGTATTCATGTGACCCTCAGTCGAGCTGGTAACTTAATATCTCTGCACTTTAATATCATCAAATGCAAAGTAGAAACAATAACAGCATTTATCTCCTAGAGTTATTATGAGGATACATGATATATTGTATGCAAACTCCTGTGTATGATACCCAATAATCCCCTTTCTCCTTTGCCTTCTCCTCACCTGCCTTCTTATATGTAAAGTACCTAGTACAGTGCCTGAAACTCAAGTAAGGGTAGCTATCGTTATTACATTTCTTGTTTCCGGAGTAATATACTTATAAGTGATATGTGAATATGAAAAACCTGTAAATGATTAAAGAATTCACTTCTGCTGCATTTCCAGATTACACAAAGACAGCCCGCCCCTCTTAAATTCTGAGAGCTTGGAGAGAATGGCTATATGTTATTCATTTCAGTATCCCCAGGGCATTTGCTATGGTGTCCAGAAAAGCATGAAATGAGATCTATTGGAGAAAGCATGGAGGGAAGAGCTATGAAAAACAGGAGAAAACTCTAATGCTTCAAATCATCCCAGGTGTGACTTTCCCCACTTACACATGCCCAAACAAATTAGAAAAAGTATTATTCTTGTTTAAAACAGTTCTCCGGCTGGGCGCGGTGGCTCATGCCTGTAATCCCAGCACTTTGGGAGGCCAAGACCAGCGGATCACGAAGTCAGGAGATCGAGACCATCCTGGCTAACATGGTGTAAACCTCGTCTCTACTAAAATACAAAAAAATTAGCCGGGCGTGGTGGCGGGCGCCTGTAGTCCCAGCTACTCCAGAGGCTGAGGCAGGAGAATGGTGTGAACCTGGGAGGCGGAGCTTGCAGTGAGCCGAGATCGCGCCACTGCACTCCAGCCTGGGCTACAGAGCAAGACTCTGTCTCAAAAAAAAAAAAAAAAAAAAAAAAAAAAAAAGAAAAAAGGCAAACAGTTCTCTATAAGTTTCTGGAGTTAGATTATTTGAGTTAGAAAATGAAAACTTACACACCATCTTTTATTGCAACAGGTATTGTGTAAAGAGTTTTGCTGAAGTGTGGTGAGATGGGCTCATATGTGGCCAACTGATGCCGCAAACTCATGAGATAAGATATTGAGACCGATTTGAAATAAGAGGCAAGCCTCCTTGAATGAACACTCTGGTCCCTATATTCAGGAGACAACTAAAATCCAGAGAACTTTTAAATTTGTTATAGAAGAGGGGAGTGAGTTTTGAAGGAAATGAATGTGCATTATACTCCATTCTGCAATAATGGGAGTCTTAATAAATCTCATATCCAAAAAAGTGCCAACATGGTGAAACACTGTCTCTACTAAAAATACAAAAATTAGCTAAGCGTGGTGGTGCATGTCTGTAATCCCAGCTACTTGGGAGGCTGAGGCAGGAGAATCACTTGAGCCTGGGAGGCAGAGGTTGCAGTGAGCCGAGATCGGCACTTTAGCCTGGGTGACACAGAGTGAGTTAGACACTGTCTCTAAGAAAACATAAAAAAACCCCAAAAAAGTGCATTATAGGAGTAATTACTTCGATGGGAAGAAGAAATAAGGTACTGAAGTTTTTCAGACTTCCAATAACAAAGTTGTTTTTCCCCTGTAGGAATTTTATTAATGAGTATTTTTTAACTAAAAACATATAGCTATAAAAATGAAACATAACTGAACAAATATGGCATTTGATTCCACCTAGCTTTTCTCTCAAAAACAATCTCTTTCCTTTTTCTGTCACTACTAGCTGTTGTTATACATTCTTACCATCTGTTTTTATCTACTTAGCAATTGTCTATCAAAAATTTCTGCTCTGCATGAGGCATTGTTCTAAATGTTGGGGCTGTCATAGTGACTAAGAAGGGTAAGAATTCTGACTTCAAGAATCTTCCCATCTTCCAATCTAGTGGGAGTGACAGACATGATACATGTAAGCAACCAAATCAATACAATAATTATAGATTTTGATATGTGATAAAGGAACTAGGTAAGACACCGAGAGGGAAGTTAACAGGAAGGGCTCGCTTCAGAATGCATGGACAGGAAAGGCCTCATGAAATCTGAGATCTGAAGACAGAGAAGACCTGGGGGAAGAGCATTCCAAGCAGAGGGAACAGCTAATGCAAAGTCCTTGAGGAGGAAAGAGTTTGCTATGGTCTTGGAAAGTTCAGGGACACCCAAACGAAACAACTGTGCTGCATGTGAAGCAGCATTTTTCTTCATGACTAAACTGCTCAATGGTTCATTTTAATCAATAGCAGATTACGTAATGCAAAATAAGTCTCCAAATTAATATACTGCATTGTGTCTAATTCAGATCGTGAAAAGTCACTCTGTAGGAGAAATGCCTGCACCACTTTGAGTAACGACATCATTGCGAGCCACCAAAATTTTAGTTTCTCAGGCAGCATGATGACATTTCAAAAAGTTCAGTGGAGTGGCTTCTCATGGTCTGGGGGGAAGGCAAGCACTGGACAAAGACTCTGGGGCTCCCATTTTGGCTCATCCACCAAACAGCCTTGGAACTTCAAACCAGTCATTCTCCCTTCTTGGAACTCAGTTTCCTTCTCATCTGAAATAATTGATAAAGTCACTTTAAATAAGTAAGGGCTATGGTTTATTTCCTGTAGAATGGTTAATGATTTACATGTCATCATCAGTATAATTTGAACAAGGGGAAAAAAGAAAGAAATAGAAAGGAAGAAATAAAAAGAGAAAAACTAAAGAAAAGAAAAAGGAAGAAAAATAATGAAGATCTTGCACATGAATGAGGAAATGCTTAATAAATGGCATATAGTAATCATAACTTTTTAAAAACAGAAGTTTCTATGTCAAATATATGGCAGGGCTACCTGTTTAGCTGCTGGTTCCATCCCTGTCCGACAATTCCTAGTGGTGAAAGCCTATAATCTGAACCTGACTCTTCTGATAGCAATAATAATTCTCAATTCAGCCCAGGAACACCACATGTAATTACTGAATTCTAAAGATGGTCTCCCAAGATTCCCATTTCTTATTTTTCAATTGAGCACTGATCTAGGTACTGCTATGAGGAAATTTTGCAGCTGTAATTAAAGCTACATGTCAGTTGATCCTATAATACAGAGATTATCCAGTGGGCCTGACTCAATCAGCTGAGCCGTTTAAAAGCAAAATTTTCGCTGGCTGGTTGCAGAACAGAAAGTTTCCAAACTTGAGAAAAATTCAACACATTTTTTGCTGGCTTTGAAGGAGGAAGCAACGTTAGCAGGAGTGTGGTCAGTCCTAGGAGATGAGAGTGGCCCCTTGCCACCAGACAGCAAAGAAACAGACATCTCAAAAGCACAAATGCAAGAAACAGTATTCTGCTGAAATTTGAATGCTCTTGGAAGTACCTTATTTCCCACAGTCTTCAGGCAAGAGTCCAATCCAGCCGTCATCTTTATTTTGGCCACGTGACGTCCTTAGCAGAGAACCCTGTCATGTTCCCCCAGACCTCTGACCTACACAATTGTGAGCTAGTAAATGCGTTTTGTTTTAAGTTACTAAATTTGTGGTAGTTTGTTACACAGCAACAGAAAATGAATACATCAAATATTTGAAGAAAGCAATATGAAAGAAAGACACCAAACTCAACTAACATCCAAAGAAACACTTAATTTAACAAGTAGGATGTTTTCTTTAAAAAAAACCCTATAATTTCTCCAGTAATTTAAAAAATTGTGGTAAGAACATTTAACATATCTATCTTCTTGACAAATTTTTAAGTGTACAATGCAATATTGTTCAATACAGTCATGATATTGCACAACAGATTTCTAGAACTTACTCATTCACCTTGCATGACTAAAACTTTATACTCACTGCCCAGCAACTCCCCATTTTCCACTTTCCCCAAACTCTGGAGACCACCCTTCTACTCTTTGCCCCTATGACTATTTTTGGAAATTCATATAAATATTTGTTCTTTTGTGACTGACTTATTTCATGTAGCACGGTGTCCTCAAGATTCATCATGTTGTCACATTTGGCAGGATTTCTTTCTTTTTTGAGGCTGAATAACATTCCATTGTATATATATACCACATTTTGTTTGAAGAGTCTTTGACTTTGGTATTAGGGTAATACTGGCCTCATAAAATAAGTTTAAAAGCTTCCCCTCCTCTTGAAGTTTTTGGAAGAGTTTAAGAAGGATTGGCATTAATTTTTTAATAATTGAATAATATTTTTTATTATCATGTCTTCTCATTCCTAGGAATTTAAGTGATAAAAATCAGAACAGAATCTGAAATAGTCACACTACAAAATCGGTTAGATTTCTCTTGGGATACCACCACATGTGCTCATAAGTGGGATCTAAATGAGGAGAAAATAGACACTTAGAGGGGAACAACATACACTGGTGCCCTTTGGAGGGTGGAGGATGGGAGGAGGAAAAGGATCAGGAAAAATAACAAATGGGGTACTAGGCTTAATATGTGGGTGATGAAATCATCTCTACAACAAACCACAATGACGCAAGTTTACGTTATGTAACAAACCTTGTTTGTACAAGGTTTGTATCCCTGAACTTAAAAGTTACAAAAAAAGGGTCAAAAATTATAAAAAGAATTGCATAATCCTAAGTCATCTATTTATTTAAAAGTGTTTGGTGTAACTCACCAGTGAAGCCATCTTATTCAATTTCCTTACTAATTATAGATCTGTTCAGGTTTTTAATTTCTTCATAATCCAATCTTAGTAGGTTGTATGTTTCTAGTAATTTATCTGTTTATTCTAGGTTATACAATTCGTTCGTGTATAAGTGTTCATAGTAGCCTCTTTTGATCCTATTTCCATGGCATCAGGTAAAATGTTTCCTCTTTCATTTCTGATTTTTTTAATTTAAGTCTTCTCTCTCTCTCTTTTTTTTTTTTTCAATTCTAGCTATGGGTTTGTCAATTTTGTTGATCTTTTTCAAAATCCTACTCTTAGTTTTATTTTTTTTAATTGGTTTTCTGTTTTCTATTGTGTTCATTTCTGCTTTAATCTTTCTTTCTTTCTTTTTTCTAACTTTGGGCTTAGATTGTTCTTTTTCTACTTTCTTGAGGTACAAAGCTATGCTGTTTATTTGAGTTCTTTCTTATTTCAATGTAGGTGCTTATTGCTGCATAATTTCCTTTTCCTGATTTTGTTACAGTCCAAAGGACTTGGTATGTTGTGTTTCCATTTCCAGTTTTCTCAAGATATTCTCAAATTTCCCTTCTGATTTTTTATTTGATTCACTGGCTGTTCAGGAGTGTCTTGTTTAATTTACATATTTGTGAATTTTCCAGTTTTCTTTAGTTATTGATTTCTAGTTTCATTTCATTGTGGTCAGAAAAAAATACTTAGTATGAGATCAGTCTTCTTAAATTTGTTAAGATTTGCTGTGTGACCTAACATGTAATTAATTCAGCACTTGAAAAAAATGTGTATTCTTCTGCTGTTTGGTGGAATATTCCATATATGTCTCTTGGATTCATTTGGTCTACAGTATTGTTTATGTCCTCTGTTTCTTCATTGATTTTCCATATGGAACTTCTATTCATTGTTAAATGTTAGGTATTAAAGTATCCTACTATTGCTGTTTTTCCCTTAGTTCTGTCAATGTTTGCTTCATATATTTAGATACTTCTAATGTTGGATGAATACATATTTAAAATTGTTACATTTTCCTTAATAATTATTTTATCATTATATAATGACCTTTTGTGACAGCTTTGTCTCAAAGTCTATTTTGTCTAGCATAAGCATAGGCATGCTACTCTCTTTTGGTTACAATTTGCATGGAATGTTTTTCCATCTCTTCACTTTCAGTTTGTATATGTTCTTAAATCTAAAGTCAGTCTCCTGTAAACAGCATATAATAAGTTCCTATATTTTATTAATTTTATTTTTATCCATGCAGCCATTTATAATTGGAGAATTTAATTCATTTACCTTTAAAGTGATTGTTCATAGGGAAGAACTTACTATTGCCATTTTCTAGTTTTCTGTCTTTTGGTTCTTGTGTTCTTTTCCTTTCTTGCTGTTTTCCTTTGTTGATTTTTTTTTTGTATTGATATGCTTTGATTCTTTTTTACTTACTTTTTTAAATTTACTTTTTACTTTCTTTTGTGCATATTTTATAGGTGTTTTCTTTGTGGTTACATGGGGCTTACAGAAAACATCTTATGGTTATAATAGTCTATTTCAGGCTAGTATCAACTCCATACAGAAACTCTACACTGTTACTTTTCTTCTCCCCACACTTTGTTCTTGATATTACAATTTATATCTTTTAAAATTGTTTATTCATTAACATATTTTATAGTTATAGTTATTTTTACTGTTTTTGCCTTTTTAACCTCTAAACAAACTAAAACTTATTTACCTATCATATTACATGTCATGGTATTTTCAATCTGTATATATATTTACCTTTACCATGAAGTTATATAGTTTCATATGCTTTTTAATAGATGTTAAGCATTCTTCCTCTTCAACTTGAAGAATTCCCTTTAACATTTTCTGTAAGGCACATCTATTGGTGAAGAATTCCTTCAGATTTTGTTTGTCTGGGAAAGTCTTTATCATGCCTTCATTTCTGAAGAACAGGTTTTGCTGGTTATAGTATTCTTGGATGACAGTTTCATTCTCAGCACTTTTAATATATCATCTCACTGCCTTCTAGGCTGTAAGATTTCTGCTAAGAAATCTGCCAATACTGTTATGTATATTTCCTTAGATATAACAAGCTTTCTCTTGCTATTTTCAAAATTCTCCTTGACTTTTAAAAATTTGATTACATTGTGTCTCAGTGTGGATCTCTCTGGGTTTATTTTATTTGGGAGTCCTTGGGCTGCTGAGATGTGGATGTCCATTTCTTTCATAGATTTAAGAAGTTTTCAGTTATTATTTCTTTAAATACACTTTCTACCCTTTCTGATCCTTCTGAGACTCCCATAATGTGTATATTGTTTCCCTTAAGCTTTCTTTCCTCTTTTTCATTCTTTGTTCCGTTTGTCCCTCTGACAAAAACATTTTCACAATCTGTCTTCAAGTTTACTAATTTTTTATTTTTTAGTTCAAATGTTTCATTCATTAGTTTCAAAATTTCTGTTTGGTACTTTACTTTTTTATTGTAATAATTCCTTTGTTCATGCATTATTCTCCTGACCTCATTAAGCATCTTTATAACAGTTATTGTGAATTATCTATTAGTAATTTTCTATTAGCAATATATCTCCCATTTCATTAGGGCCACTTTCTGAAGCTGTATCTTGTTCCCTTCTGGAGGACATAGTTTTCAGTTTTGTATTGTTTTTCATTTTCCTTGACTTTTTGTGTTGGTATCTATGTATTAGATAAAACAGTCAACTCTCTTCATCTTCACGGAGTGGCCTTATACAGGAGAAGACTTTCACCAATCATTCTGGCCAGATATGTTGGGGGGCCTCTCAAACTTTTATGCCAGTCCAAATCATCATCTTTGTCCTTTAGTAGACCCCAAGCATCTAAAGTATGCTGGGCCCTGTCATTGCTTTCAGACAGGTGAGACAGAAGCCTCAAGCAGTACCTGAAAAATTGGAACTTTGGATGTGCGGGCCAATTCTTTCCTTCCTCAGGGAAATGCTAGCATCTAAGATGTATCATCTGCTTGCGTTGTGCTCTGAGGCATGGGGAAGGGCTATTGTGGCTGCTTCCATGCTAGTTCAAACCATTGTCTTTGTTCTCACTTGCCTCTAAGCCTCTAGAGTATGCCAAGACCTATCAGCACTCTGCAATAGGTAAGACAGAAACTAGTCCTTTGGGAAGCCCCTGGAAAACTTTCAAACATTGGACACATACCCCAACTCTTTCCTTGCACCCCAGAAGAAGCTGAGAGCTGCTGCTGTTGTTGTTGTTGCCTCTAAATGTGTCTCTATTCCAGTCTGCTAGATACGGGAAGTGAAAGCCAATGTGATGGTTCTAGAAGGCAGGAGAGGGATGGGAAAAAGCTGATATTTATCAAGTGTATCTATGTGCCAGAGAGAACACTGGGTGCTTTACATACATAATCCCTAATCTGCATAGCAATTCTGTATAGTAGGTATCACTGATGCCCAGTAAGCTTAATAGACTTTCTCAAGATTTTCTAGCTCCTATAGGGCAAGGATAGAATAGAAATTCCTTTTTCTAACTGTATATGCAGCTCCCAGTTCACTGTCTTTCTAGTATATCGGTTTGCCGCTTTTCTGATTTTATAATTTTCTAACATATCTTCTCCAAGCTTTTCCCTTTCTAGACATTATTTTCCCTCAAAGGTCAAGAGCAGCCATGCTTCTCTTACAAGAACATGAGTATGATGATGGGAACAGTAAGGCAGGGCAGTGTGGTGTGGCATAGTCCGATGGCTCCTGACCCTGCCTGTACAGTAGAATCACCTGGGGAACATGTTAAAAATATATTCATCTGGGCCTCACTCAAGGCCTACTGAATAAATATATCTGTGACTGGAACTTCGGGAATATATGTTTTAAGAAACAATCAGCATAGATTTGAGAACCATTGGTGTAGTTAGAACTAGGTTTGGATCTTGGCCCTGCCATTTACTTACTTTCCATTTTTCCATTTTGTGTTATATGACAACTGTTAGTCAAGCTAGACTAGGTCTTGCTGCAGTAATAAATTAGCCCTGAAATCTCATTGTCTTACTACAACAAAGGATTATTTATCACTCTTATTTCACCGCTGGCTTACTGGCCTTAGTGTACAGTTTATTTCCATATTTGTTTTGTATTTACACAACATATAGAAAAATCCTGATTCACACACAAATAGTTTAGCATACTGACTTAGATGCTCACAAGAAAAGAAGCAGAAAAACTGGATGGAAGGTTGTATCACTAACAATATCTAACTCAACTGATGGCATTCCTTGGGAAGTATTCAGTTTAGAGGTAATTGAACAGGTAGATTCACTATTTGGTAGAAAATACTTTTCAAATGGCAGTAAAGTTGGGCGTTAAAATAACAGTATTATATGATATGTTCAAGGGCGTCATTAAAAAAATCTCAGTTGTCTGTTGTACTTAAAGTTTCAAATCATACAGACATATGTTCTATATATTAGGTAAGGCTAACTTTAACAATTATTGTTGAAGTTTTATCAATAAAGACAATAATTTTGTGATTTGCAGTAGAGCTTATTTTGACACACAGCGCCACTACTTATCATATGACTATCTGTGTCTTGATAGTATCACCACATGCCTGCCATTTGTCATGTGAGGCCCAAGTACTAACATAATGTATTTTCTTCTTTGAGAGGAGAAAATGGTAGATCCCGGCTCCAGTGAGTGTAGGGTAGAGAGAAAGCTAATTGAAATGAAGCTTCCTAGAGGAGATGGCAGGGAAGTTGGTCTTGAAAAGTTCCATAATCTGCACAGTTAGATCTCTAACCTCATTATCTGCCATGCCGGGCTTTGGAATTTACGCTCTAGAGACACACCCTACAGGTTGTTTTGAGCTTTGTTCAAACTCTTTCTTCTCCCTAAAATCTCTTATCACTTTTTTCTTTTGGTTAAGTAACACATATTCTTCATGCCTAATCTCAGTTTTTATTTCTTCCAGGAAATGTTCTTTATTCACTTGTTCTTTAAATTATTACTTATTTTCTGTGTTCTTGTGGCCTATTGCACACATCTCCCTTATTTTAATGTCATTGAAATTATCAGAGTACTCCTAGAATTGACCATAAACACCTTGTCTTATTCTTCACATCTCCATATACTTATTTTTACATATATATATGCATTAAGTACATTCACATTGCTGCATAACCATCACCACCATCTATCTCCAGAACTTTTTTCATCTCAACATGAAATTCTATGCCAAACAATAACTCCCCATTGCCCGCTTCCCCTAGCCCCTGGCAACCACTATTCTTTCTCTATGTATTTGAGCACTCTAGGTACCTCATGCAATGGAATCATACAGTGTTTGTCCTTCTGCAACTGGCTTATATCACCCAGTATGTCTTCAGGCTTCCACCATGTTGTAGCATGTATCAGAATTTTCAAGGCTTCCTTTTTAAGGTTGAATATTCCATTGTATGCATATACTCCTTTTTGTTTATTCATTCATCCATTGACAAACATTTCGGTTGCTTCCACCTTTTGGCTGTTGTGACTAATGCTGCTATGAACATAGATGTACAGAAACCTGTTGAGTCTCCGCTTAGAAAAGTTTTCTATTTCTCAACAAGTTTTACAATTATTCATAATGTGAACTGATAGGAAATTCATTTTCTATATGTGCATTACATTGCACAAAATGGTTTTAAAAACAGCCTATAGACCTAGAATTTAGTTACCATGAAAAATCTCTTTGATTCTGTTTTTGTATTTCTTCCTATGTTCCTCACTCTCTTATCCTGCTATTGAAGCAAGCATTGTTTTCTTTTCCATTTTCCTTTTTAAAATAAATTTTATTAGTGAAGTGTAAAATATACAGAAAAGTGCTCAGGAAATAATCATCAGCGTGATAAATTATTCACAAAATGAACACTCTGAGTGTGTGTGTGCATACATGGGGGATGTCTGAATTAAAATATGCAGTCATTTTAGGAGGTCAGCAATGTCTTAAACTGAAAAATAAACATTGTTAAGTGTGCTATTTGGATATAATAAGGCAAATAACATGATACTGTTAAAGTGAAAACACTTAAAAAGAGTTAAAAGTTGCCTTTTATGAGTGGAAATTGTAGATGAGGAAAGGGTGGGTGGGGTTTTATCTTTTTCATAATTTGTGTATTTGACTTAAAATATTTAAAATGTTACATTTAAATATATATTAAATGCATTTAAAAATTACATATATTGCAATTTGAAGACAATTTAGTATTAATAATAAATTAATCAACATCTATAGTCTTATCTTCTTCTATCCCAAACAAGGCTTTCTTCTTCATTTCAAATGTTCATCCAGGTTTTGCTTTAAATTACCTTGAGTTTTAGTTATTATTTTAACATCGATGTTTTAAATTATGACTTTATTTGGACTTGCTTCTAAATTGTGTGAAGCTTTTTAGCCACATTTCGTTTCCTAACTATACACTAGAGCGATATTTTTTACCTATGTAGTATCCCATGTCTTCATGTTTCCTGGGTATTTTATTATCATTCCTTCTTTTTGGTGAAATAGATCTTTAAGTAACTCTTTTAGAAAGGATTTGTGAGTGCTAATCTTTGTATCTTTTAATTCTTTGTTCATGGAAAAATTTAAGTCAAATGCTATCCCCTATGTAAAAGTTCTTAAGTAATTTCATTTCAAGGAAATGAAATTACTTAAGAAGAATATTCCTTCCTTTCATGCTTTATACATGTTTATGAAAGTGTATTTTATCTTTTATTAGCATACTGCATTGCATTTGAGTTAGCCTGGCCTTTCACCTTCAAGGCTATGAGACCTTGTGAGCAAAGATTTGACAAAGTCGGTGTTCAGTACTAAGTTGGTATTCAAAGCTTATTCTTTTCTTAAATAACCGAGGGAAAGGGGAGCATAAGAAAATGATCTTTATGTCAGTAGCAAGGGAATTAAGACACTGTGAAATTCCTGTTGTCTTAGATAGGCCAGAATGTGGAGGCGGCTCTTTAGTTTTATTATGAAAGAGGACTTTGTTGAGGAAAGAGAAAATAGATTCCAAATAGAAAAATGGCAGCATATGCTAAACAAGATACAGATATGTAGAGATGCATGATTTGCTTGGAGGACATGGGTGACAGTGACACAATATGAAGGGCATACAATGGCAAGATTAGCCCATTTAAGGAGTTTCTATGGTGTCTTGTAGAAGATGAGGAAACATTAAGTTTTACCCTTTCTGACATACCTATGTCCTTATAGGTAAAACAAAACATTTGGTTATGATCAGTGATCTTTCATTTTCTGAAAATGCAATGGAATCCTTTCCTCCTTCTGCCCAGTGACTGCATACCAATTTTTAGGTAGAACTTCAGCTTTGTTAAAGTTAAAAGTAGAGCTGTTCTAGTTATAATTAGGATGAGGAACCTAGATTCCAGGCTCCTTACTCTATACTTCTTTTCCTTCTCCCTCCCTCTTCAAAGTAGACACTGAAAAATCCACACAGGCTGTGCAAAGAACAAGTAAAACACTACAAGTGATTCCCAACTAGAGGGTATCTGAGAAAGTATCATGAAAACTGTGCATTTAGCAACATGATTAACAGTTCCTCATTTTTTGAATGCAGCATCAACTTAGATATGGCAATATTAATTATAAGTGATGACTGTAACACAGAAATTTCTATGATATATGGGGGATGAGGGTGGGAGAACTGACACAAGAGGACTCAGGGCTGAAATACTGAGAGATACTAGACAACATGGTCTCCAAGGCTTCTCCTCTATCCTTGTACTGAAATGTAGTTTGGCCTGGGCATCATAATATATTTATGTCACTAAGCTCTCTCTCTAAATAAGATCTTACTGGTGTTTTTGAATATTTTACTTGATTTGAACCGAAGAATAAGATTCCACAACTATGCCAATAACTTAATAGTTTATTAGTCAGTCAACAATATTACAAATATTTAAAAATTACTTAATATAAATAGTTGGCAGCAAACTATTCCATTACAGAGTTAAATTACCAGTACAACAGACAGACTGGAGATTTAGACACCTGGAAGATAACAATAAAATAAACTAAAATATTTAACGAAAAATTTAAGCTGAAGGTGTTTACCTAGTGTCCATAAAAGCATGGGTTCTCTTTTTATTTAGAAAAAAATAAAAAACGGCTTTAACACCCCATTAGGAATATAAAATAAAATCAACTGAAAATATTAATTTGCATATCAAAGAACCATTTATAATTACAATCCAAACACTCCATAAACCACTTGTGCGATTCTATACAGAAACTGGGAATTAGAAACTAGTTGCTTTAATATTACAAAGATTTCAGCTCCAAAAATAATTCAACATAAAATAAACTTTAGCAATTAGTGTCATAAAATTATATATTTCCACATAAAAATACAAAATAATATTAATGACAAGAATATGAAAAATTATTCCAAGTATTTTACTACTATTAAAATAAAATAAAACCCAAAAAAACAAAATAGAAATATGCATGAAAAAAGTCTCTCCTTTTGTTAGCAAAACACTATCCAAAATAACTACAATCATTTACATCAGTACAAAGATTTCTGGATTTAAAAAATAGTTGCAATGACAAAAGGGGTATCTTTTCTGACAGTAAAAAATGACACTGTGGATAAAATCTGCAAAATATGCAATGAAAAAAATAAATTTGCATTAAAAAGGTTTACACTGTTTTTTTTTATACAAACATTAGAAACAGTATTGCACATCACAACACAGAATCGAGGTTAGTCAGCCTTCCAAAATGTGTTATATTCAAGTTTTGTAGCATCTTTGAGGAGAGGCTCTGTGCAGCCAGATGCAACAGGGATAAAATATCAAGTGTTTTCCATACACAAATATATAAATGCTAAATGTTTCCTTCTTAACAAAAAGTGTGGATTTTTAAAGTATTTTTTTTTCCTCCACAGTCATACTTTTGGGCAGCAATATGAATATTTAGGGAACACAAGTGAAGAAGCTTTTAAAATACAAAAATACAATCAAAATTAATAATTTTCTACAAAAATAGTAAAATAAATATGATCTGTAAATTAAAAAAAAACCTCCAATACAGTGTTTAAAAGTTAGAAAATAAGAATGTAGTACATAAAGGGCAAAAACAAAACAAAACAAAAGAGGTAGGGGTGAGGTGGGAAAGGAACAAAACATTAGACTAATAAGCTTTACTTGTACAGAAATGAAGGTAAAACAAACCATACATTTCTGTTATTTTTACCCGTGGCAAAAAGGGTGTTCTAGTACATTCCCCTTCATTCCAAATATTTATTTCTGTTTAAGAAGGGAAAATGATTTTCAACATCTCCAATTATTTTAATTATATAATTTGTGTTCATTATTTAATACATGAAAAGGCTCTTCAATTTTAAACATTAAGCAGAAATTATGAAAATAAAGTTTAAAAATCTGCGAAATTAAATATCTAAATAATTAACATTGCAAAACTACTGATTTCTTCTCTAAATTCCAAAAATTGAGGTATAGCAAAGGAGATGTCATCAGTCAAAAAAAGTGTGCCATAAAATAGCTGACTGTTGGAAAAATCTCTCACAGAGATATAAAAATAGTGCATAACAAATGTCAAAATGGATCAAGGTTTGGCAGGGTTAAGGTTAGAAAAGAATACTCCAAAAAATCTGGAGGATCATGGTTAAGTAACAAATAGGGAACACTGACAAATAAATTAGTAAAAAGCTCTTCTGAAAACAGCATCAACTTTAAACATTAAAAACTTGAACCACAACCACAATAAAACAGCAGAGTTAGACATGAACCACATATTTTTACAGTACAAAAAAGCACACCACAGACAACCAATATTAAGATCAACACTTTGCTCACATGAAGGATTGTCCCAAGGGTTTGCTATAAGGCAACACCCTTGTAATTTTCTCTCTTTAGAGTCAAAAATCTTAGTTCTGCATTTTTAAAAAACATTTACCATTGTTGGGTGCTTTGCTTAGATTGCAGAGTAACTCTTACATTAAAATATAGGGGCTAGTTGCATTAAAAATGCTCTAAAGAGAAAAAATATCACTAATGATATTCTAATAGTGTTCAGTACCAAGAGAAACTCATTAACTACTGCATGTTTCCATGCCACTTTCTCAAAACACCCCAAAAAACCTGCAAGCAAAGTCATTACCAAAATTCCTTCATGAAAATTTTCAAAAAAGCAATTCTCAACTATTAAGAACAATGTTCCATGCAACAGTGACCCCAGTTTAGACAGAAGACCCCAATATTTATAGGTTAAACACATAAGCAAGTTCAAGCCAGATTTCACCATTGTCTTATAAAGGTAAAATTTAATTTTATGCAACTAGCCATCTGTATATTTCCCCTTCTCCATTTTGACTTTACTTAGGGTTTACTAAAGTTTTGCATTCTTCTAAAAAATTCAGATTTTTAAATATGGGTTTCTTATGGGTCTTACATTTGGTGACTGGTTAGCAGTGTGCTGGCCATCTTTGGTTTATAAAGGATGTCTTAACCATGGACTATCAAAGGGGCTAAAACCAACTTTCTTTAGAATTCTTGTATTTTCTTTTACTCATTCTTTTATCTATACTATATCACTGCACATGAATTAGAACCGCACGTCACAAAATTGCACAGGGATTACAAATATTACATCCAGTCTGCATAAAATCGAATTCCACTACTGACCAGATCACAAAATGGCTGCACTCTCTAATCTAAAACTAATTTGCATATTGTACACATGTAAGACGATTTTTTAAACTTGAAGTCACAATAATGCATGCAAGTTTGCTTTTTTAAACAAATTTTATAATTTGTTCATGCTACCTAGATTCAAGAGAGCTTTTTTGAACATTTGCAATACCTCACCTCGTTAGTTAATAATTCTAGTGCATGCATATGGTGTATACAGGTAAGTAAACATGCATTTTTTTCACATTCTAAAACTATGGCAGTTTAGGCCATATTGTGCTGCCTGCATTTTATCTGCAATGCAGTGTGTCTCTAACGTTTTCAGTCCCGTATTAATAGGTGGCATTTACACATAACACCTATATAGCAGCAAAGCTAATACAGCTTGTGATTAAAAATGTTTAAAAATAGCTAATAAATCAGATTATCTTGAGGTATTATTTCTTGCAAGTCAAAATGGAGAGCAAAAAAATCAACCCTAATTTTTAGTTTATGTATACACTGAAAATAGCAACAATAAAAATAAGCATTTGTAGCAGACATATTCCATCTTCACTATTATTTTGCTACCTTTGGTAAATTACTGGGGCAGATCTTGAAGTTAAAAACCCATGTTTAGAAATAAGTGCACGCTTCCCCCACTATATAGCAGCAGACTGTGTTGCCCCTACGCAAAACATTCTCATATCTAATTTTAACTTTACATATAAAAATAACTTGGAGAAAATACAAAAAAACATTTTATTTGAACATGAAAATATCACAAAAATTAGTAAGCCTGAGATGTAGGGTTTTGGTGAAAAACAAGAGGCTTGTAGTGTTTTGGCTGCTGATAAAGATGCATGTATTGATAGCTGGGGTGAAAAGCAGAAGAATGCACTTATTTCTTCTGCATGTCAGTATCTTCAGACACAGTAAGCCACATGCACCCTTTCTTTCCTTGTTAAACAGAGGCCAGTTTGCTATTCTTAGTTCCAGCGGAAGTGGATCTGACGTGGGCGATCAGCACCTTCCTTTACCAATGGCTTATGGAACTCACGTCCAGCACGAGAGTGGATATTTGCCCAACAAAACTCACAGTAATACTGCAGGCAAGTGACATTGGCACAAAAAAAGGGAGCAAATTTTCCACCACAGCGTGCGCCCTGGCATTCATCACACATCTGGTCATCTAGCACATATGGCTTTACCTCCACCTTGAAAAAAAAGAAAGTTAAGTCTCATTAGGGTCTGCTTCAGAAATCAAATTCTGTAATAACTTAAAATGTTCTACAGCAGAAAAAAAGGACCAGCATTAAAAGCTGAGGAAATGGGCAGTTTCTCAAGGAAGGAGCTTTACAATGTAGTAGGTTAAAACACTTTAAAAATCTATAAAAATCTGATTTGCAAAACATTCCACTCTCACCTTTCTTGAATAACATCTTTGAAACACCTGTGTGCTGGTATTTTCAGAGTTAGGGGAGATTATGAGTGAAAAACAAAAGAGATATCAAGTAGTCATGGAAGACAGTTTCCACACCTTTTCCCCTCATTCCAGTATCACCTGTGAGATGGCAGAACCCGAACAGCCACTGATTAAGGCGGCGCCTCTCCACTGCAGGTGCGAGTCACACTCTGCTTGGAAATAACTGGCACAGACAAGCCAGAACTGTGGAGAATCTTACAAAGGGCATGCCTAGACTTCTGTAAATTTATAAGATATAAAGCACAAGTCCCGTTGTGAAGGTCTGACTTGGCAGAACACTTCAGACTGGAGTCAGCTCTGAATGATAAACTTCTCCACCTCAGTTTCCACATCTGTCAAGTGGGAATAACAGATCCTGTCAGAGTTGTGAGGCTTAAATTGTGAATGTAAAAGCATAAGACAGTGCTCGGCACATGGTAAAATATTCTATAAATTAGTATTAGCTACTATTAGCTGCAATAGCCTTGCTTTCCTGCTTGTGATAACTTTATGAATGGAAGGTTTTTACTGTTGTTTGGCTGAAAAGTGCCAGACAGCATAACAGCTCAGCCGTTCCTTAGGAGACAACAGAACACTGAGTGTTCTGAAGGACTGGATTGACATAAAGTAAAGGTTGCCTATAGTAAAAAGTAATGACCCAACAGTTTGTATTCTGAATGTATTCTACTGAAATACTTGCATGAGTGCAGAAAATGAATATAAGGATATTTTCCGCAATATTATTTGTAAGAACAACAACAAACTAGAAACAACCTAAAAGTTGATTACAAGAACTGTAGGATGTTCATTTGATAGACAGGTAATGGAATTACATTGTTGTTTATATTTCATTGATTAGGATTAGGATAAATATATTTTATGTATATTCGACACTTGGCTTTTCTGAATTGCTTGTTTGTATCTTTTGCATATTTTCTTGCTGGAGTTTTGTTTGTTTTTTAAATTGATTTATGAGTTCTCTTTTGTCAGTTAAGAGTTTTTAACCTTTTTTCCAGTGGCTTTACAATCTTTAACACAAATTTTTAAAATTGTTATGCTTAATTTTTATCTCTCAACTTTTTCCTTTATGGGAACATTATTACAAACAAAGAATAAATTAAGGTAGCATGAGAGTTAACTGGATTTCATCTCACTGAATTATAAACTCCATGAACACTGGGACAGCACCCATTTGCTCAACATTCAGTTCCCAGTGCCTAGAAGAATATCTAGCACGAAGTAGAAATGCTATAAATATATGCATAAATGCAATACATTTACATATGTTTTCTGGGTTTCTTTCTCATGGTTATTTCTTTTTTTTTAAAATAAGATTTTAGACAGATTGAAACCAGGGTCTGTGATGTTTACTTCACTTCCATAATACCTGATAAAACACCAGATGTTCAGGAGTTACATTTTAATATAAAACTGTTGAATGAAAATTTCACAAATGCAATGATTTCAATTATTTGTATTTTTAAAATTCTAGATATTAGTTTTATGAAGCTAACCTACTTTACTCAAAACCAGACTTTAAAGATGGAAAATTGAATTTCAAAACCTATTTTTCATTAATAATCTCTAATAATTAAACTCTTCTATATGCAAAAGGAAGTTTCATTAACACTACACTTCACCTAGTCTTATTTTCTAACATTTACTAGAAGTCACAGTGAATTATACTACTTATGAAATAACATACAAAAAAATATAATGAATTACACATCTGTGGTGACTGCTTTCCAGCTATCAGATAGGAACTAAACCACAGTATCCATGAGTCTAAAAAGTTAAGTGGAATAAACAATTTTCATTCCCGCCAAATAAGTATCCCGTGTATCTCTGGGTTGGCAGTTATACACGTATATTTATTCAATTTTTATGGTTTAATAACCATATTCATATTGGAGAGATGAAAGGTATAAAGGTTAATGGTTTAATATTTCTTTGTATAAGCAATATTAGTGACTTGTAAAATATTTAAGGCTCAAATTCTTTCAAATACAGTTCAAAATTACCTTTGTAGCACATATCTTAGAAAATAAGCTTTTCCCTCAGGTATTTCAATGCCTTTTTAAGAAGGCACATGTATCTCAATTCATCTGCTCTGCAACTGAGTTGCTCTTTAAGAGTCAGTACTCTGCTCCAAATAATCGGTCCTTCACTATAATTTCAGAAACAAAGAGGTATGAGGTATGACACTGTAACAGTCTTTTTCTTCTGGTAGTGTATATTAAATACCATGATTACATACTATGTAAATAACGTCGTCTGTGACCTATCACCTCTCTGTTAGCGGTCTAAACCACTGCTGTACATTTGTGTCACTTCCGGAGCTTTATAACCAATTCAGCAGAACCTCAGGGGGTAGGACCCAAATGTCAAGATTTTTCTAAGTTCCCAGGTGAATAATGTACAGCAGAGGTTGAGAAACACAACACTACAGGAACTCTTAATGTTCAGACAAGTTCAGAAAAGTTACGTATGCGTGTCTTGTCAAAAGCAGAGCACCTCCTCTTAGTTTTTTTTTTTTGGCAACCTTTTAAGTAGCAATGCAAACAAACAAAAAAAACCTACTCTGCATTTGTGAACTGAACCTATGCTGCATTTCTTTTCTAAATGAGACGGTTGGGTAATTACATTGAGGACTACTTCTAGCATGCATGGTCTAGTCAATCGGTATTAATTAACCAGCTTCCCTGTCCCCAAAATAGTCTTTTAATGTGCCAAACAGCCCCAGAAGAGGCTTGAAGAAACTGTTATATTGGGGAAAAGGAGTACCCACTCAAATTGTATCTTCTATCTACTAATTCAGATATAAAAAATTCATTTACCCGCATATTCTTAATGTATTTCTGCTATACTATAATTATAAACATGATTATTTTATAATATATTTAGCTATGTATAGGAACTGTTCACAGATTTTGGCATAAAATAGATTTGTAAATGAATGCTAGTGTCTTTCCCTATTTTAGAAGGTAGTCAGTACTTGGAATTATTCAGTAGGGGTTTCAGTTATCATTCCTAGTACTTCTTACAAGTTCTTATTGTGATGATTCAAGCAATGCTACTAAAAAAATTTTAAGTTTAGGTCAATTATTTTAGAGAAATACACACAATGCATTTTTATTTTAGATTTTGTGACAAATGAAAACAAACATTTAAATAACACTCTCCGTCAAGTTCTATTCTAAGTGCTTATATATATGTAAATTCATTTAATCCTCAAAATTACTGAGAAAGACATGTTATCATTGTTTTCTATTTTACAAGTGAGGAAAAAGAGGCATACAGAAGGTTAATTTGTAGAAATGGGGTTCAATCCCAGGCAGTCTGACTCCAATGTACAGGCTCTTAAAACAACCTCTGCCTCCACGGTTAGAATATTTGACCTTACTGGCTGATTAAAAAATTTTGACATGGCTGCACAATGATATTAATATTTTTACATTATATCTAAAGTTTAAAGTGTGTTCAGTAATTTTCCATTTCAAGGATATTTTTATATAATATCCTTTAAGACTTACAGAAGTATAAAAATTAAAGTGTTCAAATTATATTATTAACTCGTTAGGGTATGAGGCTTTGGATCAGCACCTTATTATAGGACATAAGTGATTTCCCAATATGCAACTTACACGTTTATCAATATCACCATGCTGAAGCTGAACAAACCGAGCACTAATGGCAGCAATATAGCTCTGCTGATTGGAGAAAGCAACTCGCCCAGCACCTTTTGGGTATTTTAGCTCAGGATCTGTATCAATTCCTGCATAACAAACTCCACCATACAGCCGGTCCATGATCATAGCAAGTTCCACTTGAAAAGGAAAAGAAGTTTACATCAAATGTGAGAGAACACAGTAATCAACAATTTTTAAGTACTTTTTGTAAAACGTAAAAGTCAATAGTATATTATCATTTGACCAGGAGTAGAATGGCAGATAAGAGGCTGTTGTTAAAAAAGGACGGGGATCGAGGATGCTTTTTTTAAACTATAAAGTGACTCACCACCATCACATCTACCTACTTACAGCACTAAACCCACTATATACTCTATCTTCTGTCCTATAGAGAAATAGTTCCATGCTCTTTCCTAAATCCAATCCTTTCACTTGCATACTAGATCCCATACACTCTCACTTAGGACACTGCTTCAGCAATTCTCCCCTTTCCCTTCTATACAATCAATTTTCCCAAGTACACTATAATTTTCCTATCTTAAAAAAAATTCCCATAACACTTTTTCTCCCTCTCAGCTACTGCTCCATTTCTCTGTTCCCCTTTACAACCAAATTTCTCAAAATCTGTTCCAGTATTCCCCCCAATTCCTCTCCTCCCTTTCTCTTTATTCAACTCTTTTTCTAACCAGACTATCACACCATGACTCCACTATAATTGTTCAAGCCAAGTCCAATGGTCAATCTATCTGTAAGTAGCATTGAACACAATTAATCCCTTCCTTCTCATTCAAATATTTTCTCCATCTGGCTTCTAGAATATATTATCCCACTAATTCTGCTCCTACCTCACTGATACATTTCTTCTGAGTCTTCCTTGATAGTTCATCCTAAACGCCTTAACTTTTCAATGTCAGAGTACCCTAACTTTCAATCCTTGCAACACTATCTACACTCCTGGCTTTGGTACCTTCATCCTGTATCATAGCTTTAAACACCATCTATATGTTTTTAAGCTCCTACATTTTTATCTCTAGTGTGGACCTCTCCCATGGATGCCAGACTTGTACATGCAACTGTCTACTGGACAACTCGATATTTAACAGGCACTGGCCACACTCGGTATATTAAAAATGGAACTCATAATCTTCCCTTATCCCATTAAACCTGCTCCAATGAGTTTCTGCTGACCCAGTTAGAAAGCAACAGAAAAGATGAAGTTGTCAAGATCTTTGGCTTCATTCTTTCTGTATTCTTCCCTTGCTCCATACTGCACATGCAATCCTGTAAACTTGATTTTAAAACATATCTAGAGTCCAATTGCCTCACCTCCATCACTAACATCCTGATTCATGCTAACATCATTTTTCATCTGGTTCATGGCAATAACCTTATCTCTCTTTGCTTTTGGCCCTTGCCTTCCCAGCTTTTTAAAACAGTATAAAGAGTGATTCTCTTAAAAAATACACCAGATACCACCATAAAAATACATAAAAAAATATACCATATACCATGGTTTAATTGAAATTTCTATTTGGGAGCTCTGAATGGTGCCATAAACTTGTGTTCAAAACCAAGACCACAATCTTCCCTCCCTATCTGCTCCTTCTCCAGTTTTCCTTCCATCTCAGTAAAAGGCATCACTATCCACCCAGTGGCTTATGACTGAAAGATGAGATTCAGTCTTTGTGTCTACCTCATAAACATCTGTCACCTCTGTTCAGTTGGCTTTCTCCACTGCTACCACTAATCCAAGCCACCATTGTCTATCTCCTGGATTGTAATAATAGGATGTTAAACTGGTCTGCCCGCATTTACTCTCACCCTGGCCCCCCTCTCTCTGAATCATTAGCTAAAGTGAACTTTGAAAACTGCAAAGATAATGAAGTCTCTCTTTTGCTTAAAAACTCTTCAATGGTTTACCCTTGCTCTGAGAATAAATACCGAGTTAGTCTATTAGACTTGTATGATTTGACCCCTTCCCTCACTCCTTGTATCCCAAGTCAGGCACTTTGGGCTTCTTTCAGTTCCTTCAAAGCACCCTGTTTCCCTCCACTCAAGACCTTTAAATAAGCTGTTCCCTTTCTGTGAAACACATTCCTCAGAACCCTGCTACCACCCTGATCCTACTCCTTTTGCCCAGTCTTTATATGTCAGCTCAACTACAAATACCTTCAAGATATCAGACTTCAAATACCTTCAAGATATCAGATATCATATTTCCTTGCTACATGCTCTTCTGTTCCCTATAGTACTTCTTTGTAGAAGTCATCATATTCTATAAGTATTTCCATGTATGAATAGTTCTTTAACATATATCTCTATGACTGGGGAGACGATGTTCTCAGTGATGGAAATCACTAACACTCTACACATGGTGCACAGTACCATCTAACAAGTGCAAAGTGGGCATATACATCTACAATTATATTCCTCTGTGACATATTTTGGTAGGTTTTTGGTTCCTAGTTATTGATAAACAGAAGTTTATCATCATTCACTTATCTAAAGTGCTACTTTAATGATTAAAATATAGATAAAAGAGAAAAAAATCCCATATTTCTTTTTCAGATATCAGAATCGATCTACACAAAATAAACAGACCCCAAATTCTCTTATCTCAGAGAGGTACACTTAGGAAATCGGAAGTATTTAGGTGGATTCTTATAGATTTGCTTTGAGTTAGCTACTGCACTAATATTGATAGATAAGTACCCAATTCTCCAGTTGGAGAGTTTCAAGAGGGGGCCTCAGAATTTGTTTCAAAATTCTGTAGTTAGCAGCAATTGGTGCATGCAGAATCTGCTCCTGCTCTGTCCAATAGTGTCATGTACACAATAGCTTCCAAACGTTTATTAAATTGACTAGGACATATTTAAATGATTTTTTTAAACAAAATTGTTAACATTCTACTTACCAGCCCTTAATGGCCTAGGAACACCTCCAACAAAAATTGTTTTTCGGGGATCCAAAGGCTGAGAACCATCCATTACAAAATCACTATCACTTAAATTCCAAGGACGTATTTGAACCTATGAAGAAAATTACATTGGGTCTTACTCCCTTGATGTCTTATGAGAATTTTCTGTTTGTTTGTTTTTGCCAGTTAATAGTGATTCTTTTATTGCTTAAAAATTTGTATAGTGGGATCTGGAAACAAATTATTTTTATAACTTTTGTTGATCTAGATACTATAAATCCGCAGTCTCTGACCTTTTTGGCACCAGGGACCAATTTTGAGGAAGACAGTTTTTCTAAGGATGGAGGTGGTGGAGGATGGTTTCGAGATCAAAGTGTTCCACCTCAGATCATCAGGCATTAGATTCTCATAAAGAACATGCAACCTAGATCACTCGCACGTGCAGTTCACAATAGGGTTCGCATTCCTATGAGAATAGAGTGCCATCTCTGATCTGACAGGAGGCAGAGCTCAGGCAGTAATGCTGGCTTGCCTGCCACTCATCTCCTGCTGTGTGGCCTGGTTCCTAAAAGATCATGGACCACCAGTACTGGTCCACTGCCCAGGGGTTGGGGACTCCTGCTATAAATTATCTGGATGTTTCAAAAACTAAAACTCAACATGGTAGTTTAATTGTTCTTTTATTAATTAACAATCATTTCAAAACAATTTTTGAAAAATTTGCATTTGTAGCCTGAAGTTCATGTGGTATTTACTTACTGGTTTGTCCTTGATAGTAGGGCTAGAAACACACAGATAGAGTTTTCCATCTTCTTCAATACAAGCATCAATGAGTGCCTGAACTGAGCTCTCTTCTTGAAAGAGAAGAAATGCATAGCCTGGAATAACCATTAAAGATGAGGCAATATGTCAAGCCAAGTGATTTTACTCCAAATTTCAGTACTATTTAGAAAATACATGCTTTTGAAAAAAAAAAACAAACTATCAAATAGGATGAAAAACCATTTACCTTCTACAAGAGAACACAATATCTTATGTAATACACATTAAAACAGATACTCAGTAAAGCAATTGGCTACTTTATATAGAACACTTGCTATCAGATACTGTATTAACTTACATGCATTAGTATTTGATTCTCAAAAGTCTATGAAATATTATTCCTGTTTTACAGAAGAAAAAAATCAAAGTACCACCAAAGTCAGTCTCATAGTAAATGGTTGAATAATTTCAAACCGAGGTCAGCCCCAAGGTCTCCCATGCGCTTTCTAGTAGTGATACTACCTTCTTAAAGAGCTTGGCAGAATTAACCAGGTGAGTATATCTGGAGCTAGAGTTTGCTATAAATGCCCTCAGGTTAATCCAAGTTCTAGACTTTTAGACTGGAACGCACTTGGAAAGGTCCAGGAAATCCCCTAAGCAGAGGAAACATTCCACAGTCTCATGAAAACTTCCCAATGATACTAAGAAAGCTACAGTAGGAAGGCTGGAATGAAACATGTTCCTTAATAAAACATGGGTCAGATGGATCAAAACTTTTAAATCAAGCCTCAACTTGGAAAGCAGTGGAATACATTTTTCAAACTGTCTGGAGACTATCTAGACTTGTAAACAACCAATTGTCAATCTTTAATAAAAAATCATGTATCCAGCAGACAGAATAGACTACATTATAAAAAGAAGGCATCAAAATTTACACTGCAAGTTTACTATTATGTGATTATTCCCAGCAGGTGATAGCTATAAATGATCTATCCATTACCTTGGCAAGATTTCTATGCGAACAAATGTACAGCATTTTAATCTAGTCCCAGTACAAAGCAGACATCAGGCAAGCCATGTATGTCTGTTCCATCGTATAATGGGAAATGTAAGGTCATGTTTTACTGAAGTCAGAAAACTCAGCTTATTGTCAACCATAGCTTTATGCCACAAAAGTCTGATGTGACACTAAAGTACTTCATTTTAATAAAATAAAAATACCTGTTTGCATAAAAAATACCTGGAGCCATTTCACCTTATATAAATGATTTCACCCTATATAAATACAAACTTCCAAAGGTAAGATTACACAGGATTAAAAAACATGTCTTAGATTTTTTACACTGCTGGAAACAATTTCAATATTCTTGAAAATAATGAAGATTTTTTTAAGGCTTTAATTTTGATACAAAATAATAATCTGGGAACTACAAGTATTTTGTAATAATTAAAAGGATATAAGACCAATTTACTAAAATAGTATATTAAATTCAATATTTTAATGTTGGCCAATTTTCATAATTTTTGATATTAATATTTTAATATTGCTTAATTTAAAGTAATACTCTAAATTCAATATCTTTAATATTGCTCAATTTTTGTTATTATTAGGGAATGTTTATATTACAAAAATTAAGCCATATCAGGTAAATTATGACTTACCTGATGCAAGTCATTAGATATTAAAATATTCTTAACAAAAACATACTACATAATAGCTTCTTTCGAATTTGTTAAAGCAAGCTAATAATCACTTAAGGTGAAGGTTATTCACTGCAAAGGAAACTTACGTACATGTGTGGCTTAGCATCTAAGGGACTCTAGTCACTGCTGTAATTACAAGGTAGCTTCACCCACTGGATGCTTCTATACCAGTGTTTTCCAAACCATGGAAAATGCTGAATTACAGAAATAATAAAATTGCTTGAAAGAACAAGGTTTGGGGATACTGGTCTTTGGAAATGTCTACATTTAACTGTAATTGTACCAAAAAAACTATGATTTGCCAGTGCCAATTTTATTTTTTCGATTAGAGAAACTAAATACTGCAAAACCACAATAACGATAGCAACAATACCAATAAAGACAACAACTATTCTGTTTCATTAAATATGTTCCATCCCATCTTTCTAGGCTTAAAGTACACCATCCTTGTAAGTGAACAAGTAGCTCATGCAAAAATCTGCATCTTTCTCCATCCAAACAATTTCTAATTCCTTTTTAAAATTCTATTTCCATTCCTGCCTGGAACGCTGTTCAAGTGCTTTTTATCTATCTATATACAATACCTTAGATTAATTCCAAACCTCTCAGTGAAGCTTTCCCCCATCTACTTGAAGTAATTTCTCCACCCTATAGTATTTTTTGTTATCTCATTTATTAGGCAGTTAACAATCCGTGAATTATTGAGAATATGAACATTCACAAAGGTGAATAAAGACACTATTTTACAGACCATTGAAAGAAACTGACATTAATAAAATAATTACAAATGTTTAAAGTTGTAAAAATGTAATACTGCAACTGTGATGAGTGCTAGGAGTGAAAGACACAGACAGCACTAGGAGTTGGGCAGGAGGAACTGACCTCATTTGGTAGATCCTCAATGTTTTCTGTGATCAACTTACACTTAAGCTTGAGATACAAAAGATAAGTAGGGAATATATAAAGAGACCTAAGGAAGAGATACAATCAGTCTAGAGAGTATCATACATAAAAGCACTGAGGCTGGAGAGAACAAGGCCAGTTTGTGGGACTGGAAGGAAACAAGCAGCAATAGTAGAAGAAGCTAGAAAGAAGGCAAGGCCAGGCAGAAGGAATGCATTTTTGCTTTTATCCTAAAAATAAGAGAAACCATTAAAGGGTTTATGCAGGTAAGTAAGGAATAGCACCATCCAATGAGTTTTCAAAGACTGCTGTGACTGGACGATAGGAGAAAACTGAAGAGGGCTAGAGATGTGGAGAGACTAGAAAGACAGCTGAAGCAGTCCAGGCAAGTGATGATGGTAGCTTAGTCGGGAACATTACAAAATAACTCAATACTCTTGAGTATTCAATAAAAATGGCATTTATAAAGTAAACTTTATGAAATGGCAAGAGAGTAAAACTATGGACAACACTAAAACTAAGCTAATAAATAAACATCTCTATCTATGTGGAGATAATTTCCTGTCTATACCAAGGTTTTGTGACCTCCAATGAACTCCAGACTACATGGAGAGAGGTAGATAGCTTTAATCAGATTCTCATAGAGGCCTGGGATCCAGAATCCCTACTCAAAAGATGCTCTTGATTCCCTACATACATATAGAATCTGCAAGTATTAAAAAAACATTGCATTACTCCATTTATCTAAAAAACTATGTGAACTATTAGTGAAGGTTCTATAATTCTCAATGGCAGAAAGTAGATATGACTCATATAATTCATCACCAGAAACCTGTACCTAGTTTTTATGTGCTAATAACTTCTTTATCATGCTTCATTTCCCAGAGTCAAAATCAAACCATTTAACAGTTCTATTGGGGTCTTTTCTCCAGGCTTGACAATTCACTAAGTCATGAAACTGAATAGTATGTGTGGTGTGCTTTTTCTAAAATTATATTTCAGCAATGTTTAAAGTAAAGTCTTAATCTTTGAACCTCCCCTCTTTTTTTTATTCATTTCAGAGAACCTTCCATTAGCAATTCTGACTAGCTGAATTAATGTTCAAGACTCCTTTCTCCTCTCTTCCTCTTGTTATTGGGGGCAGGATATACTTCCTCTCCCCACAGATGGTGACTTGATCATGCGACTTGCATGTGAAGGTTAGCACAATTTGTAATTCTTGTCCTGTGGTGATCAGCCACGGTGTCTTCCTAGCAATAACTGACTAACATAACTAAGCATCTTCCTCAAGTTTTACATCTTTATATAATTGAAAAAAAAAATAGACCCAACTAGCTACTTTGTCTTTTATCTAAATTATTTATTCATCAACAGTTGGTAATAATTTCTACTGCTCTGCTGTTATCTAGAACATTTAATGTAAATCTGATATTTCAACTGTTCATAAATTTATATTTTATGAAAGACCAATCACTTCACATAGATCTTAATTTCATAATGCAGAGAGATATTGTTTCATATGTCTATACCCAAGTTACTTGAAATGATGCTTTAGACAGAGAAAATACTCAAACATTTGTTGATCTGAGTCTATGAAATTATCAAATCATAGCAAGTCTCTTATGATTCCTAACTGGCTAAGTAATTGCTATTCTTTCTTTTGCTCTCATACAACCAATTTCCTAGCAAATATTAACAATAACAATCCTTACCTTTTGGTGGAAAATAGGACTTGCTTTCTGCTTTATGAGGCCAATCTACTACCAAAGGCCCAAATCTTCTGAAGCTAGCAGTTATTTCATCTTAAGAAAGTACAATAATACACATTAGAAATTAGTTTCAGTGATTCGTTCTAAGAAATTCTGTACTGTTACTATGAAGATTTAACATTTAAAAGTGCCAAATACCTTAAGATAAATTAGAATATAAACACTGGGAATATGTCTAATATACTTATTAAAATAATATGTCAAGATTAACAATTTTTGTCAAAATAAATTCACTTTTAAGCAATGCATTGGTTAGAATACTCAATTCCATGTGAATTTTAAAATTTTATATAACATTGTATGGATACTAATGACTTTATAGTACACCAAACCACAAATAGCACTGGATTGAAAAAAATGCCAACATATATAAATAAAATCTATTACTGCTTCACAAATAAAATCATTTTATTATAGGAAAAAAGGTCTGCTAAAACAAGACTTGAATAACTACAATGTTGAAAAAATATACAAGGGTCTGATACATGCCTGGTAGTTTCACTGAAATCCACATAGGTTACATCCAATTGCTATGTCTTACGTTATTTCATTACATAGAAAGCTTATGAAGATCAATACTTAGAATTAAGTTTGTGGATATCTGAATCATAACTAAAAAATTTCCTAAAATGTAAGAATGAGTGATACATTTCCCATAACCTCACAAATATAGCTTAATATTTTAAGTCTTCAATTAATTTTCTTTTGTTATCACATACAATTACTAGTGTTTGTGAAACCCTAATTTCCTATTCATGTTCTGTTTCCATTTCCCTTTCGGGTTTAATAGCCTCTTTCTTCCCTGTTTCTAAGAGCACATTTATCCTTAAAGAAATTAAACTTTTGGCCGGGTATGGTGGCTCATGCCTGTAATCCCAGCACTTTGGGAGGCTAAAGTGGGCGGATCATGAGGTCAGGAGATCAAAACCATTCTGGCTAACACAGTGAAACCCCGTCTCACCTAAAAATACAACAAATTAGCGGGGCATGGTGGCGGGCGCCTGTAGTCCCAGCTACTCAGGAGGCTGAGGCAGGAGAATCGCTTGAACCCGGGAAGTGGAGTTTGCAGCGAGCCGAGATTGCGCCACTGCACTCCAGCCTGGAAGACAGAGCGAGACTCCACCTCAAAAAAAAAAATAAATAAATAAATAAAAATAAAAATAAACTTTTGATTACCAAGCATTGCAGATATTATCTTATGGTTGGTTCCATTTATTTCAGTGTATGTGTGCATGCACACATTATGGTGATACAAAAAGCTTTAAGTTTTATATACCTAAATATATTCTATATTTTAAAAACAAGTAGAATATGACCTAGGTCATGAAAATCTTATTTACAAAAAATGCTCACAGTTACAAATATGATAAGATCTAAAGTGAAAAATAAAAAAGCTTTTGTTCAACTACTTTCATATTTCAACAGGTGATAAAGTATTTTAAAAGAAGAAAATGCATTCTAATTCTGAAAATCTCTAGGTGGTAAAAACTTTCATAGTCCATTCACATTAAATTTCATATCTTTTTGTTTTTGTTAAAGCCCAAATCACCATGTTAATAAATATCTTAATAAATACCTTCATCAATATCTGGAGGAAGACCACCAACAAAAACTTTTCGAGAGAAGCGTTCTATTCGCTCTCCATTTTGGTGAGCTGAATAACAGGTGGGTGAATTTAAAACTCCAACTTGATCACTGTGACCATCATCAAGCAAGCCATCATCTATTGGAAAGAGGGAAGAACGACCTAGAATAAAGAACAAATACAACTTGAATCTCAGATCTGAGAAAATGATAAATTTAAGCATAAAAATACCAATGACAAATTCAAAGACTTAAAAATGAAGGTGATGCAGGTGAACATAAAAATTAAGAGAAATTTAAATAGCATGTGGTTTTAATTACCTGGATTCAAGAAAGAAGCAATCTAAAGAGTGACTTAGAAATAAACATAGTCATATGTCAACAATTAAACTGCAAAAGAGATACTAGATCACTTCAACTTGTTATGAGCAAGAACTTGTTATAAGCAAGAACCTAATGTATGTGGACAGTTAGAATGGATATATAACAGGAGAAACTTTTCAGAAACTGGTGGCAGAAAGGAAATGACACAGACTAAATAGATAAGGGGATATAATTTATAAAAAATCACTTGTAGACTACAGTAAGTAAGGATGAGGAGAACAAGTAATACTTGTATACAAGGTCTTCACCTAATTTATTACACGTGTGCCAATTACATGAAACAGTAGACGGAGCTTCCGCACATGTGCAAAATAGAAAAGGTACCCCCTCTAGCACGTTAGTGCCCATTTGAGCCCACATTTCAGGAGGTAATCCTTATATAGGGCACATCCTGCACAATCCTCTGAAGTAATCCCCACTCTGTGGGTAATCCCTCCACAAAACTTAAATGCCCTGATATACTCCCTGGCTGTCAAGGAATGTACATTTAGAAAGATAAGATCTATATATGTAACCATGGTACACATCCATAAGAAAGCTTCAAAGTGCTCAGAGGACATATTCTGGAGGAAAGGAGTCAAATAAAAGGATGATTTCCTAAATCTCTAAGTGAAATTAAATAGCATTTGGGATAAAAAGAGAAAAATAGCAGTACATAGTGAGGCATTAGAAAGAGGAGAATATCTATAGGTGGAAATATTTACAGGAACATGGTTTTCAGTAAATTTTCCTTTTTTTCCAAGTGAAAGGAGAAACATAAGAAAATGTAGGAAAAATTGAACTTACTTGAGAAATAAGGAATAGTCAAGGTTGGCTGAAATATGTTGGAAACAAGGAGAGTAAAAGCCAGAAAAGCCCTTTGAGGCTAGAGTATTTAGCATTGAATGACAGGCTAACGAGACATTTAGTAGGTGGTGAAGATAATAAACTAGATACAGGGATTCAATCAAGATTATAACTTTTTCTATGCATTAGGGAGACTTAGTCAATATGGATAAGGTAGTTGAAAATGAGCAGATCAGAAGCTGTGCAAAAAATCCACAAAGGATGGATGGCAGTCACAAGCAGATAGGAAACAAAATAGGGAGAAAGAATGAAAAAGGAGAGATCTAAGGAAGACTTTAGAAAATGATAAAACCATTAACTGATATAAGGACAGTTAAGACCAGAAACTGGTATAAGAAAGGAAAATAATTTAAGCTTTAGATGTAAAGTTTTATATGCTGTTAGGATGTTCAGAAGCAAATGTATAGTAGGAAGCTGAAAAGGAAGTGGAGAAAAGAAATGTCATATTTCTGAGAAAATAATTTGGAGTCAACTCCATGGGTTATAGTTTAAGGTCCTTTATAACATCAATGATAAACACTCCAGCGAGAAATGATGAGGACAGTTCCTTGGGAAACTTACAAGGAAGAAGCAGAACATTCAAGGAGTTAGAGAAAGGAGTGGTAAGAAAAGTGGGAGGGCAGCCAAAATATCATGGTAATAGAAGCACCAAAAAACCAATAAAAGAACGAAAGAGCAATTAAGTAACAATGTGAGATATTAAGATAATTACTTTTAATAAACAGTTGTTTTTGAGGACATACATGATCTGTGAAGGTAGCTGTTTCAGGAAAGTTGGGTAGGAGTCACATTGCATGTATTTAGAGTTTTATTACGTATAGAGATCAAATGAAGAGAAGTATGTTAGAGAAGGAAAAACAGTAAGAATATGGACAAGTTGTTTTTCTTTCAGTATTAACTGAAGGATTTTTTTGGATAGGAGACAATGCATATAATCTATAGCAGCGATCCCCAACCTTTTCGGCACCAGGGACCAGTTTTGTGGACAACAATTTTTCCACAGCAGGGGGATGATTTTGGGATGAAAATGTTCCACCTCAGATCATCAGGCATTAGATTCTCATAAGGAGCACACAACCTAGATCCTTCACACATGCAGTTCACAATAGGGTTCACGCTCCTGTGAGAATCTAATGCTACTGCTGATCTGACAGGAGGTGGAGCTCAGGCAGGCAGCAATGCTCACTTGCCCTCCACTCACCTCCTGCTGTGTGGCCTGGTTCCTAACAGACCATGGACCAGTATCGGTTTTATGTTGGGTATCTGTCTATATATTAAACAAACAGGCCACGGACCGGACCGTTTTATGTTGGGTATTTGTTTATATATTAAATCACATGCCATAGAACATCTTGAACAATATGACACATGATGCAAGTGATACAAACAAAGACAATTAGAAATGTGACAGCCTGAACAGAATGGGTTGGGGACAAGAAGGAAGGGACCACATGCCTGTCAGAGTGAGGGAGCTAGCTACCTAGATGTTTGACATAAAAATTTAGTTTATAAGACACAACAACAGAGAGAAAGATGATATTTGATATAGGAAATGAATTATTCTAAAGATTCAAATGCTGTTTAAATATGATGTTCTGAAAAATACCCATGTTCACTGAGTAACTTTGTGAATATTGCTTAACTTTTCAAATACCGCTGTTATTAGAAACAGGAAGCAATGTAAAACAAAATGTCAGTATTTTTTGTCATCAATAGAAAGGAAACTCTTCAACATGAAACTATTTTTACTCAATAAAATGAACATCAAGGTCCACTAAAAATAATATTAATTGTGAATAACTGGTCAAACTTTTAAAGGTTAGACTTTAATTGAATAATTCTCTACTTTAAAAGGAATAAGATAAACAGCATACATACAAACGATTTTAAGGAAAAAAATCACAAATCCAAATTCTATATTTATTTCAGATGTACAATACTTTGGAAAGTTTTTCACTTTAAAATGCCCTAACACAAATAAAAACTTAGCAGTGTCATAAATACAGTAAGTATTCAAATGTCTTTCTAACAGACATTTAAGTTGAGAAAAAATATGGATCACAAATACTTAGGGTCTATATTAAAAAAAAAAGAATGCGGTGACAAATCACACTATAAGCAATGCCAAAGAGAAAAGTGACCCAAAAGTGACTCAAACTTTTTGTTTACTATAATAAAATATTACTTAGTATTCATATAACTAAAAACATCTATAATCTATTAACGAAGTTCAGCTAAACAAAGAATGTAACGAAAAGTTTAAGAACATTTTGCACACTAGCCATACTAACAAGAATCTTCACTGTTGGACAATAATGACTGCTTTTTTTCAAGAAGCCATAAAAGCTACAGATTTAAATACTCATTTAAAAGAAGAGTTAACTGAATATATATCATTGACAAAGTCTGACCTTTTACCTTGCCAATTATCCTTTTATCATATTCCAAATTAATATGACAATAAAAGGAGAACCATTAAATAAGTTATATCTACCACTGTAGTATACTTTAAACATGCTTTCTAAGAAGGATACCATACGTATGTTTTCAGGTTCTTACACCTCAAAGGAATAAAACTGAATGATAATGAAACACAACAAATTCATTTTGCTGGAATGCAGCAAAAGCCAGGCTCAAAGGAAAATTCATAGTTTTAAAAGCATATTAGAAAACAAGACATGCTTAAAACAAATCATCTTGTTTCTACCACAAAAAGCTAGAAAAAGAACAGCAAATAAAATACAAAGAAAGTACGATGAAGGAAATAAAGTAACAAAAAAGAGACATCAATCAACACAGAACTTACAAACATTAAAAGATTAAAAAGAATGTTATTAGCCACTTTATGGTAATAAATTTAACAACTAGAGGAAACAAATCCCTTGAAAAATGCAGCTTTTCAAAAATGGCACAGGGAGAAAAAATCTGAAAAGTTCTTTGTCTGCTAAAAAAAAATGAAAGTCATAACTTAAAATAAAAAAATCTTCCGACAGAGAAAAATCCAGGCCTAGATGGCTTTACTGGCAAATGAACTAGACTTTTGAAGAAGAAAAAATGGCAATTTTATACAAACTCTTCCAGAGAATAAAGAAAGAGGAAGCACTTCACAACTTTTTTTTACAAGTGCAATACTAAAATCTGACAAAAACATAAGGAAACTATATACCAATATCCCTCATGAACACAAATGCAAAAATCCTAAAAAATATATTGGCAGAATGAATCCAGAAGTATAGATAAAAATGGAAAACAAATCATGATTAAGTGGGGTTCACCCCAGGAACGTAAGATTGATTTATCATTTTAAAACCAATTACTGTTAATTGTACTACATAAACAGACAAAAATAGAAATACCATAAAATTATTTCCATAAATGTAGGAAATGCATCTGATAAAACTCAACAGCTATTCATAATTAAAAAAAAAAAAACCACAACTCCCAGAAAACTAGGAGTAGGAGGGAATTTCTTCAATCCAATAAAGAGCATTTAAAAAAAAAAGAGTGAAAGTCTGTAATAATAAATTATCAAATGGTTTCTCTTGAAGGTTTGGAAGGATGTTCACTCTATTTCTACTCAGCATTGTACTACTGGAGGTACAACAAATCAAAGAAGATGAAAAAAATAATTTAAAGTCATGAACACTGGCAAAGAAAAATAAAATTACTTAGTATAGACATAATTGTACATGTAAAATTCGAAGAAATCAAACTAGTAGAAATAATTGTATTTATCTAGGGAAGAAATGCAAATTCAATTTACAAAAACCAAATTATTTCTAAATGCTAGTAATAAACTGGGAAAAATTTTAAATATCATTTCCATACCTCATCCAAACCCACCAAATACTGACAAATAAACTTAACACAAGATATGTAAGACTTTTACACCGAAAATGACAAAAATTTGCTGTGGAAAAATGTTAAAAATATGAAATAAATGAATAAACAGAAGAAACCATGTTAGATGTAAATTCTTTCCAAATTATCCAATCTACAGACTGGATACAATCCATCCAAAATCTCAGCACACTGTCTTCTAGAAATTCACAAGCCAGTTCTAAAATTTATGATAAATCAAAGGCCTACGAACAATCAAGGAGAGCGTACAAAACAAACAAACAAAAAGCCAAAGTTGGAGGATTTACACTACCAAGTTTCAAGACTCACTAGTTAGCTATAGTTATTGAGACTGTAAAACTGATATTAGACAGATAAATGGAACATAATAGAGTCTAGAAATGGGCCTATACATGTACAGTCACTTGATGTTTTTCAAAGGTACCAATACAGTTCAATGTGGAAAAGTAAATCTTTTCAATAAATGGATTTCTAGTTGGAGGGGGAAAAATAAATTTGATCCTTGTATCACACCATACTGAAAAATAAATCCAAGAAGGATCACAGACTTAAATGCAAAAGTTAAAACAACGAAACTAGAATTTCTTCATAACCTTGTGGGTAGTGATAATTTCTTGGGACTAAATGACACTAATGGTGAATGAAAATAATTGGATTTTTATTAAAATTTAGACATTTTTCTGCTTATCAAAGATACTGTTAAAAAGTGGATGGCAAGCAATACGCTACTGGAAAATAGGACAAAATATATAAAGAACTCCCATAAATGAAGAAAAATGACCCAATTAAAAATGAGCAAAAGACTTGTAATGGAACTTTACAGAAGAATACAATGGAATGGGTTAGAAGCACATGAAAAGGTGCTTAGATGTCATCCTTAGTCATCAGGAAACTGCAAATTAGAGCCACAGTGAGGGACTACACACCACCAGAATGGATAAAATTAAAAAGCCAACACTTGGCCAGGCGCGATGGCTCATGCCTGTAATCCCAGCACTTTGGGAGGCTGAGGCAGGCAGATCACCTGAGGTGAGGAGTTTGAGACCAGCCTGGCCAACATCGTGAAACCCCGTCTCTACTAAAAATATAAAAATTAGCCGGGTGTGGTGGCGCATGTCTGTAATCCCAACTACTCAGAAGGCTGAGGCAGAAGAATCGCTTCAACCTAGGAGGTGGAGGTTGCAGTGAGCCGAGATCGGGCCATTGCACTCCAGCCTGCCTGGGCAGCACGAGCAAAACTCCATCTCAAAAAAAAAAGGCCAACACAGTCTCATACTCTACTGGGGTATAAAACTGGAAACTATTTGGCAGTTTCTAATAAAGTTGAACATATACTTGCTCTATGAACTAGTAATTCCACTTTTACTTATACATCCAAGAGAAACGAGTGCTCATGTCCACCCACATACAAAAAGGTACAAAAATATTCATGGAAGGTTTATTCATAACAAGTACCAAATGTATAACTCAAACATCTATCAATAGGAAAATGGATAAACAAATTCATACAATAAAATGTTATTCACCAATAAGAAATAACTGATAAAAACTACTAATTGTAATTTCCTTTCTATACAATTTCCGTACAAAAAGCTAATCATTTCTCTTTTACTTGAGACTGATACTTATAAATATTTAAAAGTAATTACTTATGAAATTATTTTTTTCTTTTAAAAGAAGAGCTGATATGGTTATTCCTAAGGCTCTTACCACAAGAGTTAGATGTGTTTTTTATTTCACCAGATAAATAATCTTAAAGGTAATATTTCCTTGCCGTTAAAATCAGTAAGAGAACCCTAAAGATATTAATTTGCAAACCCTATACTCAAAACAATTTAAAACTACAGTTTTGCATTGTTTAAGGTGGCAGATTTTTTTTGCTTATGGTCTTCTGCTTTTTGATTTTAGAAATTATCACTTGATCTTGACTCCAAACACTTCATTTCTCTGCATTGTTATGAAAGAAACCCAAATCAAAATTATTGACCCTACTACAAGGCAACAAGAATAAACCGTTACACAAAAATGCTACTCCCATGAGTCTAAATTAAAATGTATATACGCTCATATATATATAATATGTATGAATATGTGTATATATACACACATATGTACAGGTATTTATGACAGATATTTATGTACATAAGCACTGATACATACATATGAATGAAAGGCAAATTGAAGTTTTGTAATAGAAAATACAGATAAAACATCTGAGAATTTAGAAGCAGAGAAGATTAATTATAACCCAGGCTGGAGTGAGATTCTAATTAAAGGTTCTTTAAAAGAGAATGATTTACAAAGAATGAGATAGTTATAGACAGAAAAGGATAGAGGAGAAAAAGAAGTAGAGGGAAAAAGCCTTCCTTCGGTAGAAGATATTTGCTTAGCCAAAAGCACAGAGAAATATTCCAAAGGCCATATTAAGGTAAAATACAGAAAACAGGAGATATTCTTAACTATGAGTTCAAGAACCCTACCTACAAATGCAAGTATAATAGCTTACATTAAGTTTGCTACCTAAAATGTATAATTTTAAAGGCAAAATAGTAGTTATAATAAAGATTATAGATGAATGAAGTAATAAGAGAAGGAAGAGCAAAACGAGAATAATGGCTATCCCCTATGGTCTCTGGTCTCCGTGTGTGTGTAGGTGTATGTGCGGCACACATCCATGTATGTTAGAGAAGTTATAGGTGGTTACTAACTCTGACACTGGGCGCTATGCTAATGTTACCAAACATTAATTTAAAAAACTATCAAAACAACAGAAGTATATTTCAGATTGATCTATTTTCAGCATTATCTGTTTAATCAAATACACTCGGGTATGATTCTGCAAATAACTGAGAAAGGCACCATAATGTACACACTAACGGCTTAAAAATGTTTTGCTCCAATAGGTTTGTACCTTTCTCATTAAGGATAAAGAAGATAATTTACTTAAAAAATTTATAATCTATGACCTTATATGTCTTTGTAAATTTTATTTAATTTCTAGATATATATGCTTTAAAATTAGGTTTACTAAAATTTGTTTTCTATAAAAATTCATATTGCTGGGTATAGGTGTAGAGCAGACACTACCAGTCTCTTAAAGGTTAGGAAAGGGAGGTCAGCAAATTTTTTTCTTTAAAGGGTCAGTATTAAATATAATATTTTACATTTTGAAGACCAGACATTTTCTGTTGGAATTACTCAACTGTGCTATCATTGTAGTTTCAAGGCAGCCAGACAAAAGTCAATGAATAAATACTGGCTGCATTTCAATAAAACTTTGTTTACAAAAACAGAAGCCTTGGCCTGCGGGCCATGGTTTCCTGACCCCTGTATTAGTGTTACCCCAGCTTTTTTTTCATGCTTCAGAGATCTTGCCCACTCTCTCACAATTATTGAAGTTATTTATCAAGGATTTCAGCCTTGATTTCATCATAAAAATATCTGGCAGTGATGTTATTAGGGAGTGTACAGTTACCCTGGGTACTTCACAATTGTTCCAAATTGAAAATCCTGGATCAACTTCAAAGCAGTATACTATATTATTAATAATTCCTTATTTATTATAGCACGTAAGTCTGAATGACTATACACTATGAATAAATCAAACTTCTCTAATTAACCTTTCCATCATTTGTCTCCCTTTAAAATTATTTCTCCTATCTTCTCATCCCATATGTAATCTACTAACTCAAGCTCTGGGTTTCCTTGCTTAAAAGGATTGCCTTCCGGGTCTTAGAACCATTAACTAAACTACGTTTTTATTTATATTACTAAAAATATTCTATATATTTTTATTCCTTTTGGAACACAGTAGCCCTTTAATCCTTTATTAAAGGAACTTATTGTGCTATAGAAATAGTTTAAGTTGAAAGGATCGAACTTAAATTACACTTCACGCCTCCCTTCACAACCCTCATCCTACTTCAATCCTGGACAAGTATGTTCACTCTCAGAATGGAATGGAAGAAACAATGAATAAAAAATAAATACAAATGATAAGTAGTTTTCCATATATTAAAGTCAGCTCCCCATATGAACCGTTTTCCTTCCTAATGCTGCCCCCTAGGCAGCTCTAAAGTAGAACTCTTTATGGCTACCAGGGGATAGAGATACACAGTAGTGATAGTAGGTTCCAACTAAAAAGCAGGGACAGAAATCTCTGCTTTTCTTAACTACTACTAGCATAATTACATTTTGATTATTCCTAAAGTATATTTCATAAATTAATATCTGGAGCTAGCTTTATTTAAAGTTCTTATTGACATTATTAAGAAATTCAAGTACATAAAGTCATTTTGGTAGTAACTTGATTTGACTGTAGTCAAGTGAGAAATCTTTTAAATGAAAACAGTTTCGTGCCTGGGCTGAAAGAAGAAAAACAGTTCTTCCTGAACAGGACTACAAAAGTCAAAGTCAGAATGTCCTGTGAAAATAACTGTTCACCCATTATTGCACTGGTAGAAGAGCCATGACTTATTTTTAGCAAAAATTATATCAACTCAGTGTGACACATCCGACATGAACAGAAGATAAGCAACTCATTTTTCACAAAATAATTACTAAATAAATGCAGTTTCTTTGATGGATCAAATCTAACACATGAGGCTATATAAAAGGGGGTGTTTGGTGGTTAAAAGGTTATCAGTCTGAGGTTTATTATACCTAGCATGGAATAGGAAAAAACAGTAAAAAATAGGAAGAAAACCAGGTGACTAGCCATTTCTGAGTCATTCCTTTGGTATGCAGGTTTTAAAAAAATTGCATTACTTACCGTTTCAGTGTACTTTAAAATTCAGATAAAATCTCTCAGTAGTTATTTCTAATGAGTGTGCCTTTCACGTGACTCTCACAATCAAAATTTTAAAAGTAGACTGCTAGTGTTCATAATTTACTAAGGCCATATAATTTGAGATGAAAATTCAGGCATTCACTCCCCCTTATGCTAAGCCAAATATGTATGCCAACCATCAGTTCTGTCGTAATGGAAGCTTTTATCAGAAGCCTTAAAACCATGTGAGAGTCTTCCTTCTTCCAATGCAGGAAGGCAGTTCTGAAGCCGAATAAGTCTTTATGGCTTACGGGGGATAGAGATATATAGGAATGATAGCTGGTTCCTATATAAAAGCAGGGAAAAAAATTTTGTTTTTTCTTAATATAATCATAATCTACAATTATTGAACTGAGATGAAGACAAATAATAACATTACTTCCTAATACCTTGTTCCTAAGAACTTCTTAGGTCATGATATTTACATGAGAGCATACGAAATTAGACTAAATGTAAGTCACAACAGGTAAAAGATGAAAAATGTTTAACAAGGCAAGAATTCTGAATTGCTCTATAGTTTCAAAATGCCTAAAAATCACAGACTGGTAAGTGGGTTGTGTTTCAGAGAACTGAAGCTCCATTACTAAAATTGCATAGTGAAATAAGCTAGTCCATAGATTTGAAAATAGGTACTAAACTTCTAAACTGCTCCCCCCTTCTCAGCTTGCTAAGTTTTTAGAAAAGTTGTTCAGCTTCAATTTTTTAAGTCTTGAGTGTCTGTCTCCTCTAAGTTTTTAGTTAGAAAACTGAAGAACCAAAAGATTCAGTCAAGCATTTGAAAAAACCATATTAAAAAATTAAGTTAAATTCAGATAATCTGAAATATAAAATTGGGACCACTTAAGAATATAAAATACTAGTTTTGGTTGTCAGTCGTGGCAAATGGTTTTGCTTGTTTGTTGTTTAAAAAGTACACACATTCATGACTAGTTGAAAAGAAATGGAAGCACTGGCACATGTCTATAGGTGGCTCATGCCTGTAATCCCAGCACTTTGGGAGGCCGAGGTGGGCAGATCACCTGAGGTCAGGAATTCAAGACCAGACGGGCCAACATGGAGAAACTCCATCTCTACTAAAAATAAAAAATTTAGCTGGGTGTGGTGGCACATGCCTGTAATCCCAGCTACTTGGGAGGATGAGGTAGGAGAATTGCTTGAATCCGGGAAGCAGAGGTTGTGGTGAGCCGAGATCGCGCCACTGCACTCCAGCCTGGGCAACAAGAGCGAAACTCCGTCTCAAAAAAAAAAAAAAGTGATCAAAGGGCACTATTATTCCTGTCTATCCTCTATGGCT
This sequence comes from Homo sapiens, assembly GCF_000001405.40. Lineage (NCBI taxonomy): Eukaryota > Metazoa > Chordata > Mammalia > Primates > Hominidae > Homo > Homo sapiens. Next base: position 15,041,363 of record NC_000004.12, on the reverse strand, counting down.
TAAGGGAGATTTTTAGAGGTCAAAGAAAACTCTTTTTATTCGGTGTGGCACTTGGAATAAGCCTAACAATATAAACATCATGATTATTGCTCATTTAAAGAACAATCTAGTAGCATACTTTTGCTTCCTCTCATCCCATCTACTAGTCTGCACATGGAAAAGGGAGAAGCAAAGTTTTAGCCACAGAAAACATCAGCTACTTTCCTAGGAAGTTCAATAATAGTCTTGCATCACATAGTCCTCTTTCCTTAGGATACCACACAAGAACTCTGTGGGGAATACTTTTGTGGGGGAGGGAAAGGAAAAAGGAAAGGGGAGAAGGTATGTGTTTGTGTGTGTGTGTGAGAGACAGAAAGGGAAAGAAGGGGTTATATTCTTAGAAAACAGAGAAATATAAGCAACATGATTTCTATAAATCACTGTTAAAAATAATCTATTTGGTGTGTGTTATTTTCAACTGGGTCAACATAAAACTAACAATCTAGAGCTGTAAATTATACATCATAAATATGACAGTTACACATTTAGAGAGCAGAAAAATCATACTTCATGCTAACTTCACTAATATTAAACATATTTAAGCAGACAAACCATAAACAGCAGCTTTATTTTAAGAGATACAGAAGTAACTTTAAAAACTAGAGTTAAATCTCAGCAGTTTAAAAGGGGAAAATTTATTAAATAACCACAATTAGTATAAAAATACAGTTCAAAGGTTAGGAGATTTAAAATTAAAAACTTCGACAAGTGCTCAAATCAAAATACAATTGTGTGAGTTTTCAGATATTGCATGAAAAATCTAGAGTAATTAATTACAACATTGATCAGTAAACCCCATTAGAAACAATTATACCATAGCAAACAGAAATGAATTACCTCGTCTTCGCCCATAACTCCTTGCTGCATGTAAACAAAGCACAAATTGTAAAATGTCAGAACTAAAAATAAGCCCACATATACAAATATTTCTGATACGAAAAGCTATGTGGGCATCTGAAAATTAGTGCTACTTTGTTTTAAGAGCAATGACAATGTCACCATATAAGATTTAAATGTTTTACCATTCTACAAAGGACTTTTATTTATAGGTAAATATATATCATCTGAATCATATAAAACTCTGAAATTAACAAGAAACACACATTTCATTATCATTTGTGTTAAAATTCACAAGTATTTGTTTCAGCTAATGAAGACAGAAATATACAACACTTTGCGGTAAATAGCATCCCAAATAATTTTCCCAATGAATGGAAACAACTTGAACTAAATGCTTATTTTTTCTACTTATTATAAAGAATGGTATGGCATATATAGTCCAATAAATAGCTGTTCAGATCCAATCTACATTATACCAAGTCCTGCATGGAAGTAGTGCTAGAAGACACAGATGACTGAGAAGATATACCACCATTAAACTGATACTCTGAAGCCTGTACAGATTAGACAGGATTTAAGAAATCAATGTTAAACTTGTTTAGAGAAATTACTATAGCTAATAATGCTTTCTATCACTTTAATATATGTTATAACAGCTATCTACTAATTGTTTATGTGTCTACCTATGAGGTAAGAGGGATTCAGATACAAATTACTATTAACAAAATCATGGAATAGTACATATGTTAAATACCATAAAAGTATATAGGCATTTCTATCTATGTTACTTGCAGTGACATAATTCCTATGGAAAAAAAAAAGACTGTAATTTCTTTTTCATAAGAAACTACTAGTTTGATAAAATCCACAAATTGTTTTAAAAGAACTCCTCCCCACAAATTTGAATACACAATGAGTATTTTTACCCTGAAATTAATATATGAAGTCAAGGCAGTAAACAAACAAAGACTGTTAAAATTAAGATCTTATTTTAAATTCACAGATTTTTTTAGGCCTGGAAAAAATTCAATATTGAATAAATCTTAAGTAAAAATATGTGCTGAAAGTTGCCAGAAATGTCTACCTAAAAATATAAAACTTAAAGATCAAAAGAAAACATTTCACATTATGAAATATACTTTTATTTTATGCTAATGCTTTACTACAAGGAAGTGTGTCTGTAACACACTAGTTCCTCTAATATAAAGTGGGAAAAACAAACTTGTCAACTCTCAGTCATTTAAATTCTAAGAAAAAAGTCAATCACTATAAGGCTTATATCAGACCCTTTCATATAAAATAACTTCATTTGCATCGCTGCCATTGTAGTGTCTTTATTTAGCTTGTAATCTGTTGCACACTTAACCTATCCTTGAGCTCCAATGACCCCAAAGTCTGGCAGATCTATTTTATAGCTTACCTGACCTATATATTATTTCTCCTCTCCTCAGATAGGAGTGAAAGTAGCACTTAGTATTTTGTTGTCTAGGTCTTCTAAACATAAAAGTTTTTAAAAAGCTCTAAGTGATGGGAGATCAACTGAAAAATCAGACTGATGCAATAAATTTTAATAGAGTGATCAAGAATAGACTATGGAGCTACACACGGGTGGTCATGCCTGTAATCCCAGCACTTTGGGAAGCTGAGGCGGGTGGATCACCTGAGTCCAGGAGTTGGAGACCAGCCTGACCAATATGGTGAAACCTCGTCTCTACTAAAAATACAAAAATTAGCCGGGCGTGGTGGCAGGCACCTGTAGTCCCAGCTACTCATGAGGCTGAGACAGGAGAGTTGCTTGAACCCTGGAGGCAGAGGTTGCAGGTAGATGAGATAGCGCCACTGCAATCCAGCCTGGGAGACAGAACGAGACTCCGTCTCAAAGAAAAAAAAAAAAAAAAAGAATAGACTACAGAAGAGTGAATAGTTGTATTAAGCCTAGAAATGGTCAACAGTCCCCAAAACACTTCACAGGATGTGAAGGGCTTCCTGCTTATCCCTGGGCATAGCCTAATGGTATTAATCCAGTATAAATTTGCTCTGGAAAATTTCATTCATAGGTGTAGAGAATTGAACATTTACAAAGCAAATAAAAATATTTTCATCAAGTTTAAAGTCAAATGATAAATTATGATGTCATAATGTCACAATTATTGACCTATTGAGAAAATTAATGATATCATAGCCAGTTTATGTTCTTAGCTGAGGCTACTCAATACTAAAATGGTAAAAATATGTATAAATTTCATAGCATCTTAAGTTTTCATTCCTTGGCTTGAATATAATCACTTAGAAAATTTCTCCAACTATCTCATACCTGAGGAATTTTAGAATCCTGTAAAGAGCTATTCTACTTATTTTTTGGGCAACTCTCAGATTCCAAGTATCTACATTACCAAAAATAGAACTGACTACAGATGAAGCTAAACCATGTGAAATATTTCCTATTCCCTGTTATGGAAATAACTAATCTGCCACCATCACACTAAACAATGGTGTGTGTATTCACTTTCCTACCAATATTTCTATGTGAATTTCTGGAGTATGTTCCATTATAACTCTTAATCAGAATTATGAGAAATACCTACCTATTAAGAAAAAAACTAAGTGACTTATGTTTTTAAAAAGACTTTTAATAACAATATGTCCTTCAAACTCATTTAGAAAATGATTTTTAAAAGGAAAAACTTGTATAAAAATGAAGAACACTTATGAAGTGTTGTAAAAACAACATGAGGAGCTATTTAACATACCTGTTGATGTGTATATGCACAGGTATGTTAAACATATATTACTGACACATGTGTGTCCTTATTTATTTAAAAATAAGAAGGCTTTGAGAAAAGCCTGAAGACAAGCGACTTTACAATTTTGGTTCTGGTTTCCAAATCGTCTTATTAAGGATCTAATCCATAGCTACAAAAAACAAAAACAGGATGATTCTAATATTCTGACTAGAAACTGTGTAGGGTCATATGTATTGGCTCTCAGCTACAGTTGTGGTAACTTGAATTACTGCAACTAGAGGAAGGGATAGGCATACACATTAAATTAGCTGGAAATACAGGTTAAAGTTCTCTTGATGAGGAAACTAAAGACATTTTTATTTTTTTCAATGTGAAAAAGCCAAAACTAAGGAGAGAACCATGCTACTAAATCACAGTCTTTTTTTTTTTTGAGGCGGAGTCTTGCTCTGTCGCCCAGGCTGGAGTGCAGTGGCGCAGTCTCAGCTCACTGCATCACTGCAAGCTCCAACTCCCGGGGTTCACGCCACTCTCCTGCCTCAGCTCCCGAGTAGCTGGGACTACAGGCACCCACCACCACACCCAGCTAATTTTTTTGTATTTTTAGTAGAGACGGGGTTTCACCGTGTTAGCCAGGATGGTCTCGATCTCCTGACCTCGTGATCTGCCTGCCTCGGCCTCCCAAAGTGCTAGGATTACAGGCGTGAGCCATTGCGCCCGGGCCCTAAATGATAGTCCTTTTCAAGACCCAAAAGAAAGCTTATCTCCTCCACTCATTCCACTGGCATAAAAGAAAAAAAGAACTGATGGCTACCCCACTTTCCCATTTTTATGACTGAATAGATACAAGTTAGAGCATCTGCCTTCAGAAATACAATTACTGACTTAATTTTCTTAATTAAATGATACTCATAACTTTTTTCCTCTCAAAAAGTACAGTAAGCTCTTTATGACATACATAGCTGTATGTGGGTTATCACAGCAAATTTACATTTCTAACTAGCTTGCTAATACCATTCCCACTCCCCCTCCTGGCCACCAATACTTCTGCTCTATTTGTTTCTCTTGAAAAACGTTACGTACTAATAAAAACGTAAGCTATTTTCCTTGAGAAAGGGGTAAAGAAGATATAATTCAAATATTAATACAAATACTTGAATGATACATCATTTTGTATTGCTCTTTACTACTATGGAAGGCAGGGTTTTTTTTTAAACTACTGATAATAAAAAGTGTTTAGGATTTATACATTTAGAAATATAAACATACATACTTTCATTCTAATTTCAGAAGTACTTCACCTTTGGTTTTAAAACAATCTACACAATTCTATATAATGTGACTTCCCTAAAGTGCTTCTGGATGCTAAATACGGACTCTTCAACATATTTGAATTCTTCAATAGTGACAGTCTCCAGCAGTCAATTCAACTTAATTTGGGGAATATGGTCTGTTCGGAAGGAGACTGCTTGTAGTTATATTTATATGGTTTTTTTATTGTTTAAATTAAAAAATATCTCTACAGCCTCATGAGATATACAGGTATTTATTGTATTACACCTCTTTTTTAAAAAATATATATCTGAGTTAACAGATGCTTAGAGTTAAGGATTTGCCAGAGACACTTCATAGTTTTACTGAATTTGACCAACTTCCTGGCTTTTATCCCATTTTCTCTTTATTTCTTACTTAAAGGAATATTGAAAAGATTAACCATAACTGCTGATTAACTATTAAGGTAGAATCATAAAATCTTTACAGGTATGTTTACAGATATATTTGCCATATCGGCCCAACAATTGTAACAGTATGTTTTATTAAAGAAACTCAAGCCTAGCATCACTGTCAGCTTTCTGTCAGTTCTGCATTTTCTAAGGAATGTTCTTTAATTGCAACAGTCATGCATTTATTTTAATGTGTATCTGTGTACATCAAAATCATCTTGGGTACTCCAAGGAGCAACAGCATCACACTTTAGGAAACAGTGCCTCAGAGAGTTATTTTACTTTTTTGGGGGGTTATTTTACCTAAACTTTGTCCCAAGATAGTTTCTAACAAATAGTTCTAGTTTGGCTTTCTGCAACAACACAAAATGGGCCATCTTTGTTGGCTACTTATAATATACTTCAAATAGTTTAAAATATCAGTTATGTTTTCTCTTAAGTTTATATTCTCCAACATAGACATATCCAACTTCATGTATTTATAGGACATGATTTTTACTCTTTCAAATAAATTTTTGTCACTGTTCACCATCACCCACTACTTAGCTAACATTTACTTCCAGAAGCTGCTCTAAATACTTTACATGAATGAATTCACTCACTTCTCAGAACAGTCCCCCTGAGTCAGGCAGTATGCTAATCTCTATTTTAGACATAAACAAACTGAGTCAAAGTGAAGTGAGGTAAGCTGTTCAAGGTTACACAGATAGAAAAAGCCAACCTGGGTTTAAACTCAGATAATCTGGCTCCAGAATCTATGTTAGCAACCACTATGAGCTAGCTACTATTACACCACTACAAAAAAAAAGAAAAAAAGACTGATGCAAAATTTATTACTAAACACTGATTTTTAAAGCTAACAATATTAGCTCTGCCTGTCAGTTAAGTAATTCAACTTACTTAACCAAATGCCTCAAAGTGAGTTAAATGTGTAATACTTAAAAACTTTCATAATTCAAAAAGTAGATCTACGTACTATGAGATACAATTTCTTTAATCAGTCAATAACATTTAATAAATACTTAGTACAGGAGCACTAATATCACTTAATTCTCACATTTCCCAGGAAGACAATATGCTAAGAATATAGCTGAATTGCACGTAGTTAAAAAATAGCTCAAGAAAAACATCCCCTTACCTATTAGTACCTTTCTTGGCCTAGTTCTCTCTTCAGTAACCCTGGTGTCTACTAAAATTATTTAAATCCCTAATATTCAAGACTTCTTTAACCCACAAATATTCCCGATTATGTTGTGACTTCTTTAACCCACAAATATTCCCAATTATTTTGCTTCACTCTCAACCAATGATCCGAAAAAAGTTTTAAAAAAAATTCTCTTTGGATCAAATTGTTTCTTTTCCTGATGTAAACACATTTTCATGTCCTAGTTTCATTATCTTTTTCTCCCCGCTAGTACCTTGCCAGAAAAAGTTCAGAATTTCCAGGCTGGCTTCCTGTACTGAGTATGCATTGTGGCCCCAAATGACTACTAAGACTACTCACATAATACACAAAGCCGACTTGTCCACAAGATGCAACTCTTGCCTGAAATAAAATACTCTTCTTTCTGCCATGTGATGAAACACTTTTCAACCTAACATCTAGATTATTTATAAGGGCTTTTCCCAACTGACAAAATCATCCATTAGTTTAATAATGTTTAGTATAACTAATAATGTAAGTTGCAAATACACTGTGGCTACTAAGCTCTTTGCTTCCACATGACTCAGTATGGCCCCAGGCAATTCTGACCACAACCATCCTGTAGGATTCTCACTAATTAGATAACCGAGTGCTTAGACTAGACTGGCATGCGCTAGACAACTAAACAGTGAAATACTGAATGATTAAATCAATCACCTCATCTAATGCTCTGCCTTCTTCAATTTTTCTCATTGAGAATCCTACTTACCCTGACCATCTCCTACGTGGCCTGGACTTTATTTCCATCCTTCTGTCTTAATATTAGTTCACATAGTCTAGCTTCACATGTACCTTATTTTCAGTCTTTGTTCCTCAACTTCATTGCCATCTTATTTCAGCAAACCTTCAGTTGAAATACAAGAGCCAAGCCATTCTAATGATATTTTTTTAAAGTAAATATTAATACTATTTCTATTCTTTCCCCTTCCTATTTCCCTCTCCACACCCACCCTCTGACTTAAAAATACTCCTGTGAAGGATATTTTAATCTTCCATCTCTACTCCCACAATCACGGAAGTGCTAAGTACTGAGACTCTGAATATGTTAATGTTTGTCTAACAGAAAGAAAACTAACTTTAATGAAATTTATTTATTATTTTCCTTACTTTGGTGAACTTCTCTATGTAAGCTTTCTAGTTTGAGTAAGTTTAGTGTGATCACAATATTTATAGAGTTACCAGTATATTCCTTATTTAACCACAAACACAATGCTATACTAAGTAACAAGTTCTATGCCTTTGCAAACATTTCATTTAAATCTCACAATAAACCTTGAGACTATATTCTCATTACAGAGATGGGGAAACTAAGGTAATAGTAATCTGTCCAAGGTCATACCTGAAACTGGAAAGGCAATATTCAAACCAGGACTGCCTCCAAGTCCGTGATCACTGAATTAAAGTCATACTGTTACAAATGGCTGCTTTACCAGCCCGAACACACTCAGATTCCTAATTCTGCCTTTTGCATAGGAATAGTTGTAACTTTATTTTTATGCTCATAGAATGATTAAATTGTGTGTATGGACAGGTTCAGAGAAACATGTATTAAATCATCTTTACATAAATCAACTGGAAACATAAAATGTTTTTATAAAACTTACCATTTAACATCAACAGATTGTCAGTTCCTGGATGTGGATAGCTCAATCGACCTTTAAAAAGACAGGAAAGGTGAGTTTGAAGATTATGGAGTTATTTGAAAAGCAAAAACAAAAAAACAAAAAACAACAACAAAGGCAGCATAAAGAGAAAATTATTGAGCACAGTATATTTCTTAAGAACTAAAAAGCTTATGTTCAACTAAAAGTATATTAACTAAAATTATCTTTGGAAGTTGAAAGCAAAACAAAAAGTTAACCTTAGTTCCTAGATCATAAGAATACAATGTGATTTGGGAGCAATGCCAATAGAATAAAGCTTATTTATTTTTGGAATGTAAAAACAATATATCTATCATATCCTAGTCTTGCAAATTTAATATGAAATGTGAATTTTTAAATTTTTTCAAAGTTGTTTGTAATTTTATCTATAGATCTGTCAAAAATAAAACTTGAGAGAATTTCATATTCCTAAATCAAAAACAATTAAAATGTTAAAATAAAAAATAAGCAGAAAAATTCATCTCAACTTGCCAATGTGGCTTTATAAAGTCATATTTAAATAAATTAGTTTAATGAAAACATCTTATATTACAAATATTATTGAAAATTTAACTTCTTCAAAGTTTATAAATGATTAAAAATATAAAAAAAATTAAAGCTGATGAGTATAGTGGCATAGTATTTCCTCTGAGTCATTCTTCATTCGAAAGTTTTTTATTTACTAAATGCAGAAGGGACAACAGTATTACAAACTGCTGTGGAGAAGAAAAAAGGTATGCATGAAACATTCTGTGGTTTATCCAGCATTTTTACATCATAACACTTATTTGATAAATGCCAATAGCAAGGATGACCATTATTTTTAGTCTATATTATAAAATACAGGATTTTTCTCAAATTCCTAAATCTCTAATAGACTATTAGAATAGTACATTAAAACCCATTTAGAGGCTGGGCATGGTGGCTCATGCTTGTAGTCCCACCTAGCTGGGAGGTAGAAAAAGGAAGATCACTTGAGCCCAGGAGTTTGAGCATGTAGTGAGCTATGACTGTGCCAATGCACTCCGGCCTGAGCAACAGGGCAAGACCCTGTCTCTCAACAAATGAAAAAAAATTTTTTTAACTGATTTGAAAAATGTCTAAAAATTAAATGTCTGGGATTACATTTTAGTAATTTTCAGCACAGTCCCTTTAAAAACAAAATAATATGCTAGCACACAAGTAAGGAGTACAGATGAACTGCATCTACCTTTACCACCTCAGCAAGTCCTCTACAGATTAACTGCATCTACCTTTACCACCTCAGCAAGCCCTCTACACTCTACAGGCCCACATGTAAGATGGAGATTGTCGGTTGGATTTTGTTTCAGTTATGAAATTAAAGAGTTTGATCATCTACTAATGCAAGAGTAAGTGGCAAAAATAATCCAATTTTGACACTAAAATACATAAATATATATGATAGGTACCCAAACATGTTTCCTGTACATACATATACACACTTCACCTGAGATCTAAGTTAACTATGGAATATTTTGATTTCAGACTCAACACAGGTAAAATAAGTGTTATCAAAAGGATTATCTACCATCTCTTATTTACTCCTGCATTTTATGCAGCATGACATGAGTTAACTAAATGACCTCTTAAATAAAGTTGTCATACTCTAAAACATACAAGTAAATTTCTTGTTGTGATACCTTGGTATGAGTGAGAAATAGAAGCATACATATGGGAAGTACACAATCAACAGCCAGGAAGCACAGCTTTCCTAAACTGCACTTCAGTAACACGGAACATTACTTTGAAGTATTATAGCTTATTTTGGAAATATGCCTATTTCTAAACATCTTGCTGCAGATGGCCAAATTTGGAGAACAGTTTAAGGCCATGAATAAATTACTGTTATTTCTGACTTAAGATTTAAAAAAAAAAAACAAACTCCTACAAAATGGCAACCTGTATCACTGTTCAGCATAATAAGTTAATTAAATCTACGATACTGACAGTGTGTAGGATGCAGAGCATGTAAACATGAGTGGGACATAGTCTTATGATGTGGTAGGGGAGATAGACACAAATATACAATTTCAATAAAATATGCTAGGTGCTAAAAGAGTTATGTATAGAATGCTATATAAAAAAACACAACAGAGTATATAGTAATCAGGCCCAGGGATTAAGGCAAGACTTCCTGGGAAAGTAAATTAAGCAAAGCCTTAACATGAAGCCTAGTTCCACCTTGAAAGATCCTCAACTTTCAATTGTCACATAATTACTCTAATAGGTTCCTGTTCATTTATTTATCCCAAGATACAGGTAATAAAATAGTTTCACTGCTAATAGTCTTTTGATATTATGGCTCTGAATAGACTTTTAAAAGGCACACTTTTTGTGGAAAGTTTAAAAAACATAACTATTTGCAAAGGAACATATATTGTATACATATGTATACATATTATAAATACTACAGCTCGCTACCTAAGAAAATCTCTCAATGTAAGTAATAACATACTCCAAAATGAAATAAGCAAATTTAGACTCATTTTTAAAGATGAGTCTTTTTCTCTACCACAGTGGAAACATTAATGCATCTTCATAGGTTAACTTTTAAAGTTAAGTTTTACTTAGGGTATTATTAAAAGTACTTTCGCTAAAAACCTGCCAATTGATAGTAAGAACTAACAGCATTTGAGGCTATACTCTGAGCCAGGAGCTTTTCTATGTTCTTTACAACCAATTACTTAATCCTAAGAACGATCCTATGAGTTAGGTATTATTATCTTCCCATTTTAAGATGACAACACTATATCACAAAAAGTTAAATAGGTAAGTTGCCCAAGGTTATACCACTGGCAGGTAGCACTGGCAGAACCTGAACCTAAGCAGTTTGGCTCCATACTCTTAATCGCTATCTTAATAATTACTTTATATTGACAACATAAAGGTATACATGGTTGGTTGTAGGACAATTTTATCTCTTAAAAAATTCACAGAATATTCTATAGTATATTTCATAATTTAAGATTTAATATAGAAAAAATAGAAAAAAAACCACATTACTATAAAACTAATTTCTCCTTATTGTTTAAAAGACCTGTGGTGCAGTGACTGATAGATGTACACTAATAACTACCTGTTCCTGTCAATAATAGGGTCATCAAAGCTAGACAGATACAGAGCTTCCCAGAGTAAAAAACAAAAAACCAAAAAACTACATACATAGCCCAGCCTTCTTGTAGGTAAGTGTACCCCTGCATGTAAGATCTGGCCAATGGGATATAAAGTGAAAGTGGTACGTGCAATTTCTGGGAAGTACTGTATCCTTAAAAGGGAAGACCTTCCTTTTCTCTTTCTTGCTTGCTGAAATGCTGATGTGATAGCTAAAGTGAAGAGACCATATTAGACCATAAGGCAAAAACTGTGTTTTCAGGATAATAGAAGAATGAGATAAAAAGGAGCTTCAATCCATGAAAATCACCATACTACTCTAGAAGTGTTAATGTTTCTGGTAAGGGAAACAAACTTCTATCTTACTCAAGCCACTTAGGAGTTTTCTGTTGTCCCTAATGAACCTAAGCTTACAAACAAAGTCATCTAGTAATAAACCTGGGCAAATTAAATTTTAGGTAACCAGGCAATTGCTTATTAATTATTGTGAAAATATGATAATTTCATAATGGTTTAATATATCAATAAAGAGTATACACTAGCTCTTGACACGGCTCCTTTCACATTAAGATACTATGAAATTTAAAATAAGTAATTTAAAAAATATATGTATTTTTGGGTATCAGTGAATAACTAGAGGATCTATCGTATCTTAAAAATTTTCTTATTCGTCTATTACGATTTTAAATAGTAATTTGTATATAACATATACAGTCGGCCCTCTGTGTCTGGGGCTTCTGCATTCATGGGATTCAACCAAGAAATTATATTGAAAATATAATTCCTGATCAAAAATACTCAGGAAAAAAAAATTCCAAAATGTTCCAGAAAGCAAAGCTTGAATCTGATGTGCACCAAGTATGATACGACATTGAATCCGCACAAATGTGATGTCTAGGCACTTAGGTATTATAAGTAATCTAGAGACGATTTAAAGTACACAACAAGATGTGCACAGGTTATAGGCAAAAACTACATCATTTTACATAAGGGACTTGAGCATTGCCGATCTTGGTATCTCTGGGTGGTCCTGGAACTAGCCCCAGTGGTTACCAAGTGACAACTGTATAAAAAAGCCTTACTTCATGTTAGCCACTTTAAATGTATTATCTGAGCAACTAAAAATACTAAGAAATATGACAACTGTATAAAACTTATCACTTCTTTAGAGAAATTACCAGATTACATTTGGAACAAATATCTGGTCCCTGATTCTCTACCATTTTTGCTACACTGATCTCTGCTGTTCCTCAAACATGCCAGGTAATCCCTTTTCAGGATCTTCCTACTTCCTTTTTTTTCTGCTTGAAATACATTTGCCCAGATACGACCAAAGCTTGCACCTCTCACTTCATTCAGGTCTTTAAGAGATAGCATGACAGACTATCCTGTCTAAAATAGCAGCTTCTTTCTCTATCCCCTTGATAGTATATTTTTTCTGCATAGTACTGATTATCATCTAACATTTTCTGTCTCTATACTTCTTTAAAACAGAAGATCCATGAAGGCAGTAACTTAGTCTCTCTTACTCTCTAGCATATAAAACAAAGCGTAGCATATAATAGGCTCTCAAATATTTGTTGAATGGATAAATCAAATATTTCATTCTACTATGTAAACTATGGACTGAATCAAAAACACAAATACCTTAACATGTGTTTGTATGTGTGGCATAGGGAGGATATTCTCTAAGAAAATGAAAAAAAAAAATCATAGAACAAGACTTTTTTTTCAGCTTATTTCTAAATCTCTTACATATTGAAGTTGTGGGGAGAGATATTGCAAAAGTCCTGCTTATTGCTCTTTGCCAAGATAAATTTTTCCCTTCTCTAAACTATTTTTTCTTTAATGAGTTAATAGAGGAAATGAACTCCAAAGCCCTAATATTCAGTTGATGATGCTAACTCACTCTTCAGTGATGAGAACATAGCTAAAGAACAATGCCATGTGCTCTGCCAATTGTTTCTAAAAGAAAAATAAACATTTAAATCACATTAGAATCATAAAGAGTTTAGGTTAGAATTAGCAACAGATCAAAAGGGAGACACTATGGTGCAGTGGTTAAACGCACAAACTCAAAGCTACCAAGTTCCACCACTTACTAGCAGTTGAAATGCAGACAATTATTAAGAATAAGCCATAGTCATCCAACTGTAAAATAAGGGTAAATATCTACCTCTTAGTCATGCAAATTAAATGAGTTAATACATATATGTAGAGTCCTCAAGAACAATGCTTAGCTGTATCAACTGTTCAATAAATGATATGTATGGTATGTTATATACTGTATGTGTTTATTAAACACACAATACACACATACCCTTAATAGAAGATATCTAATACTTCTTAATTAAGTGCTTTAAATAAAGCATTGCCCCAACTCATTTGACAGACTCTTCCAATATTGTTTTCATAATCTACATTTTACCTTTACTTCCAAATCCAATTAGGAAAAAAAGGTTCATTTGAAGTCTGGTAAAATCCACTTAGAATGTGGTCATTACCAACCTTGAATAACTCCAATCTCTGCTCAGATCCAAGGGGCAGGACAGTCATTCCTGACCACACTCCCAAATTTCAATGCATGCCTCATAAAAGCCTAAGAATAAGATCATACAAACGCAGAAAAGACCCTTAGATCCAAAGTACCAGATCCGAAGAGAGCAACAGAATCATTCCTTACCTACATCTAATAAAAGCCATCAATCTACTTTAGATTCAACTGAAATTAATCTAGTTAATGCATTCAAATCAAAATCCTATCATAAATTTTTTGGCCTAATCATATTTTAAGACTTTTACCCAATTAATACTAGAAAATTTACCAAGAAACACCAAAGAACATAGAATACCAAAAAGTTTTGATTCAAGAAAATGGTAATCCCAAAAGACAATAATAATAAAAGACAAAACTTAAGTCATTAATCATTTAGTAAGATAATATATTATCATATACCTATAAGAGTGGTACTAATTCAGATATATTCAACTAATATTAAAGTCAAGTTGAGTTAATGGTTGCAAAACTTTTCACTGTTAAAAGGGTTTTAAACAAAAGTAATGCTGATAACCAGTAGGAATAGCAAATGGGCAACAAAATATTGCCAGTGGAACTGGTATAAAGCAAACCTAGGTTGGCAATATTATGTTTACAGCCTCAGAAACAAGCATATGAAGTTTGTGCTATGAAAATAAACACAGAAAAAGCTAATTCAATTTTATTTAAAAATTTGAAATACCTAAATGTTCAACTATACCAGAATGGTTATACAAACTATTTTACATGTATAGATACAATATACAGGAATTCTTTAAAGTTCTAAATCAATATTTTGAAGAGTATGAATTATGAGAAAATGCTTAATCATTTAACCAATAATTTACTGGGCTCCTCCTATTTGTTTGACATCATGATAGATGCTGATTCAAGGTAAAGCAAAAACACAAGTGGCCATTGCTCCCATGACACAGTCTTATGTGAAAGATTATGTGAAAGATATATATTAAAAAAATAGTTCGGGCATGGTGGCTCAGGCCTGTAATCCCAAGCATTTTGGGAGACCCAGGCGGGTGGATCATGAGGTCAGGAGATCAAGACCATCCTGGCTAACATGGTGAAACCCCATCTCTACTAAAAATACAAAAAATTAGCCGGGTGTGGTGGCATGTGCTTCTAGTCCCAGTTACTTGGGAAGCTGAGGCAGGACAATCGCTTGAACCCAGGAGGTGGAGGTTGCAGTGAGCCAAGATCACGCCACTGCACTCCAGCCTGGGTGACAGAGCAAGACTCCATCTCAAAAAACAAAAACAAAAACAAAAACAAACAATTGAATCTAAAATAAGAAAAGTGCTCTGATTAAAAAGAAACTTGATTCTCTATAAATCTTTAACACAAAAGTAATCTACCCTTGATAGGGGTGCCAAAGAGTCTTTATGATGAGGTAGAAATTGACTAGAGATTAGAGACTGCCAACTGAACATGAAGGACTGAATACACGTGTTCACCTCTGTTGCTTTCCGAAATCCCTAACGTGGCAGTTAAAAAGATTTGAAAGAGGTGTCTCAAAGAAAACAAAAAGATTTTTAAAGAGGCATAACCCCATTAGGATAAAGACACTAGAACAGGATCATAAAACAACTAAGTCATCAAATTTCTGGGAACTGTAAATGTGAATGGTTGAATGGTAACTAACTTTGTAGACCAGAAATCACTGAAACACAAACCTAAGCCGTGTATACATGGGGAATGCCATCAAGTAACACTCCATTTACTGTAGTACACACCTGGATAGGTTCAGAAATCAGAAGCTCTGGTTATAACTGTGTGTAAAAGTCGGGTACAACTAAAAACAGAAGGTTTAAGATTGCTTGTTAGTTTTTAAAAGAACCCTCCTGGGTTCATCTAAGAAGTCTAGCAGCTAGGCCTACAGCTCACAAGCAGAAGACTAGAAGACCCACATCCATGTTCATTTGCCAGAACAAAAGAAAAGACCTAGACACAGGCATGGTGAGGGTCTCACCTGATTGACTTATTACAATCATTACTAGTTGATAATTTCAACTATATACATTGAGCTTCCAATCCCCATTTTTTGTGTCTTACTTTTAAATATGAATAGACAGTAAAAGATGAAGCCCCCAACATGAGAAAAAAAGAGAACACAAACAAATAAAAAAGAACTTTGAAGAAGCACAGACAATATAAGGAACTGGGAAAATAATCTTCAAACACTATAATAGCCTCCAGAGAAATAAGATCAAACAACAAGAATAAGATGTAATTGAAAGTTCTGAGAATTTTTTTAAAGGAGGTTTTAAAAATTAGCAAAAATTTTTAAAACAAAAAACTCAAGATTTGAAAAATAAACATAAGCTCTTGAAATGCAAAACAAGAGACAAAACAATGGAAAACAGAAAAGAAAAACAGATGATGACTATACAACATTTAACATTTGAGGAACAGGAATTCCAAAAAGAGGTAATATTAAAAAATGGGAGGCAGGCATGGTGGCTCATGCCTGTAATCCCAGCACTTTGGAAGGCTGAAGCGGGCAGATCACAAAGTCAGGAGTTCGAGACCAGCTTGGCCAAACACAGTGAAACCCCGTCTCTACTGAAAATACAAAAATTAGCCAGGCCTGGTGGTGGACACCTGTAATCCCAGCTACTTGGGAGGCTGAGGCAGGAGAATCACTTGAACCCGGGAGGCAAAGGTTGCAGTGAGCCAAGATCACGCCACTGCACTCCAGCCTGGACAACAGTGCAAGACTCCCATCTCAAAAAAAAAAAAAAAAAAATTATCAAAGAAATAATATCCCAAAATTCCAAGAACTGAAGATATAAATCTCTGAATTAAAAGGGTCCAATGAAGGTACAGCTTAATAAATTAAAAAATGAAGGCAGGAAGGAAGGTACGTATGCACATACACATTCCAAGATACACATTTCATTACTATGAAACTGCAGAACCACAGGCATGAAAAATAACCTAAAAGCTTCCAGAAAGAAAAACAACAAAAAAATAAAGTAAGAAATCAAGGCAATCATACAAATGAACAGGATTCAGAATGATGCCACACTTAAAGCAATACTGGAGGTTAAAATATCATACCTTCAATATTCTAAATTGCTAATATATAATTCCATAGTGACTTATCATATTATATAGGTAGAAACATTATGTTTTAATACATATAGTGTCTCAAAATGTATGTCCCATTAGCAGGAAGGTAATACAGGTCCAACAAATCAAAGAAAAACAAAGGTGTAAGTCATTAAAGAAAGGACATGGGGATTAGGACATGGATTCCACAGAAAAAAAGGAATTCCTAGGATTATGGAAGTCCCAAAATGACTGCTATATAGGACTGCAATAATGAAAAAAAACAATCTGGATGATAATTTGATGCGTTTGTATGTATTGAAAGAAGCTTTACAGTCTATGGATAAATACTGGGATGAATTAATGATAAATACTTAGAAAACTAAGCAAATAAACTAAAAAAGATAATGATTAATTCCAGGAAAAAGAAAGCTTTATGAAAAAGAAAATGTTACATTACAGTACAAAACATACAAGGTTCATCTATGAATATTATTTGCCTTATCTCAGTAATACAATCCCTGACTTAAACAAAAGTGCTCTTATCATTTTGGAGGACAGAGTAGGGGAAATATTGAAGGATATTAAGTCATATTAGAATATCAACATACAACACCTAAAATGTAGGAAATATAGGAGCACAAGCATATTATTTACAAATAATTACATAATCAGTTCAAAAAAAAAAAGCTCATAGTGGCTACCAGTAAGGAGCAGGAATCTGAAGTGGACAGACAAGGAGGAGGAAGGAGACTTCTATTTTTTCATTATATAAGACTTATAGCACTACTAGACTTTCAAAATTATGTAAATATATTTTTAAACTAATTTTTTAAAAAAGTTAACCAGGTTGGATGGAAGGCAAAGATTTAATTACTGCAAATATTTTAAGTTTATAAATAGAGAATGAAAAGACTGGAAAAATTATACACCAAAATATCAATTATGATTATTTTAGTTTGTGAGATAAGTGATGATTTTAAAACTTGTTTCTCCTAGTGTTTCCACATTTTCTTTAATAAATGAATACTATTTTTTTTGTAACAGGAAAACAAACACTTTAAAAAGGATAAAATGCTATCATTTTGGAGAAAAAACCTTCAAAAGAAATTCTTTGATATATCTTCAAATACTATAAGTAGTTAAAATGCATAAGCCTAATTATTCCAATTACTTGCTTTTATCACTGCAAGTTATATATAGGAAACATTCTTTTTGTTGTTCTACTTTCCATTTAAAACAAGTGATATAAACATTTTTCAAATCATATGAAAGATGTTTTGTGGTGAGTAACAGGATTGCAGTAAGCACATATATGTTCTGAATAAATAAATGTGATTTTAATAAAATTCATTGTAGTTTCTGATGGGTTTTAGTTTTTAACAAAAAAATTTCAGTCTGTCATAATTTAAATCATTTACCTAAATATTCAAAGATGCTTGGAAGAAATAAAACTCAAGTATGTTTTAATAAGTTTGTAATAAAGGCAACTATGTAAAAAGGAATAAAAGCAAAACTTATCTCCATCCATGATGTCATATTTCAAATGTTTTTTTAAAACAAAAACTTTCACAACCACATTTTTATCATTTCCTTTTCAATCTATAGATATTCTCAATTACCAGTCAAACTCATAAATTGTACTTTCACTAAGATGAACAATTCTTAGTAGTGGAAGGGTCAAGTATTAAGATTCCATGTACGTTATAAGAGTAATCACCTCTTAAAGTCAGAATATGTTTAATAAAATACATATGGCTGCTATATAAATACAATTTACTCCAAAAGTTAATAATTTTTTTTCCTATCAAAGGCCAGGAGTCTATAGAATGAAGAAACGAAAAATCAACAAAGGAAAAAGAATGTCAATTCTACTTACTCCTTTTTGAAATAAATGGAAACATTTCATTTAAAACTGAATGCATATATATATTAGATACATAGATATGTATCTAATATATGTGATTTTCTTCTATACTCTTTTTTGTTATTGGCAATTTTAAAACTTTCAACTTCAGGAAAACACCAGTGGCTGAAGAAAAAGTAAACTCAGTTTTGAGAAATGCACCCCTTTTTCTCTGTCAGGGGAAATAAGGAAGAGTCCTGTAAGAGCAGATGACATTCCTGCTTTGGCATGTATATTATTGGTATTTGTTTTATTTTGTACTTTATTTTAATAAATGCCATTAAACTTTCACAGCTTTTTAAAGATCTCTTTACCATTGCTCTCTTATACCAGAGTTTCTCCAGGTGTGTTCTACACCCCACACGAACTACACCACTTCTAGGGTGGGCCCTGAAAACCACATGGTTGACACAGTCTCAGTGTCTGAGAACCTCTGTCTGGCTCGACAGTTCTTAAATTCTAAATATAAGTTCTCACAATGGAGACTTTTAGAAATTTATACAAGTTATTTTGTGACTTGGTATTGTAATCTTATATTAAGGTCAGCTGAAGAGAAAGAGAGGGAAAAGTGGAAGAAAATAAGCAATTTGGTACTACCATAATCAGTCAGCACCTTACAGGAATAACTCCTTATTTTCTCAGGGCTTATATGCCCTAAAATAAACAGAGCTTCTTACTTCAGGAGTCTTAAAAAATAGGAGTTTAGCAATCAGGTAATAAAAATGACACTAGATATACAAAAACTTAGTAAATAAGTTTTAAAGGCATCCACTTCTAGACATTTCTTGGTGTAAAATCATATTCTAAATTCTTTTTCCTTAATTCCCTTTAACTGCTCATGAAACACTGGTAAAGGCATTACGACTTACTGACACAGATCTTCCCCCAAACCGTTACATAAACTACATTTCTTCCTAGAGTTTTCAAATCAACTTTTATGAGCTACAATTAAGTAATTCTGTTTGTCCCTATACTTTGGGAAATGATACAAGCAATTTCTGGCAAAAATACTCACACAGTAAGCCTTTTTACAAATTGTTGGGGGCAGGGAAGGAAAAGAGCTTAACAATAATCACTGTCTTGTTCTTTTGTTAAAGGGGGAATATATATACACATATATTAAAAAATCACAAATTATTTAAAATAGGTATGCAAATCTAAAACTGAAAAACTACAAAACAGTACTTGGCAAAGCATGATTTACTTTAACCATTTAAAGAATCCATGATCTTCCTTTGAAAAGCAAATTATTTGCCAAGAATCAAGATAGTCACCAGAAAATAGGATGTTAATGGAGAGAAACTACCACACAATAAATAAAGCAGACGGGTCAGTGCCATTCATACTAAAGAAAGCATTTAACAGTGTGTCACTGTTCACGATCCATAGCAAAAGATAGCACACTCTCGACAGTGTTAACTGTGCCCTGTTACACCCAGTCGGCATCAGGCAGCCCTAAACAAGCTATGCCAGGGCTAGCCTCCTTTCAGTTCCTCAAATGTAACAATCTCTTCCATGCTTTTGCACATGCTGGTTCCTTTGTCTAATTGACACTTTCTCCCAATTTTTCCATCATTGTGCTGCTCATGCTTCAGGTCTCAGCTTCCTTTACTCCACATCTAAATTAGGTACTTCCATTTATAATCTCTCTAAACACCTCATAATCTTCCTCCACAGTATTTCTAACACACAGTAGATATACGTATATTGTATTTGTATAAGGAATCTCTCTTTCCCCAGTAGGCTATACAATGAGGGCAGACACTATGTCTGTCTCCGACAACGTGCAGTGTCTAGGAAACTTGTGCAAAAACAGACACACTTAATTGAGTAAAGTACATTCTGCATTCCATCTTGGGTTGCCATCATTTCACATCTGTACAACTTCAACAAGACTAGACCCTTCCTACCTGCTATGCCAGACCATGAAAATATTAACATTAAACAATGGAGGTTCCCTACTGTCCTGAAAAAACACTGGGGAGTAGGAAAAGGCAAATAAGCTGCAGTGAAGTGTTTTGGGCATAAACAAGGATAAGAGGGAAGGTGCTTCTGTTAGCACAATCACCAGTCCTCAGTTAGGTCAGGAACCTGCCACTTAGCATTCTAGAGATCTATCTGCTTGACTGCTTTCTTCCAATTGACAGTCTCACCTTGACTAATTTTTCTTTTCCTTTAACTGTGGGTCGAATTGAATACAAATTTACCACTCTGCCTTTTACCTCTGTGGTAGCCAGCCTCTAGTATTCACATCTCTTGAATAGCAGACTTGGCCTAAATTGAGCAGAGCTGATCTATGCAGTTAACAGAATGTTGTGGAAATGATGGTATGAGACTTCTAAGGCTAGGACATAGAAGACATTGGGGCATTTGTTTTGAGCTTTTATCACTCACTTTGGGGGATATAAGCAACCATGTTGTAAGAAAAATTTTACAGCCCTGTAGAGAGGTCCATGAGGCAACAAACCAAGTTCTTCTGCCAACATCCAGCCATGTGAGTGTACCATCTTAGAAAAAGATCCTCCAGTTCCAGTTAAGCCTTCAAATGACTGCAGCCTCAGCCAGTATGTTGACTGCTACTTCATGAGATATCCTTAGCCAGAAGTAACCAGCTAAACTGCTCCCAAATTTAAACCCACAGAAATTGTTTGAGATAATGTATACTGTTTTTTTGATCTGCTAAATTTTGGGATAATTATAGAGAGATAACTAATATCTCTCCTCACTCAAGTTCATTTTCCTAGATATTTTCAGCATTAATATAAAGAGAAATAATTCATTTTAAAAGTTTACCCTCCAACTCCCTTCTCCTTTTTCATCAGATCCCATAACAAAAACAAAACAAATGGCTGGTTTGTAAAACAGCATTTAAAAAGGATAAAATAATATTCATTTTGTTTTCTAGGGGAAAATCATTTTTTTTTAATTAAACAGAGGACAGGATTTCCTACAAGGGTTGAGAAGGTAAGAGACAAGAGATGAGACAGAGGGCGAAATACTGCCCTCAAGAACAGTAATGGAAAGAAGGAAAGCAAATTCAGGTGTTAAACCCTGGATGGTTTATTCCATTTGCTACCACCTTGATTTAGAAGATTCTACTGAGGTCTAGCCCAAAGAAAAAAGTACAATAATCAGAGTACGGAGAGAAAGAAAATATACAACATAATATCCCAGAAGGCAGTGGAATTTGTATTAATAAGAAAAGAAAGGAAAAAAAAAAGACTTAAAGTGGCAGCACTTAGTACCAAGATAATTTTAAATAGGGATATGATGGTGCTTTGTAGAAATATCAGTCTTATTTTTTTATTTTATGCAGAGAAAGTTTCTCGATTTTTTTCTTTTTTCTCTACTTAAAAATTCCGTCATAAAACACGTGGAAGATAAAATATTCCACGTTTTGTGTAAATATGAAGACTTGTCACCATAATGATTCCTAAAGGTGGTTAGTGAGCATGTTTTTTCCCTTCTCACAGCCAAAGATAATTTTCCTAACTTAAAAATTTTGAATTCACTTGAGATTAAAAAACATATATATCTATATATGCGTGTGTGTGTGCGTGTGTATATATATATATATATATATATATATATATATAAAATTCCCCTTAGCCTTATAATGCTTCCATTTCCTTTTCAATGTCCTCTTTTTACGTTTCCCTTCACTTTTACTATAACCCAGGCTAGCAAAAAGAAAAACTGAGATAATTAACAGTGCCACAATGAACATTTTGTCTAACATGTTTAAAAAGCCTTTTGAAAAAAAAAAAAAGACTGGGAGAAACAACAATGAAAAACTTTTATTATCCACTGGTAACAGTTAATAATCTTGACTTTATCTTGTATTGGAGTTTCTAAGAGTTTTCTTTCTTGAGAAGCCAAGGAGATAAACAGGAAACTTCTTAATCATAAGCTGCTGGCTTCTATTCTAAATGGTGGATCTAAGACAAACCACTGAAACTGCCAGCATAACAGTGAAAAAGACCAAGACCCTATACAAAGATACTCAAAAAACTAAGCTGAACTTTGGTTAAAAGGAAAAAAAAAAAAGAAACTCAAACAAACATCCCCAAAAACCTGACATACAACTATAAGTTTGTATGAGGAATTACTATTAGCACACATAATCAACAATCACTAATATCCCCTCAGCTTCTCAAGCTCCTTAAAATTAAGGAATTAAAAAGACAAGGAATTCTTTTTACAAGAAAAATCCATAAACAGAAAAAAATAGTTAGATATGTGGTCAGTATTATCAACTTAGCCCCACATCACCACCTCCCTGCCAATAAGGAAGTTTATAGTTTTTAGGCCAAATCTTGAAAGAGAATTCTAACTTGGCTTTATAGAATTAAAAATGGCGAAAATTTACAAAGTAATCCATGATTTTGATTCAATGAGAGATTTTGAGCCAGAATAAAATAGTTAAGCTGCTCCTGAATTTCTGACTCACAGAAACTGTTTAAGGTAATAAATATTTATTGCTGTTTTTAAGCTGCTAAGTTTTGAGATAATTTATTATGTAGCAATAGATAAATAGTAACTGTCATGACTCAAATAGACAATTTGGTAGATTTTCACCACTGATATAAATGACAATGTGATATATTGTATAAAAATATATAATAATTGCTTTTTTTCATTTTATACACAGAATATGTACAGACAAAAACAAGTATGCTAATGAAATTTCTTCAAATACTACAAACAATTAGTGAAGACTGCTACTATAGGGTAAGTGGGCCGGTTCTTTTCCCTAATTTGTCTCAACTTCTATGAAAAGCTATTTTTCACCTCAGAGAAGCTACTATAAAATACTCCCCCCCCTTTCAAAACCCTATGACAGTAGAAGAAAAATAGAGAAAGGAGGTTAACTAGGGATAATTCTAGGCTGGAATCACTGCAAATTGTGAATACAAGTATTCCAAGAAATATTTTTAGTATTTTTGTACTTGAAAGAATTCTAGAAAAGTGACTAGTGTATACTTTTAGATCCATCCTTCATTCTCTGGTGAACTGAAGCATGTCTCTAAATAGTAAATTTTCCTTAAATTGTAAGTCAAGGGAGGTGAGTTCACATTAAGCAACAAAGGAAAAATATGGCATTTCATAAAAACAAAGATTCTCATTAATAAATGTGTAAGAGAGTTTTATATTGGATATAGGTGCTACTTAGGTTTCACTTTCATATAAAAACTAGTAAGATAAGCAAATTGGTGTATAATATAAACATATATTTTTTTAAAAAGTCACCTACCCTTAAGAGGATCATGCTCTGCTCTCATAATATCGATAAGGGAATTTTCCAAAGAGTGCATATTCAAACTGTCATACATTCTACTTCGATCCTGGAAGAGAAGAGGAAAAAAGACATTATAATCTATGCAGTTTTTTCAAAAAGCGATTATAAAACACTATCTAAATTCTCTTACATAAAATAGGACTTCTGATTATTACTAATTAATCTGTATCCCACAAAAATACCAATAACTAAAGATCTCATGAACTACAATGTTCCTTGCATTGGAGGACATTATTTTCAGTATATTTATCTCTTAAAGCTTTTATCAAAAGTAATCTAATTTTACTGGCAATACTAATGCAAAACAGTAAAATAATTTCTATAGTTACTTTTCTCTATAAAGTTTCCTGAAATCTTATACACACAGAAAGCATTTTTTGGTTAATTTCAAAACTTTTCTCACATATTTAGGAAGACAGATAGTGGCACATAGAAAATAAATATTTGGGAGGAAATATTTTAGTTCCATAATTGCACCATACTTTAAACATCTATCAAACATTTTGTTATCTGACATAGTAGTCTGAATTTAATAATGAGTGCATAAACATCTTATACGGTAAAAATCAAAAGCATAAGATACTAATAACCAGAACAGGGACTAATGCCTAGAATATTCAGATTCATATATTACTCTCTAAAGTGCTTCCATATTTGTCTCTGCATTTTTAAGCCGGCCTCCCCCAACTCCCCTGCAAAATAGGCAGGTGGAGGAGAGAAGAGTAAAAGCACAGTAATCTCATTAAGTCTGCTACTTCACCAAGTCTCCAAAGTCTTGTTATCAGAATCTTCTTTGCTGAATGTTCAATCCCTTCACTTGCTTATTTGAAAGAATCTGACTCTTTAATGTCCATAAATTTCTACTGTATTCTGTTCAATACATACTCAGTGTACCTGAAAAAAGGTATGTGGTGAACTACTAGAGGAAGCTCTGGCCCATGCCCTCCAAATAATCTAGGAGTCTTCCCAAAATACTCACCCACCCAGTTACATATGTGTATACACGCATGTGTAAGCTTATGTATACGTGGGGGATACAGGATAGTCCATTCTAAACTCTCAAAAAATGACTGTCACAGAAAATGGAAAGGAAGAATCTGAAAATTAAGTGGAAATAAAAGCCCCCATAGAAATCAAAATAAGGCACTTATTAACCTGGGTCCATTAGCTTCAAGAGAGACCAGAAGTCTCTGAGATTATATGTAATATACTGTTCATAGGTGTACAGTAGTCCCCCCTTTCTGCATTTTGCCTTCCACGATTTCAGTTATCTGTAGGACAATACAATAAGATATTCTGAGAGACAGAGATGCCACATTTACATAATTTTTATTACATTGTTATAATTGTCCTACTTTACTATTATTGTTGTTAATCACTTACTGTGCCTAATTTATGAATTAAACCTTATCATATGTCTTCATTGGAAAAAAACAGCATATGAAGGCACTATTTGCAGTTTCAGCCATCCACTGATTGTCTTGGAACGTATCACTCATGGATAAGGGGGGACTAGTGTGTACATAATTTCTTTTTTTCCCGAAGAAAAGGTTTATAGCTTTCATCAGTTTTCCACAGGAGTCCACAATCCAGAGAAGATTCAGAATCAGTTCTTTAGAAAGCTGAAGAAAAACCTAAAAAGCTTTTCTAAGAATATGTTCATTTATTTACTTTACTTTGATGTTTAAATTAGGGTTGTAGCCTTTTTAAAGCTAGGGGTTCAGAATCAGTACTGTAGACTAAGTTGCTGTCAGGGATTTAAAAAGGTAAAAAGTAACACTGAATGACGGAAGGAATGCTAGACTGGAGGCTCTTATTCCAGCTTTATCACCAATTAACTCTATCAGTACTCTTTACTGATTTTTACTGAAAGGCCCCTGAGGTAAAACACATGCATCAATAACAGCTGCTCTCTAGAACAGTGACCTTGATTAGTGATGGAGGCACAAAGAATCAATGAGCTGTAACAGTGGTTCCTAAACTTGAACATGCTTCAGAATCATCTGGAAGGCTGGTTAAACACACAGACTGCTGAAACACATCAAATTCAGTAGGTCTGGAGTGGAACCTGAGAGTATGTATTTCTAACAAGTTCCCAGGTGATACTGATTCTGCTGGTCTGGATATCACACTTTATAAGAAGCAATTAGTTTCTTCGTCTGAAGTCACTAAATCTCTCTAGGCTCTGGTTCTAACTCCTAGAAAATAATCATGTCAGACTAGATGATGCCTATAGTCTCTTTAAAAATTCTAGAAAAGAAAAAGACTCAAAATACTCTAAAATAAATGAAATATTAATAAAACTGAAACAGAGAATAGGATGGCCCATATGGGCAAAAATGACATATTAATTTTAGGAATCTATCCAGATATTTCCATCTTCCCTGTGCTTCCACTATACTGTGTTCATAACTAATTTGTTGATTTTCCTGTCTGTCCCACTAAACTTCTAAGTTGATTAAGAATAGGGACTATCTAATTACAGAATATAGTTAGTTCTCATGTCTGTTGAATGAATACTTCTTTATCTCTACCATAAAAACTCAATAAAAAATGTAAAAAAAAAGTCGAGTTCTGTAAGGAGAAAGACTGTACTTTTTAAATAGTAATGGTAAAGGACTATAAAACTTTCTCAGAATCCTCAACGGAACAGGTAGTCAAATGTTAATTGACTAAACTGAGACAAGCATCAGATTAACGTGGCTTGCTATGAACCTGAATTTCCAACCACCCAATGGAAGATTAAGTACCACAATACTGAAAGTTCCCAGATGTATTTAAAATAGAATTATAAAATGTAAGCTGTAATGATAAAAGTTAATGTTCATATAATTAAGCAAAAAATCCCTCTGCAGGTGTGCCATATCATGAAGGTTCTAAGAGTATACTGTAAATACTTTAAAATACTTTATTATCTTCCTTACCCTAAATCCTCACAAAGGAAATATATTACAGTTCATGGTTATCTTTTTAGGTTGTTAACTTTGAACAGAATCAACCTATGCCCAGTCAACCGATGACCTTAATTAATGGTAACTATTAAATCACCCAAACAATATTTCCCAAGTAACTTCCTTTTTCTGGAGGTGTAGGGGAAAGTACCCTCTACCTTCATTGCAAGAGGTGTGATCTTGCTCTATAGCATGGTAAAATTATTGCTCGGGTCATGGACAATATTTAAAGTATGAAAGAGAAACATCCTTAAACTAACTATAAATATCAGTGACCACTATATAATCAATTTTGAGAGGTGTTATTCAAAAAGGCTGCATGTATTAATAACTTCAGCTTGAATGTCTGTATCTAACTGAATCAGTGAGATGCCTACTTATAAGGTCTCTTATTTTCCTTTTTCTGTTAAGTATTTGATCCTAAACTCCTACTCTAGGAAAGAAAACAGCAAAGCTATTTTAAAATGATTAGCTTGGTTGTACTTTGTAAAGCATCAGCTGCATCCCATGTGATTTTTAAAGCAACAAACATAAAACAGCCTTGAGCAACCAAAGAGCACATGACATCTCAAAATTGCTTTTTGAATTTAATGAAACCTATAGGCTTACATGCAAAAGATATTGATAATTCCATTAAATAAATTGCAGGAATTAAAATATGACTTCTGAAAAAACAGAAACAAATCTGGTTATAAAACAAACACTCATGCATTCTTCTGAAATACAGACATTAGGAAAAATTGTGTTCATGCAAACTGCCATCAGTTTGAAAACTAAATAGAAGAACTAAGGCAATTTTCAAGTTACCATGAACGCAACAATACTAATTATCATTAATAAATATGGAAAATCATAGCAATGTAATTTACATTTATTACTATAAGGTTATTTGAAAGCACCAAAATACTTCAGAAATATAAGACTCTATGAGGAAAAGTGTGCATGCAATCTATTCTAAAATATAAAAACTATCTGGCAAACAATCAACTAAATGGGCTTTCAGAAACAGATTACAGAATCTCACAATAACTAACAGAATAAAATGATTAGAAAACATTGTTGGAAAAGGCATAACCTCTTTTATTATAATATTTATTTCATGGTTTTTCTTAAACCCAGACATTTGCCACAAACACTTACAGGAGTATCAATAAAAGCTTAGAAAGGCTGAAAAACACAGAAAAGAACAAAGTAATCCAAATCTTGAAAAAAGATAACCTAAGAAAAGATTATAAACACTGAAAAATAACTAAGGAGGTCAGTGTACAATATTAGAAGCAGTATGACAAAGGGAATTCAAACTTAATCACAAGAGAACTTTTTGAAGAGATATTAATTTTTTTTGCTGGGATACATTAAAAACCCTGTTTTATTTTTAAAGAAGTGGTCAATTAGAAACTTCTCCTCTTGAAAATGAGGTACTCTTCCAAAGAAAAATAAGATTATAGAAAACCCCTATATTCTTATATTTAATGATTTAGCAGATGCTTGAACATGTATTATTCTGCTTAACTAGAAAGATCAGCTTTTATTGTACTTACAATGCTTGTGTTTAGTTCTCTAATTTTTACTTTAAAATAAAGCAATGTAGTGCTAATATTGTCCTTAATTTTAAGTAGATATTGATCATACTTTCCTGTTACACAATGTTATCACACCATACTCAGTAGCAGATGACGTGCTACTCTACTGCATAACGTAGTACTCAATCTCATAAGCTCTCTTCTCATTCTCTAGTTGTTCTACATAGATAACCCTTATTCATCTAACTAGACTCTTACCTTCTCCAAGACAAAGAATAGTATTTTTTATCCATATATTCTAAGGGTAATTAAAACACTAACATACAGAATGAATGAAGATACATTTCTTTTATTTTCTTTATTAATTTCGAACCTCAATAAAGTGTGTTAGCCATTCTCAGAAAAAAAATAAACAAATGTTTTAAAAGGCCAAAGCTATTCTAGTACTCACAAGAATTAAAATAGACAAGTGGAAAACATTTCAAGAACAATTAAAGCACTGAACACAGAATAGGAAACAAAAAGAAGGCATCCATTACTTAAGCTGTAATACAAGAGTCCATTCTTTTCCATTTTCAGTGGGCATGTAACAGTTTGATGACTATGAATGTCCCTGAAGTTCATCTGGTTTACAAACCACTATTTAAGAAATGCTTTATCAGATAAACAAATTGGGTTTGGTATGCAACTATATACTGTTTTTTTGTGTGTAAGGTGAGTAAAGATTCAAATAATATTTTTTCTGAGACAGATCTCCAAATTATGATTTACCACATTATCATAACAGCCTATTAAAGATTAATGGAAAGTATCTTCAATTAATTCAAGGTAGTTTATTATGTGACATGCTCAAGCACTGCAAGTAGAGCTTGTGGAAGAGCAAAAATTGAGAGTTGATATATTGATAATTCCCCAGGTGGAAGGCAGGCGGACATGCACGTACATGCTTCACACACTCAATTACTGTTCCAAGACATTACTTTGTTTACAGTGAGCTGATATGTCATATGTAAACTTGTAAGTAATAATAACCTCACTTAAAGGATATTTACTCTTTGATTTAAAACATATGAATAAATATAGCGTAACCTTAACATTAAACTGAAAACTCCTATTTTTTTGGGAAGAGGGGGTGGTGTCTTGTTATGTTGCCGAGGCTGGACTCAACTCTGGGGCTCAGGCATTCAATCCTCCTGCCTCAGCCTTCCAAGTAGTGCACATTGCTGGATCTGGCTGCAAATTCCATTGTAATATAATTTAGAATTCAAACTTTTGAGTACGATTCTCGCAAGGGTAACTAGCTAATGACATTTTAAAGTACAGTAATTAATAACCCTAAGCAAATTCATGTAGATATACTGGCCAGGCATGATGGCTCAAGCCTGTAATCCCAGCACTCTGGAGGCCGAGGCGGGCGGATTACATGAGATCAGGAGTTTGAGACCAGCCTGGCCAACATGGTGAAACCCTGTCTCTGCTAATAATATAAAAATTAGGCGGGTATGGTGGTGCATGCATGTAATCACAGCTACTGGGGAGGCTGAGGCATGAGAATCGCTTGAACCCGGGAGGCAGAGGTTGCAGTGAGACGAGATCGTGCCACTGCACTTCAGCCTGAGTGACAGAGTGAAACTGTCTCAAAAAAAAAAAAAAAAAAAGAAAAGAAATTCATAGAGATATGTATGTAATACTCATTTTAAAGTCAGAAATGTTTATAATAATTTATATTTGCTTTTAGAAAGTTTTAAATTTGAGGGTTTTCTATTTTTAAAAAATCTTATTTAAAATAAAATTCCAACCCACAAAATTTTACATATTAACAGAAATAAAAATCAACCTACAAAACTAGCTCTTTCTTATTTATTGAATTCGATTACGTGTTCAGCTCTTGACACAGGTAAAGCCCGCGGTATCCAAGTATAAGAATTAAGACTTCAGTTCTAGAATTTTGTATTATATTCTAGGCCCCAATCAGTTTGAGACTAAAGGAAATAAAAAGTAAAATGTTGTAAAATAATGTACTTGTTAACAAAAATATACTAGAATTACACTGTATATGATGATAAAAGGTCAGAAATGCAGATAATCTCCTCAGACATTTAAGTGACTAAGAATCTTCTATAATTTTAATTTTGCCAAAGAATGAGAAACTACCCAACATTTTAAGATATCAATTTCATTTTGTAGCTGCTGCTGTATTTTTAAGAGGCTCAACTTCAAATACTTCAACCTTTTATGGAAAGATGGAAACACACAACAAACTATGTGTAAGTACTCTTAGGGTACTTAGAGGAGACAATGACACTGCTTTTAAGTCCAGTTGAAAGGTCACATACTACCTCCACTGCCTTAGACTAATGCCTAAGACCCTTTGCTCAAAGAAACCAAGAGGCTTGTATTCTAAAAATAGAGGCAAGGGGGGTGGGGCAGCATGGAGGAAAAGAAATGGCCAAAACAGATCAGAGAAAGTGTTAAAAGCTGGCTGGAAAGGCCTTAAATGACCCAGTTCAAGGTCCCCCTTTTACAGATAAGGAAACTGTGACCCAAAGAGATGAAAACCTATAAACTATGTCATTCAATGTCATAAAGATTATGAGGAAGAGGAAGAAGATCCAAGTTTCAGGCCTTCTTTCCTTCCAGTTCCATTCACTTTCCATTATCTCTTTTTTCCCCCACCACTGTGTTTTACTTCATCACATCACACCTCTGGCTCAAAAGTCCAAAGGGAATGCCAATATCTCAGCAGTTTACCAGATAAGTTTATCTTTAAGCACCAAAATCATTTTTCCTAAAATAAATTTCCCTAAAATCTTAGGTTATAATACAGGTAAAAGCAGAATAGCTTTGATTGAAGTCTAAGTGGGAGGGCAGCCCCGGAGGCTGGTGTGAAAGCTTCCCTTTCATTATCACCCCTATCTCCTCTCTAGCATCCCTCCAACTGAAATCAACTCAATAATCTGATTTCTCAACATCTGTCCCTGCCTCATGGACCATGTATGCCAGCTAATTTGTATTCTTTTCCATGGATACTTATTTCTCCTATATATGTATCCTATATATGTATCCATCCTATTGCTTCTTTCTGCACAGAGTAATTATGTCCTCTTCTATTTGAAAACATTTCTCTTGCCACCTTCAAAATAATTACATTAATTTTCTTCTCCTAAACATACCATCTCCTAGGCATTCATGTATTGAATTTAAATACAAAAATGCTACCATAAAAACGTCACTAATAAGGCTTAACTGGACCAGACTAGAGAAGAGAGTAGAGGTAAATAGCTAACTTATATTAACAAGACAATACGTTGCAAATTGCATGAAGTAACTACCATTTCTAGGTGAAGACCCTGGCAGGACTACTTTGGAAAACAGGCAGGACTTGGCTAAAACAATTGTTAGTGGTTGATTATCAAAATTAATGCTAACCTTCTAGATTAGAATGTTACTTACAAACGTATTATTAATCTGTTTATGTCCTTACTTGTAAAATCATCTCATGTTGATAAATTAACCAAGGAAGAGACTTAGAATAACATAGCTCCATTCATATAACACACACAACGTTAAGTCTATGCTCATTCAAACTTGAGCTCTGTAAGAAAGAACCTGCATATATAAGGACTGAGTTTTCTATAACCTATAATAATCCTCACCACCTGGTACCTAGTATACATTCAAATTCAGTTTGCAGGAAGAAAGATAGCATTTTGTAACCACCAAAGGTGTAAATGTAATTTGATTAAGGCTAACTCCCAGCTTTTTGACTAACGGTTTCTCCATAGGAAACTGATTATTTGGAATAAGTCAGGGTATAAAAGCAGTAACAAAATTTAGAATACTAGGCTATATATTTTTTAATAAAGGTGAAAAAACTGAACCAAGAGAAGTCTTTTTTAGAAATATATCTCAAAACAAATACAGACTTCATGACAAAAATTTACTGAAAAGTTCTATGAAACATCAAATATAAAGCTAGATGTTAAGTAAACATATGATTTTGTACCTAATTGCATTTAATTCTGAAAAGAGATACAATCTGCTTAGTTTGACTGATGTTTAAAGTCAGGTGCTCTTGTGTATATAATTCCTTTTTCCAAAAAAAGTTTATTATGTTTTAGAATTATAAAAGGATTACTCTTAAATTTGAAAATAAAAAATTTCTTACATTAAATAGTTCAAAGCAGGTGATCCTTAAAAAATAAATTGCTTCAGTGTCCTCTAACATATGTTTCAATAGGTATAATAAGAAAGTAAATAATAAATCCTACTCATAATATAAATACTAAACTCCTAACCGAAATCCTAAAAAGTATACACTGTGCAGCCTACCTGGTCTATTCTGGATGTTCCGGCTGCAGTGCACCAACTATCTTGGAGTGAATCTGAGCCCCAAGCTGGCAACTGCAAACTAGATCTCACCTTCAATAGCATAGAAGTTTTCATCAGAAATGAGCAGTTGTCTTCCCCATACCCACCCAACGAAAGAAAGAAAGAAAACAAAAAATAAAGCTCTATCTTAAATCCTCATTCCATCCTCTAAAGGTTTAAGAAAAAAACAAAACAAAACAAAAACCTCACTTGCAATAGCCATAAGGGAACTTCAAGAAAATAATAAAAATACTGAAAGAAAAAAAAAGTCTAATCAACGTATTAGGCCACATTTAGAAAAAATAATCGGTGAATTAGTGAAGATAAATTTAAATTAGATGCAAAAAAGCCCTAATATTATTTTGCCACAATCACAGCTGTACTAAGTATATTCTAATATATATACAGCCAATTATAGTCAATTCTAAGAACAGTTACAATTACAGAACATATTAGCTTAGCTATATTAAAGGAGAAACAAATTTTGGTGGCCCATTAGAATTTATAAATTAAAGCATTCTTAAAGAGCTGCTAATTGAAAGCTTCAGTATGTATTTAATAAATACAAAAGGTTTTTCTACGTTTTACTAAGCTTATTTTCCATTGCGTGTTTAGAGAATTATTTTACATTCTCAATTTTCTCTGTATAGATATTTTAACCTTTGTTAATTAAATTACATGCTTAAAAATTAAAACTTTATTTCAAAAAATGTTAATTTTAGCATACCACTACCACCACCACCCAACTCCCTATTTTGAAAGATTAACATTAGAGATAAGGTCATTTACATACCATTCTTACCTGTAAGGGTAAGAGTGTATTACTATTGTTGTCTGTTCTGAACACATTATCTTCAATCCAAGATTTTGGAGTCAGTGATGGAGTTGAGCGAGTAAATTTCGGTGGTGCTATGACATTACCAGAAAACGGTTTCTTCAATGGAGATATCTGATTCATAGTTCCTGGGATTCCCATGTTTCCGGTTCTACGATGATCTCTGCCATGCATTGCTCCCCAGGACATACTTCCAGTGCCCCAGCCACTGCTCTGATGGTTGCTCCAGGGAGACTGTTTCAGAAGAGGCTAGGGAAAACATAGCTATTTAAATTGCGGCATTTAAAGAATTTACAATTCAAATTCAAATTCAAATTTCAGACCTAAGAATTTATATGAATGAAATATATAAAGGCAAAAGAATACATCTTTTCTAGGTTATAAAAGTAACAGTCTTGAGATCTTTCTATGTGAAATCATATTTGATGCTGGTCAAGTTTTCATCTTCTTGTATACTATAAATATCATGATATTTTATGACAGTTACTAAAATAGAACCATGCAGTTCCTTTTTATCCTTCAGAGATAACTGTATACATGATAAATATGAAGAAAAAAATTGAAATTAACTCTGAAGATTCTTAAAGATATAACATACATGGTGATCTTAAAGCAACCATATTAATTATGCTAGGCACACAACTAAAAATATGGTCTTTGTTAATTAAAATATCCTACTCATACAAGTGAAATATATAGACTTTATGTTTCCAAAACAAGTTGCACTACTACAAAAGTGGGAATTACTCTTGTACAAATTAAAATCGCCTTTTGAAATAAGGACAGTATAGAAACTATGTCATTTTTCTGCATTGTTTATTTAACTGTTAAGGCATTTTATTCCAGTTTTAGCATAGTTTGTCTTAATTGTTTTTATTTCACTTAATTATCCATAAACTGTGAAGCAATTATCTGATGTTGCCCATAGGTGGATCCACTGAGGTATACTGCTAATTAACTATATGCTTTGATTATTCCACTAGAGATCTTGATACAAGTCTCCATCAAGTTGATTCATTTTCAAAAGTAAATTACATCCTAATCTCAAACCTGTGGCAAGACAAGTCAAATCATCAAAGAATGGTAAATCCATCAAAACGCTAATAATTGTAGTTTTGGGTTTTTTTTTTTTTTAAGAAGTATTCATTGCTGGTAATTCTACTGTCAGTAAGTTTATACTTTAATACTTTGGTGTTAAGATGTAGCTAAAGA
This sequence comes from Homo sapiens, assembly GCF_000001405.40. Taxonomy (NCBI): domain Eukaryota; kingdom Metazoa; phylum Chordata; class Mammalia; order Primates; family Hominidae; genus Homo; species Homo sapiens. The sequence continues at coordinate 15,006,341 of NC_000004.12, read as the reverse complement.
AGTATGAACCATACAGTTACTACAAATAAATATGGTTCTCTTAAAATTGAACCTGCTTTTTGTAAGACAATTAAAAGAGAAACTCCTGATCTACAGCACCAATTTTTAAACACTTTTAAATGCTAACATAATCATGAGTATATTATTACTCTTTCCTCTTCCACAGAGGTCCAAAGCATAATTACAGAGCCATGGACAAACCACTTCATTCTTGAGGGCCTTACTCTCCTTATTAAATGATTTAATGCTCAAAGTTATCTTCCAGTGATCTAAAATTCCATATGAAAGCTGTGTGACCTCTCACACTCCATGGCTAGACCCATCTTTTGTCCAAAAGCAAATTACAGTTAAATATGGATCATGGTATATGTTCTTCCAACGCTCTGTACCACAACTTTAAGTAAATACAAAATTACCTACAGATAATTTTCTGTGGGCAAGTTTCCAGATAACAAAATGAAGATCCTGAGACACAAAAGACAGTTGCTGAGGGTTATAAAAATCATGAAAAAGTGGAACATTATTTCAAAATCCCTATTTTCAATCCTCATAGGCCACATTCTCTTTTCTAAGAAAGAAATCAGTGATTCAACAAAAACTGTTCACTGTCACTTTGGTTAACTTAGATAAACTGTTAACTTTCACTTGGGTTAATTTAGATAATATTCACTTTAAAAAGACTAATCCTTGAAAACTTTGGTCAACTGAAAAAGTTATGGGGTTAAGGTCATATTTTGCGTCTCTGTCAATCCTTAATCACGAAAATAGAAAATGGACTTAAACAGAATGAACTCTGCAACAAATGCTAACAAGATTCAAAACCAACAAGACACTCTTTCAATGCCAATTTACCAATCTAGCGGTCACCCAAAAATTGTATTGAGGGAATAACAAAAAAGATCTTGAATCAAAAAAGATCCGGAAAATAAAAATTCTGCCCAGTGTCATTTCACAATATTACCTACTTAAAATACACACGGCCCACATATTCCCTTGTAGAAGGTTAAGGCAACCAAAAAATGTACCGAAAGTCTACGAGGAAACACACCAATCCCAGATCCAAGTTCAGTTTTGTCTTAAAACCCACAAAACATGACCCCAACATTGAAAAGCACAGAAACTAAGACATTCGTGGGATATCTCGGTTTGAACCCGAGCGGTCACTAACAGTTTCTCTTTCCCAGTCCTGTGACAGCCAAGGAGGCGGCCCCGCGGGAACCAGGTCCTGCGAGGAGGGCGGTCGGCCGCTCCCTCCCGACTCCCTCCTGGGCCGGCGGCCCAGGGTGCGGCGCTGCCAGCAGGTTGATCGGGCGGAGCTTTGGGAGCGGCTCGACTGACCGCCCGAGGGGCTGAGGCTTCAAGGCGAGATCACCGCCGGCCAAATAAGAATAAACAAACTCCAAAGAAAAAAAAAAGCCTTTCCGCCTTCCCTCATTGGACAGCGAGACAGAGTCTTGGGCTCCTCCGCACGCACCTTCTCCAGCAATCATTTTTCCCCTGCCCAAGTTCACTTCCCACGGCCGCTCTTCCGAGGCCCCCGGCCAGCCCCCGGTCCTCGCCGCGCCTCCCCGCGTCGGGGGTCCGGGGCGGCGGCCCTCCAGGCCCAGGGCACAGGGCGGATCCCGGGGTGCGCCAGCTAGGAGGGCCGGGTTGAGACGCCGCGCCCGGCCGCCCGCGGCCCCGGCGCTATTCGGCCCCTGCCCCAGTCCCCACTGCTGCGCCGGGACGTTCGAGGGGGCGCCCGGCCAGCCGCGGCTCCCAGCGCGAACTCGTCTCCCACGCCCCCACAGCCCACGGTGGCCACTGCCCTCCCAACCCACCGGGGGCTGGGGTTCCGAGTCCTGTCACGGTTGTCCGCCCTCAGTTCCACTCTCACTTGGGCGAGTGGCCCCCGTCGCGGCTTCTCTCGGGGCTAAGGTCGGGTCCCCGGCTGCCCTGCCCCCGCCTCCGTCCCCCGCCCATGGTCTCCCGGTCCCGCGGCGCGGCCAGGCCGCCGCCCGCCGTACCTGGTGGTGGTTATAGGAGTTCCTCTGCTGCAGGAAGGCGGCGGCCGCCGCCTGGTGCTGCTGCTGGAGCTGCGGGCTGACGGGCGACCTCCGGCTCTGCGGCTGCTGCGGCGCCGCGGGCGGCGGGGGCTGCTGTTGAGGTATATTCATGGCGGGCGGCGGCGGAGGGGGCACAGCGGTAGCCGAGAAGGGGCCGCCGAAGCCGCCGCCGCCGCCGCCGCTCGTCGGAACGCTGAGCCCAGTGCAGCCGTGCGGCGACACGGGCGAGAAGCTAGGGAAGAAGGCCGGGTTCATGGACGACGGCAGCCCGGGGTAGAAGCCGTTCTCTGAGTCGGGGCTGGGCGGCGGCATGGCGCTGAGCGAGCCGCCGCTGCCGCCGCCCGGGGTGGTGGCAGACGAGCCGGGCGGCTGCGGCTGCGGCTGGGGCGGCTGCTGGGGTGGCGGCGGCTGCTGCTGCGGCTGGGTCGGCGGCGGCTGCTGGGGCTGGGGTGGCGGCGACGCGGTCTGCACCGACCAGGGGGTGCCGAAGCCGGGCAGCGGCGGCGGCGACGCGGAGCCGCCTCCCCCTCCGCCTCCTGGGGGCCCCCCGCCCCCGCCGCCGCCGCCGCCGCCCGGGTGTGGAAGGTCCGGGCTCTGCAGGCTGCTGAAGGCGCCCGCGCCAAGCGCACCTCCGGGCAGGAGGTTACTGGGACTGTTGAGCAGAGGGTGGTTGGGGGACTCCATGGAGCCCGGCGCGGGGTTCACCGGCGTCGAGGAGGCCAAGCCCGCATTGGGGGACTCGGCGGCGCTGCCCTCGCCCGCGGCTGGGGTCTTGCGAGGGCTGCCCGCGCCTCCGTGGCGGCGCCGCGGGGCTGCAGGCGGCGAGGGAGGGAGCTGCGGGAGCGGGGGCAGGTCTGCCGGACGCTGCCGCGGGGCGAAGTCCTGCGGCGAGAGGTGCTGCTGATGCAGGAGGCTGAACTGCTGCGGCGGCTGTTGCTGCTGGCGCTGAGCGAGCTGCGCCGGCTGGAGGAGCGGGCCGGCTGGCGGCGGCGGCGGGCTGAACCGACCGGGGCAGTGGAGCGGCGGAGGCGGCGGCGGCGGCTTCGAGTCCGGAGGGTGGGGAAGGTGGGGAGGGCTGAACTCTTTCCTCTTCTGGCTGCTCAGCTGCTGCTGCTGCCGCTTACTGAAGTCCTGCGGGGAGGAGGTGCGGCAGCAGCAGCAGGAGGAGGCGGAGGAGGAGGAGGGGTGGTGCAGACTCGGTTTGAAGTCCTGGGAGGGGAGGAGGTGGGTCACACCCGCGATCGTGCCGCCGCCGGGGTGGTGGTCGGGGAGTTTCTCCGTGGCCGCCGCCCCCGAAAGCGGCCGCGCCGGCTGCTGTGTCAGCCCCAGAAGCAGCTCATCCTGCATGGTCTGCTGATGCGCCAGGAACGGGGAGGAAGAGGAAGCGGCGGCGGCCGGGCTGCCCGCGCCGCCGCCGAGGGGGACGGAGAAGGGGGAGGCGGCCTCTAAGAAGCCGGTGACAGGCAACGGTGGTGGCGACAGTGGGCCGAAGGGCGTGGCGGAGGGCAGCGGGTTGACGGACCCCACGGCGTAAGGACCATACGCCTCGCCGCAGAACAGGGGCCCAGGACTGCTACTTCGGAGCGGGGCGGTCTGCAGCACCCCAAACCCGAAATCCCTCATTTATCAGGCCGCCGGCAGCGGGAGGAGACGCTCCTCGTCCCCTGCCCCACCTAGGAAGCCGCCGGCGCTGGGGTTGCGCGGCCGTGGTGGAAGGAGGGGGAGTCAGTGAGAGAGGGACACCGTGACTGAGCCAGGGGGCACCGACTTCGGCCCCACCACCCCTCGCGGCGATCGCCGCCGCCGCCGCCGTCGCAGTCGCCGTAGCCGCCCTGGCCGCTTAAGAACCCCGGAACGTGCGTCAGCGCCACCTCACAATCGCGCCGCCCCCCGCGGTGCGTCCCGGCACGCGCGGGCGCGAGGCCACCGCGTCCCCGTCGCCCCTCCCCGCCCCTCATTACTATGCAGACGCAGCCGAGGGCGCGCTCGCGCTCCCGGGAGGGCGGGAGCGAGCGGCGTGTCCCGTTGGGTCTCTCCGCTCCCGGGGAAATGGACAGGCCGGTTGGGGTGGGGGTCGGCTGGCAAACAGTGGTCGGGAGCATTGGGCGGGCGCGCGCACGAGGGCAAGCACGCGCGGGAGGGAGGGACGGTTCCTGGGCAACGGCCCCTCCTTGGCGCGGGATCCGCGCAGAGTCTGCCTGGGTCGCACGCGTCTCCGCCCCTCGCGGTGCCTCCTCCTTCCTGTCACCTCGGTTCCGCCCTGGGTGGGGAGAAGCCCTGCTGCACCACTCGGGCTTCCCAGAGCGGGGCTGGCCCGCGGGGGAAACTGAGGCCCGGGACCCCGACCGGCGCCTGCACTGTGCGACCCGCGTAGAAATAGGCGCCCGAGGGGCCCCCAGCGCAACGCGGGAGCCCGGCCCAGCCCGGGGGTCCTGTGGTGAACTAGCGTCTGGGCTCTGCCGGCTTGAAGTCCGCTGAGCGCCTCGCCGCGCACCTCTAGACCCCGAGTCCCCGATCTAGGGCCTCCTTGTAGCCCTAGGTAGCGCCCTCTAAGCTTGTTTCTGTTTTTAGGCGCTGGTAGGAGTGCTGTCACCGACGTCGTAGAGCCGCCGAGGGTGTTTCTGTAGGGTAAACATGAAGCCTCGGCTATATTCCAGGCATTTTCACTTGGGTAAGAAGGAACAAAGTCCCTGGAACAAACACGCTCCGCGTGGTTATTTACACACTCGGATGCGTGGAACGGGTTCCACGGCGAGCTCCCATAGTAACCCCGGGCCAGCTCCGCTTCATAAAAGCCTTTCGTGTGCCATCAGGGCTGCAGCGTGGGACTCCTCCCCACCACATTCATTCCGGCGTCCCCGCCCCTTCCCCCCAGGGAGACTCTAATTTATTCCTAAGCTTTATGAATTTTCAAGGGAGAAATAGTTCTTACATCAGGGAAAAAAGGAGGTTCTGACTCAGCAGCAGACTTGTTGAGACTTGCAAAATGGAAGGGAGAGAGCTTTCCATGGTAGAGCTCTTTAGAAGCATTAGAGGAGGAACTAATCCTGTGTTTCCTTTTGTATAGAAACATTTTACATAAAGTATTTGAAGGTCTAGATAAAGAATAACAGAGTGATCCATACTACATGATGAGGTGAACTTTATGTTTCTGTTTTGTAATTTTAACTGTTTTGCTTGATGCTTAGAGAAATGAAACTATTAAATGAATCCTAGAATATAGACTCAAACCCCCAAAGCAATAGAAGGTGGATTCAGACTTTACTTGATTTTGGTTTACAAGTGAACTAAGATTAAATATTTAATTTTATAAATTAGCATACTCTTACTGATGTAGGCAGAGTGTACATTTTTATAAGTCCTCATTCTCTATTTGAATTCTACTTCTGTTCAGTGTCTCAAATTTATATAAATCGAAATAAACATGGTAGAAAGAGAGCAACATTGCCCCAGGGAACTATACTTCATGTATAATGTTTATCTCTGCTATCCTGTCCAATGAACCAAGTTTTATGTTGCCTTTACAATAAGGAAAAAGTACTTTTTAAAAAACTCAAATGGTTCAGAATTTGGTCAGGTGAATAGAAAATTGGTTCAACTTATTAATCTCAAAATCATTTTTAACAGTCAGGCAAAATGTAGAACTGGAGAAGTATTTTTATTCTAAATTACAATGTCTAGAAAATAACCTGAGCTCAGAATTTAAAATATAAATGGTTATTTTCAGAGTATATATTGACATATTAAATATTCATTTTTTAAAAGGTATTGTGCAGGAAAAAAAACTACTTCTGCAACTAAGGAATGTAAAGTCTTAACAACGGATGATTTTTTTCCAAGTACAGTTGTATTTGATTGGAATCATTTGCAGATCCAACAACAAATCTTGAAATAGGGGGAAAATACAGGTATAAACCTTAGCTCAATTATCCACTAACACCGCAGTTAGTAAAGAGGAGAGAGCACATACTTTTAAAAGCTAACTGGTGCCTTTCTGGGCTAGAGTTTTGAACAAAAACAAGATTTCTTAGTGCTCTGGTACTAGTTTTGTCTTAGAGGATTTAGAGCTCTCTGAAACGGGGAAAAGCCATCAAGTTTGTTATTACATAATAATGTCAAACTTCATATTAAATACACCAAATTCCAAATCCTGCCAGGGCCTCTACTCACTACTTTTGTGAGGGCCCCATTTTTTTAGAGCAGAAAGTTACTTTCTGACATCTTGTAAGCTGGTGATCTTGCCCTTATTGAAAATATTCAAATGAAAAGGTTTCCTAGGGTGGAGAGTGGAGTGGGGTAGGGAGAAGGAGCAGCAAATACTGAGGAGGGACTATGGTCCTCTAGCAGTTTCCATGCCAAGATCTTATGAGTCCATTCAATGATTTTTTTGGTTTTTTACATGAAAATATTTTGACTCATGATCATTAACTAGGACCTTGACTTTGTATTTGACAGTCCCTTATTCATTTACTCCCACTGTCCTGGGCAAGTATTTTTAAAAGTATTTTTGCTACAACCCAATATATGTGCAAGTACACACTCATGCAACTGAAATAAAGCTGCTATTAAGCAATTCTTTTAATAATGCAACAAACTCCTTTTTATAATTCTATTTTCATTTTAAAATCACGTTTGATCTCAAATTACAAAGTTGGTTTTAACACCCTCTATCAGATTATGAACTGAAAAACCACTGTCCTAGACCATTTCAAACATTCTGCTCAATCTGAAAACCTCTTGTCACATCTCTCCTACATGCATCTGCTAGCATGTAGCACTCTCAGCTGCTGAGCTACATGCTTATTTCACTGAGAAAAAAGAAGCAACCACAGGAAAACTTCCACAGTCTCCCTGCATCTGTCCCTGCACACCTTGCCTTCCCTCTCGATACAATGGATGGCCCATCTGCCCATACTCCTGTCTAAGGCCAGCCTCTCCACTGGCGGAGCAGATCCTACCTCTAACCTACTCAAGACATGGGCTCCAACAGTTTTCTCTCTCTGTCCTTCATCATGACCTCTTTCCTCTCCAGGAAACACTTCCATGTGCACAAAAACTTGCTTTACTAGTTCTCACCTTTGAAAAGTAAAGCCAAAACCTTTTGACCTTATATTCTCCCTCCTTTAGCTACTGCCTTCTTTTTCTGCTTTTACATTGCCTGAACGACTTGCCCATTTGACTGAGTGTCTCATAGATACCTCAAATTAAACACGTCAAAAATTAAACTCCCTGCCTCACTAGGCCCAATCCCTGTGGCGCTCCATTGTTCTGGTTGCTCAGGCCAAAAACCCTGGAGTCATTCTTCACTTCAATCCACTTCTGTCCTTCTTGCATCATATCCAAGCCATCAGAACATGTTGCTTGTCCTACCTTTAAATTACTGGCATAACCTAGAGATACCGTGGGTTTTGTTCCAGATTACCACAATAAAGCAAATATCCCAATAAAGCAAGTCACACCAATTTTTTGGTTTCCCAGTGCATGTAAAAGTTATGTTTACAGTATATTATACTCTAAACATAAGTTCTCAATTATAGTCTAAACATAACTTGTAATTACATTTAAATAAGTGCACAGTAGCATTATTCTGAAAAATATACACACATTAATTTAAAAATACTGCTAAAAAGTGCTAATGATCATCTGAGCCTTCAGTAAGTCATAATCTTTTTGTCAGTGGAGAGTCTTGTCTCGACATTCATGGCTGCTGACTGATCAGCATGGTGGTGGCTGAAGGCGGAGGTGGTTGTGGCAATTTCTTAAGACAAAGATAGAGTTTGTCACATAAATTGAATCTCCCTTTCATGAAAGATTTCTCTGTACCATGCAATGCTGTTTGATAGCATTTTGTCCACAGAACTTCTTTCAAAATTAGTCAGTCCTCTCAAAACCTGCTAATGCTTTATCATCTAAATTTATGTAATATTCTAAATCTTTTTTGTCATTTCAGCAGTGTTCATAGCATCTTCATGAGGAGTAGATTCCGTCTCAAGAAACCACTTTCTTTGCTTATCCATGAGCAGCAACTCCTTCTCCATTCAAGTTTTATTGTAATATTGCAGCAATTCAGTCACATCCTCAGGCTCCACTTCTAATTCTAGTTCTCTTGCTATTTTTACTACATCTGCAGTAACTTCCTTCACTGAAGTCTTGAACCCCTCGAAGTCATCCAAGAGGGTTGGAATCAGCTTCTTCCAAACTCCAGTTAATGTTGACACTTTGACCTCCCATGAGTCACACATATTCTGAATGGCAGCTAGAATGGTGAATCCCTTCCAGAAGGTTTTCAATTTGCTTTGCCCTTATCCATCAGAGAAATCACTATGGCAGCTATAGCCTTATGAAATTTATTTCTAAAATAATACTTGAGGCTGTCCTGGTGACAACTTAGTGATTTTAAATTTTAAAATGAAAATAGAATTATAAAGAGGAGTTAGTTGCATTATTAGAAGAATTGCTTAATAGCAGCTTTATTTCAAAACAATCTCAGCACTTTGGGAGGCCAAGGCGGGCAGGTCACTTGAGGTCAGGAGTTCAAGACCAGCCTTGCCAACATGGTGAAAACCATTCACTTCTAAAAATACAAAAATTAGCTGGGTGTGGTGGCGCATGCCTGTAATCTCAGCTAATTGGGAGGCTGAGGCAGGAGAATCGCTTGAACCTGGGAGGCGGAAGTTGCAGGGAGCCGAGATAGTGCCACTGAACTCCAGTCTTATAGCCAGAGCCAGATTTTGTCTCAAAAATAATAATAATAATACTTGAAACTCATAATTACTCCTGAATCCATGGGCTGCAGAATTGAAGTTGGGTTAGCAGGTATGAGAACAACAATTATCTTCTTGTACATCTCCATCAGAACTCTTGGGTGACCAGGTATATAGTCAATGAGCAGTAATATTTTGAAAGCAATCTTCTTTTCTAAGCAGTAGATCTCAACAGTGGACTTAAAATGTTCAGTAAACTATGCTCTTTCCAAGTTTTGTGGTTCCATTTACCAAGCACAGGCAGAGTAGACTTAGCATGATTCTTAAGGGCCCTAGGATTTTCAGAATGATTAATGAGCATTGGCTTCAAGTTAAGGTCACCAGCTACATTAGCCCTTAAGAAAAGAGTCTGTCTTTTGAAGCTTGAAGCTAGGCATTGACTTTTCCAGCTATGAAAGTCCTAGATGATACCTTCTTCCAATAGAAGGCTGTTTTTTCTACGTGAAAACTTATTTAGTGTAGCCACCTTCATCAGTTATCTTAGCTAGATTTCTAGATAACTTGCTGCAGCTTCTCCATAAGCACTTTCTGCTTTACCTTGCACTTTTATGTTACGAAGACAGCTTCTTTCCTTAAACACGAACCGACCTCTGCGAGCTTTGAACTTTTTTCTTCTGCAGCTTCCTCACCTCTCTCAGCCTTCACAGAATTGAAGAGAGTTAGGGCCTTGCTCTGGAGTAGGCTTCAGCTTAAGGGAATGTTGTGGCTGGTTTAATTTTCTCTATCCAGACCATTCACACTTTTTCTATATCAGCAATAAAGCTGTTTCACTTTCTTATCACTCGTGTTCACTGGAATAGTACTTTTAATTTCCTTCAAGAACTTTTCCTTTGCATTCAGAACTTGACTAACTACTTGGTGCAAGAGGCCTAGCTTTCAACCTATTTCAGCTTTCCACATACCTTCCTCACTAAGCCTAATTATTTCTAGCTTTTCATTTAAAGTGAGAGACATGTACCTCTTCCTTTCACTTGAATACTTAGAGGTCGTTAGAGTGTTATTAATTGGCCTAATTTCAATATTGTTTTGTCTCAGGGAATAGGGAAGCCCAAAGCCTTTATTGATTAAATTATTGTCTTATATGGTTGTGGTTTGTGATGTCCCAAAACAGTTACACTAGTAACATTAAATATTATGATCACAGATCCCCAAAATAGATATAATAATAATGACAAAGCTTTAAGTAACGCAAGAATTACCAAAATGTAACACAGAGATACAAATTGAGCCATGCTGTTGGGAAAATTGTGCTGATAGACTTGCTTGATGCAGGGTTGCCACCAACCTTCAATTTGTGAAAAACCCATTATCTGAGAAGCACAATATAGCAGAGCACAATAAAGCGAGGAGTGCCTATATATCCAGAATCCAAGCACTTCACCCCATTCTCACCACAAGCAGCCTGGACCAGGCTACATCGTTGCTCTCACCTACTAACTCGTATTCCAGCTTCTGATCTTGCCCCTCTCCAGTCTGTTCCCAACATAGCAGCCAGGATGATACTTCTGAAGTGGAAGACAGGTCATGTCAACTCCTCTGACTAAATACTTACATTTTCTCAGAATAGAAGTCAAAACATTTTAATAACCAAAAGGTTCTTCAGAATCGCTCCTGCCACCACTAACCCCTCTGAAAGCTTCCCTACAGTGGAATGCTTATTTCTGTAACAGCCCAGGCCAATTCAGCCTTAGGGCCTTTGCCCTCGCAATTCCCACACCTGGAATACTTGTCTCCTAAGTAGCAACAGGGCTCACTTAATCATGTTTTTATCATTTTTTTTCATGTCTCTCTCACGTCTCTGCTAAAAGTCATTTTTCAGTGATGTCTTCCCTGACCACCATTGTAATAAAATGACAACCCCCCGCCGCCACTCTTTCCCAGCCTTCTTATTCCTCATAAGGTGTTTGTGTTTCCATCTGACCCACTATGTACTTGAACTGTTTATCTGTCCTCTCTCTGAGATCACAAGCCCATGAGGAAAGGTCCATGCCTGTTTTGCTCACTGTTGTATCCTCAGCACTTACAACGATGCCTTGCACATAGTAGGCTTTCAAGAGTTGGGAATTGCATGCACTTATTAAAGGGGTTGTTGAATTAATAAATAGCAATTTTAGGAAATGATAGCTAAAAGAATACAATAGTAATACAAGGGTCTGTTTATAAATGGTTAATTTGTTTTCAGGAGCTGTCCAAACACCATGCAGATGCTCCTAGGATTCTTAAACTAGCCAAAAATAATTCCAGGCATTGTCAGATATAGGATAAGTACATGAAGACAGGTAAGTCATCCCAAGACTATAACGCTGGGGAATAGATAACCCTGGAGTACAAGGGGGAAAACTTCTGTCTCAGGAGACTAGAGTTGGGACTCCAGGAACACAGGGGTTCATTACAGGAGCTTGAACAAAGAGAGGAGTCAAGACCCCATCTCATAGAAATGGAACCAGTTCAGGAGGCACTGCAGTTAAGGTCAACTGGATGCCTTACTTCCATGCTGCTGGTTTCTTTCTGTGGCAGAGCCCATGCCCATAAATGTAATTAACCCCACAGAATGGGAAAGCTTTGAGTCTTTAGATGGGAGCTAATTAGCTCTGGTTTGGAGTTGGAAAAGGAGAAAGTAGAAATTAAGATTCATTCTGACCTTGACCAACTTCAAGGTGCTTTATTGATGTGGCACTCAAGAGTAGTACCATCCTCAATTACTTCTAGTTCTCCTACTTTTCTAAACCTTCCTTCATAATTTCCTCCTTCACTTTCTCCTTACATATTCTTTACGTGTGAGAGTTCCTTAGGCTTATGTTTCTGGTCCTTTTCTATATTTCTACCTACTTTTTCTAGATGAATTTATTATCATGTTTTCAAACATCATCTAAATGCTAATGTCTTCCAAATCCATCTCTTTAGCCTCATGGTCAAAATCATATTTCCAACTGCCTGTTTAACAGTTTGACCTGGGTGTCCTTCAGCCACATCAATTCAATGTGTCTATACCTGCATTCAACATCTTCCCCAAAATCTGCTTCTCCTATTTTGCTTCTTGTCTTGGCTGACGTCATCATCACACAACCAGTTTCTCAAGCTGAAACATGAGTCATCCTCTTCCTTCATCTCTCTCACCCTCCAAAAACAATTGTCAACCATGCTCTGTCAATTATACTGCAGAAACGTTACTCAAATGTAATTCCTTCATGTATCTCCGCATTCCCTTGCCTTTCACATTCCTGGAACACAAGTGCCCAATAAGTATTTGTTGATTAGTAATTGCCCAATGAATGCTGTAAGAAGAAAAGATGAAGAAAAGGAGAAAACAAGGTAAGGAAAGGAAGGAGGGAGATGGAAGGAAGGAAAGAGGTAGATGTTTCCAAAGCATGCTTTACAAAGACATGAGCCATTTTGTGGATAACTGTAGCATTGTTACCTTATGTTTACTGGAGAAAAAATAAAATGAATAATCATAATAACAATGACAAAAAAGTTATTTTCCTTCCCAATATTTTTTCCTTGACAATACCAAACTAAAAGTTTCACTCTGGTTATTACGATCTCTATTCTGGTTATTATGCCATACAAAGATGAACTCATTGACAAAGAAAAATATCAAGAATCTTCCCCTGATGACAAAGTGTAGCCCCGAAACATAATAGAAGGTCTGTGTTACCCTTTGTGGCATCCAGGGGATTTATCATCCCACTCCAATACCCCCACCTAGGAGAGAACCTGTCAGCCTCTCCAGTAATTTCTGCCACGATGCTCACTGGGCCCTTACGTAGACTGACTGACTTCTCTATTGCTACTTATCTTGTATCTTTAAGGCCATGTGAACTCGATTGAATTACAAGTCTTTGTAGGCAGTTGCTATGCCTTATATGTTCTTTAATTTTCCTAGTTCTTATTGATTGATTTATGTATTCAGAAACTCTCTGTTGAGTGCCTGCTCTGTACCAGACACTGTGCAAGGCACTATGGGTATAACTGTGAAAAGAACAGAAAATATATCCATTATTCTGTACATCCTCACAGAGGCTGTAAATAAATACTGTTGACATTAGTTATGATAATTCCCAACCCTAATTATCTGGGCAGAGTCATAAACAGTGAGACTGTAGGCTGAAACTGACCTACTAAATTGGAATCCTACTTGCTGCAATATGACCTTGCCGGGCTGGTCATCGGTGGAGCCTTGTGATCTATACAGAATATTGAGGTAAGGCAAATCTAGCAAGAAGGCAGAAAAAATTACACACTGAAGCTCATCTCAATCCTGGCTTGAAATGGGACTTCTATTATTTCCTTTTCTTGTCACAATATACTTTGTGAGTAGATAAAGCGAATAATATTTTTGTTTTGTTGTTGGAAAACCAAAGCCCAGAGGTAAAGTCGTTTGCTTGAGATGGTTTGCATAGACTGAGATTAATGCCCCCATCTCCTCATTTCTCAGTCTCTTGCTTCATTAGTTGGCCCTCAGGCTAGTGCTAGAAGCAAAGACAAAGAGTGGGCCACTGCTCAGCAAGTACCTGAGTAAAACAGGGTCACAGGGACACACGCTTAAAAACGGTGCTTGGGTATATATATCCTGAGGACTTGAAACCAGTATGTCGAAGCGACGTCTGCACTCTTGTGTTCACTGTAGCATTAGTCGCAGTAGCGAAGACACGGAAACAACCTAAGTGTTCACCAACAGATGAATGGATGAAGCAAATGTAGCATATATACACAGTGGAATACTATTCAGCCTTTAAAAAGAAGGAAATCTGGCTAACTGCAACAACATGGATGAACCTGGAGGATATTATATAAGTGAAATAAGCCAGGCATGGAAAGGTAAAAACTGAATGTTCTCACTTATATGTGGAATCTAACACAATCAAATTCATGGAAGCTGGGAATAGAATGGTGGTTATCGAGGCCAGGGGCTGGGAGAACAGGGAATGTTGGTCAAAGGGTAGAAAGTTGCAGTTAGATTTAAAATGATAAGTATTTAAGCTGATTGATATGTTAACTAGCTTGATTCAATCATTCAACTCTGTATACATATAACATCACTGTATGCAATAATAATATACAATTATAATGTCAAAAAATAAAACTTTTTTTTTTTTAAAGCAACAGTCCCTGCTTCTACTAAAAGTTAAGGAGTGGAAGGGATAATCCTTCAAGTCTTCACAGTGACACCTAGCTACATGAATGAAAATTGGTAGTAGAGACCTCAGAGAAAAAGCATCTTATTTTCAAAATAACATATCCCACAGAAAATCAGAGATATTCCTCACATATGCTTACTCATTTTTCTCCTGTAGTAAGAATGAGGTCTGGCAGTATATATTGGATATATTGTATTTTTCCACATTGTGGTAAGCTAACCACTTCAATTGATAAATTATTCTAGGCAGAGAAAAGTGATGCATCTTGACTAAATATTAAATATGTAGACTTTAAGTAGATGAAGAGCATTGCATCTATCAAATTTGACCTTAATATGTTTAGAATCTTAGAAGATTCAACATTTTAAATGTTTGTTTTCAAAACTCTAAACGTGCAGTTAAAAAGAAATATCATGAAGCTTATATGGTAGCAGGCATTATCACCAGCCTTTGTACAAGGATTGATTAAATGTAAAGACAAGAGAGGAAAAACATTCAGAGGGAAGAGGGATATTTGATTTTAGTCTTAGTGCTTCATTGTCAGTGCTAGCAATTCACTTTTGCTGTCTCCTTTTTTTTGTGGGACTTGAGAAAGGACTATAGGACTTTATGTCATCTCACATCCAAAATTCATTTATAGTGTAAGCCATTGTACTAACATTGGAGTACGTAATTCATAACAATAAGAAAAAACATAGACCTCAATTTTCAATAGAAAAAAATAGACAAACTGGTACAGAGAATAAGAAACTCTAAGATTTTCATAAGGACATGAATCGTGTATATGAAAATACCATTGTTTGTAGGCCCACAGTTGATGCATATTCATCCCATATTAAGAGATAGGGAAGAGTGATATGATGGACACACCAGGGCTATGGAGTCAGAGACGTGGCTTTTAGTCCGACTTCCTCTGTTACTATGTAACTTTGGCAGTTAAACTTTGGGAACCTCAGTATTCTCATCTGTGGAGGTAAAGACAAACATTACCTGTGAAGCGGGGGCTATGGTGATGATAATTAGCAATATTTTAAGTAGAGAGTCTTCTACAGTGTTTGACACAAAATAGATGTTTAAACAAACAGAAAAAACATCTTAGCTGTTATCTGCTATGCAGTTCAAGGTAAAGAGTAGATGAGAAAGCCAGCCTGAACACAGTGGTAGTCCTGGAGAATGGATAACCAAAGCAAAAGCAAAGCAAAACAGTTACCAGACAACATGGAGGTTGGTAATGGCAGTGAAATCCTTGATTGCTAGCAGTGGAAGGAGATATCCAAATAAAAAATGAGAAAAAAAAAAAGCTAAATTCCTCTTGGATCTGGAAAACATAAAAAATTTCTGAAACTTAAATGTTAAACATATTCAATGACTATTTTGTACCTCTAAGAAAGACCAGAGACCAGTTATGCAATTAGGGCAAACTCTGACTTTAAGGATATTACTGAATCCCACTACCAGTTCTGACACCTATGGGGAAGGTTATGTTTACCTGGGCATGTTAACCATCCTCATTCTCTGATTTCTCATCTGATAAATAACATAGAGAAATATGTTTGAAAACACCAAATGCTGTTAGAGCACTGATCTTCAAACTAGGATATGCCTAGACCATTGTGGTCCAATAGAAATACAACACAAGCCATAAATGTGAGCTATATATGTAATGTGAACTTTTCTAGTAGCCACATTTTATTTTTTACAGACAGGGTGTGGCTCAGTTGCCCAAGCTAGAGTGCAGTGGTGTGATCATAGCTCATTGCAGCCTCCCACCTCAGCTTCCCAAGTAGCTAGGACTACAGACGTACACTGCAATGCATAACTAATTTTTAAAAAAAAGTTTTTGTAGAGATGAAGTCTTGCTGTGTTGCCCAGGCTGGTCTCCAACTCCTGTACTCAAGCTAGCTTCCTGCTTTGGCCTCCCAAACTGCTGGAATTAAGGTGTGCACTAGCCACATTTTAAAAATTAAAAAGATACAAGTGAAATTAACTTGAGTAATGTATTTTATTTAAATCAATATATGCAAATTATTATTATTTCACCATGCAATTGATATACAAGTTATCACCACTTTACTGCTTTTCTCCATCTATTAAGATGATTGTAGTTTTATGGTTTAGTGTATTTAGTATATTAAATTGGTTGATTTTCATATTTTAAGCCAACCTTGTATTCCTGGGATACATTTCATTTGGTTATGGTGTATAATCCTTTTTATATGTTATTGGATTTGGATTGCAAGTAATTTGTTGAGAATATTGGCATGTATGTTTATGGGGGTTATCAGCTTGTGGTGTTTTTTTTCTTGTGCTGTTTTTGGTATTAGAGTAACTAATACTAGTCTCATAGAATGAGTTGGGAAGTATTCTTGTAATTTTTTTGTTAAGAGTGTGTGAAGTATTGATATTAATTCTTCTTTAAGTTTGTGGTAGAATTGACGAGTAAAGCCATTTGGGCCTAGACTTTCCTTGTGGAAAGTTTAAAAATTGTTAATTCAATTTGTGTTTGTTATAAGTCTATTCAGACTTTTCATTTCTTCTTATTTTAGTATGAGTTGTTGGTGTTTGGGAATTTGTTTATTTTATCTAGGCTTTCTAATTTGTTGATATACAATTGTTAATGGCATTCTCTTTTTTAAAAAGTTATTATTTACTTATTTTTTTTTTAAATTAATTTGTTGCTGGGCTGGTCTCAAATTCCTGGCTTCAAGTGATCCTCCTGCCTTGGCCTCCCAAAGTGCTGGAATTATAGATGTGAGCCACTGCATCCTGTCTGTAATGTTCTCTTCTAATCCTTTTTATTTCTATGAGGTTGATGCTGAGGTCCCCTTTTTTATTCCTGATTTTAATATTTTGATTCCTCTTTTCTTGTTCAGCCTCACTAAGTGTTCATTAATTTTATTGATTTTTTTAAATAAGTAACTTTTGATTTCATTGATGTTCGCTATTTGTTATCTATTTCGTTTATTTGTGCTTTAATATTTATAATGTTATTTATTCTGCTTGCTTTGGTTTTAGTTTATTCTTCTTTGGTAGTTTTGAAAGATAGAAGTTTAGATTATTAATTTGAGCTCTTCCTTCTTTTCATAATAAGCATTACAGCTACAAATTTCTCTCTGATTGCTGCTTAAGCTGCACCTAATAAGTTTTGGTATGTTGTATTTTTGATCTCATTAATCTCAAATAATTTTCTAATTTGCCTTGTACATTTTAAAACCATTTGTTATTTAAAAGTGTTTAGATTACTTTTTACATATTTGTGTTTTCCAAATGTATTTGTTATTGTGACTTTTAAATCTATTCCGTGATGGTCAAAGAACATCCTTTGTGTGATTTAACAGTCTTTAAATTTATTGAGGTTTCTTTTTATGGCCTTTTAACATACGCTTTATCACGGAGAATTTTCACTGCATACTTGAGAAGAATGTATGCTCTGCTATTTTTAGAGTTTTCTACAGATATGTTACATCTAGTTAGTTTATAGTGTTGTTCAAGTCTTCAGCCATTATTGGAAGCAGGTTATTGATGTTTCCAATTATTATTGTTAAATGTCTATTTCTCCTTTCAACTTATGTATTTGAATTCATGTTTTAGGAGGTTCTGTTGTTAGGTGCATTTATGTTTTTATTGTTTGTCTTCCTGATGAATTGACCCTTTTATCACTATGTCTTTTTTTGACTCTAGTAACAAATCTTGTCTTAAAGCCCTTTTGTCTGATACTAGTATAGCCACTCCACTTCTCTTTTGGATACTGTTTGTATGGTATACAATTTTCTATCTTTTCACTTTGGACTTACTTATATCTTTGAATCTAGTGTGTCTATTGTAGATGGCTTATGATTGAATTGTGTTTGCTTCATTCTGCATTCTCTGTCTTTTGACTGGAGAGGGATACGCATTTTTATTAGAGGAATGATATAGTCATTATTTGATAAATTGTACATTCATTGCTTTATTAAAAATTAGCTGATAAGGATTATCATATTAATTTATATTCCTTTTATAATTGATGAGATGCATTACTTGTATTAGATCTATATTAAGTTTGACGTCCTTTCATAATCTGTCTTATAGGATTCATTTTGTAACATATTTCTCAGTGTTCTGTGGGTTTTGTTGTTTTTTGTTTGTGAGATGGAGTCTTGCTCTGTTGCCCAGGCTGGAGGGCAGTGGTGTGATCTTGGCTCACTGCAACCTCCGCCTCCTGAGTTCAAGCAATTCTCCTGCCTCAGCATCCTGCGTAGCTGGGATTACAGGCGCCCAACACCACGCCCAGCTAATTTTTGTATTTTTAACGGAGACAAGGTTTTGCCATGTTGGTCAGGCTTGTCTCAAACTCCTGACCTCAAGTGATATGCCTGCCTCGGCCTCCCAAAGTGTTGGAATTACAGGTGTGAGCCATCGCACCCAGCCTCAATGTTTTAATAATATTTTTTGCAATGCAAATTAACACATTTGTTTGAATTGAAAAATAGAGGCAGGATTTTTCTGGAGGGAAAGTTCAATTTGGCTTACTGGTTTGCCAATATATGTAGTACACATGTTCCATAAATTGATCTAAATATGAAGGACCACAGTTTTGATTTTTTATAAATGTATAAAATTCAAGGGCAAAGTATAATGCAAATATGAGTTCAAAGAGAAAAAAATCTAAAATTTTTAAATTAAAACATCTTTCTCATTAAAAAAAGATAGTCATGGGTATCAGATTGTTATGATATTCAGATTTCATTAAATACATTAAAAATAATAGTAATTTAAAGTGACAAAATAAAATATATACTGAAATTACATCCTTTGCAACAATTATTTCAACTTATAATATTTTTAGAGGACTTAAAATGTATGTATAAGACATTTAAAAGTGTTCAAATATGCAAGCTATGTTTTGGAAAATATTCAGTTTCTTTAGGTAATTCTTAAGGGAAAAAGTTTGAAGAATAGATTAAAACCCTCCAAACTCATAGTCTCTAGTTGCCTTAGTTACTACTATATTCCTAGTACCAATCACAGCCCCGTGATTGAATGAGTGAATTAATGTGTTAAGTGCCCTGAATGGTATTGCAAATTACATACTTGCTGCCTAAAGAAAGGACAACCCAGGAGGCTGATGTTTTCCTACCTAGGTTAGGTAATTAGTTAGTAGGTAGAGAGCTGGGTCTTGATGTAAATGGGGAAAGGAAAGGGATACCTACAATCCTGACTCTCTTCCAGACAGCCCTGGATGGCTACGTTTACCTTTGGCAGTCCCTAGATAATGAGAGTAAGATTAGGACCTAGACTTAAGAGAGCTCAACAAAGTGTTAAGATCCATACACAGCAATTACCTTGAATTCTACACACTTTCCTGGAGCATCTACTTCTTGCCTGGCACTCTGCAAGGCACTGGGCATGGAAAGGTGAAGACGACAAGGTACATGGGCAATATACTTAAAGAAAGAGTTCTGATGAAGCAGGATAAATGCTGTAAGAGGACCATATCATGTTATAAGTTCAAGTACTGGAAAGTGCAGTTATTGACCATTTTGGCCTACCAAAAACTGGTAACTCATATGGTTCAACCTACATGTTATATGCAAATCCATGTGAAAGAACAGTAAGTCTTGAGGAATTTATTAAGCAGAGCAAATGATGTGCAGTTGGTGACATTTGAGCTGTACATTGAAGGATAAGGGAGAAGATGAGTGGATGGATAGGTGGCAGGTGGGGCATTTGAGAGAGCATAACCAGTAAGAGCAAAAGTGGAGAGTAATGGAAGGTGCAGATGCCATCTGGAAAAGGACACTGAGTGTTCTTTGTGTTGAGATCTGGGAAGTGAGGATAAGAGCGGAAAGGAGCCTCAGACGTATGTTAAGAGTGCTGCAGGCCCAAGACAACACTGTTCCGCAAGCAAAGGCAAGCTACCAAAACTTTTCTTAGAGGGAGTGTTGTTAACAGAAATATTTAGAACCCCCTCAGGTGGCTGAATGGGGAATGGGTTGCAGATAAGGAGATTGAAACTGGAGGCACTGAGATACTTAGGAGGTGGCTGCAATAGTTAAGGTGAATATAGTAGATGTGTACAGGGGTTGAGGAGTGGGCATGTTTCTCTGATGTAATTGTCATAGTTTGGCCAATTATTAGGTTTGACGGGTTAGTTAAAAGAGGTGCAGGTTCAGGAGTGGCGGGAAAGAGTAAGCTGAGTGGAGATATCAGAGAGTAAGAGTAGGGTTTTGGTCTATGGATCTTGGTTTTTGTTGGTGTGCAGTTGATAGCTGAGGCCATGAAAGTGTATGGGATTATCAGGCAAACTTACCTAGGGAAAGCAGGGAAACAGAATAAGGGCAAAGGGCAGAGGAGGGAGTTAGGGATGAATTTGTACCTTGTACTTTGCCTCATTTTATCTCTGTCACAGCACTTGTTTACCTGAGTGTCCACTCTTCACAAGTTTGTGAGATCTCCAAAGATGAGTATGAGCTAGATCTTATCCATTCTTTGGAATCCTCAAAGCTCCACTATACTCAAAAGGTAGCCACTTAAAGAAGTACTGACTGGATCATCCCCTTATTTTCTAGGTTTCAGGCATTGTTCTAAGTGCCACATAGGTGCCATTCCATTTCACACTTCATAATAGCTTTATAAATTGATGCTATTATTAGCCCCATTTTACAGATAAGGAAACTGAAGCATGAACTCATTCAAGGACACAATGAGTAAGAGCCTGGATTTAAACTCAGACAGTCTAAAACCAGAGGTCACTGAGTACTAAAGCCTATGCTATGGAATGAGTGGGATCAGAGTGACTTCTGTTTAGTACTTTGCAGCTTTGAATTGCTTTCATAAGCAATTCTAGTATCCTCAAAGTAACTTTGTAAGATGGGGGGGGGGGTAATACTATTATCTACATTTGATTTGTGAGTAAATGAAAGCTAATGTCAAGTATATTCCTGAAGACACACAGTAAGTGGCAAAATCACCACTGTCTTCCGAGTTACATTCCTGTGTTCTGTTCACTCCATCTTGTTTCCTGTGAATCCAGTTGTCTGCCCTATTGCTCAACAAGATAAAATGTCTGGGCTGGTGGCTGGAGGCTGGAGGAAGAATCTGGAAAGAGAGAGAGACTGTGGAAAAGGCATAGAAAGACCTTTGAACTAGCAGAACATATTTCTTTGAGGGACTTAGGAACTTCATTCTGGTAAGACTACAAGATATCAAACTTACTTGTGAATTCTAACATAGTCTCTTTTATTAATAATCAAGAATGTTTGAAATTTAGGTACAAACTGTGTATAGAAATGATTGGTTTGTTGGTTGTAAATGTAAACAGAGATAATTTACTAACTTGTTATTTCTTCATCCTTGCTGAGGTCATACCGTAACTTTTCCTTAGGCATAACATCAGGGGTCCCTATAGTGTCTAAAGGCTTTAGTCTCTTTGGAGCCTTCTGTAGTTCATTTACTGAGGAGGATAAGATTTATCCTCTTCATTGGAGAATGGAAACAAGAATGATGGATTCTCAACTTGTATAAGGCATTTGTTTTACCTAATCCTCTACCACACATAGATTTTTTTTTTTGATGTCTAGTCTCTTAGCTAGGATCAACTCACAAAAGATTTCAAAGGAACTGAAAATGAGATTGATATTAAGCTTTATACTTGTGTTCAGCTCATTTTAGTTCAGAAAAAAATGTCCCCGTACATCTGACAGATACTGCCTTATTTGAAATTTACAAATCTTAGGCAAGGTTGTCCTGCCATTTCTCTGCCATTACACAAGATTGGTTATCTTGCCAAGTTTCACTATTGCTAATATAGACTCTGAAGCAACAAATATTACAAAGGATTTATAGAAGAGAAATCTCCTGTTTTGTAAGTTAAATATAGACTTGTTTTTTCATATGAATGGTGAAAGTATATTATCTCTATGGCCAATATGTTTAGGCCCTTAACTTATAAAATAAGCAATGTTGTAGAAATTAAAACAGAGATACCTACATTCTTCTTGTTTAGGGAAGGATGGAAGGAAGGAATAAAATTCAGTAACTCTTTCTCCTAATAGTCATATTTATAATATTAACTATTAACAATTTATAATATAAACTATTAGCATTTATGTAGTTCTCTCCATATGCAAGGCATTATTCTGAACATTCAGTACCCTTTTCAAATCTGTGATAAATATTACTATTGTCTTCATTTCAAAGGCGAGTGAACTAAGGCACAAAGGTGTTAGGCAGCTTGCCTGAAACCACAGAGCTAATAGTAGTAACAGTATCCCAGAGTTCCTGCTCTTAATTTACTGTGCTGAAATTGTTGTGGATCTCATGATTTTGTCTCCACTAAACTGGAGAAGACTTCCAAGAGGTGGTGACAGTTTAGAATATCTTTGTTTTTTGTGAGGATATGTGGTGTTTGGTTTTCTTATTTTTTGGTTTGTTTGTTTGTTTGTTTTTGAGACAGGGTCTTCCTCTGTCACCCAGGAGGGATGGAGTGCAGTGCTGTAATCTCAGCTCACAGCAGCCTCTGCCTTCCAGGCTCAAGTGATCCTGTCACTTCAGCCTCCTGAGTGAAGATCTTTGAAAGATGGGAGTTAATTCACAAGAATGGAAATCTAGAGAATTTCAGTGTTTGAAAGTAAACTTCTGATTCTTACTGAAATCCGGAACAGTGCTTCTCCATGAAGCAGAGATGTGATGCTGCATTAACTTTATGAGAAACTGATTGCTGAGTGTCAGCATGGTTTTTCTGTTGACCTTATTGAAACCAGGGGCCGCAGATTTTCATTTACACATTCATGCTCATTGTTAGTGTCCTTCCTCTAGGTCATACACTCTGCAAATGGATGTTGTTTCTTCTTTTTCCCTTCCCTCCCTTCCTTCCATTCTCTAAGTCAATGAAATCAGTTAAACAAGCCTCTGTGCCAGGGGCTGATGAGTAAATAAATAAATAAATGAATAAGACTAGTGCTCTGGACTTTAAGGAGACTCAATGATTTTTTTTTTTTTTTGAGACGGAGTCTTGCTCTGTCGCCCAGGCACCATCTGGGCTCAGTGCAAGCTCCGCCTCCCGGGTTCACGCCATTCTCCTGCCTGAGCCTCCCAAGTAGCTGGGACTACAGGCACCTGCCACCACAACCGGCTAATTTTTTGTATTTTTTAGTACAGACAGGGTTTCACCCTGTTAGCCAGGATGGTCTGTATCTCCTGACCTCGTGATCCACCTGCCTTGGCCTCCCAAAATGCTGGGATTACAGGCATGAGACACTGCGCCCGGCCTCAGTGATGGTTTTAAATGGCCCTCTGTTCATGGTGTAAGCAGGTAAAAAAGAGGGAATTGTTACTTCAACCTGGGGCATTGGGGAAAGGCTTCATTGGAAAAGCTTAGTACTTGAGTTGAATCTTAAAAGATGTGTAGGTTGGGGGTGAGATAGAGGGAAATGGGAAGAACATTCTAGAAAGAGGTATCGGCAAGAATAGCCAAGCCTTGGAGGAGACAAATAGTAGGAAATGTTATAGAAAGGGAAGAGGGTGTTGCCTAGATGGAGCAAAGGGGTGAGGTGAGGCCATTTGAACAAGGCTGGAGAAGTAACGGAAATCAAGCCAGTCGAGACAGGGATTCATCACTGAAAATCCACTTCCAGGACCTGCACCCAACACAGGACCTGTATATGGTTACATAATTTGAACATTCCCAGCAGTTTGTCATCTAGTATCTGAGATTCAGGGCTTCAGGGATGCTGGATACTTTTACTAACATATTCTATGGTGTTTTATATAGGTCCTGGCAAGATTAACATTATTATTTTCTATGATGACAAATAACTAATACGAAATGAGGATCCGTTTGATCTTTCATATAAGGTCTAGAGAATGTTTCTTCACAGTTACCCCAGACCTTTGGTATAGCATCTGTTTTTCAGTTCTAATGCAAAAGTATGTTACTGAGATTGAATATTAACTACTGGTAATATTCATTCCAAATACCTATTTTCATCAAATTTCTTTTTTTTATCTTTTAAGTTCAGGAGTACACGTGCATGTTTGTTACATAGGTTAACTCGTGTCATGGGGATTTGTTGTACAGATTATTTCAGAGGTATGGAGCCTAGTACCTATTAGTTATTTTTCCTGATCTTTTCCCTCCTCCCACCCTCCACTCTCCAGTAGATACAGGGGTCTGTTGTTCCCCTCTATGTGTCCATGTGTTCTCATCATTTAGCTCCCACCTGTAAGTGAGGATATGTGGCATTTGGTTTTCTCTGACTGCGTTAGTTTGCTAAAGATAATGGCCTCTAGCTCCATCCATGTTCCTGCAAAGGACATGATCTCATTTTTTATGGCTGCATAGTATTTCATGGTGTATATGTACCACATGTTCTTTAGTCTACCATTGATGGGCAGTTAGGTTGATTCCATGTCTTTGTTGTTGTGAATAGTGCTGCAGTGAACATACACGTGCATGTGCCTTTATGATAGAACGACTTACATTCTTTTGGGTATATACCCAGTAATGGGATTTCTGGGTCTAATGGTAGTTCTGTTTTTAGCTCTTTGAGGAATTGCCATACTGCTTTCCACAATGGTTGAACCTGATTTACATTCCCAGCAACAGTTCCATCAAATTTCCCAAAACATAAATATGTAATACTTGTGATATGCCAGACAATGTTATATGCATTTTACTAACAATGCAATGAGAGATAGGCATCTTCATTATCCCTAGCTGATAAATAAGGAAACAGTAGTCGAGTAACTTGCCCAAAGTTATAAGCTAGTGAATGTGGGAGGTGGTAATTGTGCACAGGCAACCTACTCCAGAGATCTTAGGCCTGATTATCATTTATCTACTCTTCCAATTTATATATTTTTTTCAAACTAAATCACTGGACAGATTTTTAATTTCTTTTCACCACTTGTTTAATAGACATGACACTATATTATGTTAATATAATTCACATATACAAACATTACATGCCCATATGTGATACATGATAGTTATTATAGATCAGTAGTTCTCAACCCTGGATATACATTGAAATCATAAAGTGAGGGAGATTTTTGTTTGTTTGTTTTTGTTTTTGTTTTCGTTTTGTTTTGTGACAAGTTCTCATTCTGTTGCCCAGGCTGGAGTGCAGTGGCCCGAACAAGGCTCATTGCAGCCTCGATCTCCTGGGCTCAAGCAATCCTCCTACTTCAGTCTCCCAAGTAGCTGGGACTTTAGGTGCACTCCACCATGCCTGGCTAATTTTTAACATTTTTTGTACAGTCAAGGCCTCATCATGTTGCCCAGGCTGGTCTCGACTTTTGGGCTCCAGCAGTCCTCCTGCCTTGGCCTCCCAAAACGCTGGGATTACAGGTGTGAGCCACTGAACCTGGCCCATGTGATGAATTTTTAAAAAAATTGTTATTGGCTTAAGCCCCACCTCCAGAGATTCAGATGTAATTGCTTTAGGTGAAGCCTGGACATCAGTATTCAAGAAACTCCCCAGGTGATTCTAATATCCATCTGGGGTTGAGAACCACTGTACAGACCAATCATTTATGGTTTACTTCAGGCACTGTACTATATATTTTATACACATTATTGTCATTTCACATGACAACATGATTAGATAGGGTATAATTATTGGTGTTTTACAGATGTGGGAATTGAGGAACCAAGGGGTTATATATAATTTGCCCAAGTTCACACACCTAGTAAATTGCAGAGACAATGTATGAGGTAAAACCACATTTTCTTAGTTGTAACTACCATGCATTAAAATTAATCTGTGTCATAAATTAATTTATCAGCATTCTGGAATATATTTATTTGTATATACATGCTAAAACTCTTAAAATCTCAATAATTTAACCAATTTTCCATTCGGTCTGTTAAAAATACCTTTGAAACTAAATTATATATCTATTTCTATTATATACAATATATATTTTATATTATGTAATATATTGTTATATATGCCATGTATTTCTAATATTAACCTTTTCATTTCATCTTTTTTACTTCTGCATATCAATATGTAAAACATTCTAAATAAGCTTTCAAATACGTGAGTAACTTTTAACACCTACTGGTTGTTAATATTTCTATTGAGAAGAAAATAATATAAAAGCCATTTATCCTTAGTGAAAAAAACTTAAGTTACACTGTGTGAAGAATGTCCTAACCACAAGCAGCATCCAACAGCTAATATTGTTTTTGAGCACATGTTTGCTACTATGCCAAATAGAGTGTCTGCTACTTTCTATGTATTATTTCATTTAATATATTCAATGCATTACCTCACCTCATCTCTATATTTAAAACTTCCACGTTTGCATATCTAGCTCAGGACTCCCTTCTGAGGTATGAACTGCTTATTCAACTACCTACTTGATGTCTTCCCTCAGATGTTTGAGAGGTACCTCAAATATAACGTGTGCAAAATGAAGCTCTGTTTTCCTCCATTTTTTTTGTTTCCTCAGTCTTTTCCATCTCAGTAAATGGTTCACTGTCTACCCAGTGGCTTCATGCCGGAGAGCTAGGACACATATTATATTTGTCTTCCTTACCTTCCAAAATGATGTTGTTCGTTTTATCTCCAAAGTGTATCTCAAATCCATCCGTTTCTTTCTATTGCCACTGCCACCACTGTAGTCCCATCCATCGATATCGCTTGACAGAACCTTACTATAACCTCCTAACTCGTTCCCTTGTTTCCACTCCTGTTCTCTTATAATTCATTCTTTACCCAGTAGCCAGTGTTGCATCCAGTTCATCATTTATTTTTTTAAAGTCATCCAGTGGTTTCCTTGGCCTAGCCTACAAGGCCCTGTATCTTCTACCATCAACTCAACCCCTCACACGCCATGCTCAACTATCCTGGTCGTTCAGTCTTCAAACACTCTAAACTTTGTTCTGACTTAGAGTTTCTGTGCTTGCAGCTGCCTCAGCCCAGCTGACTCTTCTCCCAACTGCACAGCTGGCTCCTCATCTTTCAAACTTCATCTAAGATATATTTCCTCCTAGAAACCTTCATGGGCTGTCCACTCTAAAGTGTCCTCCTTCTCAGGCCATCTTTTATTTCCTCAGAAGCATTGCTCACCAATATGTAAGATTTAATTCATTTATTTATTTTATTGTCTATTTCATTTGAATATGAGATCCATGATACACTCAGATATGCCCTGTTTGACTTATCCCCAGCTAGTTACTTAGCATGTAGCACAAAATATGCTCACAATAGAAGATATTTTAGTTCTATGTTAAATGAATATAAATGTCATGAATCTTTAATATGCAATAAAAACATAATAATCTTTCCCTGAGATTTTAAGAGAAAAAGCTAGACTAATGGTTCCCAAACTCTATTTTATGTAGTAATAAAATAAGAGGGAAAAAAAGCAAGAATGAAAATTATGTTGTGAAGATTCTGCTATTGTTGTTAAGTATGTCTAGTTATAAACAAGAAAATCGCCACACTTTGTATGTCTGCCATCGTTGTACCAGACAGAATGGTGGAGAGCTAAAAGCATTCTAGGCCAAAGATTGCATCTATAAAGGCACAAAAATGGAGATGGTATGGTGGCTTGGAGTAAAATCAGTAAGTATAGTTTGAAGAAAGTGACCAATAACAAGTTTGAAGAAGTTGACAGGTTTAGATGATGGAGAGTTTTATAAACATGCGAAAGCATTTGGATTTAACTCTATAGGGAGTGTGAAGCTCTATAGCATAAAACAGCTTTCAATGGGAGAATGATGTGGTCCAATTTGTATTAAAAAATTATTTTGTGGCCAATATGGCAAATGGTTTGGAGGGAGATGAGATACAAATCAGAGAATCCAGTCAGAAGGCTGTCGGAATAACCCAAAAGCGAGATGGTAGGTCAGGCTTGAAATGAGGAGATGACATTGAGGATGAAGGTGAAGAAACTGGTCTTTGCTATTAGCAAAATAGCAAAAATTCTTGGAATGATTCCCATAACGTTCCAATTGAACACTGGTTCCAGTTCTGGCTTCTATCTTCTACCTATGAGATTTCAAATGCATTTCCATGTTGCATATCAGCTGGCCTCATAACATCCTTTTTTTTTTTTTTGCAAATATATCTTAAAGAAAACCATTACACTATAGAGCATTCATTATGAGGATTAAAAGAAGAAATGGATGTGAAAGCACTTTTAAAGTACTAGACAAATGGAAGCTATTTTTACTACCAGTAACTCAATTTAGTTTACAAAGAGAAAAATCACTTTCTAGCATGTAAGCTCTGGTAAGCAAACTCCCTAGGCAAAATGAATCATTCTTACAACCATAGCACTTTTTTGTACTTCTATCATAACACCTCCATTAATTATAAATTGTTTATGCATTTTTTTCATAGTGTATAAATCTTTTGGAGGCAGAGACAGAGGAGTCTTATGAATCATGCACCCTGGTTTATGGTAGACAGTAAATGGTCAGCAAATGTTAATTGCATGCATGAGTGAATGATTAGTTCACAGGAAAGGATAAAGCCAGGTAGCAGGGAGCTGGTACAGACATCAGAGATTAAATAAACAATAGGGCAAACATGTTAAAGTGAAAAGATTTAGTGTTATTAATGATCATATATTCCATTTTAGTCTACAAGATATGTATAGTGTACGTAGTGTATATACTGGTATATATATATGTGTATATATATATGTGTGTATATATATGTATATATATGGTATATATATGTGTATATATATATATGGTGTATATATATATATCTTGTAGACTGTACTACAAGACTGAATGCCAAAATTATCAACTTGCTGTATGTAAAGTTATTTTGTAATACTAATAATTAAAAATCCTTTTGTAGTATTATATTTGTTTATCCATTCATTCAGCAAATCTGTTTCCAATGCCTGTTAAGTACAAAACACCGTGTGGACATGTTCCTATTCTCAAGACGTTTGCTATACAGTAGGAAGGAGAGGAGGGCCTGCTCTCTGCCAAACACTGTCCTAGGAGTTTTGCACAATCCATTGAGTATTCTCTATATTTTTAACAGCCCTGAGAGGTAAGCATTATTACACCCATATTACAAATAAGAAACCTCAACACATGGACACAGGGAGAGGAATATCACACACCGGGGCCTCTTGGGGGGTTGGGGGCTAGGGGAGGGATAGCATTAGGAGAAATACCTAAGGTAGATGACAGGTTGATGGGTGAAGCAAACCACCATGACACGTGTATACCTATGTAACAAACCTGCACGTTCTGCACATGTATCCTAGAACTTTAAGTATAATAAAAATAATAATAATAGAATAAAATAAGAAACCTCAACTAAGAGAATATTATTAATTTCGCTGAGACCACAGAGCTAGGAAGAGGCAGAGGCAGGTCGATTGATAACAAGGAAGAGCATCAAGGATTATTTCTTTTTCAGAGTCTGGATCCATTGCAGCCATTTTGAAATTAACAAATAATAAGGGAAGGCCAACAAGGACAGATGTATAAAAGTATAATGAATCATAACAAGAGCTTCATCCTCCTGGAATTATTGGTTTAGTAGTACGATTTGGGAAAATGAATACAATCACAAGGTGGGAACTTAACCAAAGATGGTCAGATCATTGGGGGAAACAGCTCTCAGAAAGTGAGCAGCATCTAGGTGTGATATGAAAGTGTTCTGGGCTTGGAGGGCCAGAAGATTACTATTTACGACATCACTGCAGTTCTAGTTGTGTGGTGGTGGGAAGGACACTGAAATTTCTTGACCTCACTGCCCTAATTTGTTAAATATAAGAAATAATAGAGCTTTCTACCTTATTTTAAGAATTAATGGGTGGATGTATGGGAAAGCAGTTTCTAAAACGTGTTACAAATTTATGATTAAGAAAGCCAATTTCACAGAAACAAATTTTTGGTATAAGAGCCATCAAATAAGAGAAAGTATAAAGAAGTGACTTATACATGCTTATCCCTAGTAACATGGTGTCTGTTACACAGTAAGTGCTTAATAAATACTTTTTGAGCTTAGCTCCCGAATGACTGAAAGACACAAGAGAAAATCAGATTCTCTCTCTTCAAGTGAGTGGGAAGACATGTTACACCCAACTTGTAACCTATTCAACACACAAAACAGTTGTCAATAAATATTAGTTATAATCTAAAGTGCTGATTAAATTGGATCTTCTTTGTCCATTTGGTTGTTTAAGATACATAGGTACTTATGTGTTGCAGAGAGGTATGTACATGAGTACATGACTGTGTGTCTGTGTCTAAAAGAATATACTTGGGAGTTCTGGGGAGCTGTCCTCATATTTGTTTGGTTCTGTTAAGTATCTAATTCCTTTCTATTGGTAAGGGTTGGAAGCATGCAGCACAATTGGGCTCTAGAGTAGTACCATATATTTTCCATGGATATTATATTTCAGCAGGTATTATAGACACCCGTTAAAGGGATAAAGCTTAAGCCTGGTAATGCTATACGCTAGCCAGAGAGAGAATTTATTTGAGGAAGGCTGGTTTACTTAGCACCATCAAACCACATATTCGTAGTTATCAATCTGCCTACCACAAATACCTTTAAATTAAATAGGTGAGTATACATACACATGCCTTTGCTAAGAATGTGGCCAATACTCACCTACAAATCTTAATCTTGTGAGGAATAACAATAATAAGATTACTAAACATTATAGGAAGTCTTTATTCTACTTTAACGTTTCATTCAATGCCATTTAATTGTGTTTTTGTAATAAGATGTTATTAAGAATAAATGTTTAGAACCTCTGCCTCCTTGAAGATAGAGTAGATTATTTGCCTCTCTTCCTCCCACTAAGGACAATGAATAACCCTGAATATTATATACAAAACAAAAATCTAAAAGTCCAAAAGGTAAAGAAAAGAAGGATAACTGTCTAGGCATCTTGGAACCCAAGGGACAGTAAGGCCCTTTGGTTTCCTTTTTTGCCTTGTATATCCCAGAATTGGAGGTGGAGAAACTAGAACTCTGTAAATGCTAACATGTTCAAACAGCAAACAAAGCCCCAACAAAAGCCTGCTCTCTGTAGTCAAACAAACAAACAAACAAACAATCAAAACAGGAAAAGGGCAGTCTAGCAGCACAGAAGCTTTAGAAAATAACCATTCTATTCCAGCCAAATACTACAGAAAAAAAAAATGTGGCCTGGCTATTAGCTATGCCAGCAAAGACCAAGTGGGTAGCCTAGAGCTCCACCCTTGCTAGGCTGTAACAAAGTGTTTCCCCCCAACACCCTAAACATACCTGGATGGTGTTAGATGGTGCTGGATGGTGTTAGAGGAGGCCGAGTAGAAAACTAGTACTTTCATTCTTGCCGAGAAATAATGAAGACCCCCACTCACAATGTCAGTGGAGACCACATGTAAACCTGGACTTCCACCTGCACCCTGCAGTAATTAGGTTCTACTCCCTCACGCTACTGAGCCGACGTCAGAAGATACCTAATGAAGAGTCTGGACTTTTGCTAGTGTTCAGTGGTAATGAGGCCATACAATCCCTGTAGTGACATTGGAGGACATGTGGGGAGCAGTAATGAGTCATTTGCACTTTTATCCAGGGTGGTATCAGGGGAGGACTAGTGGGGAGCTGAGACCCCCACTTCCTCTCAGTAGTGACATGGAGCCCCCTGTTCTCAGGTATCAACAGGGGCCAAGTGAGGAACCTGGACTTCTGTCTCTACCTGGAAGTAATGAGTCAATATCCCCTTCTGCTGTTGCCAGAGTGATATCATAGATAGCTAACAAAAGTATAAAGTTAAAATAAAATCTGGAGTTTGTTAACAAAATACCCAAAATATCCAGATTCCAGTCAAAAATGATTCATCAAACCAAGAACCAGGACGATCTCTCTTGAATGAATAATAACAACGAATGCCAACACTGAGATGACAGAGATGTTAATATTTGAGGAGTTTTCAACCATTATTTTTTCAGCTTTCCCTTTTTTCTCCCTCCCATATTCCAGTGACATGAATGTTAGAGCTTTTATTTTAGTCATAAAGGTCCCCAAGTCTCTCTTTTTTTCAGTATGTTAAGATTGCATAATTTTCATTGTTCTCACTTTCAGTGTACTGATTATCTTTCCTGTCCCATTTATCTGAAAAAGAAAGTTAAAGCAGCTATTATAAAGATGCTTCAATGAGCAATTATAACATGCTTGAAACAAATGAAAAAAAGTAGTTTCAGCAAAGAAGTAGAAGCTGTAAAGAAACTCAGATTTTAGAACAGAAAATGCAATAACAAATAAAAAAATTCAGTGGATGGACTCAACAGCTGAATGGAAGGAACAGAAAAGAATCAGTAAACTGAAAGAAAGAATAATAGAAATTATCCAATCTGAACAATAGAAAATAAACTTAAAAATTGAACAGATACTCAGGACTTATGTGACTATATCAAAAGATCTAATATTCATATCACAAGACTACTGGAACCAACAGGATGTAATCAGTAGTTACAGAACACTCAATCGACAACAGGATATAATCAGTAGTTACAGAACACTCAATTGACAACAGGATATAATCAGTAGTTACAGAACACTCAATCGACAACAGAATACAAATTTTTTTCAAGCACCTATGGAACATATGCCAAGTTAAATCATATTCTGAGTCATAAAAAGAACAACAACAAACTTATAACAATTAAAATCATCCAGAGCATGTTCTCTGACTATAGTGACATCAAACTAGAAATTATTTTAAAAAATAACAGTAAAACCTCCAATCACTTAAAAACTAGACAATTTACTTCTAAATAACCTTTGAGTCAAAGAAGAACTCTCAAGGGAAATAAAAAAATACATTGAACTGAATGAAAATGGAAATAATACATGTCAGAATTTGTGGGATGCAGCTAAAGCAGTACTGAGAGAAAAATTTATAGCACTAAATGCTTACATTGGAATGCAGGACACATTTCAAATTAATAGTCTTAGCTTCCACCTCAAGAAACTAAAAGAAGAATAAATAAAATAAAGCAGGCAAAAGAAAGGAAATAATAAAGATAAGAGTAGAAATTAACAAAATTAAAAATAGAAAAAGAGAGAAAAAGAAACAGTTGGTTCTTGCAAATTTCTAGCAAGAGTGACAAGGAAAAGAAAGAGAAGATGCGATTTACCAATATAAAAAAATGAAACAACTGATATCACCACAAACCCTGAAGACATTAGATAATAAGTGAATATTCGAACAACTCCACATACAAACATTTGATAACAAATAAAATGAACCAATTCCTCAAAAAGCAAACTCTCAACACACTCAATAAGAAATAGATAATTTTTATAGCCCAACAACTCATAAAAATTGAATTTGTAACTTTAAAACTCTTTGATCCCCACCCAAATCTCATTGAATTGTAATCCCTGATGTTGGGGGAGGAACCGGGTGGGAGTCTATTAGATCATGGGGAGGGGAGGATTTCCCCCTTGCTGTTCTCATGATAGTGAGTTCTCATGAGATATGGTTGTTTGAAAATGTGTAGCACTTCCCCCTTCTCTCGCTCTCTCTTCCTCCTGCTCCTACATGTGAAGATGTGTTTCTTCCCCTTGCCTTCCACCATACTTGTAAGTTTCCTTAGGTCTTCAAGCCATGCGTCCTGTACAGCCTATGGAATTGTGAGTCAATTAAACCTCTTTTCTTCATGAATTACCAGTCTCAGGTACTTCTTTATAGCAGTGTGAGAATAGACTAATACATTTCCCAAAAAAGAAGTATCCAGTCCCAGATTATTTTACTGGAGAATTCTACCAAATATTTGAAGAAGAACTAATACCAATTCAGTGCAGTCTAGTCTCTCTAGAAAACAAACTAGAACTACTTCCTAATTAAACTTACGAGGCTAATTGTATTTTGAAATGAAAACTCAAAAGAAGTACAGAATAAATAAAACTATAGGTAAATATCCCTCATGAATATAAACACAAAAATATTTTATAAAACTAACAAATATAATTCAATAATATATAAAAATAAAATAATTATACTTCATGACCAAAATAGATTTATTCCAAGGATGCAAGTCTGGTTCAATATTGAAGAACCAGCCAGTGTAACCCACCATATTACCAGAGGAAAGAAAGAAAAAAAACACACAATCATGTTAGTTGATGCAAAGAAAACAAAATAAAACAAAAAACATTTGACAGAATTCAGCGTGTATTTATTATAAAGCTATCATAAAAAATAGAAATACAGGATAACTTTCTCAGCTTGAGTAAAAAAATATAAAATATCTACAGCTTAGCATTATACTTAGTGATGAATTACTGAATGCTTTCCCCTTAAATTGAGAAGCATTATACTTAGTGATGAATTACTGTATGCTTTCCCCTTAAATTGAGAAAAAGACATGATGTCAGCTTTCATAATTCTTATTCTACGTAATGCTGAAGTTCTTTCTAGTTGTCGCAATTAAGGCAAGAAAAGAAAGACACACACATCAAAAAGGAAGAAATACTACTTTAACTATTTGTAGAAGACATGGTTGTCTACATAGAAAATCTGAAAGAATGTATTTTAATAACTCTCCCAGAACTCATAAGTTCAGAAAGATCACCGGATACCAGATAAACATGCAAAAATTAATTGCATTTCTATATGCCAGCAATGAAAACACAGACATCAAAATTAAAAGTATGATACCATTTACAATTCCTCCAAAAATTAAATACTGAGGTGTAAATATAAAAAATATGTACAGGAATTGCAAGCTGAAAACTACAAAATACTGATGAAAGAAATCAAAGAATTTCTAAATAAATGAAGAGGTGTACTATGTTTATGGATTGGAAGACTCAACATAATAAAAATGTCAATTCTCCCCAAACTGATAAACAGATTTAATAAGATTCTCATCAAAATTCCAGCTATATTTTTTATGCATGCAGACAAGATTATTCTAACAGTAGTATGGAAAGGCAAGGAAACTAGAACAGCTAAAACAATTGTGAAAAAGAATGTAGTGTGAGGAGTCACTCTGCCCAAGTTCAAGACTTATGTAGCTATAGTAACCAAGACTGCATGTTATTGGCAGAAGGATAGACATATAAATCAAAAGGACAGAATAGAGAATGAAAACAAAGGGACTACATAAATATGCCCAAATGATTTTTATTATTTTTAAATTTTTTAATTAAATTTTTTTTGTAGTTGAGATGTTTGAGTTCCTTGTATATTCTGAATATTAATCCCTTGTAGGATAAATAGTTTGCAAATATTTTATCTCATTCTGTAGATTGTCTTTTCACTCTGCTGATTATTTCCTTTGGTGGGCAGGTTTTTAGTTTGATTTCATCCCATCTGTCTATTTTTGTTTTTGTTGCCTGTGCTTTTCAGGTTTTATTCATAAAATATCTTCCCAGACCAATTTTCTGAAGCATTTCCCTGTTTTATTTTAATAGTTTTATTATATTGGGTCTTACATTTAGTTCAAAATGGGGGTCTAGTTTCATTCTTCTGCATATGGGTATTTAATTTCCCTAGCACCATTTACTGAAGAGATTGTCCTTTCCCCAGTGTATGGTCTCGGCAATTTTTGACAAAGATGGAAAAGCAATTCATAGGAGGAATTATAGCTTTTTCAACAAATGGTGCTAAAGCAATTGTAATTTATAGGCAATAAAAATGAACCTCAACTTAAACTTCACATGTTATACAAAAATGTAAAATGAATTATGTATTTAAACATAAAACATAAAACTGTAATCTTTTAGAAGAGAACATAGGAGAGAAGCTCTATGACCTAGTCTTGCGTGAAGGGTTCTTAGATATAACATTATTAGTAAGATTCATAAAAGAAGAAAATGAATAAATTGGACTTCACCAAAATTAAAAACTTTTGCCTTCAGAATGACACTGCTAAGGGAATGAGAAGACAAGATACAAGCTGGAGACCCAATATTTGGAAACCACTTGCCTGACAAAGGGGTAGCATATAAAATACATAAAGAACTCTCAAAACAAACAACCTGATTAGCAAATAGCAAAATAAAAATTAAAGCCATGATGAGTTATCACTACATACCTATCAGAATGGCACAAATAAAAATTATGACAATACCAAATACTGTTGAGAATGTGGAGAGAGTGGATCTCATTTGTGTTGCTGGTGGTATGTAAAGTGGCACAGTCACTCTTGAAAAGAGGTTGGCAATTTCTTTATAAACTAAATATGCAGCTATCATACCATTCAGCAATTCCACTTTGAGGGATTTATTCAGGGAAATGAAAGCTTATTTTTACAGAAACTTGTACAAAAATATTCAAAGAAGTTTTATTTATAATAGGCAGAACTGGAAACAACCCAGATGTCTTTTAATAGATGAATGGTTAAACAAACTGTGATATGTCAATGTTTATTCATCATCTATTTGGTGTCACAGGACTCAACCAGGTGCTTAAATACACTTGTGACTTAAATCTCAGAATGTAAATATTATTATCCTAATTTTGTAGATTAGAAATTTGAGATTAAGGGAGTTTTATAGCTTAGCCAATGTCATTCAGGGCAAAGGCTAGAATTTTCAACCTGAGTTCATGGCATTCCAAAACCCATTTATATCCCACCACAGGAACCTGCCATGAAAATTAGGTGAGGGACTATGTGTGCTTGTTATTCTTTGTAGTTGAGAAGGATATAACTAATCATGTTATACCCTGTCTAAGGACTACTTCTGTCATTAGATTTTCAGCCCAAAGTGATTGCCTAAGAGCAGACTTTCTTTTTCAGTAGTTCCCATTCAATGCATTTACCTAGGTATCTGCAAAGTCATGGCATTTGATGAGACTTCTCTAAGAAAGAGAATGGGCTTAAACTCTCTTCTGTTGACTCATTTAACTAAGTAACAGAACTAATGCTTGTTCTTTGTCATAATTAGGTTTGCAACCTCATTTGTGGAGCCTAAAACACTCATTTGCACACATAGCTGCCTGAAATGGCTTTGTTTTACAGTGCATTTCCTCGTCTTCAGAGTCAACTAAAACACAACCATTGAGGTCCACAGTTATGGAACAGGCATGGCTGAAAAAGTAGACATATCATCACATTTTGTAGCCAGAAGAAATTATTCAATTGAAACAATCACTTCATTTTGTAGAGGCAGAATAACTTGTCCAGGTCACACATATGTGATTAAAATTAAAACATGAGTCTTAGATTTCTCCTGAGGCTCAAATCTGGGTGTTACCAAAACTTCTTTCTATGCTCCATACGTTGAATTCCAGTTGCTATTTGTTCCAAGTTTTACAAGAGCAATTCTTGTTTTGTGAATATACCATGAACAAAATACTTAATTATTTCTTTTAAAAACCAAACCAATTTCAAAGTCCTTAAACCTAGAAGGAATGGCAGCTGCAAAGATATAACTTGCTATGTTACCTAAGCACCTCTGTGTTTTAGCCATGCCTCTTAATTTTGATTCCTTAACAAATTCTTATTTGGTGCTTACCTTGCATTTTGCTTGGCTCTGGAGAAGTGATTCAATGATAAACCAATAAAAATACTGCCTTTATCTAATTTAGAGTGTTGATGCATGAGAGAAATGAGATAGTAGATGTGAAAACTGAAAACTTTTTGTAAAGTGTACAATTCTGTAAAAATTAGACATAACATGACACCATTTGCAATTGCCAGTGTACATATCATAGATGGAGATTTGAAATATTGAAAACTCCTGATCATAAACAGAAGATACATTTATATTGTAAGTTTATGACATCTAGACATTGAAATTGGACAGAATGCTTAGTAACAAAAGTTTGTTATGTGCCAGTCACTTATTTGTAATTTCTGTTCTCCACTCAAATGTAAATATAGAAAAATTGTATCTTTTTTATTACTATTATTCCAGCTGTTCGAATAGTAAGCACACACTATGCACTAAATATTTGATGAACAAGTTAATAAATTAATACTTTTTGTGTATGTATGTTAGTTTTATGATACAGGACCAAAAGTGGAATTAGTGGACATAAGATTATATAAAGTCTTGATAGATATTGCTAAATTCCTCTTCCAATTAATTGATTATACCAATTTATCTTTTAATTATCTAATTTATTAAAAAGGATACTGAGTGCCTTTATATTTTAAGCTCTTTTGTATCTGGCTAGCATGTTTTTCTTCTGGGAATAACAGTCCCTTCCTCTGGGAATTATGACTTCCCTCATCCTTCTGCTGAGAGCAGCCAAGTTAATGTGAACTCATCTTCTGATGCAACGATTGCGTCAGGAGGGGTTCCAGAATCAAGCTGGGCTAATCATAGAACCTCATCTCTGAGGTCATCAATTATTGGTCCAGGAATGTTCATTGGATCTAGTCAGGGCCAGAGACTGACTTTCTTGGAATTTTTGGGCATGGGAAACGTGACTTGAATCAATAATTTTCTGATGGTTGAAGCTATTAAGGACTTAAAACTCAGAATTTGTTGGTTGCTGTTTTTCACCAAAAGGACAAAGTTAGTTGGCACCAAGAGAGAGAAGTATGAAGCCCATACCCAGAGATGATGGACTTATCCCCCAAGATAAGTCCAAATGGAATTTCAGTGCCTGGTTCTCCGTGCTCCTGCAGTCAAACTACATGAGCAATGTTAAGATTCAGGAAATATCTCAATCTCTTTATGATGATAGTAGTAAACAGTAATAATTTTCTTCTTTTTAACTTAAATTGGTTCAAATTATCTTTCCCCCATTTTTTGTAACCAAGCATCATAATAGTGAAGCTTACTACACCAGCAGGCACCTTGACTTAATGTTCTCTTAAAAAGTATATGAAAGCATCCATTTGCCCATATATTTACCTATAAGGGATGTTATAAATATTTACATTGTTGTGTTCATATGGTGAGTAAAAACAATGGAATCACTTATTTGTTTTAATTTGTGTTACTTAAGAAGCAGCTACGCTGAGAATGTTTTCCGGTCTTTATTGGCTATTTATAATTCTGTGAATTGCTGATATATAATATTTCGTCATTTTTCTCTGGGGTTGTATTTTTCTTATTAATTTGCAGAAACTTTTGAAAAATCGCTATTAATCTTCATTATATTCATGGCGACTATATTTTCTTGGCCTATGATATGCCCAGTTGTGTTTGTTTATGCTGTATTTTATCACATAGAGGTTATTTTATGTATCCAAATATATTATACTTTTTCTTTAGGATTCCTGATTTTTTTCTTGTTTAGGAGCATTTGTCCCACTTCTAAATTATTTTCAAAAATCTAAATTTCCTTTTTACACATCTTAGTTTATTTTCTACCTTTCATTTTATGTTATTCCAATCACTGTACTTTGCTCTTTTCATATGAAATGTAATGCGTACTTTGCAAGATAAGTATTGTTATCTCTATTTTCCAGATTATGGCAAGGAAAATGAGTTTCAGAAATTTGTTCAGGTCACACATAGTAAGTGCTGATATTCTGGCAGCAAACCTCATAATCGTTGATATAGTTAGGTTCTGTGTCCTCACCCAAATCTCATCTAGTAGCTTCCATAATTCCCACATGTTGTGCGAGGGACCCAGTGGGAGATAATTGAGTCATTGGGCCGGGTCTTTCCCGTGCTGTTCTCATTACAGTGAATGGATCTCATGAGACCTGATGGTTTTAAAAACAGGAGTCTCCCTGCACAAGCTCTCTCTTTGCCTGCCGCCATCCATATAAGATGTGACGTGGTCCTCCTCAACTTCTGCCATGATTGTGAGGCCTCCCCCAAATTGCCCAGTCTTGGGTATGTATTTATCAGCAGTGTGAAAATGGACTAATACAATCCTTCAAATTTTCATGCCATCTGTGCAAAATATAGATGAGAAACTGGCTAATTTATAACTGCTGGAATTTTATTTATTCCCTAAGTGATTTGAGTTAATACTGCAAATTAATATAACAATATAGATATATATTGTATATGGGACCTTGGATCAGTACAAACTGTAGTCTAAATGCACTTTGTATTCAATATGTCCTTGA
The DNA here is from genome assembly GCF_000001405.40 of Homo sapiens. Classification (NCBI taxonomy): domain Eukaryota; kingdom Metazoa; phylum Chordata; class Mammalia; order Primates; family Hominidae; genus Homo; species Homo sapiens. The sequence goes on along the minus strand of NC_000004.12, from coordinate 14,966,434 downwards.
TTAAGAAATTGGTGAATAAATAAATGATAGGGACTGGGGTGGCAAGGGTCACACTAAGCTCATCTGCGCTTGGAGAGTCAAGGTTAAACTAGAAGCAAAGATGTGGAATAGGATGAGGAAAAAGCTGGATGTCAGGTGTGTGCAGCAGCACCGTTAAGGCACAGCTTCCTACCTGGAGTTCCCAGCTATTCACTATTCTTCCCATAGCGATGAGTTGAGGCTCACTCCTCTGAATTTGCCTAGTGCCTTCACACACCTCTATAGCACTTTTGTCCTTGTCAGCTTAGTGCACTAGGCAGTGTCCTCCCAAGCCGTGGCACTTAGTCTTTTTGTTCTGTGCCCCTGGTCTCCTCATAGCACCAGGTATACTATGGAGATGTGGTCCACACACAGGCCAGAGAGCCAGCTGGGGCTGTTGAGCTTGGAAATGTGGCCTGTGATCTAATTTCAGGATGAGAAACTTAGAAAGTTGCCTTATTCTTGATGTTTTTCAAATAATTCTAGATGTAATCATTTTGGTGGCTTAAAAGCAGTGCCAACTTTCTTAATGGCATTCTTCTACTCAATAAAGCAGGCAATTTAAGTTCCAAGGATGTATATATTTCCTATGAAACCCAATAAGTCTATTTTCTTTTTGAATGAAAGAAATATAGCCTCTAAGTAATACACACACACATACACCCCTATGTGTACATGTATGTATCCATACATATTATTCCTGTATTGGCCTTCATGTAAAAGAAGGCTGCTCAGTACTGGACTCCATGATCAGCAAATGCCAAACTTGGGAAATGTTCAAGTCATCAGTCCATAGATACATTTAACCAGTAATGCATCAGTCTTCCCCATAGGTAGATCCCATCAGAGAGACATCAGTAGCCTCAGCTGCTTCCTCCTGGCTGATACCCCAAAGACATTAGGGTGTTCAGTGGTACCTGCCAGGTGCCCACCTCCCAGAAATGGTGTTTAAATGATGGCCTAACAAAAAAGGTCAGTGGACATCATGTTATGTGTGCATTTCACCTGCATAAATGCAATCACAGGGGCTGTAGTAACCATAGAAGTGTGCCACTCAGATTCCCTTTTAAGAGGACCTTTTGTGGGAAGCACAGCTGTTGGCAGCTGTTAGACTTTCACATTTGAAACTGCCAATGCTGTGCGTCATCTAGACTCTTCTAGCCAACATCTGGGTATGGCAGGGGCACTGGGTCCATTCCTTCTCTACCCAATGTGGGATTCCACTAACAGGCAGTGTTGTGTTTGCTTGTTGACTCCTTATTGGTTTGGCTGAGATTTTCTTAGAACTTCACTGTAGTCTGAGCTTTTCCTGGCCAATCCTTCTTTCTCCCTCTCCTTGCATAAGTATCCAATCTGTGTTATGATCTGAAAGCTCTTCCTCATCACTCCTGCTCCCTTTTTCTTTATCTTTCATATGTGTTTTCCCCATCAAATCTCTTGTTTATCTAATCCCTTTTTGGTGCCTACCTCTCAGAAAATCTGAATTGATACAGCAGCTCATCTGAAAAAAAAAGATGGGGTGGTGGTGGTGGTGGAGAAAACAGCAACTTAAATAGTGCCATCTACGAATTAGGAGTGTTCACTGAATGAGCATGAGATGCAGGTACCTTGTTCCCTCAGCCAGGTTCTATGTTCCTTAAAGTCCTAATTTTAGTCAGTAAATATTTATGGCATTTACTCTATGCCAGACAATGTTCTAAATATTTTATTTATACTGAATTATTTGGTGTTTACATCAGCCATATGATTAACTACTGTTTCCATTTTGCAGATGAGAACATTGAAGCACAGAGAAATTATGTTAACTTGTCCAGTGCCAAAGAGCTATTAAGTGGCAGAGCTGGGATTTACTTCCACTGCACTGTTGCCTCTTTGGTTAGGAGCTCTTTGCTGTGCTGAGATTGCAGTATTTAAAGATAGGTATTTTTGATAAAATATGTTCATTAAACTATCTTCAATTTCTTTGCATGATACTTAGCTAAATAAATAAGAATTTCTTTCCAGCAGTGAAAGGAAAGCTGACTACACTGAATTTGTTAGTCTTCAGTATGGCAACTTCCTACAAATTGAGGTTCAGAAAGTTGTCCAGGTCATTTGCAAGAAGAATATTGATATTATATATATACATATATATATATGACCATATATTATATAATTAATATCTATAATCATATATTACATATTATATGATTATAGATACTAATTATATATATTATAAATATATAATTATTACATCTATATTATATATATATTAAAAAAATATATATATCAGCTATTTCAAATGACAATTCCCAGATTTGCTTCATCCAGGCAAAGTCTTTTAGTGGATTTTTGTGGGGTAAGAGTGAAAAGGGTCGGTGGTATGTTCCAATGTTGGAAAATTAGTCAGAAATATATATTTCTCTTCTATTACCAGCTGGAAAACTCTATTTTCAGAGGACTCATGTGACTCAACAGGACCCACTTGGATAATTTCCATATTTTAAGGTCAACTGTGCCATATAAAAAAATCTAATCACAAGAGCAGAATCCACCATATTCATGGTCAGTAAAGCAGGCAATTCAAATTCTAAGAATATATATATTTTCTGTGGAACCCAATAAGGCTATTTTCTTTTAGAATGAAAGAAATATAGCTCTTAAGTAATACACCAAGAATTATTTAATTTAATAAGTTTCAATTCAGAAATATATATTTCTGACTAATTTTCTGACATTAGAATATACCACAACCCTCTTCACTCTTACCCTGCAAAAATCCACTGAAAGACTGCCTGGGTGAAGCAAACCTGGGAATTGTCATTCAAAATAACTGATTTTTGCGGAGTGATGGATGACAATTTTCAAGTAGTTACGATGCTCTGGATAATGTAGTAGATAATGAACATGCATCCAATAATTTAAATCACACAACCACCTGTGGAGTGGTTGCCCATTTAAGAAGGAAGAAATCCGGGCCGGGCGCGGTGGCTCACACCTGTAATCCCAGCACTTTGGGAAGCCGAGTCGGCCGGATCACGAGGTCAGGAGATCGAGACCATCCTGGCTAACACGATGAAACCCCGTCTCTATTAAAAATACAAAAAATTAGCCGGGCGTAGTGGCGGGCGCCTGTAGTCCCAGCTACTCGGGAGGCTGAGGCAGGAGAATGGTGTGAACCAGGGAGGCGGAGCTTGCAGTGAGTGGAGATCACGCCACTGCACTCCAGCCCGGGTGACAGAGCGAGACTCCGTCTCAAAAAAAAAAAAAAAAGAAGTAAGAAATCTGAACTAGATATATAAATGAATTGCTCAACGTCAGAGCTCGTAAGTAGCTGAGTCAAATGAAAACCAAACCTTACCAATTAGTCTGTGTTGTTGTTATTTTAAACCGCCTGCATTAGCTAACAGGGTTTATATTTCTGAGCTACCCCCTCACTCCCAACTATTCTTGCTTCTGTGGACTTTCTTCTTAACCATGGCAAATCAGACCTACTTTAAGCTTTTCATGATGTCACAGGACTTCTTTATGAATTAAATTACTTTAATGCCAACATTTGTGAGATTATGTGTGATTTTAGACAACTACTTTGTTACTCATTCTTTTTTCATTCACCAATGTTTATAAAATACCCTCTCTCTCTCTTTTTCTTTTTCTTTTTTTTTTAAGACAGTCTCTCTGTCACCCAGGCTGGAGTGCAGTGGCGCCATCTCGGCTCACTGCAACCTCCGCCTCCCGGTTTCAAGCAATTCTCCTGCCTCAGCCTCCTGAGTAGCTGGGATTACAGGTGCGTGCTACCACGCCTGGCTAATTTTTGTATTTTTTTTAGTAGAGGCGGGGTTTCACCATGTTGGCCAGGCTGGTCACGAACTCCTGGCCTCAGGTGATCCACCCACCTCAGCCTCCCAAAGTGCTGGGATTACAGGTGTGAGCCACTGCGCCAGGCCTAAAATACCTTCTCTTTTAGGCAGATAGATAAAGGCCATTCTAAAACAAGCCCTAAGATTTCCTGCTTACTGTTGCACATATTTTTCATAATCCCCAGGACAATGAATATGGTGGATTGTAATGGTTAATACTGAGTGTCAACTTGATTGGATTGAAGGATGCAAAGTATTGATCCTGAGTGTGTCTGTGAGGGTGTTGCCCAAGGAGATTAACATTTGAGTCAGTGGACTGGGAAAGGCAGACCCACTCTCAATCTGTGTGGGCACTATCTAATCAGCTGCCAGTATGATCAGAATAAAAGCAAGCAGAAGAACATGAGAGACCAGACTGGCTTAGCCTCCCTGCCTACCTCTTTCTCCTGTGCTGGATGTTTCCTGCCCTCGAACATCAGAGTCCCAAGTTCTTCAGCTTTGGGACTCGGACTGACTTTTTTGCTCCTCAGCTTGAAGATGGCTTATTGTGGGACCTTGTGACTGTGTAAGTTAATACTCCTGAATAAACTCTCCTTTTTAAATACATCTATCCTATCAGGTGTGGTGGCTCATGCCTGTAATCCCAGTACTTTGGGAAACCGTGGCAGGCAGATCACTTGAGGTCAAGAGTTCGAGACCAGCCTGGCCAACATGGTGAAACACCGTCTCTACTAAAAATCCAAAAATTAGCTCTGTATTCTGGCACATGCCTGCAATCCTAGCTACTTGGGAGGCTGGGGCAGGAGAATTGCTTGAACCCGGGAGGCGGAGGTTTCAGTAAGCCAAGATCGCACCATTACACTCAGCTTGGGCAAAGAAGTGAGACTCCATCTCAAAATAAAGTAAAATAAAATAAAATAAAATAAAATAAAATAAAATAAAATAAATACATCTATCCTATTAGTTCTGTCCCTCTAGAGAACCCTGACTAATACAGTGGACTTTGCTCTTGTGATTGGATTTTTTTATATGGCACAATTGACATTAAAATAGGGAAGTTATCCAAGTGGGCACTGTTGAGTCATAAGAGTCCTTGAAAACAGAGTTTTCCAGCTGTTAATAGAAGAGGAAGTCAGATTGGAAAGCATAAGAAGGTTTTTCCACACAATTGCCAGCCTGAAGATGGAGGGGCCCAGATGATATGGAGTGTGGGTGGCCTCTAGGAACCCTTGGCTGGCAGTCAGTAAGGAAATGGAGATCTTAGTTTTATAGTATAATGAAGCTGGATTTTGCTAATACTCTGAATGAGCTTGGAAGCAGATTCTTTTCCAGAGCCGCCAGATAAGAACTTAGCCTAGTCAACACCTTGATTTCAGCCTTTAGTGCTCTCATCAGATCATAGACCCTAGCCAAGCTGTGAATGGACTTCTGACCTAAAGGACCAGGACTAATAAATGGTTGCTGTTTGGAGCCACTAAGATTATGGTAATTTGTTATGCTGCACTAGAGACAAATATACCCTTTATAGAGGATCATGATAGTTCTTGGTCCTGAGGATATAACATAGCCTCTGCAATCACAGAGTTTATGTTCTGGGAGAAGGATGGGGGATGAAGAAGATGCATGAAGAAATACCAATAAATAAACACACGGTAAAATATCAGATGGTGGTCAGTGTTATGAAGAGAATTATAATGGGGTGATATAATTGAGAGTGTTAGGGGGCTTCTTTAGATCAGTTGGTCAAGAGAAGTCTCCTTGATGCAGTCTTATTTGAAAAGACTCGTATGACAAGAAGTTTCCAGTCAAATTCAGTTCTGGGAGAAGTGCAATCCAGGTAGATGAGGTGCCACTGTGAAGGGCTTCACGTGAGGAAGAACTTGTGATTGACAGACAGGTGGTATGGCTGGCCCCTAGATGATGGTGGGGCCAGAGGAAGTTGGAGAGATGGTTAGAGGTCAGATTTGGTGGGACTTTGTGTATTATGGTAAAGAATTTGAATTTGATTCTAAATGTGTTGCACCATTGGAAGACTCTAAATAGATTATATGATTTGATTTATACTTTCAAGATTTTATACAGTGCGGAGACACATAGAAAGATTTCAGTTAGAAATAGAGCAAGACTTTTTGTTCCTCTTTCAAAAAATTGAAATACTTATCCACCTGTACATGTGGAGAATATTTATATTTTTATTTAAAAATTAAATATTTATTTTATATTTTATATTTTTATACATTTTATATATGTATTTATATGTATATATACACATATAAATTTATATATATGTATTTATATGTATATATGTGTATATATATACGTATATGTATATATACGTATATATATAAAATATATATTTATACATTTTATATTTAAAGTTTTAACGCATTTTTTTTTAGCTCAGGGACATTATCCTTTTACACTTTTTCTATCCTCCTTTTACCCTTGTCCTTTTTATGTTTTCTATCTTCTCCTTTCTGTGTTTACTTTTTTTATTTTGAAAAAAATCAGAAAAAGTTTACAGAGAAGAGTATCAAAATATCTGACCAAGAATCAACATTTAACATACTGACATGTTTGCTCCAAGTTCTTATGCTTTTTAAAAGAAGGGAATGTTATGAGTTAAAGTCAAGCCCATTTTGTCCTTCATCCTTATCCTAATTTTTTTTTTTGAAGAAGTTAAATGTATCATAGATTTTGTGTGTATCCTTCTAGGCCTTTATTGATTTTTAATTTTTTTACATACACATGTATGTTTAATTGTTTGGTGGATTTTTAAATTAAAAACACTATCTTTTACATATTTATTATTTATTTATACAATGTCACTAAATTAAGTTTGTATAAAGGCTATAATAAATGTTAAAAAAAGGTTTGCCTAGGCTAATAGGAAAATGAGGACCAGTTGAGAGTCATCTGTGGACATTCAGATGAGCAAAGATGGTGGTTTGGACAAGGGCAATGGTAGTAGTGGTGAAGAGAAATGGATAGATTTGAGATCTGTTTCAGAGACAGTCCTTGCTGATGCATAGGATGTGAGAGATGAAGGACAGAGAAGAACTAAGATAACTCCTAGATTTTTTTTTTGGCTTGAGCAATTGAGAGGATGAGATTGATGAAAATAAGAGGTTGGATTGTGGAGAATCAATAGGCCTATTTTGGCCATAAAACGTTTGAGCTGCCTATCGGGCATCAAGTGAAGACGTCAAGTTTACAGTTACATATGTAAGTCTGAAATTCAGAAGGAAGATTAAAATTGGAGATAAAAATGTGGGAATGATCAGCAAAAGGAATCATACATAGGACCTTGAGATTACCTAAAGAGAGACTACAGATAGACCAGATAAAAAGGATAAGGACTGAAGTCTAGGGTACTCCAAAATTTGGGGATCAAAGAGTGAACCTGCATAGCAGTATGAGCAGGAATAGCCAATGCATTAGAGGGAAACAGGACGGTGTGTGGGGTGCTGGAAGCCAAGAAAAGAGAGAGGAGGGAACAAGGTGTGAAATCCAGTCAGTGATTCTATGCAGCAGCTTTTCTACTTTTGATCCCCACCATGACCCTGTAGAGTAGGAAATGACAGAATTATTATTTTTATTTGTAGATAAAGAGCAGCTTTGAGAGATTAAATGACTTTTCCAAGTGGCCTGGCTAATCAGGGGGCCTTCCAAATGCCTGGTTGCTGATCCCTTTGCCTTTCCAGGGAGCATTGCAGCGACTTTGTCTCCTTCTGTTGGGTTGTATTACATTAATGTCTTGGGGCCTGTGGCACACTTAATATTCAGTGCTTCTATAAAAAATGAATGCTGGGGTTTTATATGCTTGTGACCAGTTTTTATGGGTTTCCTGCTTCCTCATTTGTTGTTAGGACGTCAATTAGCCCTTCTCCTTACCCTTAGTGCTCCTGCCTGCAGTGACCGTGGCTTGCCTTCTGTTATTTTAAATTTGTTGAGCACTTTATAATTCACACCTGAATTCCAAATGTGTGGCAGGTACCCGAATTTTTCATAGATGATGCCAAGTGTATATTAGTAGGGCTTTAAATATTTACAGAATGCTTGGCCCTGTTTAATTATTAACACTGGGTCATGTTAAGTGAAACAATGTTCACCTGGCATTTTGATATTCTTGCAAAAGTGTTCAAAAGGGTTTGTGGAAAATAATAGCACTAAATTTTCTCTATTCTGTCACGACAAATAAATTTGTACCAAGATCATCCTATAGCTAGTCCTGGAAAAGTACTGTGATTCAAGTGGAAAAGTACTCTGATTTACTCTTTGGAAAACAATTTCTGGGATCTAACAGCCTCAGTCCCATGATTGAGAATGTCTTTCCTTTTTTTTTCTCTGTCTGGTTTAGGGAACACTCAGTTACTGAGAAACAATAAAGAAAAAAATTTAAACAATAAAAATTAGAGTAAAGCACCAGGAAAAAAATACACACACACATATTTGCAAGACATGAAGGTTAAGTTTACGTGTACAATGACTTGGTTGATTTGGTAGTGTATAATGAAATTAAAGCCATTTGTTCTAAGTGTAAACTACAGCCAAAGTTTCTAAGTAAACTCAATGAACCAGGATTGTTTTTTAATGAAAAATTTTAAGATACCAATTAGAATGTTTAGTTCACAAAAATTTAATTCTCCTTATAAACTAAAATGGCACTTATTTGTCATCTCTCCAGTCAAACTATCTTCATGATTTTTCTGCCTATTGTAGAAGGCTGCTGGATAATAATATTAAAGGAAAAAATGCCTTAAAATTGTAAAGGATTTGAGGGCCTCCTTCCTCCTTCTGTGGAGAAAGAAGTATGTATTCCATTGCATGGAGAGCAAGAGAGCAAGGAAAGAGGCTCACATTTATATTCGTGGGAGGTAGGGCCGTCTGAAGGATTTGAAGATCAGTGTATTAGTTTTCTAGGGTTGTGTAACAAAGTACCACAGAGTGAGCAACTGAAACAACAGAAATGTATGGTCTTGCAGTTCTGGAGGTTGAAAGTCTGAGATCAAGGTGTGGGCAGAGCTGGTTCCTTCTGAAGGTTGTGAGGGAAGGTCTATTCCAAGGCTCTCTTCTTGGTCATGTCTTCATATGATCTTTCTTCTCTGCATGTCTCTGTGTCCAAATCTCCACTTCTTATAAGGAAACCAGTCATATTTTATTGAGGCCACCTGTATAACCTTGTTTTAGCTTGATTACTTTTTTAAAGGCCCTACTCCACATAAGGTCACATTCTGAAGTGCTGGAGTTAGGACTTCAACATATTAATTTTGAGGGGAAACAATTCGGCCCATAACAATCAGACGTCTTTAGTTCATTAACTTATTAATTTATTGGCCTCTTGTACCAAAACAGACACTGCACCAGGAACTGGAGGACAAGGTAGCCAATTTCTTGCCATTCTATTAAGGGAGGAAGATTTTAAACAAATAACTACAACAAAATGTACAGAGTGGCATGATCAAAGGAGTACAAGGAGCTATCAGAGATGACTAGGAGTTGGCCAGATGAAGAAAGTGTAGAGGGAAGTGTCTTGAAACCTTTCCCCTGAACAAACCTGAAAGGTAGAAGACCATGAGATGACGCCTCTGGGGGACTGGGTATATAGCTCAAGGCTGTCCACACAACTGGGATATCCTTTCATTGAGGTTTTATGCTCTCTTTTTCATAGCATTTATGCTTTTTATATTCTACTCTGTAATATATTTATGTTGGTTTAAATATAAAAGTAATCTTTTAAATCTATTTCTATCAAGAAAAAGGCCAAACCAAAATGATTTCCTTCCTACCACAAGGAATATGTACTACTTTTACCTCCTGTTGTGTCCCCAGTAGTTCTAATTCTACCCCAGTTTGAGAGACATGGCTCTTATCACCCCAGATTTTATCCTTAGATTAATCCAGAGCATGTGAGAATTGTCTTGGTTTGGACCAAATATATCAGAGCAACTAAATTAAATCTGTGGTAGTGTTGATAGATGTTTTCAAATTCATCGTTACATACACCATAGGGATGCTACTGACAGTTCCATTGTCATGCAGTGACCCCTTTAGGAAGACTTGTGGGAAAAATGATTTATCTGAGGACTCTGGATCAGAAATATCTTTATTCCTCCAAAGTATAATGTGGCCCCTTTAACTGATCATTCTTCTTTCTTTGCTTTGGCTGCCAGGAGGCTCAAAAGAAAATTACTGTTTGTTTGTTTGTTTATTTATTTATTTATTTATTTAGAGATGGAGTCTTGCTCTGTCATCCAGGCTGGAGTCCAGTGGCGTGATCTCTGCTCACTGCAAGCTCTGCCTCTCGGGTTCATGCCATTCTTCTGCCTCAGCCCCCCGAGTAGCTGGGACCACAGGTGCCCGCCACCATGCCTGGCTAATTTTTTTGTATATTTAGTACAGATGGGGTTTCACCATGTTAGCCAGGATGGTCTTGATCTCCTGACTTCGTGATCCACCCACCTCAGCCTCCCAAAGTGCTGGGATTGCAGGCGTGAGACACCGCACCCAGCCTACCATTTTATTTTTAATCAATTTGTTGGGGCTTTTACTGTTCAGAGTCTATCTAGTAATTTTCCCATTGTTCTCCTCTCACCATTTTACCTTTATTATCTCTTCAGCTTTATCTTGTTATTTATAATATAGCAGTACTATGTGTTATTATATAGTCTATAGAGCTATATAGACTATAAAATAACACTATAAGACTATTACATTGCATCAGAACGTTTGTATTATTTTTTATTTTATTGTGAGTGCAGTGGATATTGCTGTTTATATACCCATTATTGTATTTGCCCTAAGTAAACTATCCCAGTGTTCATTTAATGATGCATCTCCTTCTGTCACCCTTGATTTCAGGAACCCTGCCTCCATCTTCAGCTCTGGAGGTTCATGCAAGTGGTTTGGAGCTAATTCATCCAAAACTGGCATAGCGATTCAGGAATCCAGGTCTAAGACAGTTAGCACTTGCTAGGCCCCTGGACTCCATTCATGAATCGATCAAGCTCAGGCCAGAGACACAAGAGGGAGAAATTCTTAGGGTTCTAAGTCAGACATTTCCTATAACTGAAAAACAAACCACTGGATGTCAGAGGGAAGTAAATACACTGAGTAAGGGTCAATCAAAAAACTATGGAGAAACTGAGTTATAGTCTTCAGGTTAATAAATCCTCAAGTCTAGCTGGTTTCTAGGTTTCTTTTTTCCTGAGCCAAATGTATTTCCTTATTATTTAAGATAGTCTGAATTTTTGTTGCTTTGTTATTGTTGTTCTCACTTAAACAAACCACCTCTGATATGTTTTGTTCCTTCTCTTGCCATGAGACACACTGGCTCCTTTTCACATTTTGCTATGATTGTAAGCTTCCTGAGGCTGCCAACCAGAAGCTAAGCAGATGCTGTTACTTTGCTTGTGAAGTCTGCAGAATGATGAGACAAATAAACCTCTTTTCTTTCTGAATTACCCAGCTTCAGATGTTACATCCTTGCCTTTACTATCATGCTGGAGAAAAATCATTCTTTGGAGAATAAACTAGTGGGAGTGTGGTCTCAGGGACACCAACATCTGGGGAGAGCAAGGTAGTGTGGCATGGGATTAAAGAAAACGTATACAACAAATTCGGAGACCCTCAGCAGCCTTCCCCCATTGCTTTAGAAGGCCAGCAGCCAGACATATGTCCTATTCTTCACCTTCTACAGCAGCAGATTGGAAGGTCATTTTGTGTAGAAATGAAGTGGGCCCAGAGAGATTTTTAGACACAGACATGTGGAGCTCTCCATCAGGAAGGATGGCTTGCCCTTTCATTACCCCGAGTAAAACCCAGCAATTAAGTATCTGCCCATGCTTACAGTGCTTCAGATGAAACACTTGATGCTTCACTCTGAAAAAACAAGCGGACAATCCAGGATAACTGGATATTTTGAGGAAGGCTTTCCACATGAAAGAGCTGAAAACACGCACAATATCAACCAGCCAATGAAAGAAACAAATCAACAAAACAACAAGGAAAAGGAATTCAGTGAAATAGAGACAATGTTGGGAACAAAGGAAAATTTTCAAAAAGCTGCCACTAATAACTTCAGAAATACAAGAAAATTTGTTGCATCTTTAGAATAACAACAGGAAGCTTGGGAAAAAGAAACATCAGAGCAATAAAGAGCTCTTGGGGAAAATATTTTTATTTCATATCCCAGAAAATAAATTTAAAAGTGCATACAATTTTGGAAAATAACTTTGTTGAAAAACAAGAGGAATAATGATGAATAAGAAGGAAGGAAAGAAAATTAGAATCTCAATCTAGGAAGCTTCACCTCTAAACATTAGGAGTTTCAGAAAGAGAAGATAGAGAAAAAGGAAAGGATAAGATAATCAAATGAATAATGTAGGAATATCTCTTACAGCTGAAATACGTGAGCTTCTACACTGACGGGTTCCCTAATTACTCAGCACACTATACACAAGAAGACCCTAGAAGAGTTACTTGAGATGAAAGAGGGAGGGAGGGAGGGAGGGAGGGAGAGAGAGAGAGAGAGAGGAAATTCAGAATGGCTTCTGAATGTTCTAGCATTCAGCAACACTGAATGCTAGAACAAAAGAGAAATATTTTCAAAACTTGGAGGGATAATTATTTTCAATCTACTATTCTATACTAAGCCAAATTATCGATTGAGGGTACACAGTAGTATACAGACATTTTCTGACATGAAAGGCTCAAACGTTTTGCCCACTACACATCTTTTCTTAAGAAGCAAATGAAGAATGTTCTTTATAAAATGAGGGAGTCAATCAAGGAAGAGAAAGACATGGTATTAAAAAACCAGGCCATGTAATGCCTGGGGTGGAGGAGGGTGAAGAAAAGAAGGCTTAGCATGAAAGCCAGGTAGCTGGCCCGGAGATCAAAGGGTCCACAATAGGAGCAGAAGAACTGTAGGCCGTGGGAGAGAGGGTGCAGGATGGGTGGGTCGAAGAAGGGAGGGCAGGAGGCAGAAACGTATAGAGTGTTTGAAACTGTAGCCCAGCAAGTGCAAAAATTACCGATAGATTTTAAAAGATCCGTTGGGGCATTTAGGACAAAAGTAATAGTAAGTACATTTAAAAAATTAACAGAAACCAGGATGTATTAAGAATCCGAGGAAAAACAATAAGTTCTAGGAGAAGGAATAAGTAATTATGGTACATTACATGGTTTAGTAATAAACAACATTTATATAGTCATAATGATGCACCCAGTATTTGATATATAATTAAATTGAGGGATGTGGGTTGAGGATGGCATAAGAAAGCTAACCCCTTAAGTTCTATAACAGGAAGTCACTACAAAAGGCTGAAAATTTATAAAACAAGATTTAGCAGTGTAAGCATCTTATTTTGAAGATAGGGAAACAATTACCAGGAGAAGTAGGTACAACAATTGAAAGAGGTTGGCTCTGGGGAGCAGGACTGGGGTTTTGATGGTGACTGGGGCAGAAGATTACCATTTTCTCAGTATAATCTAGTTTATTTAAAGAACATTTATTATTTAGATGAAATAAAACAACCAGTATTAAAAATCATGCTTCCTGTGCAGCTTTTTTTGATGCCTTCCATGCAGTCAAAATTACTTGTCTTCCCCTCTTCTCCCACTCCAATTCTCCCTTCTCATTTTGTACTCATCCAGATTATATGACCTATTTTGCTAGTTTCATTTATTTATGATCTGGCTTTTGAGACTAATGATGAGTTATTTGAGTGTAGGGGCTATGTCAAAGGTTTCCAAAATTGCCTTGGTTCACATTGCCTTTATTGTCTCAGTAATGTTTTGATGAGGCCCCTAGTCTAAAATAAACACCCAACAGGTCTATTTATTAGGTAATGAGGTCCAAACAACTTAAAATATCTTTTGTGTTTCAGGAATGAGCACCAGGAGTTTACAGCACATGTTATTCATATCAGAGATGTCCCAGTTGGTATCCCTCAAATAAGACAAACTAACTTCCCCCACAACAAGGGTTGCTGAAATTGCTAACCACAATAATAGTCAAAATTTAAAATGAAAGAGAAAAAGACTAACCCAGAATTCTGCCAGTCAAAAACATCACCTGTTTTCACTTCCATATTTCTATCTAGTTTTTTCCATATGCAGAAAATTACATATTTTTACATATAATCAGTAAAGATGTAATTTTGTGTCATATTTTCTCAAGACTTTCAGACACAGCTTTCCTTGCCAGTACATGGTCTTCATAATGGTCATTTCCAACAGCTGTGTTATATTTCATCAGATTTTAGTGGTTATTGAAACATTTCCCTATGAATGGATGTATTGATTGACTCTTTCTTCCTCTACAATTAACATCTTCCTACACATTTCTCTATTCTTCTTTGTGATTATTTACCTAAGTTATTTTCTGGTGGAGGCTAAAATGGGTATGAATTTTTAGAGTATAGGAATCTCAAAACGGAGAGAAGTTGCTTTGTTAAACCTCAAACTTAAGGCAGGGACACCCTCTAAAGCCATATGCCTCTTCTTGACTCCTTTCTATAAATTTCACTTTCTCACAAGAAAGTTTATCCAATTGCTGGCCAGTTCAAATTTCTAAAATTCGGAGTTTCTTGATCCCCACGCAGCATCATTTGCTTGACTTGCTGGCCCTCATTCTGTCCTCAGGAGCCATACAAAACAAGTATGTTTTCTTCTTCCACATGACAGCCTTTCAAATATTTGAGGATGATGATAATGGACAAGTTGACCTTTGTACAATCTTTTGACTAAGGTATTCCCAGTCTCTGACTGTGAATCCTCCTACTCAGTCACCTTTGCCATTTTCTGCCCCAGTTACCCAAACTTCTTCCATTCCTGCCACACATCCACAGCTCTCCCAATGTCCTCCATGGGCTGTCCCTTTAGATCTATGCCACTGTATCCTGTTAAATCAAAGATGCCATCAATTGTAAGATGCAATATGATTTTTTAATTTTTTTAACTAAGAAACAAAAACTACTGCCAATTAAATTCTGACATGATATCAATTGTAAAGCACACCTCATTTTCCAAGAGAATAAAATATGAAAAAAAAATGTGTCTTAGAATCAATGACACACAGGAAGGCAGTTGTTTCTTTTGTTTTTTAATTTTTTATTTCCATATGTCTTTGGGGAACAGGTGGTATTTGGTTACATGAGTAATTTCTTTAGTGGTGATCTGTGAGATTTTCGTGCATCCATCACCTGTGCAGTATACACTGAACCCAATTTGTAGTCTTTATTCTTTACCTTCTTCCCACCCTTTCCCTGTGAGTCCCCAAAGTTCACTGTGTCATACCTTTGCATCCTCATAGTTTAGCTCCCTCTTCTTAGTGAGAACATATGATGTTTGGTTTTCCATTAATGGCAGTTGTTTCGTCTCTTCCAATTTGTACCTTGCAAGTGGGTCCCTGGGTTGGGGGTGGTTTCTGGTGTGTGTGTGTGTGTGTGTGTGTGTGTGTGTGTGTGTGTAGTATGTGTTGCAAAGGTGTGTCCATCCATCCTATAGATAACAATATAGTTCTATTCCAATAATCATTTATAGTAAGAATAATTGCAAAGTTGTAACTCAGGAATGGAGAAATTGCAGTCAAAGCACTGATGATGAGTATGGAAATCAGCTTAAAAGTAGAGCAAATCTGAAAAACTATTGAATTTATGTTCACATCTTCAAATGCAAATGGCATAAGCTTTCACAATGTCATGGTAATAATTTAACAAATTCAGGATGGGGTAGAGAGAAGATGTGTCTGTTGGGAAGTATAAGTATTCTAATATTCTCATGTCAAATAATCCATGAATGGTATATAAATTTGAAGCATAGTTTAAAAACATAATGACCCCAGCCTCTTAGTAAATTCACAACCATATTCATGTCTTTAAATTTAGCAACCTAGAGGGGTCATTTAAGAATTGATATTTCTTGTTGGGAAGAAAATTGAATGGTTTTTAGCAATTTAATTCTACATGATTTATACTTTACTGTAAATTCAAATAAATGCCATTTAATACTTTTATTAATGGTAGCATTTATAGTACAATCCATTAAAATTTATATTTCTAAGTTTTCTAAAGTACAGTAGATTCAAGAATTTATGGTTGGTGTGTTCTATAAAGTCGCTAGGAAAACTGAATTAGAGAATACTCAACCATTGTTCCTGGGGGAAATTATGTTTCAGGTTAGGTTCCTTTGAGCCTCTGATCACAGCATCTTCATTAACTGATCATTACAAAATTGTGTGTTTTATGTGTGTTTCTGTTTAAAGGCACCTTATTTAATATATATTGTTGATTCATTTAAATTGAACCCGTGACTGACGGCATTATAATTCATGACTGAATTGAGCTTATCTAACACTTGTATTTTCTCACATCATAGCTTCTTGCACTTTGGAAAACTAGGTGGAACTTCAGCATTATGCTTCGAAGCCACCGTAACCAGTAAAATCACCAACACGAAGCACAATAATGGGAATTACATGGCACAAAATAGACTGTGCAAAGGACACTTATTTACAGTATGAGTGCTGAAACCAAATGGCAGAATATCACCTGGTTTGACTTAGCTGGGAATGTGTTTGTCAGGTGACTCAAATTTCTGCTACTGTGTGCATATCTGTGAATGGCCACAAAAGCTCCAGTAGTATTGATTTTGGGATTACAAACAAATTTTAGCATGTAGGCAAATTCACAAATATGGAATCCACAAACAAGGAGGATACACTGTATCTCTAATAAGGTCTTCTTTCACCCTTCTTCCCCCTTTTCCTCCCTAACTTCATACCTGTTCTGACATCTTCTTATCCATAGAGAGATGTCTGAAATTGTATGAAGAAAGAGTTGACGAACACTATGACTGGGTGGTGGAATTTTTAATCTGTATTTGAAAAAATATATAACAGTATACATTTTAACACATATAATGAAGTCATTATTGTTAAAACATTGATATTAAACTTTATTATTACATATTACAAAAAATAAAATATAGTAAGACTTTTTGTTTGTTTACCACAATGGTATTTGTGCTGTTTTTTTCTGCACTATAATTCAATCTTTCATTAGGAGTTAAGGAAATAGGCAGTCATACACTGCTGATTTTAGTGTAAATTAGCAAATTTTGGGGGGAAGAAAATTTGGCAAAATGTATCAAAAATGTCAATGATTTTCATTTCACTCATTAATTCCATTTAGGAATTTTACCCATGGAAATAATCCCCCCAAATTTATTAATAATATTATGATTGTTAATAGTTGTAAATATGTGAATCAATTCAACAGAACATCAATAAGAGCTCAGAAAAAGGAAATACAGCTTTTAGAAATCATGTTCTTTAAGAATTTGGATGACATTGTTAATGTAATGACAGATAAAACACCATACATGCAGATACATATGTTAAAAAGACTTGAAGGGCTGGAAGAAGTAGGTCATGCCTGTAGTCCTGGCACTTTGGCAGGCTGAGGCAGGTGGATCATCTGAGCCCAGGAGTTCGAGACCAGTCTGGGAAACATGGCGAAACCCTGTCTCTACAGAAAATACAGAAATTAGCAGAGCACTGTGGTGCACGCCTGTGATCCTGAGGTGGGAGAATCGCTTGAGCCCAAGGGATGGAGGTTGCATGCAGTGAGCTATGATCTCACCACTGCACTCCAGCGAGAGAGAGACAGAGAGAGGGAGACAGAGAGAGAGAGAGAGAGAGAGAGAGAGAGAGAGAGAGAGAGAGAGAGAGAAGGGAGGGGGGAGGGAGGGAAAGAAGGGAGGAAGTAAAGAAAGATTTGAAGAATATATAGCTAAAATGTCAGCAGTGATTGTCTGGGAGACAGGATTCTAGGTAAGTTTCATTTAAAAACTATTTGTAGGTATGATTCACCATTTCTACAGTAAATATGTACTACTTTACAAAAATTGATAAAATTATTTAAAAAATATACTTGGCCCCTCAAGGAAACATCATGATAATGGTCTAATTTACACAAATATAGGTGCCTGTTTTTCTGTTGTTGTCATGATTTTTCTTTAATTTTTATCTTAAGTTCTGGGGTACATGTGCAGGATGTGCAGGTTTGTTACATAGGTAAACGTGTGCTATGGTGGTTTGCTGCACCTATCAATCTGTCACCTAGGTATTAAGCCTAGCATGCATTAGCTATTTTTCTAGGCAATACCATTCAGGACATATGTACGGGCAAAGACTTCATGACGAAATTGCCGAAAGCAATTGCAACAAAAGCAAAAATTGACAAATGGGATCTAATTAAACTAAAAAGCTTCTGCACAGTGAAAGAAACTATCATCAGAGTGAACAGGCAACCTACAGAGTAGGAGAAAATTTTTGCAATCTATCCATCTGACAAAGATTTCACATCCAGAATCTACAAGGAACTTAAACAAATTTACAAGAAAAAACAACCCCATTGAAAACTGGGCAAAGGACATAAACTGACAGTTCTCAAAAGAAGACATTCATGCGGCCAACAAACATATGAAAAAAAAAAGCCCAACATCACTGGTCATTAGAGAAATGCAAATCAAAACCACAATGAGATACCATCTCATGCCAGTCAGGATGGCAATTGCTGTCATCATTTTTTTTTTGTTTTGCTTTTGTTGTTATTTTTTGAGGACCTTCTGCTTGTTTGGCACTCTGATAAATAT